>NC_000002.12:125614618-126239618 GCF_000001405.40 Homo sapiens | reverse complement strand
TGTTGCAAAACAATCAGAGGTTGTATCTGACAACAGCAGTAAAAGCTACCTGATCAATTAGTGATGTCTGCCATGAGTGCTTGGAATGAGGAATGGCAATGCACAGGACAGGCTTTGCTAGCTTTGCATAACTCAACAGAAGCAGAGAGTTGTCTGCAGATGACCTTATGTATCTCCACATGTATATTACAGAAGAGTGCCCTCTCCCATCAGAATAGTAGGATGTATTAGGTTTACTTATATAACTAGTCAATACCTTAGGAGGTCTTTTAAGCTTAGTATTAGAAACTTTTTTTTTTTGCTTTTTGTTTTCTCTGCCTTTCATAAAACACAATGGGCATAGAAAGCACTGATTGTAAGAGGCTTACAGTTTCACTAGAGAAAGTGTATGTGCAATCAACAACTAATAAGCACAGTATTATTTATTGTGACAGAATTGTGTGCTGATATAATAAAGATGATAAAGGGAGTAAATTCTTAATGATGTGGTCTGAGGAACAAACACTAATTCTATAGTCCACCAGATACTGCTTTGACCAAGCGGATATTAGAGGCAAATGGGTGAATTCACATTCTGAGCAGAGCTGGTTTCTCTCACAAATAATCACAACACAACACGCGCAACCTAACACAGCACAGCATGAGTCTCATCACCATATTATTCTTTAATCAATTCAGTGATAATTTGTCCAACTTCTCATTAACTTTCTTTTCTCATAGGCAAGTATTCCAGCTTATTAGCTTTATATAAAGAACAAGGATCTAGACATCCAACAGACCTTTCAGACCTCAGCTCTGCCACTTAACTTTCTGGCCTCCAGAAAGTCTCTGATGCCTACAAATCCCTGTTGCCACATACAAGGTAGATATAACAAAACTTCCCTTGCAGGAATATTTTAAGATTTAAGAAGATATGTCAACAATCTGGTGCTTAATAGGGTTTCATTAAATGGCAAGATATTATTTCCTGAATTATAAAATGACATTGATTTTAAGATGCGCTCTTGAATTAATAGAAAGTTTCCAGGGGGGAAAAACATCCCTTCATTATAACGTACATCTCATTGTAATGTGAGTCTGAATTTTATAGACTATAACATGTGAAGTGCGTGTGAGCCTAGCAGCAGCGATATGTTGCCAGAACCAGCATGTACAGCCAGAACAAGCATATGAACAGCAGCAAATGTTCCTCCAGAGCCTACCATGTGCCAGGAACTGCCATCAAACATTTAATTCTCACAGGAACCCAACCAGGTTGGTCCTATTAGCCACCACATGTTACAGACAAGGCCACTGAGGCACTACTATGAGAGTAAATTGGCTAAGCCCTCATAGCCAGAAAGTGACAGAGCCTGAATTTCAGCCGGGCGTCCTGGCACTCAAAGCCATGCCCTCAGCACCGTGCTGGGCTCCCCAGGGCTGGCTGCCAGAAGGTGTCTGGACCTGTTAGTGGAGGAACCCTGAGGACTGGCAGGGAGGGGGCATCAAAGCAGAATCAAGATGGAAGCTGACTCACCATTGAGAGAGGCTGCCTGTAGGCCAAGGGAAGTACCTACAAGGCAGCTGGACACTGAGACTGGAAGCCCAGGGAGTCAGAAGATGGAAGGCAGGAGTGAGGCACGTGAGGAAAAGCAGTTCTGGGAAAACACAGGAAACCAGCCACATGTGCAGGTCATGGGGTCTGATGCTTTCTGTCAAGAGGTAAGTGGACATGGGTACGCTGACATTTTCCTACATGCAACAGGCTTTGAATCTGGTTCCCTGTTTCTTCTGAGGCCATGCACGCATACCTCAAGACCAAGAGAACAGTTGAAGTATGTTACGGGTTAAACTGCATCCCCTCCTAAAATTCATATATTGAAGTCCTGACCCCAAGTACCTCAGAATGTGACCTGATTTGGAGATGGGGCCTTTGCAGAGTTAGGTTAAAATGAGGTCTTTAGGGTGGGCCCTAATCCAATGTAACTGATGTCTTAATGAAACAGGGAGATTTGGACCCAGACATGCCCGTACAGGGAGATCACCATGTCCACCCACAAAGCCAAGGAGAGAGGTCCGGAGCAGGTTCCCCCTCACAGCCCGCGGAAGGAACCAATCCTGCTGGCACCTTAACTTCACATGTCTGGCCTCCAGAACTGTGAGAGAATGTTGTGTAAGCTGCCCAGTTTATGTTACTTTGTTATTAATCCGGGATATATTATGAACATCTGGTTATCAATAGGCTGATTCATCCAGTTAGTATATTTGAAAGAAGGAAGTGTCTTCCTGAGTCTATGTATTTCATATATGACAATTTGTTTTAAAAAAGCACATTGTGAAAATGTGTATTGGCATATTCTTGTATTTTCCATGTCAGAATTCATTTATACACTTACTTCTACACCAAAAACTAGAGATATGACTGTGGACATTGGTATCAACAATGGAACATTGTGTAAACTGATATCTTCAACACATACACCTGCTCATTGTTCTCTGTGAACTTACTCCAGAGATGAATAGGGTCATCACGATGAATTGTTGTAGAAGCCAGAACATGTATTCAGGATATGAATATATTTTCTTTAAGGTAACAATATAGTTACATAACCAGGGGCTATGAGAACACCAGAACACTACAACTAACCCAGCCAGTAGGCTGGAAGCGGGCAGAGGGACTTGGGGAGAGCTTCCCAAAAGAGCTGGCCCCTGAGAGGAGCCTTACGATATGCACCTCAACATTTAGTTTAACAGACGTTCATCCACTGTCTTTCCTCCTACTTTTCTTCTTAGCAAAATGAACCTTCCCACACCTACATATGCATCACCATCACCTGAAGGACTTGTGGAAACATGAACTCCTGGGCCCCATCTCAGCATTTCTGATTTGGCACATCTGGAGGGGCCCCAAGAATCTGCATTTCTAGTAGTGCTGGTGCTGCAGGTCCAAGGCCCTCACCCTGAGATCCACTCAGGAAACATTTATGAGCATCAACCTGAGAGCAGGTATCTGTCCTCAGGGATGCAGAATGAATAAAACATAGTTCTGCCTTCATGAGAATAACGGATATCAAATCAATCAACCCCTTTATAATGCAATCGCATTCTCGAATCTCTATTTCTTCACGGAAAAAAAATAAAATATGCAGTGCATGATAGGAGCTATTTCTCCAACACCATCATCCATGCCTACAGAGGAAGGGATTTTCAGAAATGATGACTGCCACATGTCTATTCTCCTGCCCTCTATTTTCACACTTCAGTGGTATAGTCTGGTGAAAACAAAGTCTGGCCTGCAAAGGAAAGAATCTGTAGATGTGGAAGTTTGGATTGACAGATCTTGCTAACATAAACAAGCTGGAACTTTCCTTTTCTCCCTACTTCCCTTTATTGAGGGCAATATTTACAGCGAGTAGCATGGATCTGCCTCTTTGATACCCACAAAGCAGCAAAGAATGATCTGATGTGCTTTTTTGAAGGCTGTCAGGATTGGATAATCATATGTTTATCCCCTGTGACACATGTTGAAAGACATGAGAGCCAGATGAACATAGCAATGAAATCTATTAGAAAGACACCAAGCCAATGAAGGAACAAAAGCAATGGTCTGACAGGAAGGATCCTGTTTTTTTTTTGTTTTTTTTTTTGCTGTTGTTGTTGTTGCTCATGAGCTGCACTGTCAAATATTTGTATTTGTGCTGATGGTGTCTTGAAAAGTTCTTGGGCCAGCTCTGCAAGAATGCATGCACTTGACAAAACGAAACTCAATAACAACTGAACAAATGTTTCTTTTATTTCGAAGGCCAAGCACTTGGCTTTAGAAGGAAAAGGGAGTCCTGTGAATTGCTTCGCTTTGAGAACTATTTGTCAGTCCCCATAATATGCTACTTCTGCCTGATGTGGGCAGGCCTATTGTCTATCATTAAGAAATCAGCTGGTTTTTAAGAGAATGACTAGGTGGATATCAGCAGGCACCTCAAATCTAGATGGCTGGTCATTTCTCTAGTGCTCACATAAACAGTTTACAAATGCATAAGTATGTTATTCATAAGACACTCTCTTGTAGGTAGTTAAAATGTTCAGTGCTGTAGGAATAAAGAAAATCAAGAGCTTTCTCCAACTCCCTTGCCCTGACACATTTGAGAGATATTTTATTGTTAAAAAAACAAAGCCTTGTTGTCTGCCTAGCCAGTTTGAATTAACGTGGTGGTTGATTTTTTTAAAATGAAATTTGTATTGAACGTGGAAGAAAATAGATTTACTTAAAAGTACATGCACAAGGATGCATCTGAATTTGTACTGTTAGTATTTTCATTCCACTGTTGTGGTTGTTCCTTATTGCTCCATTTTAGATTCAATTCCCTCCATTCAGAATATATTTATGGAGCATTTTCTAGGTGCCAGACACATAGACACCAGGAAGATGAATATCCGGGTCCTTGATTTTAAGATGTGCACAGATCTGTTTTCCATCTTAATGACCTAATTTCCATTACTATCATCCACAAATAATATTCATACACATAGTTCTACCTTTTGTTAAACCTCTCCAACTTATAAAGGATCTCATTTGTACAACCCTGTTTATCCTTCCTGTCCTTAAGCACAGGAGGGATGCTTGTCCTGGATCCCTGGCCCATTCATCCTCAGCGGCTGCTTCTGCTCTTTCTAGGGCTCTCTGGTTCAAAGGTGCACATCTTAGATTTAGGGATTCACTTAGATTATTCTCACGCTAACAGTCTGGAATTCCTGTGAAATAGTTCAAGAAAAAATTGATAGATTGTATTATGTAGAAAAATTTCTATGTACATGTATGAACATAAGCAAAGTTAAAAAGACGACATACTGGGAAAAAATGTTTTCAACTTACATGGAATATAAAAAGATAGCTCCCAATATGTATTTTTAAAACACTGTTAAATATAACAAAAAGGATAAAAATCCCTATAGCAAAAAATGGGAGAATGGCACCGATAGACAATTTACAGTAAAGATATACAAATGCTTTACATCTATGAAGTGTTCAACCTCACTCATGCTTGCACATGCCAATTATAACTGCACTGACATGCCATCTCTTAGCTATCAGATGGGAAGTACTCAGAGGCTCAATAAATATTCTGTTTGAGACTTGGTGTAGAAATTGTTATTCTCCTACATTTCTGATAGGAATGCAAGAGGAAAGCATCCTAAGGAGGAGGATTTGGCGGGACCTAACAAGACCACAGTGCATTGACCCTTTGGCCCAGCAATGTCACTTCTAGGACTTCATCTTGAAAATCCACCTCCAGAAATGCAAAGCATCATAGGCAGAAGATCATTCACTGTGGCTTCATACGTAATAGCACAATATTACAAAAAATAAAAATGCTGATTTGTAGAAGATTGGTTAAATAAATTATGATATATCAGCGCTGTTTTTTTACAAAAGGAATGAGGAATATCTGTATTCATTGATATGTAGTGACTTTGAGGATATACTATTTAAATTAAAAACTAAGCACTACACACATACATTCATATATATATATGTATACATCTGCAGATTTTGTACAAATAAAGGGATTTTTTTTTCAAAAATAAATACAAAAGAATAAAAGATAAAATACTGGAATGATTCCCTAAGAAATGGGAAAATACTGGGCCAGGCGCGTTCGCTCAAGCCTGTTAATCTCAGCACTTTGGGAGGCTGAGGCGGGGGGATCACGAGGTCAGGAGATCAAGACCATCCTGGCTAACAAGGTGAAACCTCGTCTCTACTAAAAATACAAAAAAATTAGCCGGGCGTGGGTGGTGGGTGCCTGTAGTCCCAGCTACTCGGGAGGCTGAGGCAGGAGGATGGCATGAACCCGGGAGGCAGAGCTTGCAGTGAGCCGAGATTGCGCCACTGCACTCCAGCCTGGGACACAAAGCGAGACGCCGTCTCAAAAACAGAAAGAAAAAAACAACAACAAAAAAAAGAAATGGGAAAATACTGAAATGGTTCCCTAAGTTTAGTGGGGGTGGTTTAGAGGAGATAGAAATTGGGTGGAGTAGACATTTATCATTGTACACACTTTTATTTATTTGTTTATTTTAATTTTTTAAATTTTTTATTTTTTGAGACAGAGTCTCATTCTATCGCCCAGGCTGAAGTGCAATGGCTTGATCTTGGCTCACTGCAACCACTGCCTCCCTGGTTCAAGCAATTCTCCTGCCTCAGCCTCCCGAGTAGCTGGGATTACAGGCACGCACTACCAGGCTCAATTACTTTTTGTTTTTAGTAAAGATGGGGTTTCACCACGTTGGCCAAGCTGGTCTCAAAATCCTGACCTCAAATATGTATACTTCTATAGTTTTGACTTTTGAATGGTATTAGACTATTTCGTTTAAAAGTAAAGTAAAAAACACAAATAAGAAGATCTCTAATATTAAAAAGAAAATTAATTAACCATGTATAAAATTGATAACATTAGTACGTAATAAAAATGGATGTTGCTGTATGCCCATATTCTCCTGGTGGAAGAAAGGAGATTCAAATTTGGAAAAAAGGTTGGAATTGGAAGTATCAGTAGGAAATCCACTGAAGAGAGACTAGGAGAAACTCCAGTAGCAATGAGCACACCTAATGTTCAAATCTTGATTGAAATACCAAGCTGAAAAGAACCAGGTGCCTTGAAGAAAATGCTGATTCCGAGTTATGGGAAGGAAAAAGACATGGTCACGCTGGAACATAGTGGTGTGCCTAAAAGCAAGAGAATGCTCAAAATATGATGTATGCATGCAAAAAAATCACAAGATTCATCAAATTCAGGCAATTGAAGGATAAGGATAATGATATTAATGAATTATAAAAATATAAAACAAAAATATGAGTCCACACAGATAGTAAAGGGGAAAAATGTAGAAGGAAATTCTGTACAGAATAATAGCCAACAGGTATAGAAGGAATGATGGAATTCCATAATCACCAATTTAAACCTCCACTATAATCATTGATTAGAGCAAGGATCACCAGGTGATACTAAATGACCAGATGAAAGGTTTTGGGTCCAGATGAACCTCTTCAATGAGATACCTAGTAGATACTACCCTCTCCAAGCGAGCAAAGTAACAATACCAGTGATGCAGAGAACTGAAGTTGTGTGCCTTCTCGTATGCTGCTGTGGGAAGCCCAGTAACCACCATCAACAAAGTTTAACTTCAATCTAATCGTGACATACATTCAGAATATGAAACACTCCACAAGAAAATGGGCCTATTCACACATGTCATTGTCATAAAAGTCGCACATCAAAACAGGTTAAAGGGATGTGGCAAGATGAGGTTCTTGACTGGATTTTGGACACCCCCTCCACAATAATGCTGCTATCAAGCATGTTGTTGAAACAACTGGTTCAATGTTAACATAGACTGTCTGTTAGGTAATATTATTTATCAATGTTAAATTCCTTTCCGGCGACAATGATATTGTTGCTATGCAGGAGAATGTCTTTGTTCTCAGCAGTTATATGCTGAAGTATTTAGAGGTAAAGTGTGAAGTTGTCCACATCTTATTTTGAAGGGTGCAATAACTAAATAAATGAAGAAAGGGAGAGAGAGCGAGGTAGGGAGGACATGAAGGGGAGGGAGGGACACAAAGAGAAAGATTTTGAGCAAGAAAGAAACGGAGGGAGGATATGCAGAGAGATGTAAAAAGCAGAAAACATACTTTCTGCTTTTTGCAACAAATGATTTTTGTTTGATCTTTTTGCAAACAATGATTTTTAGGGGTTTATTGCATTTTTCTTTCAGCTTTTCTGTGCACTTAAAATTAAAAAGCTAAAAAAAAAAGCAGGCAGGAAAGGGAAGAATGCACAACTTTTATAAATAAAGAAGGAGGAGCAGGAGCAGAAACTAAAGAAGAGGGGAGAGGAGGAGGAGGGGGAGGAGGTGGAGGAGGCCTAAGAAGGAAGTGGCTTGAGGAGGAGGAAAGAGAAGGAAGAGGGAGGGTGGACAAGGAGGGGGGAGGAGGATGGATGGAGGAGGAGATGGAAGGAGGAAGGACAAGGAGGAATGTGGAGGGAAGAAACAGGAAGGAGAGGATGGAGGGAAGAGGTGGAGGGAGAAGTGAGCAGAAGGAGGGGGAGGAGAATGGGAGATAAGTGTTATTAGTATTACCCAGCCCCACAGAATACTACTCAGCATCTTTCTCTGTATATTTTTCCATGGCCACACATGTTTACATGCACTATTTTCCTCTGAAATTATCTCTATGTGGAACATCCCGTGAGTAGCTTGTGTCGGGCAAAACCAGAGCCTGGGTAGCAGATGGCATAGCTTTGTAGCTGTCATGACTTAAATGGCCACTTTGATTTTCATTGCTTCACTTCATACAAATTCCCCAATGTAGGCTTGGTGCTACAGGTCCCTGCACGAGGGAGACATTTCCTTAGCCTAACCACGTTGTTTCCTACTGAAAGCAAATGACTTTGCTATGTCTTCCACTTTTACTCTTAGCGGCGATAATCACCTCAACAGCAAATGGATTAGCCATATATTTTTCTTGTCTCTATGCCCATATCTCTTTCTTAAAGAATTTCTACAAGGCTGCGAAGCCTTTGAGGCCAAGGACAATATTCTTCGCTCCTTTGATTGCCAGATTCTATCATTGTGCTGGCACATAGTAGGTGCTTAACAAATATTAACTGAAAAACTGGATGAATGTCACATACATCTAAAAGATTTTCATAAGGATTTAAAATTATTTGTATTGATCTCCTCTTCATTGTTCTGACAAAAATATATTCTAGGAATTAAAATGAATATGCGAAGTGTGGATAACCAAGATTAGCCCTGTGCAGGCCTCATTATGTGGATTAATATTTGCAAACCCTTGATGAGTTTCTTCTTCTTAAATTGAATAATGACTTTTGTCATAAAGGAAAAAAAGTTAATTCACAGGATATTTTGGCTTTAATGTTTTCCATATATTTTCTTAAACCCTTGACAATCTGAAAATCCAGGATAAGATATTATTGAATTTAGTCAATATTTTGTGCCATGTTGTAAATTAGGACATATTCCATATACACATTTTTGCAAAGCTAGAAATGTTTGAACACCATTGGTATGGTGTTCACTTGGTGACTACAATAGAAAACAGTGGGTAGGTAGGACATGGTGTTTTTATACTCAGGCAGATATCATTTCTCTCACCAACTAGGTCAAAATTGTGCATCTTTGAAGGTCACAATATTTCACAGCCTCAATTTTCTCAATTTATAACAAAACTACGCTTGGTATAGTAGCTGTTTGTGAAGAAGAAAGGAGATAGTTACCATGGTCTTCTATATGGCTCATGGATAGCTTTCAGGTCACGTAAGAACCTTCCAAAACTATATGTGAAGTGTGTGTGTGTGTGTGTGTGTGTGTGTGTACATGTGTGTACCTAAGTATATTTCCCTGGAGATAAGTTCATCTTTTTGGACTCTCAAAAAAAATCTATGAGCAAAGGATTTTAAAAACCAGTGCAAAATGTGCACACTGTAAGGAAGTTGATATTCAGACATACAAAATATCAATATGTGCACCCAACTGTTTATTCAGAAACCTCTTCTATTTTGTGGGGTTGCAATAGTGGGCAGTGAAGAGAATGTATGTTGAGTGTTGGGTCAGGAAGATGGGTACCATTCTAACCCCATTGTTCAATGGTTGCAGAATGGTGGGCAAGTTCTTTGGCCTCTCTAAACCTCAGTTTCTCTTTTCTAAACTGAGAAGAGATCTTATTTCAAGAATGGCTTTTCTGTGAAGATTACACAAGGAAAAGAATGTTAAATGACGAGTTAATGGGTGCAGCACACCAACATGGCACATGTATACATATGTAACTAACCTGCACGTTGCGCACATGTACCCTAAAACTTAAAGTATAATAAAAAATATATTGCAAAAAATATCCCTTAAGTGTTGATCCAAGTGACTCCCACTTTTAATGTTACCACTTTCACTGCCCCTTTGATTTTTCATTCCTCGAATCAAGTCATCTCCATTTGCTCAGTGTTTTCTTACTAATATTATTTTTGCACTTGTCTTCATGAAGAGATGTAGTTTTGTTCTTCCTCTGTTGCTTGGTGTAGAACACCTATCAGACCACTGGCCTCTGACAAGTCCTGTGGACTGCAGTCAGCCCTTGTCAGCCATGGGAAACACAGCTGCAAAATGAATCATCTGCCCACTGAGGATCCACGCAGCTGGGAGAATCTTATTGTTTTACTGTCACTGAGTTTCCATGAGGTCTTTCACGTTTGTCCATACTGCATAGTTATGAACGTGAAGAACACTAACATTAGTTCTTATTACTTTTTACTTTCTGGGTGCTTGTTCCGCTTCCTTGTGCATTCCATGAGGACGTATCATTGGCAACAAGTTATGACTGCTGTCCCTTTCTCCAGTTGAAGGGACCAGGACAATAATGCAGGGGGTGCAATTCTACAGTGGGATACTAGAGACTGAATTTTGGAAAAAAAGGTCTATTAGAATAACTAAAAGAATAAATAATGTAAGCTATATCTTTAAAAGATGTTTTCATTGAGTAGAGAATTCTAAGCTGAAAGTATTTTCTTTCAGTATTTAAACAAGAGTACTCCAGTATTTTCTTGTTTCTATAGTTTCCAATAAGAAATCTACTATTATCTTTATCTTTATTCCTTTGTACATAACATGCCTTTTTCTGTTATAGTTTCAGTACTTTTTTCTAGATAACGGGTTTTAAGCAATTTAATTTTGGTGTAATTTACTTTGTGTTTCTAAGCTCATGGGGTTTTTTTTTTTTGAGCTACTTAGCTTTACAAACATATATGATACAATTATAGTAACTTCTTAAAATGTCATTGTCTGCTAAATTTAACATCTGTTTTACTGTTTGTTCCAACTGATTAATTTTTATCCTTATTATGTGTTATATTTTCTTGCTTTTTATGCCTAATAATCTTTGAATATATGCCAGATATTGTGACTTTAATTTCTTGAGTACTGGATATTTCTGTGTTCCTGTTAATCCTCAGCATTTTTTTTTCTGGGATGGATTCAAGTTATTTAGAAATAGTTAGGTTCTTTACATTTTGCTTAGACAATTTTTTAAGGTAGGATTAGAGCAGTGGTCAGTCTAGGGGTATTTATTCCCCATGAGTAAAGCCAGACCCTTGTGTTTGCCCCACCCAGTGCCCTGTGAATCATGAGATTTTCCCGTCTACCTTGTGAAAATTAACTATTCATGACACTGTGTTACATGGGATACTCTTTATTATAATCCATTCAAGTGGATCTTATTCTGGTCTCAGGTAGTCTCACTTGTAAATACTAATCATTAATCAGCTAAATATGTAGTTGGGTGGACTCTACAGCTCTCTGGGGTTGTCTCTTTGTAAAACTCTCTCTTCATTCCAAGATGATTGCCAGGAGTGGGGCACTGGATGCTCATCTGTATTGACTATCAGACCTGCAGGACATGGGTTAGTCTCATTCAGAGACTCACTATCAGGCCAGCTCAGAATGAAGCATGGTAAGCTTTCTTCCAATGGGAGTAGACAAAATTGTGTCATTATAGGTTCAATTATAAGGGGACCTCTCAGCTTTAGCCTGTGCTGAGTCAATGCCCATCCAGTGAGCTGGTGGAAAACACCCAGTAGAAATCTTGGTCAATAGGAACTGAGGGTCATCCAAACAAACAAACAAAATCATGCAAAGGACATTGTAGTAGCTATGCCTGTGACCCAGGGACTTCAGCATAGTGGTCAGAGGAAAGTAAGGATTCTCAGAAAAACATGTTCATAGTTTCTCAGAACAATATGGGTACAAGAATGTTAATAGCAATTTAATGTTTGCTGGGACACACACACACACACACACACACACACACACACACACACACAGCACATATCTACAAAAGAAGAAAATAAAGAAGAAGAGAGAGAAACAAAGACAAAATCAAATATAAGGAGATTTCCAAAAAGTTAAAGATATTAATTCTCAAATGCACTTAATTTAAGAATATTGTTTTAGAATGACTTGAACAGAAAATGATACAAGAAATGAGCACACCATGGACTTTTCATCCACTTCCCACTTGCCAAACCTCCAAATGTGACTTACCACCCATCCTCTCAAGCATTAGCAACTCCAAGAGTTACGGTGCTTTCTGTAAGATCAGTGGAAATTTTAGGATGTTAGCCCACCAGCAACATGTGGGAGGTACCACCTAGAGGCATCATTTGGAAAGACACTTAGCAGAGGAAGTGAGACACTGTGTGAGGAGCAAATAAATAATAATCAGTCAATTTGGGATTAGTGCATTAATGTGACCTTACTTTCACCATGAAACTAGATATACTCTGCAAAAATCAGCCTCTAGTTTGGGAGGAGGTCTTAGCTCATATCTTAGGTGGTGTTCTGTGTTTCTGCTGTCCATTATGGTAGCTACTTGCCACATGTGGCTATTTGGGACTTGAAATGTGCCCATTTAACTAAAAATTAATTTTCAACTTTACTTAACCTTAATTAATTTAATTCAAACTTAAATAGTCACTTGTTTTAGCCAGTGTCTGCCATAGCAGACCACATTGACTGAGAGCATAGTGAGTTGACAATGTAGGCTCTAGAACTAGATGCCAAGTCGTAAATCCCAACTTTCACTTTTGCTAGCTGTGCATCCTTGGGCAACCTATCCTTTTCGCACCTTAATTGAACATTTTTAATGTTAGAAAAAATGATTATAATCACCTTATAGTTCTATTGTGAGGATAAAGTGATGATACTTATGCAAAGTGCTTAGAAAATATGTGGTGTATACTAAATGCTCAATAAGTTAGCTACCATTAATCTTATCACCTTCATTATTTTTTCCTCTTATCTACTGGCGCTTATATAATTCTGCACACCAATAGTCAATAAATGCCCTTAGCCACCACGCAGTATTCTTTCTATCATTTTCTTTCACCGCAAACTTAAAATAAATTTCTGGTGGAGTGATAGAGGAGGATGTGGCTGATGCTAGAAGCCTTTTCCAGTTTTGATATTGAGACTAGGGTAGGAAATGAATTATGGAATGTGCAGAAAAGACAGAGTAGAGCCCTAAATAAATGGTCTATTCAGAAGAGGATGCAGAAGATCTGAATTATGGGACTTTCAAAGGATTGTTTATAGTAAGTAAATCTGCATCTACTGGCATTTTGGGCTTTTTTAGATCTGGCAGCAGCACTCTGATCAAGATAGAGAATTTCCATCAACATACAGCGTTTTCTCATCCACAGTAAATCCCAATCTCCTATAGGCAGTCATCTTCTTATTTCTATCACCATAATTTTTTGTGCCTAGCTTATTTCTTTATTGACATTTCAATGCGATATTTCCAAGCTTCAGTCATGTTGTTGTATTATATTTGTAGTTCATTCTTTTTCCATTTCTGAGTTTTATTCCATTATATGCTACAATTTTTTTATCCATTGTCCTATTGATAAACAATTGGTGTTTTCCACTTTGAGTATTATGAATTGAGTATTAACATTCTTGTACACATATTTTTGTAGACATGTGCTTTTATTTACCTCTCTTAAATTTTTAAAATTATTATTATTTTTTATTTTACTCTAAGTTCTGGGATACATGTGCAGAATGTGCAGGTTTGTTACATAGGTATACATGTGCCATTGTGGTTTGCTGCACCTATCAACCCATCATCTAGGTTTTAAGCCCCGCATGCATTAGGTATTTGTCCTAATGCTCTCTCTCCCCTTGCCCCTCAGCCCTCAACAGGCCCTGGTGTATGATGTGCCCCCTGTGTCCATGTGTTCTCATTGTTCAACTCCCACTTATGAGTAAGAACATGCAGTATTTGGTGTTCTATTCCTGTGTTAGTTTGCTAACAATGATGACTTCCAACTTTATCCATGTCCTTCCAAAGGACATGAACTCATTCTTTTTTATGG
Source organism: Homo sapiens (assembly GCF_000001405.40). Taxonomy (NCBI): domain Eukaryota; kingdom Metazoa; phylum Chordata; class Mammalia; order Primates; family Hominidae; genus Homo; species Homo sapiens. Next base: position 126,225,696 of record NC_000002.12, on the reverse strand, counting down.
CTGCATAGTATTTCATGGTGTATATGTACCACATTTTCTTTATCCAGTCTATCATTGATGGGCATTTGGGTTGGATCTGTTTTTGCTGTTATAAATAGTGCTGCAATAGACATGCATGTGCATGTGTCTTTATAGTAGAATGATTTATAATCCTTTGGGTGTATACCCAGTAATGGGATTCCTGGGTCAAATGGTATTCTAGTTATAAAACCTTGAGGAATTGCCACACTGTCTTCCACAATGGTTGAACTAATTTACACTCCGACCAACAGTGTAAAAGTGTTCTTATTTCTCCACAGCCTTGCCAGCATTTGTTGTTTCCTAACTTTTTAATAATCACCATTCTAACTAGTGTGAGATGGTATCTCATTGTGGTTTTGATTTGCATTTCTCTAATGACCAGTGATGATGAGCTTTTTTTCGTATGTTTGTTGGCCGCATAAATGTCTTCTTTTGAGAAGCGTCCATTCATATCCTTTGCCCACTTTTTGATGGGGTTGTTTTTGTGTTGTAAATTTGTCTAAGTTCCTTCTAGATTCTGAGTATAGACCTTTGTCAGATGGGTAGCTTGCAAAAATTTTCTCCTATGCTGTAGGTTGCCTGTTCACTCAGATGATAGTTTCTTCTGCTGTGCAGAAGCTCTTTAGTTTGATTGGATCCCATTTGTTAATTCTTGCTTTTGTTCCAATTGTTTTTGTGCCAAATTGTGAAATTGCAGGGTCATAGGGTGGGTGTTTATAAGAAATTGCCAAACAGATTTTGAAAGTGTAGTAGTGCTATTAAACATTCCTACCTAGCAGTGCATGATAGTTCTGGCTACTTCATTTTCTCACCCGCATTTGATACTATCAGTTGTCAATTGTTTTGAGTCATACTAGTGGTTTTAAATGGTATCTCATTATAGTTGTGTATTTCATGTCCTTCAATACTGATGATGTTGAGAAGCAATCTTAACTGCTTTAAATATTTTCTCCTTTTCTACTATATTATAGTATTTCAAGCTTTTTTTTTTCTTCCCTAGGCTAGGTTTCGGCTGCTCATTGCATCTCACAAATATTTTTATGTGGTGTTTCCATTGATATTCAGTTTAGAATATTTTCTAATTTCCCTTGTGATTTCTTATTTAAGCCAGGAGTACATAGTGGTATGCCAATTAATTTGCAATACTTCTTGATAACTTAGAAGGTTAATGTTTAATTTAATTTATTTGTGTTCAAATAACAGGCTTTGTGAGATTTCAAATATTTTTCATGTATTGAGACTTGTTTTATGGCTCAGCATATGGTCTATCTTTGTGAACATTTTATGTGCATTTGAGAAAAGAATATGTATTCTGAGGCCATTAAGTGTAGTGCTGTGTAATTGTCAGGCCTAATTGAGTTGTACTGTTGTTAAAATCTTTTACGTATTTACTGATTTTTGGACAATAGCTAAATCAATTGCAGGGAGGGGGGGTAAAAATCTCCAGTTGTGATAGATAATTTATCTATTTCGCCATTTAGTCAGTTCTTGCTTCATGTATCTTGAGGCTCTGTAATGAGGTACATATGAATTTGCAATTGTTATGCCTTCCTGAATAATTGATCATTGGTCTGCTGGTGTCTCTCATTCTTCATTTATGTGAAAGTGCTTTTATTTTGCCCTGATTTTTGAAGGCTAATTCTGTAGACATAGAATTCTAAAGTTTTTTTTTCTTTCAAACTTTAAAGATGCCATTTCATTACATGACTGGCTGAACACTTTGAACTTACAGAGGCGTGGTTTTATGTACTTCGATGGAGCAGGTTGGTAGAAAGCAGAAAGGATTTACCAAGACCCTCTGACTTGTCAGGACCCTCTGACTTGGCAGGATTTAGACTAAAAACTTTCTCCGTTATGTGGAAACTCTTGCTTTCCTGGGGGTCCTTGGAGTTTTCTCTGTACATGCATAGTGCAGGTGTCCCAAGGGGATCTGAGAATAGTTGGGGCTTCCCCTTTTCAAGGATTTTTCTCTCAATTTCCTATTACTCTAGTAGCCTTGAACGCTGTCTTCTGACACTTCAAGGCAACAAGAATGGCATTCTTCGTGAGTTTTGGTTGTTCCCTGCCTTAGGGACTGTGGTGTATGCTATAAGCATGAGTGAGTGTGGTTCTCCTCTTTCAAGGCTTAACTCCCATCTGGGTTCTGCCTGCTTTTGATGCTCCTTGCTGCCTTTGCTATCTTTGTGACCTTGAGTCCTATACATGTGGCTCCACAATTACAGTCTCCAGAACTCCAACCTTGTATCTTTCTTTACTGTCTTATTCTGCACTCTATAAAACAGCAGATAGCCATTAAATATTTGTTGATTTCATTTTATATTTTTACTTTATAGAAGTACTTAATTTGAAAGAATATTGAAGGGCCCTTAGCCTTCTATTAAAGGTAATAAAATAAGATATCTCAAAAAAGCAAACAGTTGGAAATTAAATGGCACAGCTCTAAGTAACCCATGGGGAGAATATCAATACTGGTTGTGTGAGCCAGTTGCAGTGGCTCACACTTGCAATCCCAGTGTTTTGGGAGGCCGAGGTTAGAGGATCACATGAGCCCTGGAGTTTAAGACCAGCCCAGGCAACATAGCAAGATCCTGGCTCTCCAAAAAAGAAAATTAAAAATTAGCTAGGTAAAGTGGTGTGTGCAAGTAGTCCTAACAACTTGGGAGGCTGAGGTGGGAGGTGAGCTCAGGAGTTTGTGGCTGCAGTGAACTATGATTGAGCCACCGTACTCCAGCCTGTGCAATAGAGCAAGATGTCTCTAAAATACAAAACAACAAAAAACACTGGTTGTAAGTATTCCATAAAAGGACTAGAAAAACATGTGTTACCCTTGCCCCTAGGGTTGCCATATTTAGTAAATACAAGTACAGGACACTCGGTTAGATTTAAATTTCAGATTCACAAATGATAATTTTTGTTATAACTATGTTTCATGTAATATTTGGGATATACTAAAATGGCTTTGTTATGTATCTAAAATTCAGATTTAACTGAGTGTCCTGCATTTAATCTGTCAACACAACTCCCTCCTCCCTCTTTTCCTTGCCTCCTGCTTGTTTCCATGCAGCAATATCAAGCCACGAGCTGTCACAATTCATGAGCTTTGGACTTTGGGCATCATGGGATATCTGGCTGTGGAATGGAAGAAACACTTTGGCAGACTTCCTGATTATTCACGTTATATATTTTCTTCTCTCTAAACACTGTGATGAAGTGGGAGGTAGGGACAGAATGTAGAGCCCACAGCTGGGCTTAGAATCATCCCAGTGAGAAACAGCTGCCTGGTTAGCTGTGTGCTTGTGGACTTGGCATGTCCACAATGGCCATGGTTGGAGTGGGGCAATGAAACCTCTTGCAAATACCATGATTTCTTCTCTTTCCAAAAGTATTCTAAGGAAAATTTGTTCAAAAATAGTACGTTTGTCTTACTGGGTGGCAATTACCATAGAACTCATTTCCGTCAGCTAATTCCCATTGTATGGGGTTTATCACAATTTATTCACAAATTACTTTATCATACTTTATCAATGATGTAACTCCAAATTTTCATCATTGGAAATAAATGAAGATTGACCAAATAAGAACAGGCAGAAGCAGTTCAGAGTTTGCTGTATCACGGGAGTCAGCCACCATCACTTGCCTTTTGGCTAAGATGCTAAGGCAGACAAGGAGTGGGAGAGCTTTGTAGTGGACAGAAGGAAGGCTTCAGTGTGCCCTGATGGAGGCTGTTGGCATGGGAAGCTGGAGGAAGACTCACCAAAAGTGGGTATCTTATGGGATTGGTTAGAGGAGTATATTTGTTTTTTTCTGGTTGGTCCTAAGTTGGAAGCAGGTAAAAAAGCATTAGGGAAGCTTTCAGAGTTTAATTAAATCTTAGCTATTTTGTTACAGGAATTACTATTTGGCTTCTGGGACTGGTTGCTAGAGACCTTGGTCTGATTTCCCGTAAGTCTGGCTTACAGATAACAGGCTGGATTCCTGGGGGCTGTTTCCTGTAGATAAGGGGTTGGTGTCCTGGCCTTGCTGCTGCAGACTGTGGGTCAGAGTTCTTTTGTTATATATGTTCTGGCCATTGTCCATCTGTATATTCAGGCTCTCAATTATTAGAAATTATGCTGATTTATTGCCTCTGCATATCTTGCTCTTCTTACTCAAAACTGAATTGCCTATTTTTGCCCTACACTTGTATATAAATGTTAGAATCAATTTGTTGAGGTAAAACATACACACACAAACAAAATTAAAATTTAAAAATTCTGTTATGGAAAACCGAACACCCCATGTTCTCACTCATAAGTCGGAATTGAACAGTCAGAACACATGGACACAGGGAGGGGATCATCACACACCGGGGCCTGTTGGGGGGTGGGGGGCAAGGGGAGGGAGAGCATTAGGACAAGTACCTAATGCATATGGGGCTTAAAACCTAGATGACAGGTTGACGGGTGCAGCAAACCACCATGGCACATGTATACCTATGTAACAAACCTGCACATTCTGCCCGTATATCCCAAAAGTTAAAGAAAAATTTTAAAAAATAGAAAAAGAATAAAAATTCTGTTATGAATAATTAGAAACTTCAATAAGAATTCTTACACTCCAATATTATCTATTTCAGGTACATGTTGGATTGTTTGATTAATAGCAACTTTTCTAGACTCTTATTTCTCCTTGTTTATGTTGGAATTCTTTATTCCAGTTACACATAAATGTAGCCAGTACTTGTAATACCCTCCCTTTGTCCCTAGTGCCTGAGGTCTCACAGGGGAGGGTCATGGGGTCGGTGTTCCCATCCATTGTGCTGATCCATCAGTGGACACTTAGAGGTTTGATCTGGGGTCAAGAAACTATAGTCCATGGGGGAAATCTGGATCATAACCTGATTTTCTGATTGGCTCACAATCTAACAATGTTTTTACATTTTTTAAATGGGAAGAAAGAAGAAGAGGAGCAAGAAGAGGCTGAGAAGAAACAGAAGATTTTGTGACATGTGAACATTGCATGACATCCAAAGTTCAGTGTCCATAAATAAAATGTTATTGGTATACAGCTGGTCTCCTTCACTGATGGGTTGCCTGTATCTATGGATGTGCTTTAACAGCAGAGTTGAGTCATTGTGACATAGACAGAAAAGGGAACGTGGCTGGTAAAGCCTGAACTGTTTTCTATTGGGTTCTTTACAGGATGTTTGCTGACCCCTGGGCTAGATTCCACATTCTCAATGGCTGAGTAATTTTCTTGAATTTTTTTTTTTTTTTTTTTTAGACAGAGTCTTACTTTGTCGCCCAGGATGGAGTGCAGTGGCGCGATCTCAGCTCACTGCAACCTCTGCTTCCCGGGTTCAAGCGATTCTTTTGCCTCAGACTCCCGAGTAGCTGGGACTACAGGTGCCTAAACCATGCCTGGCTAATTTTTGTATTTTTAGTAGAGACAGAGTTTCACCATATTGGCGAGGCTGGTCTCGAACTCCTGACCTTGAGATCCGCCTGCCTCGGCCTCTCAAAGTACTGCGATTACAGGCATGGGCCAGCACGCCCAGCTGATTTTTTTTTTTTTAAATAATTTTCTCCCATCCATATTCTGTTCTCTTTTTCAGAAATTTGTATTATGTAAACATTGTATGTCCTGGGCTGCTTTTTCATTTTGTAAATTTTTCTCCCCAAACTTTCTTTTTTCCTATAAAGTTTTAATAGCTCTGCAAAATCTGTGACAAGATTTCTCATTAATTAGAATTATAAACAATTGAGCAACCCTCTGGATCTATATTTTTATGTGTCATTATTGAAAAGGATGAATATTACATAAAATTGCGATGTTCAATAAAATTACTACAGTCGTCTTCAAACTACATGCTGCTCGATGGTAGCAAAATATAATATTGACATTAAGAAGACACGGTCAAGAAAATATGTCTCTTAAAAATACCTTCCTTGAGTAATAGTTACGAGTGGAGGCATAATATAGCAAGATAAAATACTTAAAAATATTGAGAGACTTCCTTATTCTGTTGGTTTTTCCTGTACATTTTCCCAAATTAAAATTTAAAAGCAAGAGAATATGCTTAATGATATGTTTATTTTGAGGTGCAAATTTTGTTTCTTATAAAACAGGCAAAACTCTGTCAAAATAAGATTCCATCATTTTCATGGCCTGGTGTTCTTTAATTAGTGAAGTAGAAGGTTTTAAATGCACTGTCATCAAAGGAAAAAGTAAAATCTTTGTGTATATCATAACTAAATAACCACATGCTTTAAAGAATTGATATTAAAATCAAATATAATTTCCCTTTTAATAACATGAGAGACTTCACTTAATACATATGAGGCTGACATCTGAGTCTTTCATGCTACTCCTGTCGTGACAACTGTATTAAACCTTTCCAGTGTGACACTTTTCAACTCTGAAAATAATATGACTGCATCCATGTAGAGCTTCCATTTTCACAGAGTTGACAGAATGCGGATGCTGACTGCCTTACCTCTGCAGACTGTCTCAAGCTATCCCAGGCTGTGAAAAACATGCGTCCCGCTCTCAGCATAGACACATAAATGATGCTCCACTCACAAACCATGGGCCCTCACTTACTGACCTGGATGTGCCTGGATTCTCCAGAGCGATCCAGGGGACCTGTCAAGAACATTTTGGCTGCCAGACCGGAAGATACACATGCATGCGCGCACACACACACACACACACACACACACAGGTAGGGCTGCTGCTCAGTGCTCAGGGGGGCAGTCCAGTTTGCCTAGAGTCTAGGCACCTGTGCCTAAAAGCAGAAACAAACTGAGAAACAGAAAAGGAAGATCAGAAAGGATGAAAAACACATGTGTTATTCCCTCATATTCCATTTCCTATGTGTTTTGTTTTTTTATTTATTTTATTTTATTTTATTATTATTATACTTTGAGTTTTAGGGTACATGTGCACAATGTGCAGGTTAGTTACATATGTATACATGTGCCATGCTGGTGTGCTGCACCCATTAACTCGTCATTTACATTAGGTATATCTCCTAATGCTATCCCTCCCCCCTCCCCCCACCCCACAACAGTCCCCAGAGTGTGATGTTCCCCTCCCTGTGTCCATGTGTTCTCATTGTTCAATTCCCACCTATGAGTGAGAACATGCGGTGTTTGGTTTTTTGTCCTTGCGATAGGTTACTGAGAATGATGATTTCCAATTTCATCCACGTCCCTACAAAGGACATGAACTCATCATTTTTTATGGCTGCATAGTATTCCATGGTGTATATGTGCCACATTTTCTTAATCCAGTCTATCATTGTTGGACATTTGGGTTGGTTCCAAGTCTTTGCTATTGTGAATAGTGCCGCAATAAACATACGTGTGCATGTGTCTTTATAGCAGCATGATTTATAGTCCTTTGGGTATATACCCAGTAATGGGATGGCTGGGTCAGGTAATTCCAATTACTTATTAGTAGGTTTCTTCTCACCTCATTTGTGTACTCAGTTATTCATTTGTAACCAAGATCATTCCATTTATTCAACAATTACTCAGAGAGAACCTACTGCTTACTAGTTACTTATCTGGATTCTGGGCATACCACAGGGAAGAAGATAGTAAAAAGCATCTGTCCTCAAGCCTATTACATGTTATACATGAGGAAATGAGTACTTAAAATAGATAATATCAGATAGTGCCAAATGCATGAAGGCAACAGAGCAGGGTAAGACGACAAGCTGTGCTTGTGGGGTGAGGGCCACTTTTAAATGTGGCACTCAAGCCTGGCCAGTGTCAGCAATGACCTAGGCCTGGAATGATGAGGAGCCAACCCTAAGGAGTTCCCTAGGATGAGCACTTTGGGCACAGGGAAAGATCTGAGGCCCTGAAGTGGGATAGAAACAGGGCAGGATGTGCAGGAGGGCTTGGCAGTCACTAGGTCAGAAGAAGAGGAGCATCAGGGAAGTGCTTATGTGATGGAGGGCCTTAAAGGAGAGTTCGTGGGCCTCCCTGCCCCCTCATATATAGATGTGATGGGTTCATTCTCCCCTTTCACTGTTTCTGAATAGCCAACATCCTCTCCTCTCCAGGAGGTCAGTGAATTTCCAGGGGTGTTGCATGACACGTATACCAGTTTTTGATTCCACTGGCGAAGAAGTAGGGCAGCCGAGAGCCATGGCTTTGTCCCAGGTAGCCTTGCTCAGCTCAGCCTTGGCCTCAGCTGGGAGTGGAGCACGGACCTGTTCTCTGATTTTCAGTTCTGCAGGCATTGCCATACCACTGCACCAAACTGTAGGCTGGAGAGTCAGGTGGAAGCATCAATGTGAATGGACGATGTTAAATTAAAGGTATATCAAGGAGGAGGGGGTGGAGAGGGGAAGAAGAGGAATTGTTAGACACTCTAGGTCCTTAGAAAAATCTGCTATCTTCTGCTTCCCAGCCTTGCTCTTCCTATCTTCTCCTCATTTGTGTTCTGTCTCCATCCTCATCTCTGTCAGTGTGTAATTCAGAGTTTATCCACCTCTAATGCTCCCTAGCTTCAAAGTGCTTATGCCCTCAGGGATTTAGTTTCTATTCTAGGCATTTCTTTACCCTAAAGAGGTTTTGTAATGATTCTTTTTAGAGTTAATTTCTTAAAATAAATTTCAGTAACAACGGTTTAAATAAGTTTTTCACCCCATTTTTTAAAAAAAATATTTTTAAAGAATATGCTATGTACCCGATTCTATGGTAGATTTTGGAAATGTTGCTGAACCAGATATTTTGTGAAACTCTCAGTGTATTGGGAGAAAAAAACTCACCTGATAAGTATGCAAAAATTAACCAAATATAATTGTAATGAGGACTGAAAATTAAATTATAATGGGGAATGATGTGATTTTGATGGATTATGGTAGTCTTTTCTAAAGAGGGATTATTTATTCTGAAATTTGAGGCAAGAATAAGAATTAGCCAGGGAAAAGATGGGGCAGGAAATATCCAAGACAGGAAAGTCACAGAAGGGTATGATTTTCTGGGGGAAGAAATTCATGTTTGAAATTACTGGAGTGGTGTCCTTGAGGAATGGGTAGAAGGTCAGTAGGGATTGCAGTAAGAACTGTGATATGGGAGATGAGACAGATAGGTGGAGGGCATATAATGGAAAGCTTTGAAAATTTATGGAGATTTATTTTTTGTTTCTTAAGAGGAAAGGGAGATATTAAAGAAAGGCCTGAACAATTGTACTGGCTTATATCTCTTTCCAGGGACAGGAACTGCATTTAACAGAGTAGGTGGACGCTGCGTGAGTCTACATAAGAACTGACTTCATCGCATGTTCACTTGCTAACAATGGGTGAATGGCCTTTCTAGATTGCCTAGTGACTGGGTAGGGTGATGAGGGGGCCACTTGAGACCTAGTCCCTTAGATCTTTAGACACATAAAAACATTCCATACAAAGAAACTTATCATTGGCCCTGCACAAAGTGGGCAAAAAGCTGTATTTCAAAAAGTATAGAAAATAAAAAATAAGACCATTCCCAACTTTGTATCATACACAAAAGTTAATTTCAGGCATATAATTTACCTCAATATGAAAATCAATAAGATAAAACTTCTAGAAATAGGAGGATATCTTCATGATACTGAGGAAGGATAAGCTGACAAGTTTACTGAAAAGGAGAAAAAAAATTATTAATGACAGCAAAAAGGATTGATAAGTTTGATTGCATGAAAAATAAAAACTACTGTTCATCAAAAAGTCACCTTTAAGAATATATAGAAAATGCACACTGTTTTTACTTTAAATTTTAGAGCAGTTTTAGATTTACAAAAAAAAGTTTCAGAGAAAGTACAGAAGGTTCCTGTATATCCCTACACCTGTTTCCCTATTGTTTACATCTTACATTAACATGATAGATTGGTCCCAACTAATGAAACATATGCATATGGAAACATTCTACGTATGTCTGTTGATACATTGCTGTTAACTAAACTTCATTTGGATTTTTTAATGTCTTTAATTTCTTCAAGGTCCCTTCTAGGAAACCACATTACGTTGAGTTGTTATGTCTCCCTGTGACAGTTTCTCAAACGTACCTTGTTTTTGATGATCTTGAGAATGTTGAGCAGTACTGGTAATTAGCTCTGTACAATTTGGGTTTGTTTGGTGTTTTTCCTTAGGGTTATAATGGGGTTATATTTGAGGGGTGGGGGAAGACCACAGAGATAAAACGTCATTCTCATGATGTTGTATCAAGGGAACATGTTCAACTTGATCCCAGCGCTGAGGTATTGATTGTCATGTGTCTCCACAATAAAGTTCCTCTCCCCTCTGCCCTTTTAGTAAGAAGTGTGCAACCCACAACACACCTAAGGGGTGGGAGTTATGGCCCACCTCTCTGAGGGAGGCAGTATCTACATAAAGTATTTGGAATTCTTTTGCCTATTATTTGGAAATTTATCTTCCCTCCTCCCCTATTTGTGGACTTACACAATCATTTATTTATAGCAATATGGACTCGTGGCTGTGTGTTTTGTACTTTCATTATGATCCAATATTACATTATTTATTTTGTTGCTCACATAGTTTGTGACCTTCAGTGATCTTTCATTTGGCTTCTATGTTCATTTTCTTACTTTCTAACCTAAATAATGAAAATTAAGTTATTTTTTAAAATTGTTTTTTTTTTCCCACAAAATAAAAAGTGGAGAATTAGCACAGATACCTAGCCTAGTGTGATAAACCACTTACTGATATCAAAAGGGCCTAGATTCCTTCCATGGCTGTGCTCAGGGTCAATTTCATCCTAAGGACAATTTTCTTCCTCATCACAATATGGCTTCCAGTGGCAACAGGAGCTTTCACTTCTTTATTTCTCTCCAATAAGAATATTAAAATAATCCTCCCCTGAGCCAATAGTTAAGCCTTCCCTCTGTAACTGAAGAGAGATAGGTGGAAATAGATGTTGGATTTGCAACTAACAGTGTCTGTTTCATTCCACAATTGAACTAAACTCAACAGTTAAGTCTCATCTGTGTGAGCATTTAATCCAAGACAAAATGTATTGACAATAAGTTCAAATAAATCTATGAAGACTTACATGGAATTCTATATCTGTGAGTAAAGGGACACTAAACAGAGACACTAAACTAAGAATAGCTAGGAGATCCCAGAAAAGAAACATCAAAATTCAATACTAGCTTGTGTGATGTCCATATTCAAAGGCATAGGTCTGAAAATAAAGGAAGGTAGGGTGACATGCATAACACGTACATGGAGGAAAATGTGGGAGAAAAAATCACGGCATTGTGAAACAGTCTCTCAGACAAAATGCCTACCACAGGAGGTTTTAAATTAATAAGAAAAAAACATAAACCATTATTACAAAATTAATATGTGTAGTGGGGAAAAAATAAGTCTCCAAAATAAAATGCAGTTGCCAATAGCAGTTTCCCCAGGGTGCATAGTGAGAGTAGAGAGACAGCAGTTCCAAGGTATCTTCAAATTAATTACATTTTGAAAACACTCAGAAACATACAACGAGGTTTGATTCCCTGGCTAGTGGATGAACAATTCATTCATTCATTTAACAAATATTTAATGAACTCAAATAATGTACCAGGCACCATGCTAGATTTTGTGTCTCGAAGACAGCATCCAAAGTGATAAGAATTTAAAGGTAGCATGAAATCGTGCACATTTTTCTTCTGAACTCTAACCATCCCTTTATTAGTATGATTCCTGAATTTCCTCAAAGAACTCTCACTACACATCTTCCATCTTTTCTTGAATTACTGGCATGTTTTCTGAAATTTTTTCCAAATCCTTCTTGATCTTGTTTGTCTTCAGCCAGCATCAAGGTAATGAATTGTGGTAATGGTTATACACGCAACTCTGGATGTATCCTACAAACCACCGAATTGTATACTTTAAAAAGGTGAATTTTGTGGTAGATGATCTATACCGAAATAAAGTGGATATGGAAAAAAATGAACAAGGCAGATCACTGTATGTAGTAGCTCATTCCATATGAGCCTGTGCTCAGTCCAGCCTCAGCCTATCTTTCTGGAATCACCTATTTGTGTTACATTCCCCAGCGAGACTTCTGGATTTACCACCGGACTAGGGTACTTTGTGTGCTTATGTCATTCTTTTGCTCACACCATTCTCTGCAAATATTCCATTTTCTTTGAGTGTATCAAGAATCAACTTAAATTAATGACCTCTTTCTCCAAAAGAAGAAAGGGGAGAGAACATTTCCATGGTGCAAGAACAGCTAGAATTTGCAATCTCTAGGTTCGCCTTCCCCATAAAGACTTTACATTTCAAAATTGCCACCACTATACTGATCTAGACTGAACCCCAATATTACCCTCCATCCCTATAGCACAGCAAGGACCAGGATAGAACATTAGAGAGGATGGAAAGGCTGAGTGAAATTGAAACCAGAGTAACATGTATTTCAGGTAATAGAATCCACAGACCCATCCCATATTCCTCCTGACCTAGATAGAGGACCATCCCTAATTACCTGTCTCCTGGGTCCTTCCCAGGGGGCTTCTGCCTCCCTGTGAAAAGGAATATCCTCCCATCAGCCAGGTCACTCTGGGGCTCTCTCCAAGAGTCCAGACCCAAAAGGCTGGGATCTAGGAAGGAAGGAGTTCCTTTTATTTTTAGATCTGCCATCCTTTTTCTAAACAACTCAACTAAAATAGCATTTATCTCTGACCCCGCTTTACTTTCCAATGTAGCACTGCACTGTCAGGAAGCTGTCACATTCCTTATTTGTTTGATTGTTTGGTTTCCCAGGAAGACTTCTATATTAGGTTGCTGGGGCTGCCATAACAAAATACCATAGACAGGGTGGCTTAGACAACAGAAATCTGTTTTCTCTCACTTCTGGAGGCTAGAAGTCCAAGAACAAGGCATCAGCAGGATGAATTTCTCCTGAGACCTCTCTCCTTGGCTTCCTCGCTATGTCCTTATGTGATCTTTCCTCTGCACACACATCCCTGGTGTCTCTTTCCATGTTCAAATTCTGCTTCTTAAAAGAACACCAGTCAGAATGGCTTACGGCCCATCCTAATGGTCTCATTTTAATTTAATCACCTCTTTAAAGGCCCTGTCTCTAAATATGACCACATTCTGAGGTACTGGGGGTTAGGACTTCCACATATAAATTTTGGGATGGGGAAGGCTCAAATTAGCTCATAACAGTGTCTTGTGGCCTTATGAGGCAAGACTGCATTTGTTTTGTGTATTTTTATATCCCCAGTACCAGGAACAACAGGCTCTCAATAAATAAACTCAGTTCCTTTATCCTATCTGTGGTAGACAGAATTCTAAGATGGGTCTAAGATTTGCCCCCCTGTATAAATTCTCCCCTTTTAGTGTGGCAGGGCCTACAACTATGATGGAATATCCTCCCTGTGATTAGGTTATGGGATATGCCAAAGGTGAATTAATTTTGCAAATGTAATGAAGGTCCCTGATTGATTGACTTTAAGGATCAATGGAGACATGATCTTGGGCGGGCCTTACCCACTTAGATGGGTCCCCTAGAAGAAGAAGATTTAAAGTTCAAAGACAAGAAGCAGCAGAGATGCTCTCCTCCCCGCCCTCAAGAAGCAATTTTCCAGAATGAGAAGAGGGCCTCATGGCAGGGAACCATGGGTGGCCTCTAGGAGTTGCTTGCCTGGATTCACCACCACACGGAAGTGAATTCTGCCCACAACCAGTGAGTTGGGAAGAGAACCTCGCAGCTCAGACGTGATCACAGCCTGGAGGACAGCTTGAGATCCTGAGTAGAGGAATCATCTCATCCGTGCTCAGAATCCTAAACCATGGAAACTATGATGTAGTAAATATGTGGGGATTTTTTGTGTTTTGTTTTTGAAATAAGGTCTCACTCTCTTACCCAGATGGAGTCCAGTGGTGCAATCATAGCTCACTGCAGTCCCAGACTCCTGAGCCCAAGTAATCCTCCTGCCTCAGTCTCCCGAATAACTGAGTATGCCACTAGGCCCAGCTAATTTTTAAAAATTTTGTAGAAATGGGGTAGTGCTATGCTGCTCAGTCTGGTCTCAAACTCCTGGCCTCAAGCAGTCCTCACACCTCAGCCTTTCAAAGCTCTAGGGTTACAGGTGTGAGCCACTGCACCCAGCAATGTGTGTCATTTTAAGCCACTAAGTTTGCAGTAATTAATTATATAGCAATAATAATAATAAAACAAATAAGTGAATATACTATCCCACTATCTTCCTTCCTAAGGATGACTAATATTTGCAGTGTTCACACTTTTCAGCTGAGCCCACAACCCCTATAGAGTCAGGAAAGCTTAGCCCCAAAGATCTCCTGACCCTGTAGGAGTTGGACACTAGGGGAGGGTATGGAAGGCAGTATTATTTTCTTCTACTGTCTTTTGATGCTGACCTCAATTTTTAGCTTTTTCGTGGATTCTTCATAGTCCACGGGAATGACTTCCTTTTCCAACTCTATTTGTGTGTTGTATAACGTATGTGTATATATAATATGTATTATATGTAATACATTTATAATATATAACATATATTTGAGGTTTGTCATTAATTTTGACTTGCTATCTCACTATTAGCTGTTGTTTGTCTGTAAACCTTATCTTTCCAACTGGCGTGCAAATCCCTTCAATTCAGGGGTTTCAGGGGCCGTAGTGTGAAAAAGTAGAAGGGTCATAGTCATAGCGCCTGGAGAAAGTGAGTGTGAATCCCAAATCTGCTATTTACTAAAGTATAAAAATAATTGAACTTCAGAGGCTTTGTTTAATCTTTTTTGTTTCTAAACAAGATTGATAAATGTGACCTTGGATGAGAAATAAATACATGTAAATATCCTGGCATAGAGTAGGGCTCAATAGATGAAACAACTCATATTATTAAATTTCTTCACATTTTTTCCACTCATACATTTTTGCATATATTAGGCATTAGATAATGTTATAAGTTAATTCTAAAATCCATTTTGAAAATTATTCTACAGGACTTTTTTCTAACTTTTTTTTTATTCAGCCAAATATCCCTCTCCTCTTCTTCCTCCCAGATAACTTTATTATTATCCCAGTGCTTTCTAACTATTTTAACATCTTCTATCCCTGAGGAGACAAGGCCTTCCTTTAGAGCAAAAGTTTTTTGCTTTATTTATCTCTATGTCAAGTACATAGCTCACAAGGCTGTGTGTTTGATGAATGAATGAATCAAAAAATAAGTCATTCAATCAAAAGTGATTGTGGAATCATTGAAGCAAAGTGTTTCTCAATTTTAATAGGCTTGCTGCAAGAATAGATAGTAATTATTTCCACCTAAAAGAAGGAAGAGCTTGAGTTTTTGATGGATGAGTTTCACTGATGTAATATAGAGATTGGTTCTGGGTGAAAACATTGTCTCACACATTCATTCACCTTTCCTAACATTTCCCTTTGGTGGAAGAAATACCGCATGCCAAATCCTGGTTCTTTCTCAATATTTGCAATAGTAATGTGAAATGGGACAAGTGACCTATTCTCTAGAGGCCCAGTTCTTTCATTTCCATAAATGAACATGATTATGCTTCCCTCAGAGGACTCAGTCTCTGTAAGATAGATCAGGTGCAAGGGGCAGCACATGGCAAGCCTTCCACAAATACCCATCACCCATACCTCCCACCCATACTCCCTTGCCATTTCTTTTTTCTTTATTTCTTTTTTTGTTTTGTTTTTTTGAGATAGAGTCTCACTCTGTCACCAGGCTGGAGTGCAGTGGCACGATCTTGGCTCAGTGCAACCTCCACCTCCCAGGTTCAAGCGATTCTCCTGCCTCAGTCTCCCGAGTAGCTGGGACTACAGGTGCCTGCCACCATGCCCAGCTAATTTTTGTATTCTTAGTAGAGATGGGATTTCACCATGTTGGCCAGGATGGTCTCAATCTCTTGACCTCATGATCTGCCTGCCCGGTGTCCCAAAGTGCTGGGATTACAGGCGTGAGCCACCGCACCCGGCCTCCCTTGCCCTTTCTATACAGGTATTCTGAGGTTGCCTGCCTGAAACTCACAGACTGGCTTCTTATCGTTAATGAGGTACTTAGCAATCGTTTCAGTGCTAACTCCCAGTTCACGAGGTTGACATTCTGAATGTTTCTGAATATATTATTTATTTTAAGCAGGCTCTGTGTTACACTGGGCCTCTGTAAGCTTAAGTTTCTAATCTGTGAAACGGCAATGAGGATACCTCTGCCATAGGGTTGTTGTGAGGTTGGATATGGTCATTCATAAATTAGGGTTAATATTTTGAAATAAGACACTTGAGTGAGAAATGGTAGCTCCTCCAGAATCCTCATAAAATATTACTGGACCATCTTACCTATTTTTTATAAGGTGGGGGTTGGGTGTGAAGCTCCCTCACATAGATGTCATGTTGATAAATTAGAGTTCAATCCTGGGACTTCAGAACACAGAACAACACACTGTCATTTCTAGCATAAAAAATGGCAAGTGTTGCCAGACACTTAAATAAAAACTCTATTTGTACCTTATAAAAATATACACACTACCTGAAAATGAATGAGTGGCCTTTTTCCATTATGAAAATAATAAATGTATCCAATTTAGATGAGATAAAGTTGGAAAATTGACTATTTTATTTTCTATCAAAATAGCAAGAGAGACTTGAAACATTTGCATTTTAATAAAGCATTTGTAGGAAAATCTAACCGTGACCAAAATATAAAAATAAAAAATAAAATAGAAAGAAAATAAAAGAAAAAGAAAAAAAGGAAGGAAATTAAAGAAAACAAAAAAACAAACAAACAAAAACAACCAGGGTTTGATTAAACAAATGAACAAATTCTGAGAGGCATGAGTATTTTTCTTGCACATTCTCTCTCTCTCCACCCCTCCGCAGGAAGGAGATTTCTACATCTCCCAGTAATCGCATAGTGATCTTTGCTGACTTTCTTGAATCCTTCTGCAGAGGGGCTACTGCATTTGATTTCTATCAGCCCTTTGTAAATATACAGTTTGTGTTTCTGAATTCTCCCTGAGATTGTTATTTGCTTTCCTGTCATGATCATTCTTGAGAGCACAAACACTGAAAATATGTGGGCAAGGGAATAACACAAGTTAGTTTTCCCAACTGCTCGCTGGACTCTGTCTCCCAATACCTGAAGGGCTATTGAAAGAGAAACAGCTGAACTTCAGTACACCGGTTTTTCGTCATTGCATCATATGACTTCTAATAGCCTGAGCTTCTCAGGAAGGAAATATACAGCTTTGCAAAACAGTAGTCTCCTTGTTGCTAATTGTTTTCCAGCAGAAACTAAATGATACTGCATTTTTCAGTAGTCAAGAGGGTAGGTTATGTTCTTCCAACATAAATGGCCCTATGGATTGAAACACACACACATGTGTATAAACTTATACATAACTCTCTAAAAGCAAAGAAAGGAAACACAGAGGGGAGGGAGGAGATAATAACTGCTGCTATAAAAAACTACCTGAGACTGGGTAATTTACACAGAAAAAAAGTTTAAGTGACTCACCGTTCCATATGACTAGGGAGGCCTCAGGAAACTTACAATCATGGCAGAAGGTAAAGAGGAAGCAAGGTACATCTTACATGGCAGTAGGAGAGGGAGAGAAAGAGGGGAAGTGCCACATTTTTAAACCATCAGATCTTGTGAGAATCACACACTATCACAAGAACAGTGAGGGAGAAATCTGACCCCATGATCGAATCACTTCCCACCAGGTCCCTCCTCCAACCTGTGGGGATTACAATTCAAGATGAGATTTGGGTGAGGACATAGAGCCAAACCATATTAGTTGCTCTTGTAATTCCTACAGGTGTGGCTTCTCCCAGTGGAGAGCTGTCTCCTTTTTTGTACTTCACTTTTGTCACCTCAGGGATTCTTCTGGTGCCTGTCATCTCTCTCTCATTGTTTCTCTTTCCCTCTTGTGCATGTTATCCTGGTATTTGGATTCAAATTGATTAAAGACTTAAATGTTAGACCTAAAATTATGAAAAACCCTAGAAGAAAACCTAGGCAATACCATTCAAGACATAGGCATGGGCAAGGACTTCATGTCTAAAACACCAAAAGCAATGGCAACAAAAGCCAAAATTAACAAATGGGATCTAATTAAACTAAAGAGCTTCTGCACAGCAAAAGAAACTACCATCACAGTGAACAGCCAACCTAAAGAATGGGAGGAAATTTTTGCAATCTACCCATCTGACAAAGGGCTAATATCCAGAATCTACAAAGAACTCCAACAAATTTACAAGAAACAAACAAACAACCCCATCAAAAAGTGGGCAAAGGATATGAACAGACACTTCTCAAAAGAAGACATTTATGCAGCCAAAAGACACATTGAAAAAATGCTCATCATCACTGGCCATCAGAGAAATGCAAATCAAAACCACAATGAGATACCATCTCACACGAGTTAGAATGGTGATCATTAAAAAGTCAGGAAACAACAGGTGCTGGAGAGGATGTGGAGAAATAGGAACACTTTTACACTGTTGGTGGGACTGTAAACTAGTTCAACCATTGTGGAAGACAGTGTGGCGATTCCTCAAGGCTCTAGAACTAGAAATACCATTTGACACAGCCATCCCATTACTGGGTATATACCCAAAGGATTATAAATCATGCTGCTATAAAGACACATGCACACATATGTTTATTGCGGCACTACTCACAATAGCAAAGACTTGGAACCAACCCAAATGTCCATCAATGATAGACTGGATTAAGAAAATGTGGCACATATACACCATGGAATACTATGCAGCCATAAAAAATGATGAGTTCATGTCCTTTGTAGGGACACGGATGAAGCTGGAAACCATCATTCTCAGCAAACTATCGCAAGTACAAAATACCAAACACTGCATGTTCTCACTCATAGGTGGGAATTGAACAATGAGAACTCTTGGACACAGGAAGGGGAACATCACACACCAGGGCCTGTCATGGGGTCGGGGAAGGGGGGAAGGATAGCATTAGGAGATATACCTAATGTAAATGACGAGTTAATGGGTGCAGCACACCAACATGGTGCATGTATACATATGCAACAAACCTGCACGTTGTGCACATATACCTTAGAACTTAAAGTATAATTAAAAAAAAAAAGTGGGTAGCAAGTAATCTGCTTCCTAATGAGCTTCCCTTCATTTTTTGGCCTCAGTTTTCTATTACAGCTTCTCAAAGCATTATCAATCACTTCTCTGTGAATAAAGCTGTAAATTTTGTTTGTTTTATTTTTTCTCACTCTGTTACACTTTCTACTTTCTGTGCTTCTTTTGAGTGAGAACCTCGAAGAGAAGGAGGGTTAAGTGATACGATTCAGTCAGTAGTAACTTGCCACCATTAAATCCTGATCACTTATGTTTGTAAAATTATATGAAATCTTACTTTGTTTGACCTTTATAACCTCCTGCCTAGTTGTTAAGGTAGAAGCCACTATCCTGTTTTAAAGATGATGATGTTGAGATATATTAAGGTTGAGATGCAGAGCAAGTTTCAAAGTCAAGATTTAAATTTGTATCCTCAGAATAGAGGTTCAGCAATTCTAACTTGAGACTGTGCCAATTAATATCACTTCATTTCCACTCAAGGTTAATCCCAGGTGACACTCACCAGGACACTGTGAGATTGAACTTCCCAGCTGAACTGAGGAGGTGAACATTCACAAAATGAGATATGGACATGTGGCTCTGGGATTTTGTAGGAACCTAGAGAAATGAGGCTAAAGAATTTGCTTGAGTCTGAGCCCATTGGTCATAGAAATCTAAGGGCAAGGGAGCCTGAAAGCTATTTGGGTCACATTTAAAGTCATCTCATACCAAAGCCCGGGACTCAGTAGTGCTCAGTAAGTTTAATTACTTTTACCTCTTAATCCATTCTGATGTTAACATTAAGATTTTCAAATTCTGCATTTCTCTTAGTGAATTCCCTTTCATCAGAGTTTCCCTGCTATTTCTTTATCCAACACTCTTTTAAAGAAGGCAGTAAAAGAGTGATCAGACCATCAAATATTATCTCTCCCAAGAGGATGCACCTTGTAACAGGCTTAAATACCTTATAGGTAAGAAGTTCAACTATAAAGGTACAATTTGAGTCACAGGACATAGATAGAAACAACTATAAGAGACAAAAAGGCTTATGGGGAGGAATAAATCAGTGAAAATACAGAACGTTCTAGCTGAGCTATCAGCTAACAACTGGGTACCTTCAATCTACCCATCAGCATGCTTAGGCACTGGGAAGAAATAGAAAGATAAATATGTCTTGTCTTAAAATGGGGATGCATATGAACATTTTATCTACTTCAATTCTACAAACATTTACTGAAGGCCTGCTAAACACCAAGTCCTATGTTAGGAAGAAGTATACAGAGATCATGTCGAGACTCTTCTCCTCCATCAGCAGTTTCAGGAAGTGGGGGGCTTTCTCTGGATTTACATACAACTCTCCTCACTGTGAGATCCTGGTGATGTTGCTGGTGGAAAAGACTATGAAAGTGGACCCTCCCCCTCAACCATGACTGTGGCCCCAGGAGCTTCTCATCTCCAGCTAGCCTATGCTGGGGCTCTAGCAATTTTTTAAAATTCCTTGTTAGTGTTCCCCAGGCTGATGGTGTTCCACAGGTTCTACTCCAGAAAATAGAGGAAGAGGAAGTGTTAAAAGTCAGTGTGTTCTTGACTGCTCCTCCCAACTCCCACCCAGATCAGCACCTTCCATGTCTCCTGCATCAGCAGCCCCCGTGGCCCCAGTCTCTCTGGTATCCATCAATACCAGCTCGACTTCCTCAGGAGGGGGCCAATGACATCAGAGTACCATGGCAACCAAGATGCTAGCTTTACCTCAGGGAGCCAAATCAGTCATTACTTGTGTCCACCTAAAAATACTAGATCATGTTTGAAACTGTTTTGGAAACATATTTTCTATCTTTTAACGCATAATGGTTGCTGTCATCACTACTGTCACTATCATTCTCTTTATCTCAGAGAGATCTAAGCACAGTGCTTGCAAATAAATATGTGTGTTTAGGAAAAGGATGCACTAATTAGTGTGTCCAGTGTCTATTCCTTGGCATCTCAATCCCACCTAAGGGTAAAAATATGGGTAAAATCCCATATTTAAACAGGTTTCTAACAAGACTTAGTCTTATCAATATATAATAGATTGATTTCTAACAGGATGTACTATCTTATAAACATATAATAACCCCTGCTGGATTTGTAACAATTTGCCCATGGCTTACAAAGTATTTACAATTCTATCAATGTATTGGTTTTGTTTATATAGGCTTGTGCTGTACAAAAGTTGCAACGTGTGTGTATATTCTCAATTACGTCAATATTTCCATTTACGGTTACTCTTTTTTAAAGCTAATTCTTCCCAACTTTGAGGTTAAGTACATATTCTGTACATTTCTTTATTTTTAAGCTTTTGACTTTGAAATAATTCTAGATCTATAGGAAGTTGTAAATATGGTAGAGAAAGGTGCGATTTGTAGTACTATGTTATTTTTTATCACCTGTATACATTGGTAACCACTGCCCCAATCAGCATACAGAACATTCCATCCCACAAGGATCTTTCTCCTTCTACCGCTTTATAGTTACACCCACTTCCTTCCCCTCCACCATCCCTAAGCCCTGGAAGCTATTAGTTTATTCTCTTTTGGAGACAGTCTCGCTCTGTCACCCAGATTGGAGTGCAGTGGTGTGATCTCGGCTCACTGCAACCTCCGCCTCCCAGGTTCAAGCAATTCTCCTGCCTCAGCCTCCTGAGCAGCTGGGATTACAGGCGTGTGCCACCACACTCGGCTAATTTTTGTATTTTTTAGTAGAGATGAGGTTTCACCTTGTTGGCCATGCTGGTCTCAAACTCCTGACCTCAGGTGATCCGCCAGCCTCGGCCTCCCAAAGTGCTGGGATTACAGGCATGAGCCACTGCACCTGGCCTCCATTCTCTATTTTTAAACTTTTGTAATTTCCAGGAGGTTGGGTTATAGAATCATTCAGTCCATGACATTTTAAAATTGGCTTTTATCACTCGGTGTATGCCCTTGAGATCCATCTGAGTTGTTGAGTGTAACAATAGTTTGCCCTTTCTTATTTCTAACTAGTATTCCATAGCTTTAAGGTATTGAGGCTTGTTTAGACATTCACCTATTGAGGGGCCTATTGGTTTTTCTCAATTTTGATTATTACAAATAATTACAGTAAGTGTGAACATTAAAATTAATTAATAAGGGAAAATACTTGTCCTTTAGAGTAGCTAGAGATATAGCCATTATAAATCTGAAAATAACTAAGGCCTACCTTCTCTTTGTACTAAATATATATAAAGTGAGACAAGCTGGTGTGATGGCCATTTATGTGTTAACTTGACTAGGCTCTAGTTATTTAATCAAACTCTAATATAGGTTTTGCCAGGAAGGTATTTTGTAGAAGTGATTGAAATCCATAATCAGTTGACTTTCAGTAAGGAAGATTATCCTAAATAATCTAGTTGGACCTGATCCAATCAGTTGACAGGCTTCAGGAGCAGAACTGAGGCTTAATGAAGACATTCTATCTGTGAACAGCAGCTTCAGCTCATACCCAGCCGTCATTCCAGCCTGTTCTTCCTGAAGGCCTGTCATACAAATTTTAGACATGCATAACCAGCCACCCTCATTGTGTAAGCCAATACCTTGCAGTAAATATTGTAAAATATATCTCCTACTAGGTCTACTTCTTTGGCTGAACCTTCACTGAACAGGATAGGAGAGACTTTAGTGATCATTTAGTCCAGTGCATTTTCCAAATATTCAGTAGTCTCAGAACTTTTGAGATAACTTTGAAATTATCTCTGAAAGTCCATTGTGTAATGCAGACACACAGAACATAGGTGGGTTGCTAGAATTTTTCTTGCTGAAGTCACCTCTCCACTTCCAGGCCAGGTATCGTCAAAGAAAATCCATGTGTCACTTTCAGGAAACTTTTGAATGGAAGACCCTGAAATCAGAAAAGATTTATAATTATTTCTCTCATCTATCAAAATGAAAAAGACTGAATAATTCGTTGTGTGTTTAAAGCTCACTGCTGGCTGTAGGGTAGGAAAAATTGATATTTTATACAGTTTTAATTAGTCAATGAATTAGCCATTTCTATTACAATTTAAAAATGAGAGAAAATATCCAAAACTCCTGCTTCACTCTCACAAATATACTGCGGCATGAATATTAGGATATAAGTGCAAAGATGTGGAATATAAAACTGCTTTCAATGACAGAAAATTGGAAATGGCCTAAAATTATGTAAGTTGTAGGATTGTACATTCATTTTGTTGATTCTTTTAGGTAGTTAAATGGAGGGAATTGTATTGATGAATGGTGACCAAATTAATATTGATGTCATATTTTCTTCCACACAGTCTAATTTCTTTGTTAAGTTCCATCTTATTTTGGGGAGTGAGGAATGTTTTCAGTTGTGAGGACTGACCCATTTGCGCAGCTTTTTCCTGAAGTAAAGGTGAAAGAAGGAATAGAGAGTGCTGTCTGCAGGATGCCAAAAACTATCTTTGCTCCCTCTACAAATCATCTCTCTTGTGTTGGTGATGATTAGGCATAGGTGGAATTCAAGTTTGGTAAGACAAAGAGAATCAATGTGGTTGCCATTTCCCTATGTGTTCAGGGTCACAAGCATTTGTGACTACACAGCTGATGTTGTTCTTGTTGTTTGTGTGTATATTATACATGTTGGACAGCACATATTCCCATTCAAAAGGCAGACAGGCTGTTGTTTGGTTGTAGTTTATATATTAAGGGGAAAAAATTGATATTGACATTGTCTCAGTATAAAGATAATTGTGACTTATATCTCACAAGTGACATGGCTGACGTGACTTCTATCATGTTTCATGTTCTATTACATTTTTGACACTGGAAACAATCCTGACCACAAACCCAGGGCATCACATTGAGATGGTGAGGAAGGCACGTTCTCCCCAGCTCTTGCTTTCTTCCTTTCCCTCTTACTCTCAATGCATTGGGAAATGTGAACGAAACTGCATCCTCCTTGATAGGGAAGCTAAGCTATGGATGAGTAGGGTAATAGAGCCAAAATATAATATACTCCTAAGTTCTGTTGTACTCTGTATTATTCATTGTCTGTATTATTCAATGTCTGCAGTACCCTTTTGTTTTAGGAAGAGACGTTGAAAACCTCTTATTGTTCTTAGATGTTTTCCTTTTCCCTAGTCCCCTTGACTGGTAATAGGAAAGCAGAGACAAAGGCAAAAATTAAAGTGAGGACTCTTTATTTGTGAGGTGCAAGCCCAGGGTTGTGATGGTGGGGAAGAAGGGACATGGGGCCAGGAAAACTGAAAAGCAGCCAGTGCAATGTGTTACTACTTGGGCGATGTGTATCACTAAAAAGCCAAAGAGGAATTGAGGGCTGGAAGTGGGAATCCTAGCAAGTAGCTCACTTCCCCAAGGTGGGACCATGCTTTCAGCAGTACCAGCTCTTCCAGGGATGATCTAAGAACTGGGTTCTGTAATCTCTGAACACTTCAGCCAAGTGCCTGGAGGAGAGGGTTGAACTGGACTGAACTGAATTTGTCTCTGATATAATGGAACTGGAGGTTTGCTTTGGTATTCATTTTAATCATGTTTTGCCATCATAAAGCAAGTAGGGGGCAAAAGCAGTGTGATTCACCTCTTGTCCCCCAGCCCCATCTGGATCTTGACTGTGAGTAGAATGCCAGTGTCACCATCCTCACATGTCTCTGAGACTGCTCCCCTTGGCTCTCTCAGAGGGCAGAGTGAGATCTGTGTGATTCTGGGGTAATATTTCTGTCCCTTGTCTTCTCCTGTTGGGCTACTGGCTGTGGGTGACCTTGGGTTGAAGTTCCTAAAATTCCTCCATCTGTAAAATGTGAAATATGATGCCTTTGACCTACCTCGGTGTGTGATAGGTGGCAGTGGACTGTATGAGGTCTAATGAGTTAACATTTACAAAATGCTAGGAGCTATTTTAGAGAATGGCATTCTCTAAGGACAAAACATCGTTATTCATTACCCAGAATGCACACAAATAAAATAAGAGCGTTTCAGAATAGGAAGACTGATGCAGGGAGCTGTATCTGCCCTGTGTGAAAGACAGGTTGGAGATTAATTCAACGGATAAACTGTTTTTAAAACCCGGCAGTTTCATGCTAATGAAAAAGAGGCCCACAGACTATATTTTGGTCTAGCGGTCACAGCAGAACTGGAAATGCCAAACTGGCATGATTCACTTCTAGTGTTCCCTCTCAGTTTTATTGAATACCTCCAGGCTATGCAGCCTAAGATTTCCGGAAGGAAAATAACACTGTATATAAGTGTAATGATATGAAGAATACAGTCTTCTGCATCTGTATCACTCATAATAGATGTGATATAGAGGCTGCCTCCACCAGAGATCAGACATCTGATTACACATCTCTGGTGCCTTCCAACTTGGCTTCCTCACCAGTCAAGTTTAACTCTTTCACTACACACTCTGCTAACCAGATGGTATAATATATTGTATTATCTGAGTGTAGCCTGCTGATGGAAGAACTTACACCTATTAATTTATAATAGTTTCTTTCTCTCTCTCCATATATATATGTAATGTGTATATATATATTTATATATGTATATATGTGTATTTATATGTATATGTGTATATATGTATATATTCATGTATACATGTATATACGCACTGATATAAATATCTGTATATATATTTATATTTACAGGATATAAATATTTATAAGGATATGTAGCTTATGTCTCTATCTTGGTTTTCCATATCGCTTCTTACATTACAAAGAGTTTTCATCTCATATACTTCTTGTGATTTGCCAATTATGTATTTGAACATAATTTAAAATTGTATTTATTTTATGAACAAAGACTATGTATATGCCAAATGCTAACCCAATTACTAAAGACACAACAAGATTTCTGGTTTCACGGATCTTGTATCTAAAAGGGAAAGTAAAACAATAAAAAATAGAAAGCCAGATGGGCTGAGTGCTGGATAGGCAACTGATCAAGTTAACATGATAGAGAGTGAAAGGACAGAAGGGCTATATTTGATACAATAACCAAGGAAGGCTTCTTAGAGGAGGTTACACATGAGCAAATTTGAAGGCTGAGAAGTCAGCTGTGCAAAGATAGAGGGAAAAATCACCTTCAGTAGAGTGGGCAATAAATGCAGAGGCCTCCAGAAGCAATAGAGCTTTGTACTTTAGGGGTTGGAACAAAGGCCAGAGGCCTGGAGCAAGTGGAACAAAGAGATGAGATGAAGTCTTAGAAGAAGCTTTGCAAGGCCCAGCATGGGGGTTGTAATTTATTCTTCATGGGACGAGAGGTCGTAGGAAAACTTTAAGAAGGAGATTGATGAGATTTTATTTAATAGGGTGTCCATATGTCCTTGTTTGCCAGAGAAAGCTCCAATTTGTGAGTGTTGTCATGGGGAAACTATGATTGGAATAGTTTCAGAAGGAATGGTACCAGCTCCTCCTTGTACCTCTGGTAGAATTCAGCTGTGAATCCATCTGGTCCTGGACTTTTTTTGGTTGGTAAGCTATTAATTATTGCCTCAATTTCAGAGCCTGTTATTGGTCTATTCAGAGATTCAACTTCTTCCTGGTTTAGTCTTGGGAGGGTGTATATGTCAAGGAATTTATCCATTTCTTCTAGATTTTCTAGTTTATTTGCATACAGGTGTTTATAGTATTCTCTGATGTTAGTTTGTATTTCTGTGGGATAGGTGATGATATCCCTTTTATCATTTTTTATTGCGTCTATTTGATTCTTCTCTCTTTTCTTCTTTATTAGTCTTGCTAGTGGTCTATCAATTTTGTTGATCCTTTCAAAAAAGCAGCTCCTGGATTCATTGATTTTTTGAAGGGTTTTTTTATGTCTCTATTTCCTTCAGTTCTGCTCTGATCTTAGTTATTTCTTGCCTTCTGCTAGCTTTTGAATGTGTTCGCTCTTACTTCTCTAGTTCTTTTAATTGTGATGTTAAGGTGTCAATTTTAGATCTTTCCTGCTTTCTCTTGTGGGCTTTCAGTGCTATAAATTTCCCTCTACACACTGCTTTGAATGTGTCCCAGAGATTCTGGTATGTTGTGTCTCTGTTCTTGTTGGTTTCAAAGAACATCTTTATTTCTGCCTTCATTTCGTTATGTACCTAGTAGTCATTCAGGAGCAGGTTGTTCAGTTTCCATGTAGTTGAGCGGTTTTGAGTGAGATTCTTAATCCTGAGTTCTAGTTTGATTGCACTGTGGTCAGAGAGACAGTTTGTTATCATTTCTGTCCTTTTACATTTGCTGAGTAGTGCTTTACTTCCTTCTATGTGGTCAATTTTGGAATAGGTGTGGTGTGGTGCTGAGAAGAATGTATATTCTGTTAATTTGGGGTGGAGAGTTCTGTAGATGTCTATTAGGTCTGCTTGGTGCAGAGCTGAGTTCAATTCCTGGATGTCCTTGCTAACTTTCTGCCTCGTTGATCTGTCTAATGTTGACAGTGGGGTGTTAAAGTCTCCCATTATTATTGTGTGGGAGTCTGAGTCTCTTTATAGGTCTCTAAGGACTTGCTTTATGAATCTGGGTGCTCCTGTATTGGGTGCATATATATTTATGATAGTTAGCTCTTCTTGTTGAATTGATCCCTTTACCATTAGGTAATGGCCTTCTTTGTCTCTTTTGATCTTTGTTGGTTCAGAGTCTGTTTTATCAGAGACTAGGATTGCAACACCTGCCTTTTTTTTGTTTTACATTTGCTTGGTAGATCTTCCTCCATCCCTTTATTTTGAGCCTATGTGTGTCTCTGCACATGAGATGGGTTTCCTGAATATAGCACACTGATGGGTCTTGACTCTTTATCCAATTTGCCAGCCTGTGTCTTTTAATTGGAGGATTTAGCCCATTTACATTTAAGGTTAATATTGTTATGTGAATTTGATCCTGTCATTATGATGTTAGCTGGATATTTTGCTGGTTAGTTGATGCAGTTTCTTCCTAGCCTCGATGGTCTTTACAATTTGGCATGTTTTTGCAGTGGCTGGTACCAGTTATTCCTTTCCATGTTTAGTGCTTCCTTCAGGAGCTCTTTTAGGGTATTCCTGGTGGTGACAAAATCTCTCAGCATTTGCTGGTCTTTAAAGGATTTTATTTCTCCTTCACTTATGAAGCTTAGTTTGGCTGGATATAAAATTCTGGTTTGAAAATTCTTTTCTTTAAGAATGTTGAATATTGGCCCCCACTCTCTTCTGGCTTGTAGAGTTTCTGCCGAGAGATCAGCTGTTAGTCTGATGGGCTTCCCTTTGTGGGTAACCCATCTCTCTGGCTGCCCTTACCATTTTTTCCTTCATTTCAACTTTGGTGAATCTGACAATTATATGTCTTGGAGTTGCTCTTCTCGAGGAGTATCTTTGTGGCGTTCTCTCTATTTCCTGAATTTGAATGTTGGCCTGCCTTGCTAGATTGGGGAAGTTCTCCTGGATAGTATCTTGCAGAGTGTTTTCCAACTTGGTTCCATTCTCCCTGTCACTTTCAGGTACACCAGTCAGATGTAGATTTGGTCTTTTCACATAGTCCCATATTTCTTGGAGGCTTTATTCGTTTCTTTTTATCCTTTTCTCTCTAAACTTCTCTTCTTGCTTCATTTCATTCATTTGATCTTACATCACTGATACCCTTTCTTCCAGTTGATCTAATCGGCTACTGAGGCTTGTGCATTCGTCACATAGTTCTCTTGCCTTGGTTTTCAGCTCCATCAGGTCCTTTAAGGACTTCTCTGAATTGGTTATTCTAGATAGCCATTTGTCTAATTTTTTTTCAAGGTTTTTAACTTCTTTGCCATGGGTTCGAACTTCCTCCTTTACCTCAGAGTAGTTTGATCTTCTGAAGCCTTCTTCTCTCAACTTGTCAAAGGCATTCTCCATCCAGCTTTGTTTTGTTGCTGGTGAGAAGCTGTGTTCCTTTGGAGGAGGAGAGGTGCTCTGATTTTTAGAGTTTCCAGTTTTTCTGCTTTGTTTTTTCCCCATCTTTGTGGTTTTATCTACCTTTGGCCTTTGATGATGGTGATGTACAGATGGGGTTTTGGTGTGGATGTCCTTTCTGTTTGTTAGTTTTTCTTCTACCAGTCAGGACCCTCAGCTGCAGGTCTGTTGGAGTTTCCTGGAGGTCCACTCCAGACCTTGTTTGCCTGAGTATCAGCAGTGGAGGCTGCAGAACAGCGGATATTGGTGAACAGCAAATGTTGCTGCCTGATCGTTCCTCTGGAAGTTTTGTCTCAGAGGAGTACCTGGCCGTGTGAGGTGTCAGTCTGCCCCTACTGGGGGGTGCCTCCCAGTTAGGCTACTCGGGGGTCAGGGACCCACTTGAGGAGGCAGTCTGTCCATTCTCAGATATCCAGCTGTGTGCGGGGAGAACCACTACTCTCTTCAAAGCTGTCAGGGACATTTAAGTCTGCAGAGGATTCTGTTGTCTTTTGTTTGGCAATGCTCTGCCCCCAGAGGTGGAGTTTACAGAGGCAAGCAGGCCTCCTTGAGCTGTGGTGGGCTCCACCCAGTTCGAGCTTCCCGGCTGCTTTATTTACCTACTCAAGCCTTGGCAATGGCAGGGGCCACTTCCCCAGCCTCGCTGCTGCCTTGCAGTTTGATCTCAGACTACTGTGCTAGCAATGAGGGAGGCTCCGTGGGCGTAGGACCCTCTGAGCCATGCGCAGGATATAATCTCCTGGTATGCCATTTGCTAAGACCATTGGAAAAGCGCAGTATTAGGGTGGGAGTGACCTGATTTTCCAGGTGGCCTCTGTCACCCCTTTCTTTGACTAGGAAAGGGAATTCCCTGACCCCTTGCACTACCCGGGTGAGGCAATGCCTTGCCCTGCTTCAGCTCATGCTCAGTATGCTGCACCCACTGTCCTCAACCCACTTTCCAACACTCCCCAGTGAGATGAACCTGGTACCTCAGTTGGAAATGCAGAAAACACCCGTCTTCTGCGTGGCTCATGCTGGGAGCTGTAGACTGGAGCTCTTCCTATTCAGCCATCTTGGCTCCACCCCTCAGTCCAAGTTGTTGTCAATTCTTAATCCCTGACACTCATCTGCAGGACCACTGAGCGGCTTCCACCCTTAAGGGGTACAAGGTGCAGAACAACATGCTCCCAGAGAGCTAAGGCACCCCGACACTGAGTCAGGCATTTAGGATGGCAGCATTTTGGTGAGGAGGCATCTTCTCCGTAGTCTAGCCAGACACATCTCATCGCGCCTCTGATTCTGTTTTGATAAGTGTCTTCCTCAGAAATATGCCCTCAAAATCCCTTGTACTAGGAGGCATTGCTGCCTTGATTGCTACACATCTGCCTGTTGTTGCTTTCTCCTTTACTCTGCTTTTTGGCATTGTGCGCCTTTCTCTTAACTAGTCACTAGTTAGTGGGAAATCACACTTCTTTCCACAGTAAAACACCACAAGACTCCAGCTGCAATAAAAGCAGAGCGTGCACAAAGTTTGTGGTCACATGGGGCTGCCCTCCCATCTACAGCACTGCTTGGAGGTGGTTCCACTACCCTGCTAGTTACCCGGAGAGTGTTGTTCCCTTCCATGTGCAGTTCTGAGCTCAGTCTCACAAGTGCCTAGTTGGGCATCCTCTGCTTCAGTGAGCTACAGTAGCGGACCAAGGGGGTTGGGGGACAAAGACTCATCCCATCTTAACTCATCTGAGAGGCTTGAAAGAGATGATGTCTATATTCTAGTAATAATTATTTTGTGTAATTTATTTATTAGAGATTATTATTTTATTCCTCCTCCTGCTCCTCCTCCTCCAACGTCATTGTCTTGCTCTTGTCAACCAGGCTGGGGTGCAATGGTGAGATCTCAGCTCACTTCAACCTCCACCTCCCGAGTTCAAATGATTCTCCTGCCTCAGCTTCCCGAATAGCTGAGATTATAGGTGCCCGCCACCACGCCAGGTTAATTTTTGTATTTTTAGTAGAGACGGGGTTTCACCATGTTGGCCAGGCTGGTCTCAACCTCCTGACCTCATGATCCACCTGCCTCAAATTACTAAAAACAAACAGACACACAAACAACAAACAAACTTAAGATAGGGCTTGACACCATGATTTAGTGAATGTAAATTAACCAAACACATGGAAAAAAATTGTTAAATGGTCAATATTCTTGCCCTGCTCCCAAGAGAAGGATTAATCAGCATCCGGCCTGTTTGTCAGCATCTTTCATTCCTCTTCCTGAGCCTGCCCTCCCAGCTGCTCACACTAACAGCTGCAGATGTTCCCACCTGCAGCCCCACCCAGTCTTGCCTGGTCCCAGAGCCAGTCACTAATAATACCAAAGCGTTTCTTATTTGCTTCAATCCTGCAGGTTCCAGCAGAGCTGGGATACTGTTACCCATCTCCTATTGTTTATACTGCTTTACCAAATCTAAAGTGTCTCTAATTACAGGATTGAAAATTATGTTAACTGCCTTTCTCCAAGTGAAGGATTAAGTATGTTTTTTCTGTTCTTCATTCTGCTATATTTCTCAGCCAATTCAGTTGATGAGTGCCTGTGTCCTCATCTATATCTGAACATTAAGTAAGTCTCTGTGTATTACAAATAATTATCAATACTGCAGATAAGG
Organism: Homo sapiens; assembly: GCF_000001405.40. NCBI lineage: Eukaryota > Metazoa > Chordata > Mammalia > Primates > Hominidae > Homo > Homo sapiens. Next base: position 126,194,036 of record NC_000002.12, on the reverse strand, counting down.
CATTCCTTCCATCCCAGGTTATAGATACTATTGATTTAGTCATTACTTTCTGAATTTCTCATTTTCTGGGCTTGAAGATTTGCTTTGCCCAGCGTTTGTGAGAATTGTGTTGCTGAGTTTTAAATAGAGTCCTCAGTCAACCCTGCATCACATCCCAAGCAGAGAGTAAAGAGAGCATTGTTTCCTTTTTCCAGTGATCAACTTCTGTTTCAGCTTAAAGAAAATCATTAACCGTCCTGTTTGTGGGTGACATTTGATCACTAATTTGCTAAGTGTGGGCAGAGAATGTGCTATACATTCTCACTCCATTTTTAAAAACAGAAATTGCTCAAGTGAAGCCTCATGCCAGCAGGGTTCTAGTAACAGGGTGTGGGACTATATAGGTTTGAACCTGCTCTTTATTTAGAGAGACCACACAATTTCTAGTGAAAATCAGGTGTGAGAGAAAGCAGACTCCTGAAAAATCAAGGCAAAGAGACAGTGTTCAGCAACCTTACATGGAAAAGCCTGATATACAGGAAAGCTTTTTGTTTGTATGTTTGTTTCATTGTTGCTGTTTTTTAAATTTTTAATTTAATTTTTTTTAATTTTCCCCTTCTCCATGCAGTAGTGGCATAGATTTGATTTACTTTTGGTGCCAAAGAAGAATCCTTCTTTCTATAGAAAGCCCATACTGAAGACTTCTGGCAAAAAAAAAAAAAATGTATTTCCCTCTGCCAGTGCTGTCAAAGCAAAGATGGAAAATATCAGGACTGACATACAGTACCTGCTCTCCTATCAACCGTTTATGAACTAAGGCAGGTTACTTAGGCACTTTGGATTCAATTAGCTACAACATTTGCATAATCCAATGTTTCTTTTAGCGCCAGAATTTATAAGATAAACAAATACTTATTGCTTTGCTTAAAGTATTATTGATACTGAAATCTATCAAAAGACCATTGTTCTGTGGGAACAATAAGGAACTGAATCTGTATTAGGCTAATGAAAGCCTGTTTATGGAAAATTTCAGAATATATGAGGAGACCCAAAAGTAGGGTGTTTAAATGAGAATACTGGCCTTTTGAGAATAACAAAAAAGAATGGTAAATATATTTAGGGTTAGTTGTGTAACATATAGTCACTTGTTGTTATCTATTTCCAATGGCAGCAAAAGAAAATGAAGTTTTGCCCCAGCCATTTATACCAGGCTCCCTCTTCAAACTGTAGAGAATGTCAGTGACCACAGGAATAAGGTAGAGAATAAGATTCTGACTTCAGGTGTCAGGCTCTGTGGGACCTTGGGAAAGTCAGATACATGTTTGTCTGGTTTTTTTTTCTCTATAGAAAGGGAACAAATAATAGAAAATATTTAGTAAGTTTGTTGTAAGGATTAAATAAAATAATTGTAAAGCACATAGCGTAGCACCTGGTACATAATGAAAATTCAACAAACATTAATTGCAATGATGATATTGGTAGTGGTGGTAGTGGTGGTGGTGATAGTGATGATAATGACTCTCTTTGAAACTAAACCTCATTGGTGTTGTTTACAATGTGAACTGATATAGCTGAGGAGGTATCATATGAACTTCTCAGCGTTCAGAATACATTAAAAGGTACATCTCACTTTCTAGACTCCTTCTTTTGAGATTTTACTAAGCATTTCTTAATGCCACCTGCCCCAAACAAATCACTATATCCCTATGAGGCATTGAAACAGTATATACAAGTTGTGTGTGATCAGAAAATTATAATATTAACATAGGGACAGAAATCAGGCTTCCACTTAGTACAATGAAGCTGATTCCAAGGCAGTTTACTATGGTTTGGCCATGTGCCCATTTCTGCCTTCTGATCCCTGTGTTTAATTGGAAGGGATTTATCCATTTGTTGGTTTGGCCTGCTATGGACTGGACTCTGTCATCTTTTTTTTCCCCATCCAACCATCTTTATATTGAGTCTTACTGTGACCTGCTATAGAAAAGTTATGCTGTGACTTGTAGCACCCCTTCTCTTTTCCTTCAGGACTAATATAAATTATTACTCTGTCATATTTAAGCAGCAGCATGAGGAGCTGGAGTTACATGTTGGAGCAAACAAAAATGCCCAGTGACGTAGGTTGAAAATATTTAAATAACCTGAGGTACCTGGGATCTTGTTTCTAGGCATTATGGATGGTCTTTGATAATATACAGCTGTGAGCATTCAATTTTCCACAACATCCCATAGTAGCACATCCCTAGCACATTGCTAACCCATTTCATAATTAAGCTTTTGCTTCTTGCTCCTTGGCCCACAAGACACTATTATAGAAATATATAAACATGGTTATAGAAATAAAAGCAGGGATTTATTGTTGTTATTGCCCACACTTCCCAGTAAAAGCTATAATATATGGTGTGGTAATCCATTTTATTGGTACACCATGTCAAATGAAATTGCTAGTGCGTAGAGAAATTGAGAGGCCTGAGAATGCGTATGTGTAAACATTCTTCTAGCAGCCAAATTTTTGCAAATGGAGAACCAATGGTAAGGAAAGACAGAATAAAACAACTACTTCATAAGCCAAGTTGGACATAGATTTAAGAAAGTATAATTCTCAGTAGTATCTATGAATACCAAGATGGCTTCTGCATACAGAAATTGGTCTGTATCATTCTTTGAGGATGAGAAATCTAAAACCATGATTCTAATGATTTTAAATTTTTTAATAACTGGAATTAAGTTGCCAGTTTTGTTATTCGGTCACATGAATATTTTTTTAAATAATCAGATCTACCATCTGTTATCATCACTGTTTCATAATCAAAACAGTGACTTATCAAAAAGAATTTTAAAAAAACATTGAAAGTCCTTTATATGTTTATTGGCCACTTGTATGTCTTCTTCACTAATTATCAGAGAAAGCCAAATCAAAACCACAATGAGATACCATCTCACACCAGCCAAAATGGCTGTTATTAAAAAGTCAAAAACAAAAAACAAAAAACAAAAAAACAGATGCTGGAGTTGCTTTGGAGAAAAGGGAAGGCTTATTCACTTTTAGTGGAAATATAAATTACTTCAACCATTGTGAAACGCAATTTGGAGTATATATCCAGAAAAAAGAAAATTGTTCTACCAAAAAAACAACCGTACTAGTATATTGATCACAGTGCAATTCACAATACCAAAGATAAGAAATCAATTTAGGTGTCTATCAATGGTGGACTGGATAAAGAATATGTGGTACACATACACCATAGAATACTGCCCAGCCTTAAAAATGTAATGAAATCATGTCCTTTGTAGCAACATGGATGCAGACTGAGGCCATTATCTTAAGCAGATTAACAAAGGAACAGAAAATGAAATATCACATGCTCTCACTTATAAGTGGGAGCTAAACACTGTTTACTCATGGACATAAAAATGGGAGCAGACATTGGGGAGAGATGGAGGCAGGCAGGGGCTGAAAAACTACCTACTGGGTTCGATCCTCACTACCTGGGTGGCAGGATCATTTGTACCCCAAACCTCAGCATCACACAACAAACTCATGTAACAAACCTTCACATGTACCTCCCAAACCTAAAATAAAAGCTGAAATTAAAAAGAAAATAGAAAATCCTTCAAATAGATTACATGGAACTACTTGAAAAACTCATGATGTTGTCCTTATGTTTTTAATTTTGCTATAGTTGTAAAAGTTTTTGCCAGACTTGCACTACTCCACAGGGCAACATTTGAAATTCATGACACTTATGTTGGTGCCTGTATGTCACCAAGAGTCAGGGGTTTATATTCTTCTCATTCATGACTCTTGGTGAGATTAATTTCTACCCCTGGCTCCATAGGCAGTCATGGAACTGGTATGTATTCAGCAGGGCACTGCTCAAGATGAGGTTTTCAAAGTTCTGTGCTAGCAGGAAGACCCTTCTAGACTTACTAGCACATGCATGCTCTTAGCACAGAGGATGCCTCTGAGGGGTGAGCCACCAGTGAGGCCAATCAAGGGGACACTCAATACTTGACAAAGCAGAACCCCATTGTTTGCTATGGCATCTATATTTCACAGTGCACTCAAAAGCAGCTTTTTATTTAGCAATTTTGGGGGGACTCCATTGCTTTATATTACAGCTACTCAGTACCTGGCATAATACAAGCTCATACTATCATTTTTCAAGCCATTAAATGTTAACTTCATTTGCTTATATGAATTATGCTTTGCTCTTTTAGTTTTGTAATGAAAAATAAGTACAGGTTATGCAAGCAATAACCCCTGTGTACGCAGCAGCTATCTTTCTAAACGGTTTATTATGCCACAGTCTGGTACTCCATTAAATATAGATTACAGACTGTTGAATAAATGAATATCAACTAAGCTTCCCCGTCCTTCTGTACATATCAAGGCAAATAATGAATTGTGGCATCTCATGAAAATGGAAAACTAAGAAGAGTGGGTCAAGAAGTAATTACACATTTGTCTTATCTCATGCTTCTTGCCCTCAAAACAGCTGAATACATCATGTGGCGGAGGGGATGGTGCAAAGATACATCTGATCTGTTATTATCAGTAAAAGCATGCCCTCTACTCTTGTTTTCTTTCTCTTCACAAATTTTTATGTGGGAGGGGCCACCTTGGACCTAGTATTCACTTCTGTTTACTTTCACCAAGCTCTATGAATTAAGACCTGAAAGCTTCATCATAGCTCTTTGAAAAGAGAAAATGTTGTCATGTAATTATCCCTGTCTTGCACTTGGTGCTTGGGTAAGCACTTGCCTCTCTTCACCCATATTGAAATTGGAAACTTCTGAGCCAGAGAAAATAGGACAATGCCATGGCCCAAAAATGAACGGACATTTCTATTCCTTCTCTTCTTCTCTGACTTGAGACTGGTCGCTTCAGTCAGCCTTCCTTCTAGAGGTCTGCGGCCCTTATGAATTCACTCACATTTTAAAGGATGCTTATTTTACAGGAATAAAAAATAAGGAAGAATTTGCCTTCTGGAAGTTAATACCTTGAGTGGCAGGGTAGCGCAGAAGGTGTCTCTTAGTTTACACTTTGAGAGGATAAACAGTGATGCAAATCAATTCTAGTTTTCAGTGCAAGGATTACTTCTACTGAAGAGCAACGTAGGTGGTTTTGGTAGTTTAAATACCAAAACGTGCTTCTTAACAGGATTGCTTTATATTTAATCTCATATCTTCCTGCTCCTTCTAGAACGTCATTCTTTCAAGTCCAGTTTTATCTGTTCATTTCCACTTGGCCCTTCACTTCTGCTTTCAAGCATGTTAGGTTTCTTCACTATTTAAGGAAAAAACAAGGACCTCACCAGTGTTATCCTTTCATCCTTATCTTACCAAAATCCTTAAAGGAGCTTAAAGGAGTAATTTTTTTCCTCTCTGTCCACTCACTGCTCCTTAATCCAGTGTAGTTTACCTTTTTGCTTCTTCCTTTCCTCCCAAACTGCTCCCTCAAAAGTCACCTGTAGCTGCTTGGCCTTTCTATAACACTCAATATTATTAACTTCCCTTCTGATTATTGAAACTTTCTTCTTCATTGACTTTTGATTCACTCTGCTGTCTTATTTGGACAGCCAACATTCCTATTCTTTTTTCTTTTTTCACTGATATTATTTCCTTTTTAAAATCTCTAAAATATTACTAATATGCAAGGTTTTGTCTTTAAATTCTCTTCCTCTTTTTTTTAAGGTTAAGCATTTTATTCATATCTTCTGGGAAGGAAGTTTTCTTCCTATTCTTTCTCTCCGGGACAGGCAGACTCCTCCCTCTCCTGTGGCCTCTTGACACCTCACTTGTCTGTTTCTCAAACTAGATAGCTACAGCCTCTTGCATCTTTTCAGCCGCACTGCCTGCTGCATGGCACATTTTCAGTAAGTATGTGGAATATGTGGATGAGTAAAAGGGTATGCTGAATTGTTGTCAATAACAAAGTAAGTTTTAGTGCTTAATAAACAGTTTTTCAGATAGACTAAATTGTCCTAACAATAAAAGTGTTAAAAACAATAATAAGAGTGATATCTGTGGTCCGGGCCACATCTGGGGGTGGCATGCCTGCTATTTGGTTGTCAGAAATGGCAAAGGGGAATAAGCCTCCAAGAGAGACTTCAGAGTAGCAAAAAGAATGTAACAGGATTCTGGGAGAGATTCTTTCCTATTGACTCAGAACTGTAGCTGAGACCTAAATCTTGTAGCTGAAAGAGGATCATTGCCTGTTGCGTGGTGAGTAAATACACCAAGACACCACAGGTTGCAGCAGAGAAAGAATCTAATAATCATAGGGCAGCTGAATGAGGAGATGAGAGGAAATGTCAACTCTGCCTCCCAGAGAGGTTTGGCGATGGGGTTTTTAAGGGGTGTGGGGATGAGTGATGGACCAAAGCGTAAGGATTACTGATTGGTCAAGAAGTGAGGGGTGATATCCTGGGACAGGAAGACGAAGAAAGCGCATTCCTTTGCTATGTCAGTTCCTTGGTGGGCATCTTTGATTGGTGGGCATCACTTATTTTACTGGAATTCAAGATCTGAAAAACTCAGTAAGCAATTCTTGGGTAACAAGGTCCAGTGTCAGAGAGTCTATTTATAGGAACAATGGGTGAGGAGGTGGTCAGCCTGCTATACAACTCTCAGTTAGCAGCTGCAGGGAAGTGGGTTGAAATGCGCCAGCCCACCCTGTTCAGTGCCTATCTACAATTCTGCAGAAAGCCTGAGGTGTAATTCCTGTTTACCCTGTGAAGGGGGTTTCAATCTGAGGGTAAAAGGCATTAGGGACTCCATACTTGAGGTTTATAAATATTCACACAGTTAGAAACAGCCCCTATGGAACAGAAAAAAGAAAGCACTGATGCAATTTTCCCTCAAAAAGGGCATCTTTTCCTCTTCAATGCCAAAGAGTGAGCTGGCATAAGAACTACTCATAAAGTAATTAAGAGACTGACAACTTTTGGAGAGACATTTATATAGTGATGGACTTCCTAATCTGTGCTATCTCAGCAGGGAAAATAACATTGCTGATTGGTAGGAGGGCTAAGGAGAGCACCTGTGGCACAGATGTAGCCATGTTCTTTGCTGTGCCAGCAGCTTCCCAGGAGTTTAGTGGTCACTGCAGAAGTTAGTTAAGCAGGTAGCCCAACCAGAAGAGTTACTTTTCAGCAGAAGGGAACCAGAATGGAACACCACTGTGGGAACTTAGGAAGTAGTGGAGTAGGTGAGTCCATGACTAGATCTCATGATCAGACCGTGGAATTGGTCCCTGCAAGAAGCTCCAAAGAACCTTTGCCTGTCCCCTGTGAGGGAGCCAGCTTGGCTGCTTGCCATCTAGTATTAGCCAGTGAATTCCTGTTGGTTAAGAAGGAGAGAACTCACACTCACTCAAGTAAGAAGACATGCCATTTCCTGCTTTAAAGCTTCCCGCTTTAATATACCTGAGTAGTTTCTCTGCTGCAACCTGTGCATCTGAGGGAGTGAGGAGGATAGAAGGGTAAAGAGGTTATTCTGCAACCCATCCCTCATCTACTCCAGGAGACTGCACTGCAGAACAGCTGAGCCTAACCTGGGGCTGCAATTAGGGCAGGTAAAGAAGTAAAGGGCTTTCAATTGTGCTTGAGAGTAACACTTTCAACAGAGCAGAAGTGAGTCTAAGTATTGAAATGAGGCTTTTTCAAAAGCCAAGAGTAACTGAGAAGTTATAGAATCTGGCCAAGATGTCATTAAGGTATCCATTTTCTACCAAGAAAGAGGGGACAAGTGGTGAAGAGTGGTGGTTTATACCTCCACAGCCTGAGACCCTTGCAACATGGTTGCATGAAGCCTACAACTATAGAGGGGACACATGGAGAGACCACTCTGTATTTTGAAGACAAATCCAGGGACAGACCAAGGTGCTGCCAGGGGGAAGGCCAACACAACCGTTGCCCGGAGACGTCACAATATAATCTCTAAGAGTCTGGCTTTCTGCTTCAAAAATGTGGCCAGTTCACTTTTATTTATTTATTTTTATTATTATTTCAGAAGTCTTTTTATGTCGTAGAGGAAACTAGACCTTGGGAACACTGATTCATGCTAACCCAACTCATAAGAGAATGATACGTGAGACAGAATGTGCATCTGTTTATTAACAATATAGCATTTTATTTCGGGAATCATAGGGGTCTGGACTCTGAGACCTAACCAGATAAATCAGTTACACAAGTGGTCCGATTGTTAAAAACTGCCTTAAAATCATGACCTCAGGATACGGCGGATAAGCTAAATATTGGAGGTATCTGATGACATCAGACCCTGAAACCCTGCCACATGCAGTACCACAATAATAGAGGACTGAGTGCTACCTGCTTTGTGCGCCCAAAAAGCCATGCTTCGGAACTATGGGTTCCTCTCCACAAGACGGCCTTGAGATGGATATTCTAGGGTTGGTCTCTGTGACTCTTACCAAGCTTCAAATACTGAGAACTTCGGTGATTGAGTCATATACTTGCTAATTCAGCCACACTACATTTCTTTTTATTTTATTTATTTATTTTTTTTGAGACAGAGTCTCACACTGTTGCCCAGGGGTGTGATCTTGGCTCACTGCAAACTCCGCCTTCCAGGTTCAAGCAATTTTCCTGTCTCAACCTCCCAAGTAGCTGAGATTACAAGCATGCAACACCACACCTGGCTAATTTTTGTATTTTTAGTAGAGACAGGATGTCACCATGATGATCAGGCTGGTCTCGAACTCCTGATCTCAAGTGATTCGCCTGCCTAGGCCTCCCAAAGTGCTGGGATTACAGGCGTGAGCCATGGCACCCGGCCTCTGCTACGCTACATTTCTGAGCAACTCCTACATGCCAGAAAGTATGCCAGATGCTGAGGACTGTAATTTAGTGGTATGTCCACTGGTCAGAGAAAAACGTTAAACAAATTAAATTTAACGGGATTTAATTGAGCAGGGAACGATTTGCAAATCAGGCAGCTCTCAGAACTGGAAAACAATCAGAGAGCTGCTCTCTGCAGAGTGAGCAGGCAGTGTTTATGGACAGGAAACTGAAGTGAGGCACAGAAACAGCTTGATTGGTTATGCTTCTGCAGTTGCCCTATTTGGACATGATGTGATCAGTTGGCAGCCTGTGATGGGCTGAAGTTTGTTGTGTGATTGGCTGAGACTCAGCTACTTCTTACAGGAATATACTGCAAACTTAGGCTTTCTGTTAGTTTAGGTAGGAGGCTAGGTTGCAGTTTTTTAAGTAGGAACTCAAAGTGCATGGGCATTTTTTGGCCAAATTTAGTTTAATTTATCACCACCCATACCATAGCTCAAGAGAAAAGCTCAAGTGGTGCTATTTCCCCAACCTCGGTCAAAAGGCAACTACAGGGTAGGTGGGAGGGGAGCTCTTCAAGGGTGATGCATTGATAGGTGGAAGAATGTACATTCGAGCATCCTCAAAGCTGAAGCCGTTTTCCAACAATCCATAGTGCTTTCACCCAACCACATCTCATCTCCTGTTAGAGGATAACATGCCCTTTGCTTTCCTTCTTGGGCCATTTTTCCCAGCAATTTCCCCTTGAAAATAAAGATATATGTCTCAATAGCCAAAAGAGAAAGAATCTCTTGGGTATGAGTAGAAGAGAGAAGAGTTTCATCAAGAAGCAGTAAGAGAACCTGCCTTAAACACACATCTCTCTCTCTCTCTCTCTCTCTATATATATATAACATACATATATAGGTGTTCTTCCCCTAAATGCAAGATAAATATATTCTAAATATATATAAATAAATTTATATTATATTTTTTATGTTAAAATACATGTAAATATATATGAAGTATATATATTCAGAATATATACATATTATCTTGCATTTAGAAAATAGAAACTATAAACATAATATGAAAGCCATAAGACATTCATTTACTTCCTTATTTCATTCTCTGTTAATAATGATAATAATAATGGTAGTAGTTGCAGTAGCAACAGCAAAGTGTTATAAATTGCTTATTGTGGAATGAGGGAGGAGCCAAGATGGCCGAATAGGAACAGCTCTGGTCTACAGCTCCCAGCGTGAGCGACGCAGAAGACGGGTGATTTCTGCATTTCCATCTGAGGTACCGGGTTCATCTCACTAGGGAGTGCCAGACAGTGGGCGCAGGCCAGTGTGTGTGCGCACCGTGCGTGAGCCGAAGCAGGGCGAGGCATTGCCTCACCTGGGAAGCTCAAGGGGTCAGGGAGTTCCCTTTCCGAGTCAAAGAAAGGGGTGACGGACGCACCTGGAAAATCGGGTCACTCCCACCCGAATATTGCGCTTTTCAGACCGGCTTAAGAAACGGCGCACCACGAGACGATATCCCACACCTGGCTGAGAGGGTCCTACGCCCACGGAATCTCGCTGATTGCTAGCACAGCAGTCTGAGATCAAACTGCAAGGCGGCAACGAGGCTGTGGGAGGGGCGCCCGCCATTGCCCAGGCTTGCTTAGGTAAACAAAGCAGCCGGGAAGCTCGAACTGGGTGGAGCCCACCACAGCTCAAGGAGGCCTGCCTGCCTCTGTAGGCTACACCTCTGGGGGCAGGGCACAGACAAACAAAAAGACAGCAGTAACCTCTGCAGACTTAAGTGTCCCTGTCTGACAGCTTTGAAGAGAGCAGTGGTTCTCCCAGCACACAGCTGGAGATCTGAGAACGGGCAGACTGCCTCCTCAAGTGGGTCCCTGACCCCTGACCCCCGAGCACCCTAACTGGGAGGCACCCCCCCAGCAGGGGCACACTGACACCTCACACGGCAGGGTATTCCAACGGACCTGCAGCTGAGGGTCCTGTCTGTTAGAAGGAAAACTAACAATCAGAAAGGACATCTACACCGAAAACCCATCTGTACATCACCATCATCAAAGACCAAAAGTAGATAAAACCACAAAGATGGGGAAAAAACAGAACAGAAAAACTGGAAACTCTAAAACGCAGAGCGCCTCTCCTCCTCCAAAGGAACGCAGTTCCTCACCAGCAACAGAACAAAGCTGGATGGAGAATGATTTTGACGAGCTGAGAGAAGAAGGCTTCAGACGATCAAATTACTCTGAGCTACGGGAGGACATTCAAACCAAAGGCAAAGAAGTTGAAAACTTTGAAAAAAATTTAGAAGAATGTATAACTAGAATAACCAATACAGAGAAGTGCTTAAAGGAGCTGATGGAGCTGAAAACCAAGGCTCGAGAACTACGTGAAGAATGCAGAAGCCTCAGGAGCCGATGCGATCAACTGGAAGAAAGGGTATCAGCAATGGAAGATGAAATGAATGAAATGAAGCGAGAAGGGAAGTTTAGAGAAAAAAGAATAAAAAGAAATGAGCAAAGCCTCCAAGAAATATGGGACTATGTGAAAAGACCAAATCTACGTCTGATTGGTGTACCTGAAAGTGATGTGGAGAATGGAACCAAGTTGGAAAACACTCTGCAGGATATTATCCAGGAGAACTTCCCCAATCTAGCAAGGCAGGCCAACGTTCAGATTCAGGAAATACAGAGAACGCCACAAAGATACTCCTCGAGAAGAGCAACTCCAAGACACATAATTGTCAGATTCACCAAAGTTGAAATGAAGGAAAAAATGTTAAGGGCAGCCAGAGAGAAAGGTCGGGTTACCCTCAAAGGAAAGCCCATCAGACTAACAGCGGATCTCTCGGCAGAAACCCTACAAGCCAGAAGAGAGTGGGGGCCAATATTGAACATTCTTAAAGAATTTTCAACCCAGAATTTCATATCCAGCCAAACTAAGCTTCATAAGTGAAGGAGAAATAAAATACTTTATAGACAAGCAAATGCTGAGAGATTTTGTCACCACCAGGCCTGCCCTAAAAGAGCTCCTGAAGGAAGCGCTAAACATGGAAAGGAACAACCGGTACCAGCCGCTGCAAAATCATGCCAAAATGTAAAGACCATCGAGACTAGGAAGAAACTGCATCAACTAATGAGCAAAATCACCAGCTAACATCATAATGACAGGATCAAATTCACTCATAACAATATTAACTTTAAATATAAATGGACTAAATTCTGCAATTAAAAGACACAGACTGGCAAGTTGGATAAAGAGTCAAGACCCATCAGTGTGCTGTATTCAGGAAACCCATCTCACGTGCAGAGACACACATAGGCTCAAAATAAAAGGATGGAGGAAGATCTACCAAGCAAATGGAAAACAAAAAAAGGCAGGGGTTGCAATCCTAGTCTCTGATAAAACAGACTTTAAACCAACAAAGATCAAAAGAGACAAAGAAGGCCATTACATAATGGTAAAGGGATCAATTCAACAAGAGGAGCTAACTATCCTAAATATTTATGCACCCAATACAGGAGCACCCAGATTCATAAAGCAAGTCCTGAGTGACCTACAAAGAGACTTAGACTCCCACACATTAATAATGGGAGACTTTAACACCCCACTGTCAACATTAGACAGATCAACGAGACAGAAAGTCAACAAGGATACCCAGGAATTGAACTCAGCTCTGCACCAAGCAGACCTAATAGACATCTACAGAACTCTCCACCCCAAATCAACAGAATATACATTTTTTTCAGCACCACACCACACCTATTCCAAAATTGACCAGATAGTTGGAAGTAAAGCTCTCCTCAGCAAATGTAAAAGAACAGAAATTACAACAAACTATCTCTCAGACCACAGTGCAATCAAACTAGAACTCAGGATTAAGAATCTCACTCAAAGCCGCTCAACTACATGGAAACTGAACAACCTGCTCCTGAATGACTACTGGGTACATAACGAAATGAAGGCAGAAATAAAGATGTTCTTTGAAACCAACGAGAACAAAGACACCACATACCAGAATCTCTGGGACGCATTCAAAGTAGTGTGTAGAGGGAAATTTATAGCACTAAATGCCTACAAGAGAAAGCAGGAAAGATCCAAAATTGACACCCTAACATCACAATTAAAAGAACTAGAAAAGCAAGAGCAAACACATTCAAAAGCTAGCAGAAGGCAAGAAATAACTAAAATCAGAGCAGAACTGAAGGAAATAGAGACACAAAAAACCCTTCAAAAAATCAATGAATCCAGGAGCTGGATTTTTGAAAGGATCAACAAAATTGATAGACCGCTAGCAAGACTAATAAAGAAAAAAAGAGAGAAGAATCAAATAGACACAATAAAAAATGATAAAGGGGATATCACCACCGATCCCACAGAAATACAAACTACCATCAGAGAATACTACAAACACCTCTACGCAAATAAACTAGAAAATCTAGAAGAAATGGATACATTCCTCGACACATACACTCTCCCAAGACTAAACCAGGAAGAAGTTGAATCTCTGAATAGACCAATAACAGGCTCTGAAATTGTGGCAATAATCAATAGTTTACCAACCAAAAAGAGTCCAGGACCAGATGGATTCACAGCCGAATTCTACCAGAGGTACAAGGAGGAACTGGTACCATTCCTCTGAAACTATTCCAATCAATAGAAAAAGAGGGAATCCTCCCTAACTCATTTTATGAGGCCAGCATCATTCTGATACCAAAGCCGGGCAGAGACACAACCAAAAAAGAGAATTTTAGACCAATATCCTTGATGAACATTGATGCAAAAATCCTCAATAAAATACTGGCAAACCGAATCCAGCAGCACATCAAAAAGCTTATCCACCATGATCAAGTGGGCTTCATCCCTGGGATGCAAGGCTGGTTCAATATACGCAAATCAATAAATGTAATCCAGCATATAAACAGAGCCAAAGACAAAAACCACATGATTATCTCAATAGATGCAGAAAAAGCCTTTGACAAAATTCAACAACCCTTCATGCTAAAAACTCTCAATAAATTAGGTATTGATGGGACGTATTTCAAAATAATAAGAGCTATCTATGACAAACCCACAACCAATATCATACTGAATGGGCAAAAACTGGAAGCATTCCCTTTGAAAACTGGCACAAGACAGGGATGCCCTCTCTCACCGCTCCTATTCAACATAGTGTTGGAAGTTCTGGCCAGGGCAATCAGGCAGGAGAAGGAAATAAAGGGTATTCAATTAGGAAAAGAGGAAGTCAAATTGTCCCTGTTTGCAGACGACATGATTGTTTATCTAGAAAACCCCATCGTCTCAGCCCAAAATCTCCTTAAGCTGATAAGCAACTTCAGCAAAGTCTCAGGATACAAAATCAATGTACAAAAATCACAAGCATTCTTATACACCAACAACAGACAAACAGAGAGCCAAATCATGAGTGAACTCCCATTCACAATTGCTTCAAAGAGAATAAAATACCTAGGAATCCAACTTACAAGGGACGTGAAGGACCTCTTCAAGGAGAACTACAAACCACTGCTCAAGGAAATAAAAGAGGACACAAACAAATGGAAGAACATTCCATGCTCATGGGTAGGAAGAATCAATATTGTGAAAATGGCCATACTGCCCAAGGTAATTTACAGATTCAATGCCATCCCCATCAAGCTACCAATGACTTTCTTCACAGAATTGGAAAAAACTACTTTAAAGTTCATACGGAACCAAAAAAGAGCCCGCATCGCCAAGTCAATCCTAAGCCAAAAGAACAAAGCTGGAGGCATCACACTACCTGACTTCAAACTATACTACAAGGCTACAGTAACCAAAACAGCATGGTACTGGTATCAAAACAGAGATATAGATCAATGGAACAGAACAGAGCCCTCAGAAATAATGCCGCATATCTGATCTTTGACAAACCTGAGAAAAACAAGCAATGGGGAAAGGATTCCCTATTTAACAAATGGTGCTGGGAAAACTGGCTAGCCATATGTAGAAAGCTGAAACTGGATCCCTTCCTTACACCTTATACAAAAATCAATTCAAGATGGATTAAAGGTTTAAACGTTAGACCTAAAACCATAAAAACCCTAGAAGAAAACCTAGGCATTACCATTCAGGACATAGGCGTGGGCAAGGACTTCATGTGCAAAACACCAAAAGCAATGGCAACAAAAGCCAAAATTGACAAATGGGATCTAATTAAACTAAAGAGCTTCTGCACAGCAAAAGAAACTACCATCAGAGTGAACAGGCAACCTACAACATGGGAGAAAATTTTCGCAACCTACTCATCTGACAAAGGGCTAATATCCAGAATCTACAATGAACTCAAACAAATTTACAAGAAAAAAACAAACAACCCCATCAAAAAGTGGGCGAAGGACATGAACAGACACTTCTCAAAAGAAGACATTTATGCAGCCAAAAAACACATGAAGAAATGCTCATCATCACTGGCCATCAGAGAAATGCAAATCAAAACCACTATGAGATATCATCTCACACCAGTTAGAATGGCAATCATTAAAAAGTCAGGAAACAACAGGTGCTGGAGAGGATGTGGAGAAATAGGAACACTTTTACACTGTTGGTGGGACTGTAAACTAGTTCAACCATTGTGGAAGTCAGTGTGGCGATTCCTCAGGGATCTAGAACTAGAAATACCATTTGACCCAGCCATCCCATTACTGGGTATATACCCAAAGGACTATAAATCATGCTGCTATAAAGACACATGCACACGTATGTTTATTGCGGCACTATTCACAATAGCAAAGACTTGGAACCAACCCAAATGTCCAACAATGATAGACTGGATTAAGAAAATGTGGCACATATACACCATGGAATACTATGCAGCCATAAAAAATGATGAGTTCATGTCCTTTGTAGGGACTTGGATGAAATTGGAAACCATCATTCTCAGTAAACTATCGCAAGAACAAAAAACCAAACACCGCATATTCTCACTCATAGGTGGGAATTGAACAATGAGATCACATGGACACAGGAAGGGGAATATCACACTCTGGGGACTGTGGTGGGGTCGGGGGAGGGGGGAGGGATAGCATTGGGAGATATATCTAATGCTAGATGACACGTTAGTGGGTGCAGCGCACCAGCATGGCACATGTATACATATGTAACTAACCTGCACAATGTGCACATGTACCCTAAAACTTAGAGTATAATAAAAAAAGAAAACATTAAAAAAAATAAATAAATAAATTGCTTATTGTGTGGGAGGCAGTATTCTAATGGCTGTACCTCCATTGACTTATACATATATACTGGTATATAGATATTATTAATATTATTTACTATGGGGTAACTGAGTGAATTGCTTATGCCACATATGTAGGAAGTGGCAGCACCAGGATTTTAAGACAGGGAGGCTTGCTTACCAGCTTGTGTTCCCACAGCAACGCTTGCTAGCCCTGTCCTCTTTTCCTTCCAGGACAAAGGTGCCATGTGCCATGGGCTTATGGTAGTGGCGTGTTTCTTGAGCATCTCAATTCTCCAATCCCCTCTGAAATCCACTATGAATATTATCACAGCATGCTCAATAGTTCCTAATAGTTATGAGAAAAAAATGTGCAGATAATGTGGCACATGGAATAAAATACTCAGTACACATAAAAACCCCTGGCAGTCAGGGAACATAAGTGATTTTCTCATCATTTGCCATCTTTCTTGTTCAACCCAGCAGGAAAAAGTGCACCACATTAATATTTCAATAATGCTCAGAATTTTTAAAATAATTTTAGAGTTTTATATGTGATGGTTTGATTTCCACAGAGAGGTCACAGTGAGTAATGCATGAGTATGGAGAATAAGTCTCCTTCAATATTGTCACCCCTTAATTTAGATGCCCTGGTACTTGGATTTACCTCTGTAATGTTTCTGAGGCTTCATTCCTGTTGTGTGTATACTTATCTGTCACTTTTGCCATACAATGAGGTTTTTAAGTCAAAATTTCTAATGTATTTTTCTATCTTCAACACAAGCACAATATCTGACAATAGACATTTGAAAAAAAATGAATGAATGAATGAATGAATGAATGAATCAATTTAAAAACATAACTGTTGATCCCTGGGAGCTCTGTGCTTTGACCCAGCCATGTATTTCTCCTTGATGTTTTTTTCAAACATCACCTTCTATTGTTCACCCATGCCCGGCACACTGCTTCAAGATTGAAGATGGCAACTCTCATTTTAACTTGATCTGTGCTTTACAGCCTGCAAAGAGCGTCTCTATAAGGTGTTTGCTTTCATTCATATTCATCGTAAGTTGTGCTTCAGTTTACGCTGTCAAAGTAAACTGATATATGCTACTATTTTGCAAAAGGGCATACCTCCCTATTTTCTGTGAACTTTAGTGTACTGTTGCATGAAGAAAGGACCAGAATGATGAATAGTTGTACAAAACTGAAGCATTGAAAAAACATACAGCTATTCTCTTACTAAATTTTCTGCTCATTTGTAATCAGAAGATAGTCCCTCAGCTAGGGTATTTCTAGGGTCAGAAGAAATTTACAGATAGTAATTGCTGATGCCAAACATCTGGACTCACAGTGGCAAGTCAGGAGATTCAAAGTGAGGCCTCATTAGGTCTGAGAGCTGGTTCTACGCTGGAGGCACCTGGCACAGGAGTTGCTGTGTGCTTGGGCCCTGCCATACAGGGAGGAAACCTATGTGTAACATGCAGTCAGACAGCCCCAAGTGTGAGATGTGGCTCCACCAGATGACTTTCTGGTAGTGTTACCTCGGCTAAATTCTTAACATTCTTTTATCTAGGAAAGGGAAACAATTAGCTACGTAGCTATTCAATTCTGTAGAGGGGAATAAATATGGTGACATGAAAAGCACTACAAGTTGGCACAAAGTATGTGTCCCACGAATGCCACTGAATCTTATTTCCATTCTTATATTTATAGTTAAGCATCAAATCTCTGTAGATCTATTTCTTTTTATCAAAGTGCTTATTAAATATGCTTCATCACTGATATTTAATTTCACATTTCTGCAATATTTTATAATTGAGTGTGTGCACAGGTAGCTATGGAACTTGGAAAAAGGGGTTATTCTCAGTTGCTACTGATTTATGGTCAGTGGCAGAAGAACTGACCTTGTCTCTCTATAAAGTTGAAAATAAAAGAAGAATATAAAAGGGCCTGTATATTTTTAGTTAGATAAACCCTTTATCCAAGATGCACCTTTGAAGTTAGCTGTGGGTATATCCAGCCACTCACATTTGTGAGTCATCAACTAAAGAATAAAAACATATATACAAAGAGCACATGACCTTCTCACTCATGTTGCTAGTCGTCTTGTGATGGTAAAAATCAAATTAAATGTATATTCTTCACTGAAGACCCTAGTATTTTTAACCTTCAAGAGAAGTTCTGGAAACTTTGCTTGTTAGGATGAAAAGCTTCAAGCAATTATAGTCGTTTCCTATTTTTCTGACTAAAGGCTGTCTTTCAAAAAATTCTTCCTCCTAGCTCTTTAAGTTTTTAAGCTGCTAAACTCTTAGTCTAAGTTTTCTTCCTTCTCCTTGAATCAAATAGGCACCTGATAGCCCCCTCTTCCATGTTGTGTGTTCCCAACATCTTCTGTCCCATCAGCAAAAGTACAGCCATGGTGAGCTGTTGGACCGGGACTTCTCTTCTTGGCTCCTCCCCTCTTTCTCTTATCTAGCTTTGCTTCTATCAGGCTTCTTTAAAAAGAGTGAACTTTGGTTTAGGATTCTTGTTTCTGTGAAAACCTGGTAAGTGAGTTAACATTTGTGGAGGCTTTGGGACATCAGATTCTCTGAACAAATTTAACTGCTGGGTGACTCAGCACAATGACACTATTTCTTCTACCTCTGTAGCATTCCCTGATCTTGAGATATGCTTCTTGGAGAGGATATTGAAAACCGAAGCACTGTTTCTCTACAGATGGATAATTTCAGGATCAGAGGAATAAATAACTTCTCCTAAATGACAAAGAGGGGAAGGGCAGCTGGACTAAAATCTTCCAGCTGACCACTGTGTCATCAAGGTAAGGGAGAGGATCTCAGAGCCGCAGATGCTGACTGCCAGTCCGCAGCTCTGTGTCCGGGCTCCAAGACCTCCATGTTGCCGTGCACCACCTGCTCTGGGCTGGGATGTGTTTCATCTTTGTCGCTGAGAAGAAAACAAAAATCTGCCTCTTTTAGGCTTCAAAAGAGAAGCAAGTAACAAGAACAGTTGAGCAGGAACAAAAGGCGAGAAACTTCAAGCATGGTTGCTCATTAAGGAAAGAACAGCCGGAAGATGCACAGCTGCCCAGCCCCATGTTGAACAGAGAGAGAAGGGAAAGAGCGCACTGAGCTTCATCTGAAGCCACCTGGGCCAGGCTCTGCAGCTCACTTGGTGCAAAATGTCCAGGTCCTCCACCTCCCCGACTCTCCCAAGGCCCCTGGTTTATTTCAGAGTCTCTAAGAGTAAATTCCAAGTTTTCCTGAATGTGTCTCTTAAGCTGCTATACAACACCCAACACTCTTCTTTCTCTCCTGTTAAACAGTCTCTTTCATTGATGTCACCCATGAAGGCTTGTGAAGGATTTCACCTCTGTCAGTGCGGCTGATGCCACCTTCTGCAGCTCCTCCCTGTCGAGAAGCATGGCTGGAGACTGTGCTGCTGCTACTGCATGGAGCTCACTCCACTAAGGACCAGCATAGCTCGCTACTGCCTCCCACAACACGGCCTCACGCACACACATAGACAGACACAGATACACGCAGAGTCACATGTAGAAACACAGGCAGAGACAAACACAGCCATATACACACGTAGACAGACACATACAGAGACACATGCAGACACACATGCAGAGACACACATACATGCAGAGACACGCAGAGAGACTCACACAGCCATATACACACATAGACACACGCAGAGACACAGGCAGAAATACAGTCATATAGACACAGACACACACAGAGACACATACCGACACACCCAAAGACACATGCAGAGACACATGCTGACACAGAGAGATACACACAGCCATATACACACATAGACACACTCAGAGACACAGGCAGAAATACACAGTCATATAGACACAGACACACACAGAGACACATGCCGACACACCCAAAGACACATGCAGAGACACATGCTGACACAGAGAGATACACACAGTCATATACACACAGAGACACAGACACACACATAGACAAATGCAGAGACACACACAACACAGCCAACACACACACATATAGACGCATACAACAGCCATATACACACACTCACACATATAGATACACACAGCCACATAAACACACACGCATAGACACAGCCACACACACACACTCACACACACACACATAGACACACAGCCACATACACACATTTACACACATAGACACACACACAGCCACATACATACACAGACACATATGGGCATACACATATACACACACACAGAGACATCCACACAGAGATACACACATAGACACACAGTACATACACACAGAAACACAAGGACATACAAAGAGACACACAGAAACACCGAGACACACACAAATACACAGATACAAAGACACGTATAGCCACACACAGACACAGATGCACTCACAGACATATTCAGATGTATACATAAAGACACACAGCCACACAGATACAGACAGACACAGATACACACACACACACACACATCCACACATACAGACACAGATAGATACATACACAGACACAAATACATGGAGCCACACACTGCCTTACACACATGCACAGAGCCTCCATCGAGGTGCACATACAGACACACACAGATGCACCCACAGGCACACACGCAGCCACACTCACAGTCTTACATGCCCACGTACCTTTAGTCCACCATCACAATGACTTTACCAAGAGTGCTGTCTTATGTTTATTTCTCATATAGACATTTTCATTTTTTTGCATAAAAACACCGTATTATCCTTAAACCCTCTTCCTTTCAGGATGAGGAGCAAGACTGTTGGGGCAGGAAGAAAGAGAGTGGATAAGAAGGCCAGTCTCCATGACACCTCCATCTGCTCTAAAATTCTCTATGTCCATTGCCCCCAGTACTTAGGGCAGTGTAGGTCCAGTTCATGGCTTTCCTTCTGGAGAGAAGCTCTCCTATCTACCGAGTCACCCCAGGCCACCTAGCAAATGTTATAGGGCCATGGGGCATGCCCAGTAGCCTTCTTTCCACTACTATCTATCAGAGCCAGCCAGGTGTGAAACCTCACAGGATTTGAGGCAGTCAGAGCCCCTTCCCTGGGAATTTGGAATCCACACGAAGATGGTCCAGACTCTTCTATCCTGAGTGTGGCCAGCAGGGAAGGCTGGTGTGCAGAAAGAGAGAAGCATTGAGCATTTCCAGAGAGAGACAGGGAGGAGAGTTAGGGGTGGATCCTGCAAGTTTATGAGTTCTGGTTCTTTGTTATGAATCTGGTGCATCCCTGCCCGTGTCCTCCAGGAGACACTCA
The DNA here is from genome assembly GCF_000001405.40 of Homo sapiens. Taxonomy (NCBI): domain Eukaryota; kingdom Metazoa; phylum Chordata; class Mammalia; order Primates; family Hominidae; genus Homo; species Homo sapiens. The sequence goes on along the minus strand of NC_000002.12, from coordinate 126,172,759 downwards.
GATGCCAGAGGAAAATGTTCCATAAGATTAGATGAATGAGGCCAGGTGCGGTGACTCACGCCTGTAATCTCAGCACTTTGGGAGGCCGAGGCAGGCAGATTGCCTGAGGTCAGGAGTTTGGGACCAGCCTGGCTAACATGGTGAAACCCTCTCTCTGCTAAAAATACAGCAATTAGCCGGGCGTGGTGGTGTGTGCCTGTAGTCCCAGCTACTCAGGAGGCTGAGGCAGGAGAATCATTTGAACCTGGGAGACAGAGGTTGCAGTGAGCCGAGATGCGCCACTGCACTTCAGCCTGGGGACAGAGCAAGACTCCGTCTCAAAAAAAAAAAAAAAAAAAAAATTTAGATGAATGCCCTTCAGTTACAACCGAGTCATTTAAATTAGGAAAAAGCGGGACTTGAAAAAGTTCTCACAAAATTAAATATAAACCTCTATATTTAATAGATAAATACAAATATATCACATATCTATATCTATATCAATATCTATATTCCAGTAAAGATTTTTCTAAGCTCTTGAAGCTAAATATAGGTAAACTGAGTATCTAAGTGTTCTTTCCTTTATGCTGAGATTATGTTCTATTTGTTTGGTTTAAAATGTCATTTTTATTTTAATGTTTCTTTAAAAAATAAAGCGCGATTGGGTCTACATTTTTTGTTTTCTAAGCAATTGGAGAAAATATGAGTTGTAGGAAGTCACTAATATACCTTGCCTGGCACTTCTGGTATGTCTCTCAAATCTCCTTTGTGTGTGTGTGTGTGTGTTTCTATGTGTGTGAATGTGTGTGTCTATTTGTATATGCTTAATTTTAATTGAAACATATTTTACAAATTTGTGGGGTCCATTTCATATTTTGTTACATGCATAGAATGTGCAATGATCACATCAAGATACTTGAGGTATCCATAACTTAGAGTGTTTATTATTTTTCTGAAAGTTCTAAAATCAGTCCATGGACACCAGGTTTGTGCAGCCTCAGAGTTTTTAACTTGGCTTGTAACACACGCATGTGCACACACACAGGCTCACACACTTCTGGAGAGTCACATTGTCCTCCAAAGCCAGTTTCTCTTGCGACGGTGAACCTCTCCACGATCAGGCTCCTCTCAAGAAGAACGGTGCATCTTCAGGCTTTCCATTCTCATGCACAGGATCCCCATCCAGCACCAGTGCTGTGAAGATGAAGACAGACCTGGTGCTGAGCAGCACAACCTTCCAGCCCTCTGCCTTGACCGTCACTGCTGGCTTCCTGGCTTGCACTTGTGCCCAAGACATACTCTGGGGCAGCAACACATTCCCACTTGGATTCTCTGGCTCTTCACACTGCACCTGACTTTCCTTCACTCCAGCCACGGTGGGTGCCATACATCCCTTGACAACACATGTTAAACCATCCATGGCAACCTCCAGCCCCAGGAATAAGCGCAACCTTTTGAGCGCAACCTGGTTGGCCCCATTGGCATCAACCGTGGCAATCTTTTGGCTACTTAGATCACCTTCCCTCGCTTGGCCTGAATTTAGATCCATTTCACTCAAATCTTGTTTCTCACAGACACACACTTCTATATTGCTCATTTCTGGCTTTGTTCATTGAAAACTCATTTTTTTTTTCTCATTGCATGTTAATTTTGATTCTTGACTGAGATAGCTTCTCTCAGTCTTTGAACATTTCTCATGATCTGCTCACTGTAACTGCATGTGGTTCCAATTTAGAACTGTGCAGCTTAGGAGATACTCCTTTGATGATGTCCTAAGCCTGGCAAACATTACTGTAATCAACGGCTGCATATGTAACAAATAGCTATCAAAAGGTAGACAGGAAAATGGCCCCAATAATGGGCTATCTTAAGGTTAGATTTCATTTTTCAATTTTAAGAAACTGAACTCCTTTACATATTTATTTATTTATTTATTGAGATGGAGTTTCTCTCATTGCCCAGGATAGAGTGCAATGGCGCGATCTCAGCTCACTGCAAAGTCTGCCTCCCAGATTTAAGCAATTCTCCTGCCTCAGCCTCCAGAGTAGTTGGGATGACAGGTGCCTGCCACCATGTCCAGCTAATTTTTGTATTTTTAGTAGAGACAGGGTTTTACCATGTTGGCCAGGCTGGCTCAAACTCCTGACCTCAGGTGATCCACACACCTCGGCCTCCCAAAGTGCTGAAATTACAGGCATGAGCCACGGCGCCTGGCCCCTTTACAATTTTGGAGTACAATTTTGCATATTTTGATACACAGCTCAGGAAAGTGCAACTCTAGATTTCCCACCTCAAATAAAAGAACCAGAAATAAAAATAATCATTCATATGGTGGGGGAAATTGTGAGCATTTGCCCTGGAGCAAGCTGACTACTTGTTCTGATCTATAACTAAAGAAACAGAAATCTGATCAACACTGGAAATAAATCTGTCTTCTTTGGCTTACTGTGAGAAAGTGTGTCAGTCTCAACTGTGGCATGATCATTATACTATTCTGTTTTCATTTTGACAAAGTAATTTTTTCCTTTAGAACCTGAAGCAGTGTTAAGGTGTGCTTCCCCTGGAGTTGAACTTTCCAAATCAATGTGGCAGCTGATGGAAGAAAGGCAGTGTCTGAGCTTTAGAAGCCTGAGGATGTGAAGAAAGCAGAAAACTGTATACCTGTCCCTGGCACAATATCTCAGCCCTCCACAAACTCAGGTAACCTTACCACTACCCTGTTGCTGCTCTGATTTGCTTCTCATTGCTCCCGCTCACCCTGCCAATCACTTGGTCTTGTTCGCCATTCCGCCAGATCCTAGTGCACCCCGTTCGTCCTGTTAGTTCCTTGCTGTGGACCATGCACACCTGCCCAAACGTGAGGGCTTCTGTTAGGCTCTTTCTATGAATCCTAGGGCCCAGGCGGGATGCTGCAGAGTAGGACCAGCCACAGGCCTATATGTTTGCACTTACCAGAGCAATTCTAATTTTTTTTTAAGACAGAATCTTGCTCTGTTGCCCAGGCTGGAGTGCACTGGTGCGATCTCAGCCCACTGCCACCTCTGCCACCTGGGTGCAAGCCATTCTCCTGCCTCAGCGTCCCGAGTAGCTGGGGTTACAGGCACCTGCCAAATGCCTGGCTAATTTTTGTGTTTTTAGGAGAGATGGGGTTTCTCCATGTTGGCCAGGCTGGTCTCAAACCCCTGACCTCAGGTGATCCACCCACCTCGGCCTCCCAAAGTGCTGGGATTACAGATGTGAGTCACTGAGCCCAGCCTGCAATTCTGATTTTTTTGTTACTTATAATTATAGTTTAAGTTCTGGGATATATGTGCAGAACGTGCAGGATTGTTACATAGGTATATATGTCCCATGGTGGTATCCCTCCCCTAGCCCCCAACCTCCAGCTAGGCCCCAGTGCATGATGTTCCCCGTCCAGTGTCCATGTGTTCTCATTGTTCAACTCCCACTTATGAGTGAGAACATGTGGTGTTTGGTTTTCTGTTCCTGTGTTAGTTTGCTGAAAATGATGGTTTCCAGCTTCATCCACATTCCTGCAAAGGGCATGAACTCATCCATTTTTGTGGCTGCACAGTATTCCATGGTGTATATGTGCCACATTTTATTTGTCCAGTCTATCATTGGTGAACATTTGGGTTGGTTTCAAGTCTTTGTTATTGTGAACAGTGCTTCGATAAACATACGTGTGCATGTGTCTTTATAGTAGAATGATTTATATTCCTTTGGGTATATACCCAGTAATGGGATTGCTGGATCAAATGGTTTTTCTGGTTCTAGATCCTTGAGGAATCTCCACACTGTCTTCCACAATGGTTGAACTAATTTACACTCTTACCAACAGTATAAAAGCATTCCTGTTTCTCCACATTCTTTACAGCATCTGTTGTTACCTGACTTTTTAATGATCGCCATTTTAACTGGTGTGAGATGGTATTTCATTGTGGTTTTGATTTGCATTTCTCTAATGACCAGTGATGATGAGTTTTTCTCATGTTTGTTGGCTGCATAAATGTCTTCTTCTTTCTTTCTTTCTTTCTTTATTTTTATTATTATACTTTAAGTTTTAGGGTACATGTGCACAATGTGCCAGTTAGTTACATATGTATACATGGGCCACGCTGGTGTGCTGCACCCATTAACTTGTCATTTAGCATTAGGTATATCTCCTAATGCTATCCCTCCCCCCTCCCCCCACCCCACAACAGTCCCCAGAGTGTGATGTTCCCCTTCCTGTGTCCATGTGTTCTCATTGTTCAATTCCCATCTATGAGTGAGAACATGCGGTGTTTGGTTTTTTGTCCTTGCGATAGTTTACTGAGAATGATGATTTCCAATTTCATTCCTGTCCCTACAAAGGACATGAACTCATCATTTTTATGGCTGCATAGTATTCCATGGTGTATATGTGCCACATTTTCTTAATCCAGTCTATCATTGTTGGACATTTGGGTTGGTTCCAAGTCTTTGCTATTGTGAATAGTGCCACAATAAACATACGTGTGCATGTGTCTTTATAGCAGCAAGATTTATAGTCCTTTGGGTATATACCCAGTAATGGGATGGCTGGGTCAAATGGTATTTCTAGCTCTAGATCCCTGAGGAATCACCACACTGACTTCCACAATGGTTGAGCTAGTTTACAGCCCCACCAACAGTGTAAAAGTGTTCCTATTTCTCCACATCCTCTCCAGCACCTGTTGTTTCCTGACTTTTTAATGAACGCCATTCTAACTGGTGTGAGATGGTATCTCATTGTGGTTTTGATTTGCATTTCTCTGATGGCCAGTGATGATGAGCATTTTTTCTTGTGTCTTTTGGCTGCATAAATGTCTTCTTTTGAGAAGTGTCTGTTCATATCCTTTGCCCACTTTTTGATGGGGTTGTTTGTTTTTTTCTTGTAAATTTGTTTGAGTTCATTGTAGATTCTGGATATTAGCCCTTTGTTAGATGAGTAGGTTGCGATAATTTTCTCCCACTTTGTAGGTTGCCTGTTCACTGTGATGGTAGTTTCTTTTGCTGTGCAGAAGCTCTTTAGTTTAATTAGATCCCATTTGTCAATTTTGGCTTTTGTTGCCATTGCTTTTGGTGTTTTAGACATGAAGTCCTTGCCCATGCCTATGTCCTAAATGGTAATGCCTAGGTTTTCTTCTAGGGTTTTTATGGTTTTAGGTCTAATATTTAAGTCTTTAACCCATCTCGAATTAATTTTTGTAGAAGGTGTAAGGAAGGGATCCAGTTTCAGCCTTCTACATATGGCTAGCCAGTTTTCCCAGCACCATTTATTAAATAGGGAATCCTTTCCTCATTTCTTGTTTTTCTCGGGTTTGTCAAAGATCAGATAGTAGTAGATATGTGATGTTATTTCTGAGGGCTCTGTTCTGTTCCATTGATCTATATCTCTGTTTTGGTACCAGTACCATGCTGTTTTGGTTACTGTAGCCTTGTAGTGTAGTTTGAGGTCAGGTAGCGTGATGCCTCCAGCTTTGTTCTTTTGGCTTAGGAATGACTTGCATATAAACAGAACCAAAGGCAAAAACCACATGATTATCTCAATAGATGCAGAAAAGGCCTTTGACAAAATTCAACAACCTTCATGCTAAAAACTCTCAATAAATTAGATATTGATGGGACGTATCTCAAAATAATAAGAGCTATGTATGAGAAACCCACAGCCAATATCATGCTGAATGGGCAAAAAGTGGAAGCATTCCCTTTGAAAACTGGCACAAGACAGGGATGCCCTCTCTCACCACTCCTATTCAACATAGTGTTGGAAGTTCTGGCCAGGGCAATTAGACAGGAGAAGGAAATAAAGGGTATTCATTTAGGAAAAGAGGAAGTCAAATTGTCCCTGTTTGCAGATGACATGATTGTATATCTAGAAAACCCCATTGTCTCAGCCCAAAATCTCCTTAAGCTGATAATCAACTTCAGCAAAGTCTCAGGATACAAAATCAATGTACAAAAATCACAAGCATTCTTATACACCAATAACAGACAAACAGAGAGCCAAATCATGAGTGAACTCCCATTCACAATTGCTTCAAAGAGAATAAAATACTGAGGAATCCAACTTACAAGGGACGTGAAGGACCTCTTCAAGGAGAACTACAAACCACTGCTCAATGAAATAAAAGAGGATACAAAGAAATGGAAGAACATTCCATGCTCATGGGTAGGAAGAATCAATATCATGAAAATGGCCATAGTGCCCAAGGTAATTTATAGATTCAATGCCATCCCCATCAAGCTACCAATGACTTTCTTCACAGAATTGGAAAAAACTACTTTAAAGTTCATATGGAACCAAAAAAGAGCCTGCATCGCCTAACGTCTTCTTTTTAGAAGTGTCTGTTTATATCCTTCACCCACATTTTGATGGGGTTGTTTTTTTTCTTTTAAATTTGTTTAAATTCCTTGTTGATTCTGGATATTAGCCCTTTGTTAGATGGATAGATTGCAAAAATTTTCCCCCATTTTGTAGGTTGCCTGTTCACTCTGATGATAGTTTCTTTTGCTGTGCAGAAGCTCTTTAGTTTAATTAGATGCCATTTGTTGATTTTGGCTTTTTTTTGCCGTTGCTTTTTGTGTTTTAGTCATGAAGTCTTTGCCCATGCCTATGTCCTGAATGGTATTGCCAAGGTTTTCTTGTAGGGTGTTTATGGCTTTAGGTCTTACATTTAAGTCTTTAAACCATCTTGAGTTATTTATTTATTTATTTATTTTGAGACAGAGTCTCGCTCTGTGGCCGAGGCTGGAATGTAGTGGTGTGATCTCGGCTCGCTGCAAACTCTGCCTCCCAAGTTCAAGTGATTATCCTGCCTCAGCCTCCTGAGTAGCTGAGATTACAGGCATGTGCCACCACGCCCAGCTAATTTTTGTATTTTTAGTAGAGATGGGGTTTCATCATGTGGGTCAGGCTGGTCGCAAACTCCTGACTTCATGATCCGCCTGCCTCTGCCTCCCAAAGTGCTGGGATTACAGGCATGAGCCACTGCACCCAGCGTTGAGTTAATTTTTTTATAAGGTATAAGGAAGGGGTCCAGTTTCAGTTTTCTGCATGTGGCTAGCCAGTTTTTCCAACACCATTTATTAAATGGGAATCCTTTCCCCATTGTTTGTTTTTGTCAGGTTTGTTAAAGACCAGATGGTTGTAGATGTGTGGAGTTATTTCTAAGGCCTCTGTTCTGTTCCATTGGTCTATACATCTGTTTTGGTATCAGTACCATGCTAGTTTTGGTTACTGTAGCCTTGTAGTATAGTTTGAAGTCAGGTAGCGTGATGCCTCCAGTTTTGTTCTTTTTGCTTCAGACTGTCTTGGGTATATGGGCTCTTTTATGGTTCCACATGAAATGTAAAGTAGTTTTTGTAATTCTGTGAAGAAAGTCAATGGTAGCTTGATGGGGATAGCATTGAATCTATAAATTACTTTGGGCATTTTGGCCATTTTCATGATATTGATTCTTCCCATCCATGAGCATGGAATGTTTTTCCATTAGTTTGTGTGGTCTCTTATTTCCTTGAGCAGTGGTTTTTCATTCTCCTTGAAGAGGTCCTTCACACCCCTTGTAAGTTGTATTCCTAGGTATTTTATTCTCTTTGTAGCAATTGTAAATGGGAGTTCACTCATGATTTGGCTCTCTGTTTGTCTATTATTGGTGTATAGGAATGCTTGTGATTTTTGCACATTTATTTTGTATCCTGAGACTTTGCTTAGCTTAAGCTTTATCAGCTTAAGGAGAGTTTGGGCTGAGATGATGGGATTTTCTAAATATACAATCATGTCATCTGCAAACAGAGACAATTTGACTTCCTCTCTTCCTATTTGAATACGCTTTATTTCTTTCATTTGCCTGGTTGTCCTGACCAGAACTTCCAATACTATGTTGAAAAGGAGTGGTGAGAGATGGCATCCTGTCTTGTGTCGGTTTTCAAAAGGAATGCTTCCAGCTTTTGCTCAGTCAATATGATATTGGCTGTGGGTTTGTCATAAATAGCTCATTATTTTGAGATACGTTCCATCAGTACCTAGTTTATTGAGAGTTTTTAGCATGAACTGGTGTTGAATTTTATTGAAAGCCTTTTGTGCATCTCTTGAGATAATCATGTGGTTTTTGTCATTGGTTTTGTTTATGTGATGAATTATGTTTATTGATTTGTGTATGTTGAAACAGCCTTGCATCCCAGGGATGAAGCCGACTTGATCGTGGTGGATACACTTTTTGATGTGCTGCTGGATTTGGTTTGTCAGTATTTTGTTGAGGATTTTTACATCAATGTTCATCAGGGATATTGGCCTGAAATTTTATTTTTTTGTTGTGTCTCTGCCACGTTTTGGTAGCAGGATGATGCTAGCCTCAGAAAATGATTTAGGGAGGAGTCCCTTTTTTTCTATTGTTTGGAATAGTTTCAGAAGGAATGGTACCAGCTCCTCTTTATACCTCTGGTAGAATTCGGCTATCAATCTATCTGGTCCTGGGCTTTTTTTGGTTGGTAGGCTGTAATTACTGCCTCAATTTTAGAACTTGTTATTGGTCAGGGATTCGACTTCTTCCTGGTTTAGTCTTGGGCGGGTGTATGTGTCCAGGAATTTAACCATTTCTTCTAGATTTTCTAGTTTATTTGCATAGAGGTGTTCTCTGATGATACTTTGTATTTCTGTGGGATCAGTGATGTTATCCCCTTTGTCATTTTTTATTGTGTCTATTTGATTCTTCTCCTTTTTCTTCTTTATTAGTCTGGCTAGCGATCAATTATTCTGTTAATCTTTTCAAAAAAAACAGCTCCTGGATTCATTGATTTTTTGAAGGGTTTTTCATTTCTCTATCTCCTTCAGTTCTGCTCTGATCTTAGTTATTTCTTCTCTTCTGCTAACTTTTGAATTTGTTTGCTCTTGCTTCTCTAGTTATTTTAATTGTGATGTTAGGGTGTCGATTTTAGATCCTTCTTGCCTTCTTCTGTGGGCATGTAGTGCTATAAATTTCCCTCTAAATACTGCTTTCGCTGTGTTCCAGAGATTCTGGTACATTGTATCTTTGTTCTCATTGGTTTCAAAGAACTTACTTATTCTGCCTTAATTTCATTATTTACCCAGTAGCATTCAGGAGCAGGTTGTTCAGTTTCCATGTAGTTGTGCAGTTTTGAGTGAGTTTCTTAATTCTGAGCTCTAATTTGATTGCACAGTGATCTGAGAGACTGTTTGCTATGATTTCCCTTCTTTTGCATTTGCTGAGGAGTGTTTTACTTCCAATTATGTGGTGAATTTTAGAATCAGTGCCATGTGTTGCTGAGAAGAATGTATATTCTGTTGATTTGGGGTGGAGAGTTATGTAGATGTCTATTAGGTGCACTTGATCCAGAGCTGAGTTCAAGTCCTGAATATTCTTGTTAATTTTCTGTCTCGTTGATCTGTCTAATATTGAGAGTGGGGTGTTAAAGTCTCCAACTATTATTGTGTGGGAGTCTAAGTCTCTTTGTAGGGCTCTAAGAACTTGCTTTATGAATCTGGGTGCTCCTGTATTGGGTGCATATATATTTAGGATAGTTAGCTCTTCTTGTTGCATTGATCCCTTTACCATAATGTAAACCTTTTTTTGTCTTTTTTGATCTTTGTTGGTTTAAAGTCTGTTTTATCAGAGACTAGGATTGCAACCCCTGCTTTTTATTGCTTTCCATTTTCCTGGTAAATATTCCTCCCTCCCTTTATTTTGAGCCCATGTGTTTCTTTGCATGTGAGATGGGTCTCCTGAATACAGCACACTGATAAGTCTTGACTTTTTGTCTGATTTGCCACTCTGTGTCTTTTAACTGGGACATTTAGCCCATTTACATTTAAGGTTAATATTGTTGTGTGTGAATTTGATCCTGTCATTATGATGCTAGCTGGTTATTTTGCCGGTTAGTTAATGCAGTTTCTTTATAGTGTTGATGGTCTTTACAATTTGGTATGTTTTTGCCGTGGCTAGTGCCAGTTGTTCCTTTCCATATTTAGTGCTTCCTTCAAGAGCTCTTGTAAGGTAGGCCCAATGGTGACAAAATCTCTCAGCATTTGCTAGTCTGTAAGGGATTTTATTTTTCCTTTGCTTATGAGCTCAGTTTGGCCGGATATGAAATTCTGGGTTGAAAATTCTTTTATTTAAGAATGTTGAATATTGGCCCCCACTCATTTCTGGCTTGTAGAGTTTCTGCTGAGAGATCCACTGAGAGAGGAAACCTGAGAGAGGAAACCTGCTGAGAGAGGAAACCTGACCTCTCTCTCTGGCTGCGCTTAACATTTTTTCCTTCATTTCAACCTTGGTAAATCTGATGATTATGTGTCTTGGAGTTGCTCTTCTCAAGGAGTATCTTTGTAGTATTCTCTGTATTTCCTGAATTTGAATGTTGGCCTGTCTTGTGAGGCTGGGGAAGTTCTCCTGGATAATATCCTGAAGAGTGTTTTCCAACTTGGTTCCATTCTCCCCGTCACTTTCAGTTGCACCAATCAAATGTAGTTTTGGTCTTTTCACATAGTCCCATATTTCTTGGAGGCTTTGTTTATTCCTTTTCATTCTTGTTTCTCTAATCTTGTCTTCATGCTTTATTTCATGAAGTTGGTCTTCAATCTCTGATATCCTTTCTTCTGCTTGATCGATTCAGATATTGATACTCGTGTATGCTTCACAAAGTTCTCGTGCTGTGTTTTTCAGCTTCATCAGGTCATTTATGTTCTTCTCTAAGCTGGTTATTCTAGTTAGCAATTCCTCTAACCTTTTTTCAAAGTTCTTAGCTTCCTTGCATTGGGTTAGAGCATGCTCCTTTAGCTTGGAGGAGTTTGTTTTTCCCCACCTTCTGAAGCCGATTTCTGTCAATTCATCAAACTCATTCTCCATCCAGTTTTGTTCCCTTGCTGGCGAGGAGTTGTGATGCTTTGGAGGAAAAGAGGTGTTCTGGTTTTTGGAATTTTCAGCCTTTTTGGGCTGGTTTTTCCTCATCTTCATGTATTTATGTACCTTTAGTCTTTGATGTTGGTGACTTTCAGGTGGGGTTTTTGTGTGGATGTCCTTTTTGTTGATGTTGATGCTATCCCTTTCTGTTTGTTAGCTTTTCTTCTAACAGTCAGGCCCCTCTGCTGCAGATCTGCTGGAGTTTCCTGGAGGTCCACTCCAGACCCTGTTTGCCTGGGTATCACCAGTGGAGGCTGCAGAACAGCAAAGATTACTGCCTGTACCTTCCTCTGGAAGCTTCATCCCAGAGAGGCACCCGCCAGGTGCCAGCCGGAGCTCTCCTATAAGAGGTGTCTGTCGACCCTTGCTAGGAGGTGTCTCCCAGTCAGGAGGCATGGGGGTCAGGGACCCACTTGAGGAGGCAGTCTGTCCCTTAGCAGAGTTCGAGTGTTGTGCTGGGAAATCCACTGCTCTCTTCAGAGCCAGCAGGCATGAATGTTTAAGGCTGCTGAAGCTGTGCCCACATCCACCCCTTCCCCCAGGTGCCCTGTCCCAGGAAGATAGGAGTTTTATCTTTAAGCCCTGACTGGGGCTGCTGCCTTTCTTTCAGGGATGCCCTGCCCAGAGAGGAGGAATCTAGAGAGGCAGTCTGGCTACAGTGGCTTTGCTGAGCTGTGGTTGGCTCCGCCCAGTCCGAACTTCCTGGTGGCTTTGTTTACATTGCGAGGAGAAAACTGCCTACTCAAGCCTCAGTAATGGTGGACACCCTTCCCCACACCAAGCTGGAGCATTCCAGGTCGACTTCAGACTGCTGTGCTGGCAGCAAGAATTTCAAGCCAGTGGATCTTAGCTTGCTTGGCTCTGTGGGGGTGGGATCTGCTGAGCTAGACCTCTTGGCTTTCTGGCTTCAGCCCCCTTTCCAGGAGAGTGAACAGTTCTGTGTTGCTGGCATTCCAGGTGCCACAAAATAAACTCCTGCAGCTAGCTCAGTGTCTGCCCAAATGCCCACCCAGTTTTGTGTTTGAAACCCAGGGCCCTGGTGGTATAGGCAGCGGAGGGAATTTCCTGGTTTTAGGTTGTGATGACCATGGGAAAAGCATAGTATCTGGGCTGGAATGCACTGTTCCTCATGGCACAGTCCCTCACAGCTTCCCTTGGCTAGGGTAGGGAATTCCCCAACCCCTTGTGCTTCCTGTGTGAGGTGACTCCCCATCCTGCTTCAGCTTGCCCTCCTGCACCTACTGTCTAAACAGTCCCAATGAGATGAGCCGGGTACCTCAACTGGAAATTCAGAAATCACCTGCCTTCTGTGTTGATCTCGCTGGGAGGTGCAGACTGGAGCTGTTCCTATTTGGCCATCTTGCCAGCCACCACAATTCTGATTTTTAAAATATTTTTTCCATGCTATATCTTAGATTCCTCTGTAATATTTTGTTTGAAATTTAAGTAACACTACAAAAAAATAAAAACACAGCTCTAAGGGACAAGTTGGTCATTTATAATATTAGGGTCAGGAGCTCAGAGAAAAATGTGAAACCTCTTTTACTGCTGTGCATATGTAACTACAGGTCTTAAGCTTTTTTCATTAATACATGTAAATGAATAAGGTACATGGAAATTAGAAGTGAATAGCATTTTTTGGACTGGAGACTGTGTTGTTTATAAATGTAATAGTGAACTACATAATAGCCTTCAGTCTAGGAATTCAGCATTCTGGTAAATGTCACAGAGCTCATTTGAATGTGAGTGACTAACACAAAATAAACAGCATTCTTTGCTTGGCATTAAAGGTAAAGAAAATAAAATCCAGGGTTAAATGCAACCACAACCCTCAGACAGGATTCATACAAAAATCAGGTTGCATTTTGCCTGAAAAATGGATTATTTGTAATTACAAAAAATACAGTGTTTGTAAATGACCTAGGCAAGATCTCTTGAGTTGGGTAATTATTCCCATTTTGCATTTTTCAATTTTATTTACTCCTGGCCCATTATTTAAATAAATGATAAAACCCTGTTTTTCCTCTCAGACAGTTTTAAAGTGGATTCTGTTTTTAAGCTTTTTTTTGTAATTATAATTATTTTACTTTTAATTTAAGTTCAGGGATATATGTGCATGTTTGTTTTATAGGTAAACTATGTGTCACAGGGGTTTGGTGTACAGATTATTCATCACCCAAGTAATCAGAAGAGTACCTGATAAGTAGTTTTTTGATCCTCATCCTCCTTCTACCCTCCACCCTCAAGTACACATATGCATATGTGTACTCAAAGTTTAGCTCCCACTTATGGTGAGAACATACAGAATTTGGTTTTCTGGTCCTGTGTTAGTTCACTTAGGATGATGGCCTCCAGCTCTTTTTATGAACACATGTACTGAATGTGTTATGAGCCAAGATAATTCATGTCTAAACTCCACAATATTTCTGCAAATCCCTCTTTTTTAATGGCAAAAAATAAACAGCACTATTATATGTAGTTTAAGTTTATCTGAATACCATATATATAAGGTTTTATATGTATATATTTTATAAATAATTTGAATAAATATAATGTATATGCACATATTTATATGCATGTTTCAGTATAATTATATATTTTTCTTACATGAGGGGCTGTTCCCCAGGGAACTGGACCACAGAGCCCTAGGATAAATGAGTAGATTGGAAAAAATCCTGACTCTGTTTCTAACTGGCTCTGAAACTTGAGATCCAACATAGAAAAGATTTTCATCCTTGCTAAACCAAAGTGAAGCACAGAGAGCACAGAAATGAGTTCCGATTGGAGTTTTAGCCTCTCATTCTAGAGTGACTCCTCTACTGAGTTTCAAGTGAGCTTCAGATGGGCAGAGATATTGATTGCATTCGTGTTCTGGCCTTTCGAGTGGCTGGACCCTGGCTGGCCTCCTTCTCCAAGGACAACTTTCTTCACTTATTATTGGGACAGTACACACAAAGTTTTCAGTGTATGCCAAAACATAAAAAGAGTTTAGGGTCAGGGAGCTGATCTAAATAATCAGCACCAAAGTAATCCTTTCCTAACTTCATCCGATTCAATCAATTATTGCTTATTAAACATATGTCAAACATTTTGCTAACATAATGAGTAAGGTCTAATCTAATCTTTTAAGAAGAACTTTGCTAATTGAGAGAGGCAGGCATAAACAGATACAGTATCTTGCAATCTGGGGGTGTTTTGCAGAGATAATAAGAAAATCGCGGTTAATATCCTAGAGAGTTACAGCATTGTTGCAAAGAGCTGGTTTTCAAACTTTGATTTGTAGGATGAAGGAGGAATTTGTTGGGCAAAATCACTGGGTAACAGCACATCAGACAATGGGTCTGGGGCAGCCACAGCAAATGGGGAAAGCTATATAGCAGGTTTGGAAGGGATGATGGTGTGTGTCATGAGGAGAAACTTCAAGAAGGTAGTTTTGATGTCTGCTTGCAGAGCAACTTGTATATCCAAGTGAAAAACATGGATTTTTGCCTTTTTGCTAACAGGAAGCCACCAAGGAATTTCAAACATGAAACTGATGATGTTGTTACTAAACCAGGCCCATTTTGCCTGCTGTGCAGTGTGCCAATCACTGAGATAACAAGTTTTACAGTGGTGGAGGTGTGTATTCATGTGGCAGCCAAACAAGGAGATGACAGAACAGGTCTCAAATCTACCTCTCCAAAGATGGGGTTTAGGGATATTTATGAGATAGAGGAGCAGGGTGATCTGAGGCATGGGGTAGGGTGATTGCAGGTTAGAAAAAATGAGGTAATCAGTGTTCTGCCCAAGGGTAGTTAAACTTTATAGCTCTTCGTAGGATGCGTGTTTGAAAAATGGCAGCATTAGCATGATCTGAGGGTGAAGCTTTCTGCCCTCTGACATCAAAAGGTCACCCATCATTCATCCAGGCCAAGTTGATAGATCAGTGGTCTCAGCTGGCATGAACTACTTAAGAGCTGACGCCGAGTTTCTGAAAAACAACTTAGGAAACCATCACCATTATTATCCATACTTCAGAGATGTTATCTATAGGGAAGCAGAAGGGAGTCTTGTGATACATTGCTTAGCTACATAACATTTAGACTTAGTGATATTACAAAACTATTAAACCAGCTAAAAGCAAGTGAAGCAGGTTAAAATTTGATGACCCTAATTATGTTTGCCCTCAGCTTCAATGTTTGGCTTATTTTGAAAGATAAAGTGTGTCATATGATTGCACTGAGTTAAAAAAAAATGGTTGCAGGATTGTTTATTTAACCAATATCTTTACATTCCTATTACGTAGATACTTTTCAGTGAACTAGGAATACAGTATTAAAAAAATAAGACTGAGACCTAATGACTAGACTATACTTGTGTTAAATGTAAAGACAAATATACATTAAAAGTAGAGACTGAAGAAAGATAATTATGCCAACACTAATTTTTAAAAAGCTGGTGTCGCTATATTAATTTCAGACAGAATAGACCTTAGAACAAAGAAAGTTGGAGGAATAAAGAGAAATATTAAATACCAATAAAGTAGTAAATTCTGAAACAAAATGTAGCAATTCTTTATGTGAAAGCCTTTAACATCAACATGTCAAAATGTTTTAGGCAAAAACTCAGAACTGCAAGGAGAAATAGATTAATCCAGTATTATTGTTGGAGACATCAACACCCCTCTATCAGAAATAGATAGATCCAGCAGGCAGGAAATCAGTAAGGACAGAGTTGAACTCAACACCATCAATCAACTGTATATAATTGAATAGTCTATAGACTACTTCCTTCAACAACAGCAGTGTGTACATTTTTCTCAAGCTCACATGGAACATTAAACTACATAGACCACATTCTTGCCCATAAAACACACCTTAACAAATTTAAAAGAATAGAAATCATAAAATGTATTCTCTCAGTCGACAATGGAATTAAACTAGAAATCAATAATAGAAGGATAGCTAGAAAAATTCCAAAAAGTTGGAGATTAAACGTCATACCTCTAAGTAACTTAAGAGTCAAAAAATAAGTATCAAAAAAATTCAAAAACTGTTTAACTAAAAAAATGAAAATACAACTTTCAAAATTTGTGAGATACAGAAAAATCAGTGGTAAGAGATAAATTTATAGCATTGAATGCACAGATTACAAAAGAAGACAGATATAAAATCAATGATTAAAGATTCCACTTTAGGAAACTAGAAAAAGAATTCTTTAATTATAGATGAAGTGGAAAAAAGACATAATAAAATTTTGAGTAGAATTAAATAAAATGGAAAAAAGAAATTAAAAAAATAGTAAGTGTACAAGGTAATGGATACACTAACTACTCTGAATCATTATATAATACAGATATGTATTGAAACGTCACACTGTATCCCATAAATATGAACACTTACAATATATCAATTTTAGAAAGAAGGAAGGAAGAAAAAAAGAAAAAGGGAAATCAACAAAAAGCTGATTATTTGAAAAGGTCAATAAAGTTGATAAACCTCTAGCTAGGATAACTAAGAAAAAATAAGAGACGATACAATTACGCACCTCAGAAATGAAAGAGAAGACATCACTATAGATTCCACTGCCATTAGAAGACAAATAAACAATACTATGAACAATTACATGCCCACAAATTTGATAACTTGGATGAAATAAACCAATTCCTTGAAAGACAACCTGCCAAAAGTTACACAAGAAGAAATAGACAGTCTGAGTAGAAGTTCATCTGTTAAATAAATTGAATCAATAGTAAATAACCTTTCAAAATGAAACATCAAGCATAGATGGGTTCACTGGTACACTCTACTGAACACTTAAAGACAAATTTATACCAATTCTCTATAATCACTCCCAGAAGATAAAAGCAGAAGTAATGCTTTCCAACTCATTCTATGAGATCAACACTACCCGAGTACCAAAACTGGAAAAAGACATACGAGAAAATTACAGACCAGTATCTCTCATAAACATTGGTGCAAAAATCCTCAACAAAATGTTAGAAAATTGAAGCCAACGGTATGTAAAAAGAATTACACCATGACCTAGAGGGATATATCCCAGCTATTCAAGGCTGATTCAATCTTAGAAAATAAATTCCTATAGTTCATCAAATCAATTGGAAAAATCACATATTCATGTTAATAGATGCAGAAGAAAGGATCTGACAAAATCATCAAAGACTTTTTTTTTCCAATTTGATCTGTGGATGCAATGTAATCTAAATTAAATCCTAACAATTTATTTCCTGGATACTAGCAAACCAATTCTAAAGTTTACGTGGAGATGCAAACTCAATATTGAAGGAGAAGAAAAAGAGACTATCTCATTTTAAGACTTACTATAAAGGTACAGTAATCAAGAGAGTATGGTATTAGTAAAAAATAGACAAATGGGTCATTGAAACAGAATAGAACTTTGAGAAATAAACTCTATAGATATAGTCAACTAATAATATATGATAAAGATACTTTGGATAAACCATGGTCATTTAAACAAATGATCTGGGACAGATCGACAAACTACAAGTTAAAAAAAGGAAGGGAAAAGGAAAAGAGAGAGGAAGAAAGGAAAGAAAGAAAGAGAAAAAAAGAAAGAAAGAAAGAAGAAAGAAAGATACAGACCTTATATACCTCAAAAAATTATCTCCAGAAGGATCATAGACTTAAATTTAAAATTCAAAGACATAAAACTCCTATAGTATAAAATAGGAGAAAATCTAGATAATTGTGGGTATGAAAATAACTTTTTAGATACAATACCAAAGGCATGATTCATGAAATAAATAATGTATAAGCTAGACTTCATTAAAATTAAAAATTTCTGCTCTGCTGAAGACATTATCAAGAGAATTAGAAGACAAACCATACACTGAGAAAATATATTTGCAAAAATATATCTAATAAACCACTGTCACCAAAAATACACAAAGAACTCTTAAAACTCAACAAGAAGAAAACATACAACACAATGAAAACATGGGAGAAAGATCTGAAGAGATACTTCACAAAAGAAGATTTACATATAGCAAATAAGCAGAAGAAAATATGCTGAACATCATATGTCACTAGGGAATTGCAAATTAAACAAATTAAACAAATACCACTACACACATATTAGAATAAAAAATGTCTAAAACACTAACACCACCAAATGCTGGCAAGGACATGGAACCACAAGAATAATCATTCATCGGTGTTGAGTATTTAAAATAGTACAGCCACTTTGAAAGACATTTTGGCAGTTTCTTTAAAAAACTAAACATAGTCTTACCATATGTCCAGCATTCTCACTTCTTGGTATTTACCCAAATAAATTGAAAACTTATGTCCACACCAAAACCTGCACATGGATGTTTATAGCAGGTTTATTCATAATTGCTAAAACTTGGAAGCAACCAAGATATCATTCAGCTGGTGAAAGAATGAATAAGCTCTTTCATACATAGACAATAGGGTATTATTTCATGCTGAAAAGAAATCACTAGCATTCCTAAACACCACCACCAACAGTCAAACTGAGAGCCAAATTAGGACCACAGTCCCATTTTCAATGGCCACAGAAATAATAAAATAGGAATACAGCTAATAAGAAAGGTAAAATATCTCTATAATGAGAACTACAAAACACTGCTCCAAGAAATTAGAGATGACACAAACAAATAAAAAAAATCCCATGCTCATGGATAGGAAATATCAACATCATGGAAATGGTCATACTGCCCAAAGCAATTAAGATTCAATGCTATTCCTATCAAAAACTACCAATGACATCCTTTACAGAACTAGGAAAAGCTATTTTAAAATTTATATGAAGCAGAAAAAGAGTCCTAATAGCCAAGGAAATTCTAAGCAGGAAGAAAAAACCTGGAAGCATCACACTACCTGATTTCGAACTGTACTAAAGAGCTACAGTAACCAAAACAGCATGGCACTAGTACAAAAAAAGGCACATAAACCAATGGAACAGAATAGAGAACCCAGAAATAATGTCACACATCTACAACCATCTGCTCTTTGACAAAGCTGACAAAAACAAGCAATTGGGAAAGGACTTCCTATTTAATAAAAGGTACTGTAATAACTGGCTAGCCATATGCAGAAGATTGAAACTGGGCTCCTTCCTCACACCATATACAAACATTAACTCAAAATGCATTAATTACTTAAATGTAAAACCCAAAACTATAAAAACCTTAGAAGACGACATAGGCAATACCCCTCTGGACATGGGAAAGGGCAAAAATATCATGACGAAGGCACCAAAAGCAAATGGAACAAAAGCAAAAATTGACAAATGGGATCTAATTCAGCTTATGAGCTTCTACACGGCAAAAGAAACTATCAACAAATTGAACAGACAACATACAGAATGGGAGAATATATTTGCACACTTTGCACACTATGCATCTTACAAAGGTCTAATATCCAGCATCTATAAAGGAACATAAATTTCCAAAAAAAGCAACCCCATTAAAAAGTGGACAAAGGACATGAACAGACACTTTTCAAAAGAAGACATACATGCAGCCAAAAATGAAAAAGATTGACATCACTGATTATTAGAGAAATGCAAATCAAACCCACAATGAGATATCACCTGCAGCAGTCAGAATGCCTACTATTAAAAAGTTAAAAAAGAACAGATGCTCGTAAGGTTGTGGATAAAAGAGAACACTTAAACATTGTTGGTGGGAGTGTAAATTGGCTTAATCATTGTGGAAAGTACTATGACAATTCCTCAAAGAGCTAAACAGAACTACCATCTGACCCAGCAATCCTATTACTGGGTATATACCCAGAGGGTATAAATCCTTCTACCATAAAGACACATGCACGCTGTGCTCATATGTTCATTGCAGCAGAATTCACCATAGCAAAGACATGGAATAAACCTACATACCCATCAATGACAGATTGAATAAAGAAAATGTAGTACATATACACCATGGAATACTATGCAGCCATAAAAAAAACAAAATTCTGTGTCTTGTGGGAATATTGATGGAACTGAAGCTCATTATTTTTAGCAAACTAATGCAGCAACAGAAAACCAAATGTTGCATGTTCTCACTTATAAGTGGGAACTAAAGGATGAGAACACATGGATACAAAGAAGGGAACAACAGACACTGTGGCCTACTTGAGGGTTGAGGTTGGGAGGAGGAAGAGGAGCAAAAACATAACTGTTGAACACTAGGCTTAGTAACTGAGTGATAAAATCATCTGTAAAACAAACCCCTGTGACCCAAGTTTACCTATATAACAAATATGCACATGTACCCTGAACCTAAAATAAAAGTTAAAATTAAAAAAAAGAAATAAAATATCAAGCCATGAAAAGACATAGAGGGAACTTAAATTCATACTGCTAAGTGGAAAAAGCCAATTGGAAAAGTCTACATACTGTATGATTCCAACTAAATGACATTCTGGAAAAGGCAAAGCTATGGTTAAATGGTTTGGCTCTATGTCCCCACTTAAATCTCTCCTTGAATTGTAATCTCTGTAATCCCCACATGTCAAGGGTGGGACCAGGTGGAGGTAATTGAATCATAGCGGCGGTTTACCCTATGCTGTTTTCATGATAATCAGTGAGTCTCATGAAATCTGATTTTTTTAAGCATCTGGCATTTCCCCTGCTTACACTCATTTTCTCTCCTGGTGCCATATGAAGAAAAACATGTTTGCTTCCCCTTCCACCATGATTGTAAGCTTCCTGAGGCCTCCAGGCCATGTGAAACTGTGAGTCAATCAAACCTGTTTTCTTTATAAATTACTCATTCTCAGGTATTTCTTCATAGCAGCGTGAGAACAGACTAATAGAGTAAATTGGTACCAGAAATGGGGTATTACTTTAAATACCTGAAAATGTGGAAACAACTTTGGAACTGGGTAAGAGGCAGAGGTTGGAACAGTTCAAAAGGCTCAGAAGAAGACAGGAAGATGTGGTAAAGTTTGGAACTTCCTAGAGACTTGTTGAATGGCTTTGACCAAAATGCTGATAGTGATATGGACAATTAAGTCCAGGCTGAGGCGGTCTCAGATGGAGATATGGAACATATCGGGAACTGGAGCAAAGGTGACTCTTGCTATGCTTTAGCAAAGAGACTGGTGGCATTTTGCCCCTGCCCTAGGGATCTATGGAACTTTTAACTTGAGAGAGATGATTTAGGATATTTGGTAGAAGAAATTTCAATGCAGCAAAGCATTCAAGAAGTAGAACATAAACATTTGCAGCCTGATGATGTGATAAAAAAGAAAAACCCATTTTCTAAGGAGAAATTCAAGCCTGTTGCAGAAATTTGCATAAGTAATGAGGAGCCAAATGTTATTCAGCAAGAATTGGAGAAAATGTCTCCAGGGCATATCAGGGACCTCCACAGCAGCCCCTCCCATTACAGGCCCAAATGCTTAGGAAAGAAAAACAGTTTTGTGAGCTAGACCCAGGGCCCCTCTACTCTGTGCATCCTTGGGACATTTTGCCCAGCGTCTCAGCTGCTTCAGCTCTAGCCATGGCTAAAAGGGGCCAAAGTAAAGCTTGGGCAATTGCTTCAGAGGGGCAAGCCCCAAACCTTGGCAGCTTGCATGTGATGTTGGGCCTGTGGGTGCACAGAAGTCAAGAATTGAGGTTGGGGAGCCTTCACCTGGATTTCAGAGGATGTGTAAGTGCCTGGATGCCCAGACAGAAGTTTGCTGCAGGGGTGGAGCCTTCATGGAGAACCTCTGCTAGGGCAGTGGCAAAGGGAAATGTGGGGTCAGAGACCCCACACAGAGTCCCCATTGGGGCACTCCCTAGTGGAGCTGTGAGAAGAGGGCCATCATTCTCCAGACCCCAGAATGGTAGATCCACCAATAGCTTGCACCATGTGCCTGGAAAAGTTGCAGACACTCAACAACAGCCTGTGAATCATCCAGGAGGTGGGCTGTACTCAAGAAAGCCACAGAGTCAGAGGTGCCTAAGCCATGGGAGCCCACCTCTTACATCAATGTGGACTTGATGTGAGACATGGAGTCAAAGGAGATAATTTTGGAACTTTAATGTTTAATAACTGCCCTATTGAATTTCAGACTTATATGGGGCCTGTAGCCCCTTCACTTTGGCCAATTTCATCTATTTGGAATGAGTGTATTTACCCAATGCCTGTACTCTCATTGTATCTAGGAAGTAATTTGCTTTTGATTTTACAGGTTCGTAGGTGGAAGGAACTTGCCTTGTCACAGATGAAACTTTGGACTTGGACCTTTGGGTTAATGCTGGAATGAGTTAAGACTTTGGGGGACTGTTGGAAGGGCATAATTGTGTTTTGAAATGTAAGGACATGAGATTTGGGAGGGACCAGGGGCTGAATATTATAGTTTGACTCTGTGTTCCTACCGAAATCTCACCTTTAATTGTGGTCTCTGTAATTCCCACATGTCAAGGGCATAGCCAGGTGGAGGTTATTGAATCATGGGGTGGTTTCCTTCATGCTGTTCTTGTCATAATCAATGAGTCTCATGAACTCTGATGGTTTTAAAAGTATTGGGCATTTCTCCTGCTTGCACTCATTCTCTCTCCTGCCACCATGTGAAGAAGGATGGTTTGCTTCCCCTTCCACCATGATTGTAAGTTTCCTGGAGCCTCTCAATCATGTGGAACTGTGAGTCAGTTAAACCACTTTTATTTATAGATTACCCAGCCTTGAGTTTTTTGTCATAGCAGCACGAGAACAGACTAATTCATATGGAGACAGTAAAATTATCATTAGTGTCAGGAGTTAGGGATAAATCTGTGGAGCACCAAGAATTTTTACGATATACATAGACTATTCTGTTTGATACTATAATGGTGGATACCTGTCACTATGCATTTGTCTAACCCATTGAATGTACAATACCACAAATGAACCTTATAAACTGGACTTTGGGTGAGACTGACATGTCAACATAGGTGCACCAATTTTAACAAATGTACTACTCTGGTGAGGGAAGGTGATAGTCGGAATGTGGTATGGGTGTAGGTGGGGGCAGAGGGATATTTGGGAATACCTCGTACCTTTGGCTTAATTGTGCTGTGAACCTAAAGTTGCTTTAAAATAAAGTCTATTTTAAAAAGTACTATGTAATATATTGGAATGTGATAAGTGCCACTAAGAGTAAGATGAATAGTAAAATAATTCAAGGAAGGCAGGATGAGAATGTGGGAGTTATGATTTTAGCTTGATTTTTCAGGTAAGATGGTGGGCTCCACATCCAGACAGGAGACCATATGCAAGACCCAGAATGTGTGATAAGGGACAAGTTATACAGGGCTTTGGAGGTATCTGAAAGGAGTTTCTAAGAGCACAGGGAGCTATTGGAGCATCAGGTAAAATGTTCTTAAAACTAATTCAAATAAGAGAGGAAGAAACTCTTGATTAAGACACTGGCAAGGGAGGTAACTAGTTGGAGAAGAGATGCATGAGGAGTTTTAAAGAAAGAATGGCCGAGTGTACCACTCAGTTTCTTAGCCAGGGCAGATTAATAAGTGCAAAGGAGAAGGTAGGAAAGGCAATATGTAGACTAAAAATCAGTGCTCACAGCTAGAAGGGAATAGTAGACTACAGCTTGTCTAGGCTGAGGCTTTCAGAATATAAACTATATCACTATCCTTATTGAACAGGACACCAGACAGGTGCAGTGTGATTAAGTGACATACAGCACAAATCTGTTTAATTGAAGTTTACTGAGTAAGTGCCCTTAATATACTGCAAAGTAAAATCTAATTAAGCACGGAGGCCAATAGCAATTTTAAAGCCACAAATTGTATTTAACCAATTATTGAGATAACAGGGACTAATCCTATCATCTTATTAAATAATATTTTGAAAGCAAGGGGCCAATTCTTGTTCCCCTTTCTTTTGGAATTGGTTATTGGAGAACAATGAGAAGAAAGTCATAAGCCATTTTGATATTTCAAACACTTTTAAAGTAATTTTTGATTAGCTTTTTAGTGAATTTTGTGGCCTTCTGTTTAGGCTGGATTTAATGAGAATGCTACTTACATATGCATCAAATATATGTATATTGCATTTTTTTGTACTTTGTATTAGTTTCCTATTGCTGAAGTAACAAGTTGCCATACATTTGCCAGCTTTAAAGAACACAAATTTATTACTTTACAACTCTAGAGGCCATAAGTGTGAAAACATCTTCACCAGGATAAAGTCAAGGTGTTGGCAGGGCTTGTTCCCCCTGGAGGTTCTAAGAGAGAATCTGTTCCCTTGCCTTTTCCAGCTTTGGAGGCCACCTGCATTCATTGTGGGTTCAGACCCTTTCCTTACATAACTACAACCTCTTACATTTGTCACCATATCTCCTACGTCCTCTGCTATAGTAAAACATCTTTCTGCCACCCTCTTACAAGAACATTTGTGATTATATTCAGCACCAACCCAAATAATTCAGGATTTTCTTTGTATCCCCAAATCCTTAAAATAATCACCTCTGCAAAGTACCTTTTCCATATAAAGTAATAGTCACAGGTTCTGGGTATGAGGATGTGAATACCTTTGATAGACGACAGTCCAGCATGCCATACATGCTATTTACTGTATACCACTTCATGGATTAGAAAGGCAGTTTATTATAGTAAAATAGAGTGCAATTTAGAATAAGAAGCAGATTGACTCTAGTACAAGCTCCACTACATAATCACCTTTTGATCTTGGGCAGTTCCTAACTTTAACTTCAGACTTTCTGGAAGAGTCTGGAAGCTGGGAAATAAAGGTAATACCTTGTAGAGTATTTTAATATGAAGAAAGAATAATTGTAACAGCATCCATTAATTAAACCTATTATAAACCTGGACCAACCACTGAAGTTACAACTGTAATTGTACAGACCGATTATCATGCTCACAGAGAAGATAACTGAGCAGGGGAACAGACATTGAAATAAGCAAGAATGCTAACAGTGATGACTACAGGGACGGCAGAAAGATATATTCATGTGACAGTAAGCTGTGTAACATCAAAACAATCAATCTTGGACCACTTCCAAGAAGAGTGAGCTCCAAACTAAGATCAGCATTATGAGAAGGAGTTAGCAAGTCAGAGGAGAGTAAGTGTCTTTCAGGCAGAATGTTCCAAAGCTTAGGAAAAAAGAGAGGGGGTGGAGAACAAAAACTTGAGAAACTGAAAATATATTTTTTTCTGTAAATGTATCATGAAATTAATAAGACATAAAGCAAAAGAGGAATTTAAAAAATTAAACAGCATCAAGATCCGGACAGGCCAGATCAATTATGTTTGAGCTTTATCCTCAGAACCTTGTAAACAGACTAATGTTTTCAAGGTCCAGGATGACGATACTAGACTCTAATACAAGGTGCTACAGAAAGATCCATGGACAGCACCAAGGAATGAATGGGGTGATCATGCCCTGGGGGTCACAGCACCTTGAGAGTAAGAATTCTGTTGATATTAAACAGTTAGAACGGGCCGGGCATGGTGGCTCATGCCTGTAATTCCAGCACTTTGGGAAGCCAAGGTGGGCGGATCACGAGGCCAGGAGATCGAGACCCTCCTGGTTAACACGGTGAAACTCTATCTCTACTGAAAATACAAAAACTTAGCTGGGCGTGGTGGCGGGTGCCTGTAATCCCAGCTACTTGGGAGGCAGAGGTTGCAGTGAGCAGAGATCGAAACACAGCACTCCAGCCTGGGTGACAGAGCGAGACTCCATCTCACACACACACAAAAAAAAGAGTTAGAATGGATAGGACTTGAAGGACATTGAGAGATAAGTGAGAAGTAGTAGTTAGAAAAATGTCAGCTTCTTCTCTTGGAGAAATGTTAATGCCAAGCTTGGAGATATTGGAGATAGGTGACAAGGGGATAAGGGGAGTTTGGGCATGTACATAGGGACAGAAGGGAGTGGTGGTGAGCTCTCACCCTTGAATATGTTTGGATTGAGATTCTTTTGAAAAATCCATGTAGCGTGCTCTATGGCAACACTGTTCAAAGTAGCCAGCTGTGAGCAGAGTCTATCGAAATTTCTTCATCATATTTTGGTAGAAGTGTTGTGAGTCACAGGGATGAGGAATGTATCAAGTAGCTACTGACTGTGGAAGGTGATGTGTGAATGCTGGTTTAAGGGTAGGTTAGGAAGAGAAAAGACGTAAACTTTCATGAAAAAGTACCACATGTGAGCCCAACTACAGGAATAAAGAGAGTCTGGCTTCTACCACATAGTTTGTGAGCTTCGGAATTCTTGGAGAAAAACTGAGAAAATAAACATCCTCCTCAGGTGAGTTCCCTGGGTAAGAGAGGTAGGAGAAAAAGACATTGAAGTAGTCTCTCCGAATGTAAAATATAGAGTTGCACAGTCAGGCTAAAGCTGTTTTTTCATCTGTGCTCTTTCATTCTTTCTGATCACACACACAGAGACACACACAACCTAGATGTTAGTTGCTAATGGTCTTGAACTCCTCTGGGATTCTGGCACCTTTTGTTTCCAACAAGAAAGTGTGATCTTTTTAGGCAAATACCTTGCCCGGGCCACAGGATGGGGAAGCTCAGTAGAAGACAGAGCAGACACTGGAGACTATGCTGTACAGCCTGAAATCAAGAGCATCCAATGTGAATCAGACTGACTTTGTCAGAAATGGGATGATGGATTACCATGCAATTGACTGTTGTGACAGTGGAAAAACTAAAATCAGCTTCTGAATACTCAATTACAGGAGGGACACATAAACAGAGGCAGGCAGCAGAAACTAAGGATTCAATTTCCTTGAATTCCTCTGCCTGATTTTCATTACACCCACTCTAATTTATTTGGGGCCTCAGGCTTGAGTACTCAGCCTTTCTTGATTTTCATGCATAAATGACATTTTCTTAGTTTCTACCTCACCTCCCTTCCTTTGTCATTTCCTAATGGGCTCTGTTCTGACCATGCTCAGCCTGGGGTGGCAGTGTGGCCCTGTGGGCTGCTGAGTGCCTTGAGCTTGGTTAATTACCATAAATGTATTTTAAGTAATTATCCAAGGAAGAAATGCCAGCACCTACCATGGGAACCACCAGTAGGTGAAAATTAGCAGCTCCTTAACAACAGCCTCCAGTCAAATTTGATCAGGAATATTGGGCTCTGTCCCTCTAACGAAACCAGCTAGTACACATAAAGAGGCCCTTGCCACTGTTTTACAAAACCAAAATCTATAAATCAATAAATCAATAATTATCAGCCCAGATAATTATAGCTTTCCTTTGTTGTTGAAAAAGCAAAAATTGTTTCTGTCACCTCCCTATAAGCTTCTTTAGTGACAAAAAGCACATGTCAAGAAAATCTAATTGATCTTATTATGTC
This sequence comes from Homo sapiens, assembly GCF_000001405.40. Classification (NCBI taxonomy): domain Eukaryota; kingdom Metazoa; phylum Chordata; class Mammalia; order Primates; family Hominidae; genus Homo; species Homo sapiens. The sequence goes on along the minus strand of NC_000002.12, from coordinate 126,145,551 downwards.
AAAAACAATTCTTATTAAGGGACTGAACAGATCAGAGCTTTTAGAAAGAGCTCATGATCAAAGCCCAGGATAGAACACACTGGTTAGAGCCATGGTTACTCACATGCCCAGAAATATCAGAAATATCAAGGCCAGGTGTATTTTTAATAAAAAGAACAATATAACAGCTAAAGTTTATTGCCTAATTATTATAAATTATTCTGATAAAAACTCAATTTTTAATTTGTAAATGAAAACTTAGAGAGATAAAAATTAACCTAAATTAATCCATACAGAGCAAGAGTTTGAAAACAGGTCTTCTAAGTGGAGCACCTGCACATTCAAGCAGGATCTTGATCTTTGAGTAGAAGCACTGGGCTCACCCTGGGTCCCTGCGATCCTCCCATGGCTTGCTCTTATCCTTCCTTCCACTAAATCAGGATGTCTCATGGACTTTTGAACAGTGAGTGCAGAGTGAAATGCATTAAGTTTTCAATAAGCTATCCTTGATTTCATATGTAGACCTTGCCACTTACTGTAGCCTCACTTTCTTAGTCAATACCATAGAATAATATTATTTCTCTAAAAAGGTCTACAAGAGAACATAGCATGTTGAGTTGATCCGTACCCCTTAAGAAAGGAAAGATCGTTTGTGTCTCTGTCTGGCTTACTATGTTTTTTCCTCTGCATCCCATAGTATCGCTGCACCATACAACAGTTTTTAATCTATCCTTCTCTTCTCCATTAAAATATGCTCTAACAAAATTATTTTCCATCAGTAACTTGATGGAAAATCTAGTTGCTAAGTTGATGAAAAGAAGCTCATTATCTTATTCTTCAAACAGCTCATTTTTTGCTTCGAATGTATCTATTAGGAATTTAATCACCTTATTTAGCTGAAGCATTCAATTTTAAAACTTTCATTTGTTTGGACAAACATTCTTACTCTTTAATGACCCCATTACCTATTTGAAAACACACTGAGTGCCACTACAACTATTAACTACACTAGGCTAAATGATGCCAAGTTTTTTTAGCCACTGAACTTCAGGGGACGTGTGTGTGTGTGTGTGTGTGTGTGTGTGTGTGTGTGTGTAAACATGTATATGTAAGGGTTTGAATGAAAAATTTTAAGCAAACTTAAACATAGCAAAAACAGTATGATATATACACATGGTAGCCATCACTCAATTTCCAAAATTATCTACATTTTATCAAATAATTTTTCACTAGAATAGCATATCATCTTGCTCTATTCCTCTCAGTCTTCCTCTGTTAAAAAATAATGGTACTCTGACATACTGAAGAATGCATCAGAGTCTCTTAACAGCAGAATTGATCAAGCAGAAGAAAGAATTAGTGAGCTTGAAACAGGCTATTTGAAAATATCACTCAAATGAGACAAAAGAAAAAGGAAAAGAATAAAGCATGCCTATAATATCTAGAAAATAGCCCCAAAAAGCAAACCTAAGAGTCACTGGACTTAAAGAAGAGGTAGAGAGAGAGCTATGGGTAGAAAGTGTATTCAAAGACATAATAACAGAGAACTTCCTAAACCTAGAGAAAGATAGAAAGATATCAATATTCAAGTACAAGAAAATTATAAAACACTAAGCAGGTTTAACCCAAATAAGACTACCTGAGGACCTTTTTTTATACAAATTCTCAAAGGCCAAGGAAAATAAAAGGATCCTTAAAGCAGCAAGAGAAAAGAAACAACTAATATACAATGAAGCAACAATACGCCAGATAGCAGACTGTGCAGTGGAAACATATGCCAGAGTGAGTGGCATGACATATTTAAAATGCTGAAGAAAAAATAATCCTATAATAGTATATTCAAACAGCAAAAAAAAGGCTATTTGACGAATAAGATAATGAGCTTCCTGTCATCAACTTAACAACTAGATTTTCCACTAAGTTACTAATATAAAATAATTTTGTTAGAGCATATTTTAATAGAGAGGAAAGGGATGGATTAAAAAGTATTATATATTGCAGTCATATGATGGAATGTTCTTCAAATATAAATAAGAAATAAAGACTTTCCTAGAAACACAAAAGCTGAGGTATTTTAGCAACACCAGACCTGTCTCGAAAGAAATGCTAAAGGGAGTTCTTCAATATGAAAGAAAAGGGTGTTAATAAGCAAGAAGAAATCATCTGAAGGTACAAATCTCACTGGTAATAGTAGGTACAGAGAAAAACACAGAATATAATAACATTGTAATTGTGGTGTGTAGACCACTCTTTAATAGAAAGACATCAAGATGAAGTGACAAAAATAGCTATAATAATTTTTTAAAACATAGACAATACAATAAGATATAGATAGAAACAACAAAAACTGAAAAAGGATGGAGATGAAGTTAAATTGTATAATTTTTATTAGTTTTCTCTTTGCTTGTCTGTTTATGCAATCGGTGTTACATTGTCATCAGTTTAAAATAATGAATTATAAGATATTATTGGTAAGCCTTATGATAACATCAAGTCAAAAAACATAGAACAGATACACAAAAAATGAAAAGAAAGAAATTAAAATATATCACCTGAAAAAGTCATCTTCACTAAAATGAAAAAAAGAAGGAATGAAAGAAAGAAGATAAGATTACAAAATAACCAGAAAACAAATAACAAAATATAGTATTTGCTTATCAGTAACAACACTGAATGGAAATGGACTAACTTCCTCAACAAAAGACATAGAGTGACTACGTAAATGAAAGAAACAAGAACCAATGATCTGTTCCTTACAAGAAACACACTTCTAAAAAGATACACATATACTGAAAATAAAAGGAATGAAAAAGATATTCCATGAGAATGCAAACAAAAAATGGCCAGAGTAGCTATATTTAAATCAGACAAAATAGATTTCAAGAAAACTATAAAAAGAGAAGAAGAAAGTTAGTATATAATGATACATTTGTAATTAAGCAAGAGACTGTAAAAATTATAAATATATATACACTCAGCACTATATATATATATATTATATATATATAATATATATATATTATGTATATAATATATATATAATATATATATATATATTATATATATATATATATGGCAAATGTTATTAGAGCTAAAGAGAGGGATGGACCCCATTACAATAATAGCTGGAGACTTCAACATACCACTTTCAGCAATGGACAGATCATCCTGACCAAAAAATCAACAAAGAAATATTGGACTTAATCTGCACTATGGATCAAATGGACCTAAAAGATATTTACAGACCATTTCATCCAATGGCTGCAGAATACACATTCTTCTCCTCAAAACATGGATCATTCTCAAAAATAGACCATATGTCAAGCCACAAAACACATCTTAAAAGATTCAAAAGAATTGAAATTATATAAAGCATCTTCTTTGACCATAATGGCATAAAATCAGAAATCAATAATAAGAGGAATTTTGGAATATTGTTCACTTTCATGGAAATTAAACTATATGTTCCTGAATGACCAGTGAGTCAATGAAGAAATTAAAAAGTAAATTTAAAAATTTCTTGAAACAAATGATCATGGAAGCATAATATACCAAAACCTGTGAGGTACAGCAAAAGCAGTGCTAAGAGGAAAATTTATAGCTATCATTGCCTACATTGGAATAGTAGAAAAACTTCAACTAAATAATCTAATATTACATCTTCAAGAATTAGGAAAGCAGGAGCAAACAAAACCCAAAATTAGTAGAATAATATAAATAATAAACCTCAGAGCAGAAATAAATGAAATTCAAACAAAGCAATACGAAAGATCCACAAAACAAAAAGTTGGTGTTTTGAGAAGACAAACAATATCAGCAAACAGCCAAACTGACTAGAAAAAAAAAGGTCTAAATGAATAAAATCAGACATGAAAAATGAGACATTACAACAAATACTACAGAAATTCAAAAGATCATTAGAGGTCACTATGAATAATTATATGCCAATAAATTGAAAAACCTTTATAAAATGGACACATTTGTAGACACATCCAACCTACCAAGATTCAATCATGAAGAAATCCAAAACCTGGACAAACCAATAACAAGTAACAAGATTAAAGCTATAAAAAAAAGTCTCCCAGCAAAGAAAAGCCTGGGGCCCAATGGCTTCACTGTTGAATTTTACCAAACATTTAAAGAAGAAATAATACCAATTTTACTCAAACTATTTCAAAAAATAGAGAAGGAGGAAATACTTACAAACCCATTCAATGAGGCCAGTACTACCCAGATACCCAAACCATAAAAAGGCCTAAAAAAAAAGGAACAAAAGGAAAATGACAGACCAATATCTCAGATGAACATTCATGCAAAAATCCTCAACAAAATACTAGCAAAGTGCATTCAACAATACATTTAAAAGCTCATTTACTGTGACTAAGTGGGATATATCCCAGGAATGCAAGAACGGTTGACCATATGCGAATCAACCAATGTGATAGATTATATCAACAGAATGGAGGACAAATCTATATGATTATTTGAATTGATGTTACAAAAGCATTTGATAAAATTCAACATCTCTTCATGATAATAATCCTTAAAAAACTGCGTAAAAAGCATATTTGACCGTCTGTCACCTAGTATACTGAATGGAGAAAAACTGAAAGCCTTTTCTTTAAAATGTGCAACATGACAAGGATGCCCACTTTCACAACTGTTATTTAACATAGTACTAGAAGTCCTAGCTAGAGAAATCAGGCAAGAAAAAAGACAGAAATAAAAGGCATTCAATTGGAAAGAAAGATGTCAGATTATCTTTGTTTTCAGATGATATGATCTTATATTTGAAAAAAACTAAAGATTGTTAGAACTTACAAACGATTCAATAAAGTTGCAGAATACAAAATCAACATAGAAAAATCAGTAACATTTCTATATGCCAACATCAAACAATCTGAAAAAGAAGTCAAGAAACAGTCCCATTTACAATAACTATAAATAAAATAAAATACCTGGGGATTAATCAAAGAAGTGAAAGACCTCTACAGTGAAAACTATTATTTAAGAAATCAAGAAGGACACAAAAAAGGGAAAGGTATTCTATATTCATGGATTGGAAGACCAATATTTTTAAAATGTCCTAAAGCAATCTACCTAAAACAATCTACAGATTCAATAAAATCCTTATCGAGTTAACAATGACATTCTTCACAGAAATAGAAAAAAAAATCCTAAAATTTATATGGAACCACAAAAGACCCAGAATAGCCACAGCTATCCCGAGCAAAAAGAACAAAACTGGAGGAATCACATCACCTTTCTTACTTACTTAATTTATTTATTTATTTAAGACAGAGTCTTGCTCTGTCACCCAGGCTGGAGTTCAGTGCAGTGATCTCAGCTCACCTAAACCTCCCCCTCCCAGGTTCAAGCAATTCTCCTGCCTCAGCCACCGGAGTATTTGGGATACCGGCCAGAACTTCCTTCCTTACAGAGGCCTAACTTTGATACAAACCTACATGCAATGTCACCGTCTGAGATGAGACACAACTCTTTAATTGGACTGACCTATTTTCAGATCTCTTACTACTCAGCTACATAACAACAATTTTTTTTCTCTCCACCGACATCAGCTCAGCTTTCACTGTGTAGAAGTTTTAGGAAAGGTTTAGACAGGGGGAATGAAAAGCTCAGAACATGCCATCCCTCAGTATGCCACTTTGATATGATAATTACTTCAAACTGAGGGCTTTGGGGGAAAGCAAATGTAAAAAGGGGCTTTCTCTGAACTTTCCTTATCTGCTTAGTAGATCATCCCAAAGAAACTTAATTGTCACAAACTCCCTCCCCAGGAATGTCATCAACCAAGGAAGATTAGCTGACAGAAGAGACTGGACATTGACACTACACCCAGACAGTCTTTGTCACAGGTTATTATCTATTCTTCTAAAAACCCATTCGTCTTTTCCAAAATCATTTACCATCTTCAAAATTGCCTACATCACTCCTTCCTTTTCACTTATGAAGAGGTTAGTCAACCTTCTAGATCATCCTGGGTTTTGAAGTATTCACTTTTCTTTCCTGGGATGTCCTAAATGCATGTAATAAATTTGTGTATCTTTTTTCCTGTTAATTTGCCTGCTGTCAGTTTATTTCATAGGCTTAATTTTCAAACCGTCAGAGGGAAGAGAGAAAGTGTTTTATTTCCTGAAATTGTTGAGGATGGACTCTGTTTTATTTGTCACTGTAGACTTAGACTCTGTACAGTAGAAGAAAAGACAGAAAGAGAAGAACATAAGAGGGAGAGATAGAAAAGCTTTAAAAAAGGATAAGAGATGAAGGAATGGATGGAGGGAAAGAAGGAAGGAATAAAGACAAGAAAGAAGGAATTCAGGAAGGAAAGAAGAAAGGAAAAAAAGAGAATTAAGGAAGTACAGGAATGAAGCCTTCTGGAGTAACAATCTAATGTTTTTGAGGATTTGAAATATTGCTATGAGTTTATTATTGTAGGGAAAATTGTGCAGTATTAATTTCAGCAAATATTTGCATTTTGCTTTACACTTTGCAATGTTATTTAATACAAAATATCACAGTTTATATTATGACAATAAATAATATAATAAATAACTCACCAAGCCAGCCTGTGCCAGAGGAAAAAGGAAGATATCCACTGGGGATATTTATCTTTGTGATAATATAGCACACGTTTCCAGAAAATATGTAATAATAGTCTCTGTCCTTCGATATAAACAAAACCACTGATTTATCTACTTGTTCCCCCAAGTATAACTACAAAACTGATAATGCTATATTTGCATTTATAATTTATATTTAGAATTTTATTTATTTGTTTATTTGTTTATTGGACAGAGAGAAAGACTTATCTGGGAACATAAAACTACAGGAAGAAGAAAAGGACTTTTAAATATTTTAAACTTAACATTTAAAAATTTTCATAAGACTCCAGTCAAACCCAAGGTCAATCTTCTAAAGCAGACTCTACTTGACCCCGGAGGATGCAACTGACCAGAGGCTAGTAAGCTTGCTAAATTATTGTGGATAACAGCGATGTATGGTGACAAGAATTTACATATGAACGAAATGTGAACAGTCGGCTTAATTTCCCTCAGGATGCAAACTTGGTAGAATACCAAGAATAAAAAGTCACTTTTTATTCAGAAAGCAGCATCAAATTATTTCACGAAACACACATGTTTTTAGAAGGAGCGCTGTAGTGTAAAATTAATTTTATCTTTTTTATTGCAATTTATTTAATAACACATTCTCTGATATATGCAGTCTGTCATATTAAGCTGGGTGATTTGAAAATAGAACCCCCTTTCCTCCAGCCTCCACACATACCCAAATAAATGATGAATAGAAGTTCTACTTTGGAAGCTCTTTGTACTTCAACTTCTAGTTTTCTGTGCTTTTTCAATTATAAAGTCACGTATTTGGATTAGGTTTTTACATATATTAGCACCATAAATGCTTTTCATAATGTGAAAATTCTTCTTTTAAAGCTAAATGGTGTCACTGTGGTGATTCTAATCTATGACTTTCTAAACTAAAGCATAAACTTTCTATTTAATATAGCTTCTTTATATCTCCAAGTTTGGGGCAGTTAAAGAAAGTCTTCATAGTCCCTAAATATTATGAAGATAGTGACAATTAATATTGTTTTGGTCTTCACACAGTTTTTTCTCTTCTGTCTGTGCTTTCTGGCCAAATATGATACTTGAAATTCTACTATTGAAATCAGGCTTCCCTTCAGATTATATCAGAATGCTCCTAAATAAAAACTCATTTCCTAAAAAGGGGATACACCAAGTCATTTGTTTTTGGTCTTAGTAGGAAAAGAACCAGTGTACATAAAAAGTGTATAATATGTCAATGGTTTGCTAATCCAAACAACAAACATTATATTTTACTTCTGTTTTACCACAAAAGAGATTGAGGTTTAGAGAAGGTCTATAATTACTAACAGTCACACATTTCAGAGGAGAGGGAGTCAGAATTCTAGCCCTTTGATGGTCTCTTAAGATAATACAAAGCTATCAACCTTTAGGGATCTTTGTTATTGTAGAACTCACGAGAGAATTTACATGCCTTAGCATGATCTGAAACCTTAATATTTTCATTCTTCTCCTCCTCCTCCAGCATCATTTCTCATCATCTACCTCTTTCTATTTGATTTCAAACCTAAAGTCACAGCCATGCTAAATATAGAAATGTGACAGTAAGATTGCACTTAGATATCTAAGTAACAATAATTAACCTGTCCTTTAGAATGCAGAGGCTACTATCACGTGGAAATTTGGATCTGCAAAAAGAAATAAAGAGCACCAGAAGTAGTAAATATGTGGGTAACTAAGATTTGTGAGCTTGTACTCTCTACCACTTTAAAAGCAACTGACCATTAAAAATAAAATAACAATACTGTATTATGAGATTTATCAGTGAAAATAAATTATGCAAAATACAAAAATATCTAGATGGAATATGGAAATTTACTGGTCAAGCAAATATGTTAAATGAAGTGATACAATAGTAATTGTAAGTAAACTTTGGTAAGTATGCTTATTGTAATTCCTATGGCAACTGATATAAAAATACAAAGAAGTATAAGCTAAGAGGCAATAGGGAAATTAATGAAATATACATAATGTTTCAGCATGATTTTTTCTTTTTTCATTATTATTGTTAATTTTTATCTCCAATTCTTCTACATTGACCAAAAAACTCACATAACAGAAAATTAACCATTTTAACGTGAAATTCAGTGTCGTTTAATACAGTCACAATGTTGTGCAACCATTTCCTCCATCTAGTTCAGAAGCATTTCATCGACCCCGAAGGAGACCCTGTAGCCACTAAGGTACATTCCCTCCTTTTGTTAGCCCTAACCACTAATCTGCTTTCTGTCTCTATGGATTTACCTATTCTGATTATTTCATGTATTAGTAAAAGAAATCATATATTCCTGGCAAGAATGCGAAATTGTAAAAATACTTAGAAAATCTCTTTGAAATTTTTTCTTATAAAATTAAACATTCCTACCTTTTGATACAGAAATTCTACTCAGGTATTTGCTCAAGAGAAATATGAAACAACTTTATTCATAACAGCTCCAGACTGGAAGCAACCCAAATGTCTATCATTAGGCGGCTTGAAAAACACTGTGTGCTATATTTAAACAATGGGCACTACTTATCAATTAAGCAAAATAAAATACTGATATAATACATAGCATGGATGCATCTCAAAAACTTTATTTTCAGTGAAATAAGTCAGACACAAAAGTATACATATTGTTTAATTCTATTAATAACAGATTCATAGTGAGGCAAAACAAATGTATATTATAACAATTGCAGCAGTGGTAGCTCCAGTGAGTAGGGATTGCCTGGACAAGACATAAGAAAATATTCTGGGGTAATAAAAATGTTCTATATTTTGATTGGTGTGACCCTTTCACTGTATTTAAATCTGAACTTAATTTTAAAATAAATAATATAAAGCAGATACTTCTATACTATGAATAAAGAAGAAATTAGATCACTGAGATCCAACACTTTGAAACAAACATATTTCAAAGTGATGAGTCCTCCATAGACACTTACACAAAAGGAAGAACTTTGAAGTTTCTTTAATACAACTCCTTTCTTCCTTATTTCAGAAAAGTGAGGCCCAGAGATCAAGTTTCCTTTATCTTACTATATATTAGAGATTGTGTTTTTATTGCAATTAAAAAAATCGTTTCCTATAATAACCAATCAGATTGTAATCCATGAACTAGAGAGAAAATTTCAACAAACATGTTAGCTCAATTAGACTAATTCATTTTTTGAATTATTTAGTTGAAGGAAAACACATAAAGAGGAGCATATAAACATAATTGTACAGTGTAACAACCATAGAGATCAATAAATAGCACTCTAGAAGACACCTATTTTCTAATCCGATTGCTATTTCTTTCCATATTCCCAAAGATACTGCCCATCCTTACTTCGAATCTAGCCGAGTAAAGTAGATGTGGCCGTTTTTGAAATCTATATAAGTGAGATTTTACTAGATTTACTTATTGATGTATATCTTCTTTCCGTTAGTAGTATTTTTATGAAATTTAATCACATTATTTTTAAAAAACTATAGTTAAAAAAGAGTAAATTTACTATTGATAATCTATCCTAACAATGATACAGTTTTTCCAGTGTTTATATTACAAATAACGAACATTCTTGTACATTTATTGTATATTTGTGCGTGTGCTATTGTTGAATATTTCACAGCAGAGAAATTATAGAATTATTTAGTATATGACTGCTCATTTTTAGTAAACCATATTCCAAAACGGATTGACTAGTTTATGTCTTCACCAGCAAAAGAAGAGTTGCTCATTGCTCCCTTTCCTCACTCACAGGTTTTTACTCTCAGTCTTTTTATGATTACCCAGACTAGTGTGTGCCTATTAGTATTTCATGGTGGATAATTCTTATTTCCCTGATTGCTAATAAAATAAGGACTTTTTTATAGGTTGAACTGCCAAGTGCCCATCTTCTTTTTGAAAGATGACCATTCAAGTTTCTTGCCCATTTTTAAGTTAGGTTACCTGTTTTTGTAAGAATATTTCTATATTTTTAATGTACATCACTTTCAATTTATGTGTTTCAAATATGTTTTCTATTCTATGGTATTTTTTCTCCCTCTTTTTTGATAATAGGACCTTTCTAATTCTTTTTTGCCAAATGTAACAATACGTTTACTTATTTACTGTTTTTGTCTTATTTTAAAAAATCCTTCCACATACCAAATTTTTGAATGTATTTTTTTTACTTTATTTTATAAACATTTTATTGTTTAGGCTTTTATAGTTTAATCTACAATACCACTGGAACTGCTTCACGTATATTGTGGTGTGCATGTCAAATTTTTTTCATATTTATATAAAAATTATACCATACATTGAAAATATTATCTTTTCTTTACTATTTTTATAGAATCAACAATGTCATAAATCAAATGTCCATATATATATAATTGTTTCTAGCTCATTCTTTTTGTTCTATTGCATATATCTCTATTGTACTCCCAATATTATACTGTCTTAATTACTATAACTGTATAATAAGTCTTAATGTGGTGTTCCTTTTTTTGTATTAAAATATACATACGTGGTCAGCTTTTTAATTATCACACTTTTTTGTACACATAAAAGTAATGCCTGGGTTATTGATTAGGATTTCACTGAATCTGTAAGTTAATTTAAGATAAATTTTTATTCTTACAACAACTTGCCTTGAAAAACATGACCATGGTGCACTCCTTCATACATATAGGTCTTCATTCATTTCTTTCAAAAATGTTTTGTCATCTCACCAAACCCTTTCAGCATCATACTGGAAGTCCTAAATATGCAGTAAGAAAAGAAAAAGAAAATAGAATATATCCAGATTAAGAAGAAGAAATAAAACTACGTTTGATAGTAGATGACATAATTGTTTATGTAGACAGTCTGAAAAAATCAATAAAAAATTCTTGAAACTAGTAAGTGATTATAGCAAGGTTGTCAGATACAAAATTAAAATACAAAAGTCAATCACTTTCCTATATACCAGCAATGAACAAGTAGAATGTGACATTAAAACCGCAATAGTATTTACATTAGCACTCTCACAATTTAATACTTAGGCATGTCTAATAAAATATGTGGAATATCTATATGAGGAAAACTAAACTTGGATGAAGCGAATCATAGAAAAACTAAATAAATGGAGAGGTATCCATGTTCATGTATAGAAAAATTTAATATCAACAAAATGCAGCTCTTTCCCACTTTCTTTATTAATTCAAGGCAGCTCCAATCAAAGTCTCAACCTTTTACTTTCTGGATCGTGATAAATTGATTCTAAAATTTATCTGAAGAGGCAGAAGAGCCAGAATAGCCAACACAATATTGTAGGAGAAGAACAAAGTCAGAAGACTGACACTATTTGACATCAAGACTTACTATAAAGCTACAGTAATTAAAACTGTATAATATTGGTGAAAGAAAAGGCAAGTGGATGAATGCAACATAATAGATAGCTTAGAAATAGACTTACATATATATAGCCAACTGACTTTTGACAAAGGAGCAAAGGAAATACAATGAACAGCTCTGGTGTGTTCATTTTAATTTCTGTAAAGTTTTCAATTGCGTAAATAAAACATTGTTTTATGTATTCATTATAATGCCGATGGGGCATTTGGGTTGTTTCAAGTTTTAAAACGTAATAGTTTAAAACTTAAAAGTTTAAAACCTAATAGTTTTAAATGCAAAAGTTTTAAACATAGTTGCTTAAATGTAATATATAGTTTAAAAGGATAGTTTAAACTATTATGATAAAGTTATGTAGATTTTTGTTGATTTAGGGGCATAAATGCAAATATATATTGGGTGCATACCTAAGAATAAAATCGTAGGGTTGGTATTCAGTGTTAGTAGATTTTGACAAATAGATTTTCTAAGATAGGAGTCTTTATTTCTATCATCAGTAAAAGATAGTTTTTATAGCTCCATATCTTCATTAAATTTTCATATTACATAATTCATCAATGTTAGCAATTCTGCTGAGTTTTTATTATATCTCACTGCGGAATTAATTTTTGCCTCCCTGATTTTTAATAATAGAAAACATTCTTTTATGTATGTATTGACCATTTTGGTATCTGCTTTTGGGAAATATCTGTTGAAATTGTTCCTTTTCCTTTTGGTTTGTTGGGTTTTTTTTATTGTTTTTCATGGTGGTTAATTATATATTCAATGTACGTACCCCACATTAATTATGTCTGTTTTAAATACATACTCTATGACTTGGCCTTTGCACTTTCCTAATTGTGCTTTCATTAAAAGTTTCTTATTTTAATGTAGGAAAATTTATCAATTACTTCCTTTTAGCATGAGTGTTCTTTATATCATGTTAAAGAAGTCTCTGCCTCCAAGGCATGAAGCTATTATCCTATGTTATTTTGTAAATAATTTATTGTATTTTTTATTTCATAATTAAATATACAGTCCCTCTGGAATTTATTTATATGTATGGCAGGAAGTAGATTGTCAATGGCTGTTTTTTTAATACAGATTTGCAAGAGACTCCACAGCATTTATTGAAAAAAGAAAATTTCAGTGTTTTTCAATGTATCTTGATAACGACTTTTGATTTTTTTGTGTAGAGGATTAGCACAACTTTTATTTATTCTTAGGTATTTAGTGCTTTTCATTAAATATTTTTATTTTCTAAATCTCAGCTTCTAATTGTTGCTGAAATACAGATATGTGGTTGACTTTTAATCAGGTAACATTTAAAAATTCACTTGTTATGTCGACTAATATGTGTCTATCTCTCTCTTTTTTTTTAACAACCTAGTTACTCAAAATGTTGGTAGTTTTATTATTTCATGCCTGATTGCACTCATTAGAACACTCTCAGCATAATAGTGAATAGAACCTGAGAGTGTAATTGTTTTATAGTCTTCCAAACTCAGAGAGAAAACCATAGTATTTCACCTTGAAGTAATATGCTTGCTCTAAGTGTTACCTGGTATCAGATTTAAGAAAATTGTGTCCTTCTTAGTTTAAAATTCTTCAAAATGTATTTTGTATGTATTAAATGTCTTTGCATCTATTAATACTTTATCCTTTATTTTATTTTATTATGTGATATATATTGCAATAATTTTAAATAAATATTTTCTTATTAAACTACATAAGCAAAGAAAAGTGCACAAATCATAAATGTACAGGTAAATTAATTTTTCATTATTTTCAGTTTTGTTTCACATGTGTTAACTTTTGTATTAGATATTTACCTAGTAGTGGAGTTCCTGGATTATATGTACCTTTCTCATGAGTTTTTCTTGAAAGTTCTGTTTAACTTGTAACATCATCTCACTCTCAGTAGCCTTTTTCAGGTTTGACAAACGCCTCCAAACTTAAAGAGATTCCAAATAATGGCGTATCTCTCCATTTCTCTTTTCCTGAATTCTATGCAGTAATATTTGTCTATATTTATATATTTATTTACTTAATTATTTACTTAGTATAGTTTTTCCAAGTGTCCTCATCACAAGTTTTGGGTCAGTTTCTGTAGTAAGCTACCAGAGGCATCTGACAGACCATTTGTTGACTAAATTAGTGAACTGCCTATCTGGTCTTTAATGTTAAACTCAAAAGATTTGGTTCATCACAACCAGTAAATTACCTTTGTAACAACTGTATTTCAGATTATTTCTGACTCTTTTTAAAACAAGATCTAAAGTCCCACGCTATCATTAATTAATAAGGCAATCGGTCAGAAAACAGAAACTACTTTAGAACTGTCTTACATGTGCTAGAATACTATTAATTAATTTGGGGAAAACAGTAAAGTTAAAATTTATACGTGCTGAGTAATTTAAAGTCTTTAGCTCATGATTTTATTTTTGAAAAGCAGATTTCTTTTGACAAGTTTTCATTTGCAATAATGAGCAGATAAACCAAAAAAATGGTAAAGATATTTAGAAGATGAGTACAAATGTCATAGAACTTGATAGTTTTGTGTGCATGTTTATTCATATTTATGTATGTAGCTTTTTCACGAGTAAATCAGCTGTTAAAAATTTATGCATCTAGCCCAAAGATATAATAATCCATGCATAAATAAATAAGACTTTGAATACATTTCACAGAGAAAGAAAGCACCAAAGATAAGGAACTATTTAAATCTGTTTAACTATTTGAAATGAGAATTATTTGGCATTCTAATTATGAAGAGATGCTCCATTTAAAAAATAAGTTTACTTAGGGATTTTAAGGTCTGCTGTAGTAACCAGAATACAATGTAATTTGTTGCTGTTATTGGCTCACAGATACAATGAAACATCTGATAGGGAGTTTGAAAGAACAGAAATCAATTGAAAGCATAATGTAAAGGCATTTAAAAAATCCTAATGCAATTCTCAGCCAGCTTTTTTTGTTGTTCGTATGTGTGTTTACTTATTCATTCATTCATTGTATATAGTAATATATTTCCATGTTGCAATATTGAACCATGCTTACTATACATCTTTTGTGGTATCTGGTGAATTATTTCTATCCTCTCACTAAGAAACAAGGAAGGCTTTATCACGGTGTTTAATTTTATGCTAATCATTGAATCATCTGTGTAAGGATTTATTTAACAAATATGCTGATTTATCACAATGTTACCTTCTTTACTGTAGAAAGTAAAAAGTTTCCTTTTCAAAGTTCCCCTTCTTGTTAAAGAATAAATCATAAGTGTTAGAAATAATAGTTTCTTTTAAAGACGAACTTTCTTCAAGCTTCCTTGCTTTGTGCTAATAACTCTTTGCTAAGCCCTATCCTATGTAACTGTTGGACATGCTCACAGGTACATTCCAGCTCACAGCCTATGCCCCTTCCTTATTTGGAAATGTTACTGCTTCCTTAAACCTTTCATAAGCAACTTCTTTGCTCTTCCTTGCACTTACCTATTTAGGAAAGTTTTAGGATATTAGCAAATTCGGTGTCAGTTTGAGAGTATGAGGTCCCGCTGTAGCCAATGGACGCAGGACACAGCAGTAAGGACTACCGAAATGTGTAAGAGATAAATACATCTGCTTTTCCTTTGTTCAGGTGTGCTCTTGCCATTCTTCCATCTGCAATTGAGCACCCTTCCTGCTGAAAGCAAAGATGGCCTTGCTGAGAGATCTTTTGTCTCCGTGCTGACTTTTTTTTGCAGCACCCATTATCTATTTCTAACAATTTTGATATTTCTAACATTTATCATAGTTTACACAGAAACTTCACAATGGAGTGTAAGTGGCAGGGATTTTGTCACTCTAATCTCGAGTTTGACTCTTTTGACTGTGGAGATTTCTTAAGTTTTCTGTTCCTCAGGAATTATCACCTGATGGGGTGTTGTAGAATAAAACATGTCAGTACAAATGCTTGTTCTCTCTGCTTCTCACTGCGTCAAGAATCAATTCTTAGTCTAAAATACGTGGCCCTTTATTATATTCTATAATGAAGTTTTCTAATTATTTCCTGTTGCTCTTGTTACCCAAATTATTTTGACTTCTTTCAAAAATTAAAATGGTATTATAAAAAAGGAGTGTTGGATTTAAACTCAGAAAGACCAAAAATAGAATTTTCCCTCTAATACTTCTTAACTGTTGGATCTTAGGCAAGTTACTTCATCTTTCTAGTTTCATTTTCCTCATCTGTGAGATGGAGTTAAAAATGTCCACCAAATGGAATGGTTACAAGGATTAAATGAGACACTATATGAAAACTCATTAGCTGAGTTCCTGGCAGAATGTATGAATTCCATGAGTCCTCTTTTTTTCCCTGCCTTTCTTTCTTGAGAGCAGGCATTATATATTTTTTCCTAAAACGTTCCATTCCCCACTGCACTTATTGTCTAGCATGGATTGGGTCTATGGCTGATCAGAAAGAGTACTTGGTGTTTCAAACACAACTTGATAGTCAACATGCTTCTTCCCTGATATTGCCTTCATCTTTTTTTCCACACATATGTTGTGAGTGCCTGCTGTACACCAGGCATGCTCCTGGCAGCTTGCTGAAACCACTGTAAGAAACAGCAACTATTAAGACACTGCTTTGCCAGAACTTGAGGGTTAATTGATTAATCAGATAAGATAAAAAGAGAACAATAAAGTCATAAAGGTGAGGATGGCAGTGAACAGCCTTCAAATAGCTATGTGTTATAGTCCTCCTTATTACCCACATCCCAGTCAGTGTCTTATCCTTCATGAGGGGGATCCTTTTCCTTTCGGTCACGGCATCAAAAAATATTTGGTGTCTTTGGGGCATCATTGTTTGAAAAGAGGCATGGGGAGAGAGAAAGTCCTCAGACTGGTGTACAAGGCTGTTTCTGGACGAGCTTCCTACCCTTCCTCCATAACCTTAGTATCATGTACCCACCTACACATACACACATCCTGAGCTCTGTCCACAGAAACTACCCAATGTTATTATTCTGTGTGTGTGTCTTCATATGTGCATATGGATAACGGGACGACTAAACACTCATTTGAATCACTTATATGCAAAGTGGTTTAAAAATACCAGGTATTTGACTGACAGATCCACTTTTTATTTGCTCATTGATGACATTTAGACCCAGAATTGAAGAATCATACATAAACAAGTTGGAAATTATGCCCATATTGGTCTCTGGGAACTTTCTACTCAGCCCCAACATAGTTCTAATTAAGTTAAAATAATCATGTGGGCTATGTTTCAAAGACAGAGAGAGAGCACTCCCCTCTGAGAATTTATGTTAAAGTCAGTTATTATGAACTAAATTTGAAATCCAAAAAAAGATACTCACTATTCTGTATTTAAATCCAAACCTGCATTATCATATGATTTTTTATTCAGCTTGTATTATGAATATTTGTTAAAGGCTTTTGTTTCCAACCCTTCTCATAATATATTAAGGTGGTTTCATCTCAGTCATTTTCTGAAATTGGATATTGTATCATGACAATTCCATGTGCATGTTAATTGAGAAGTTATTGAAAATACAATTAAAACTAATGGCAGGCATTGTTATTACCATTGTTATTATCATTATTATTACACAGCTGTATTTGGATATAATTTGATCTTTTCAATAGCCCTGTGAGGTAGAAAAGACAGTATTATAATCAAGAATTTATAAACGGCATCTAGTGCCTAGCTGAGGATATTTATCCGTTGGGTAAATAGTTATGTAGCTATTTTGTGCCAGGATTGGAATGAGGTCTCCTGGCCTTTGACCTGGTTTTCTTCATTGATCATAGACTTCATTTTATTTTTTTTTCCCACTGTAAGAATCAAAGTATTTAAGTGCCACCTACAGCAAATTCAGCCCTAGAAGGTTTTGGGCTAAAGCACACATGCAGACATTTCCTTAAAGGTAGCTTTTAAAGAACACAGTATTTCCTTTGCCCCCTTCAAAAATTAAGATTGTCTTTCTAGCCTATTTTCCATTGTGGTTGTGTCTTTCTTAGCTTTGGAAAGATTCTGCTAATTTTCCCTTCTGGTCAACTGCTTTGCCCAATATTTTATCTATTTAGAAGAGAAAAAATGTCACCTCATTTGGCATATGAAAATAGAGAACTCTTTAGTTTTTCATCTGAGCAGGGAGATAATGGCTTTAAGCAAATGCTTGGGTATTTTGCACAAGGGTGTACTGCCTTCCTTATGGTCTCATCTTCTATGGGCACCTGCCTCTGATTCTTTAGGCTCCCGCGTTTCCTTCCATCCTTTCTTCCGCTTGGAAAGCTGATGGGATTGGGGATATGTGTTTCCTGCCCAGGTCTTCTGGCAGTGATTAGATAATCTTATCTACTTTGGAAAGATAAGCAAACAAATAAAAAACTTGGAAACAAACCTTTGACAGCCTCTCATGATAAGAGCATGCCCATCTTTCTACCCTCACACCCCACTTGCATATACTCAGATTCTTTTCTTGGGTAGCATGGACCGTTGAAGAAGGTCTGTACCTTTCATTAAACCTGTGTGTAAGTCCCATTATTACATTATCATTTATTTTGCCTCATAGCTTCCAATGTTGAGGAAGACATTACTTATCCGTGCCTTGGTAGAAGACACGTTTCTTTCTCTCTGTGTGCTATTTGAATGGGCTGTTTGTTGTGGCTCATCTTCAGTTGGGGCTCTTTCTAGACACTTTCTCTGTGGCCTCCAGCTCTGAGGTCTAGAGTCACATCCAGAGTTTCTGAGAGATAAGGTAATGGATAAATTTCAAAGTAAGTAAATAAATGCAAATAAAAATGAAAGTACTGCTTGCTGAGCTGCTTTGCAGAGGTTCCACAGATGCTCTGCACATTTCTCTGAGTTAGGCTCTACTTCATGAACTGAAGATCCTAAGGCCTAGAGAAATGAAGATATTAAGCCAAGTGACAAGTCAGTGAAATATCTCTGTATTTCACCCCAGCTCTCTTTTGCACCAAAGTGTCATCTCTTTCTGCTCCACTATATCACCCTGAATACACACAGGAAAAAAGGCATAATGAGAAATGGATGCATTGTTAAGACAATGTATCTCCAGTGAAGAAGAAGAAAATTCCAGATCTCAAACCCAAGTTTTGCTGTTACTACCTGTATCCTCAGTCAAATTTTGTAATCTCTAAGGACCTCAGTGTTTTCAACTCTAAAATGAGTCTAGCAATGCCTTCCTGAAAGGGCTGTTGTGATGATAAAATGTGAATAAAAACACTTTCACTACCTGGAAAGTGCAATGAGGGCTAAGACACTTGAAATGTCTTTGAAATGCATGTTATTCATCTTAAAACTGAAATAATTGCCAGTTACTATCTGCATGGTCTCATCCAGTTCTTAGACTTCATGATTCTATCTTGATTGTGATCTTTATATTTGATCCTTTTACTGTTGTCTGATTCTGTAAGTGCTTAATTCATCCTAACCCAAACAAAAGTGCATTGTTGTAGCATGTACAAGTATATCCACCACCATTCAGATGAAAGTTCAGCCAGAATACAAAGATATGCCCTTGGGCACTGGCTCCTACCAAATCTGAGACATGTGCAGTGACAGGAAGCACCACTCACACATTACTCTTACCAATGCCAGGTATGAGAGCAGGACTAGGAGGCCATAAGGATTTTATGGCAGCCCTGGGCCATGCGAGTGCATAAGAGGTCCGTACTCTAGAGGTGCAATAGCACAGCCAATAGCATTACAACCTCTGGAGTCCCACTGTCTGAGTTCAAGTCCTGTGTGACCACTTTCTAATTGTGTGGCAAGTTACTTCTACGCACAACTGTCCCATGTGTACAATGAGAATAATAGCTTCAACCTTTCAGGGTTTTGACAAAGATTAAATGACCTAATAAGTATCTAGCACTTAGAAAAATATCTCACAAATAATATAAATTAGATATATTTCTTGCTTGATTCTCAAAATAATCCTGGGTAATAGGAATTGTAATAAGCAAATGAAGGTTTGATAGGTAAAACAATTTTCCCTAGATTATACCTCCAGTAAGGAGATGCATCTGGTATTCAAGCCCTGATTGTCTGGACTTAAAGCCTGGGCATCTCTAATTTAACACAACACTATCTGTGTCCAGTGAAATGATTATGTGTATGCAACTATAAGCCTGGAAAAGCAAATCTGCAATGACAGGTGTGTTACTCCAAAAAATTTTTCAGAGTAAAATGTCAACACTAAGAAGTATACCTGCTGAAACTTAGAGATGCTTGAGGGACAACAAATCTTGGGGCAGAACACAGCCACAGAAAATAATGATTTAACAAGTTTTCTAACTATCAGGGAGCAAAATAATATAAACACTTAACTGCTAATGGCAATGATTATAAAATCAAAGCAGTATTTCATGAGATTTAGTGCGATGCCTACAAAATGGGGGTTATGTTTTCTCAACTTTTGAAAGTGAGCTGAAAATAAAATTGCACATCATTTTATAATTAAAGACTTTGAGGGCCTCTAAAAATTTTTATGCTCACCCCTTAGTTACGTTACTGTATTGCCTGTTGTCAATGAAAAATCAAATGGCTTTAGCAGTAGTAAATTATCAAGGTATAACAATTTAATATTCAGTGTGATGAATGAGGCCCCAAATTAAACAAAAAAAATCACACTGAATTCAAGATCATCTAAGAGAAAATCTACCAGCTAATGTTAGGTACAGAGGCAAGTAACCTAACATTGACTAAGTATCACTATTAAATGTTCCAGGCTCTGTCATGGGTGTTTTAAATGGCTACTTCATATCATCCTCATAACAGACCTATGAGACCTAATTTATTAACAGGTAAATGGTAACAGAACTATGTTTGAAAAACAGGTCACTATAACATGTCCTTCTTATCGTTTTTGTTTTTCCCACCTTTCCTCTTGGACCCTCTGTTTTTCCTTCTTTCTCTTCTTTCTTGTTTGATTCCCACTTTCCCCAAATAATTTAAGCAACATTTACTGAACATGGATTACATATGGGACACTGGATTAGTTGATAAAGATTGAATGGGGAGCGAAATCCTCTCTGGAACATTTCAGTGGAGCTGAACCTAAAGTGGAGGAAATGAACATAAACTATTACACCCATGAAGGTAAAATGACACCTAAGATAAGTGCCGTGAAAGAAAGAATATGATTCCACAGCAAAAAGGAATATGCAGTTAAAGAAGTCATCCTTAGGAAATGATACTTTAACTGCTACGTAGAAAGTGAGCAAATTACCTAGGAAAATGGATGAATGTGTGAGGGCTTGAGAAGTATTCAAGATAATTGAATTGTACCTGAAGAGGCCAATGACCTCGGTGGGTGGATTACTGGGATACAGAAGCAGGACAGGAAGGCTGAAGCACAAAGACCTAAGGTAGGTAGTGAAAGATGAAGCTGAGTACGAGAGCCTTCTGAGGTTCCTTTTAAAAATGTAATTTCATTGTGGTTTTGATTTGCATTTCTCTGATGGCCAGTGATGAAAAAAAAAAAAAGAAAAGAAAACTGCACTTGTAACCTCTAAATCTATAAAAATAAAAAAATTTTAAAATTAAAAAATAAATAAAAATGTAATTTCATTTTATTGTCCCCAGGATAAATATTTTATTTTATCTTAAGAAAAATAAAAAACAATAATACATCAGTGTTTCAAAAAGTTGAATATGATGGCTAATAAAAAAAAAGGATAGATAATTTGGGCGGGGGAGGAGAATAGGAATGAAAAAAATGTATGTGGTACTACCAAAAAGAAAAGGGAAATTACCATGCGCTGAGCAAGAAGAAATAATGTCTATAACTATAGAAGTAGAGGGGTGGTAGTGAAGATAAAGGGAAAATTCTTAAAAGAATATCCTTTATGTGAACTCTGTTATTTCTAGGTATTAGCAATTTTCTTCCCAAATGTGATTAAAATACTCCTATTAGTTAGGATAAGTAGTATCTGAGATTGTCACTAAATGTCCACGGGGGCTTACCTCAGTCAATGAACCCAGTGGATTGGGAAAAAAAATATCACTGGGAGGAATATGAGGACACAACGGTAGTCATAGCATAAGTTTCATAGCTTATACAAACATTAACTCAAAATTGATCATGGACTTAACCATAAATCATAAAACTATAACACTTTTAGGAAAGAACATAGAAGAAAGTTTTTGAAATTTAGCATTAGGTAAAAAGTTCTCAGACTTCACACCAAAAGTGTGACCATAAAAAGAGAAATTGATAAATTGGACTTTATTAAAATTAAAAATTTTTTTGTGTTATGCAAGTTCCTGTTAAAGGGATGAAGTAAACCTACAGACTAGAATACAATAGTGTGGCCAGACGCAGTGGCTTATGCCAGGCACAATGGCTAATCCCAGCACTTTGGGAAGTTGAGTCGGGTGAATCACAAGGTCAGGAGTTCAAGACCAACCTAGCCAACATGGTGAAACCCTGTCTCTACTAAAAATACAAAAATTAGCCGGGTGTGGGGATGCACACCTGTAATCCCAGCTATTTGAGAGGCTGAGACAGGAGAATCGCTTGAACCTGGGAGGCAGAGGTTGTGGTAAGCTGAGATGGCTTCACTGCACTCCAGCCTGGGAGACAGAGCAAGACTCCATCTCAAAAAAAAAAAGTACAATAGTGCTTATCTAATAAAAGACTAGTGTGTAGAATCAATAACTCACAAAATTCAACATTAAAAAGCAATCAAATTAGAAAATACAAAAAAGACATGAAGAGTCACTTCACCAAAGAGAATATATAGGTGGAAAATAATCCCATGGAATGATCATCAGTCATCAGGGGAAAAAAAAAGAACTGATTAAAACCACAATGAGATATCATGACACACCTATAAGAATGGTTAAGTTGAAAATTAATGGCAGCACCAAGCATCCAGGGATAACTTATGCTTCATCTATTGCTGGTGAAAATGTGAAATGGCAGAGCAACCCTAAAAGGCAGTTTGACAGTATCTTACAAAAATCAACATGCAGCTTCATAAAATCCAACAGTTGTATTCTTGGGAATTATTACCAGAGAAATAAAAACTTACACTCACACAAAAAAACTGTTTATAGAATCTTTATTCACATTAGCAAAAAATGGGAAACAACACTGATACCTTTAATAGGTAAATGGCTAACAAATGGGTATGTTCATAACAAGGAATATTACTCAGAAATAAAAGGAAGTGAGCTACTAATACAAGCAACAACCTGCAGGATTCTCAAGAGAATTACGCTGAGTTTTTTAAAAAAAGCCAAAAAGGTTACAAACTATATTATTCCACTTGTATAATGTTCTTAAAATGGCAAAATTATAGAAATGGAGAAGATTAGTGGTTACTAGAAGATTGAGTGGCATGTTTAAGCAAGAAGGAAGTGATGCAGATATAGAAGAGCAACATGAGGAATCCTTGTGGCGATGAAAATATTCTGTTTGTTGAATCTGTCAACGTTACCATTGGGAGCATGATGGTATACTATAGTTTTGCAAGATGTTAACATTGAGAAAACAGGATAAAGTGCTAATGGGATACTTACATTATTTTTCTACCTGCATGTGAATTGACAATTCTATCAAAATAAAGCATTCAATTAAAATAATAATTTCTCATAGAAACAAAGAGTAGAATGGTGGTGGGGTGAGATCCCAGAGATAGTCAAAGCATACACAATTGCAGTTAAATAGGAGACATAAGTTTAATAGCTTACGTACACATGGTGACTATAGTTAATAACAATGTATTGTAGTTTTAAAAATTTATTGGAGTAAAAGAAAAGAACAATTGAAATACATTTCTATACATCTGAAAAATATCTGATATATTAATAAATAAAAGAAGTAAATTGCAAAGTAATACAAATAATGAGACTCAATTTCTGATCTAAAGAAAAAGACAGAAAACAGAAAATTATATGTGTACATATTTGTATAAGTGGACACACCCCAGACTATTGACACTGGTTTCCTCAGGGATAAACTTATTAAGGAAAGGACTACTGTTTTTCTTTATATATTTTTATATGGCTTAAATTATTAAAATAAACATCTATAGTTTTGTGATTAAGGAAAATATGAAAGATCATATTTTTGGAGAAAAAAATCCTAGCCTTTATAACACATAAAATGAATCACGTTTTTACTAAGTCTGGGTGTGTGCAAGCAAGTGTAGGGGCCTGCATAGAAGGTGGCCACCTTCTATTGGGGTTTTCTGCCTCCTGCGTAATTAGCTCCAGCTGCTGATGTACTTTACAGAGTCCCTGCAATTCTATGCGTCATGGTTTGAAAACCACTGCACTACATAGTATCAAATATATTGTCAATGTCTAAGATTATTGAACAGATGGGAAGTCCAAAGTCAATGGGAAGATCTCCGTGGTCTCAGGCTGCACGTGACATTCAGAATGACCTCTCTAGTCTTGCTCCACTAGTGACTGTTCACTTACCCCATATACATGTCCACGTGGTCTCTTATACTTTTGTAAAAGTATAACCCAGGTCAAGGTCATCCTTATGAAAGTTGGGTGCCCTAGCCTGGATATAGGCTTTCTCTGGGAATACCATGTAACCACTCACCCTGTCAGCATTGCTGACCCTGTGGGGCCTACACTCTTTTTGGTAGTCCTGATCCTAAAGTGACTTCTACAGCAAGTTAATTACTCCCAAGTTCACAATTGTCTTCTAGATTCAGGGAAGGCTGCCATTCAAGATGCTACTCATTTCCCACTGAGACTCACAAATTTAATTGCACAAGTGCATTATACATTACTCATTTAAAAGATAGCTATGTGTTTAGGTCCGTGTGTGTGTGTGTGTGTGTGTGTGTGTGTGTGTGTGTGTGTTCCCCTAATATATACACATGTATCTTCATCTATTACTATTTTTATTTCTATATCTGCATCTATATAAACACATATGTACATACACATACGCGCGCACACACACACACACACACACATATATATATATATCTTTTAGAAGTTTTAGATTCTGAAGGCAAATGAAATAAATCCTTTCCATAGTAAAAAAAAAATTGTTTATTTCTAGTATGGTTTTCTCAAGTAAAATCCATTTCATCTAACTTCCATTGCTTTCTGGAGATGGCCTTGTTGCAAAGGGGAAAAAGACACAAACAAATATACACACATCAACAGCAAGGCAATCCTTTCCTGTTCCACACATGATTAAAAACATAATACATTTTCCATTCTGTGACACTATCAACTTTTCTCCAGCCATGTTTAATCCCATGACCTTGAAAGGCTTCAGTCATAATAGAATGAAAGGAGGAGGAATGTGGGGTTTGATCTCGCAAGTGGAAAGAATCTCCTATTTTGAGCCGGAGCTCCTATTTTGATCCAGAATTCTGAAAACGAATTAATCTTTTCACTCACTGAAGAGGCAAAAGACCCTTGGCTGCCCAAAGATGCTCAGAGATGAGTGTCTTTGACAAGGGCAGAGCCTGGGTCTTTACGTTAGTGATTGGCAATAAGAAAAGAAAGAAATATTGGGGCAAATGGAGGGCAGAATGCTTCAAAATCTCAGAAAGATAGAGTAGAAAACGGAAAATGTATCCCTTGGTCTTAATGGCTCAGCATGAACCAAAGCACCTATTTGGAATGTGTAGAAGACATTGTACAGTTTCAAGAGTTCACAGAAATTCTTTCAAATGTTCTCCCACTAAAACAAATTAACACCTTTTTAGTGTTGGGAAAAGGTAGGGAGAAAAAATATTCTTAATCCTATCATCAAAAACAATGTGTTAACATTTAAGGTTATTTCCTTATAGAGTTTCTCTATACTCCATATATGTACTGTATAATTATGATAATTCTGGTTTAAAGCCATTTTTCCTATTTATTAAAGCTAAATACTTCCTCTATACTATAACAAGTTCTTGTTATAGTAGACTACATGGGAACAAGGAATGTGATTTTGAGTGTGAGTCTTTCACATGTACATTTTATCTGATTTAGACAAAATTCTAATTAAATTGATTTCATTTTTCTCATTTTAAAATAGTAGCTTGAGTAATACATTCCTTATAGGATTATTGAGATGCTCAAATAATAAAATATATAAATAATTACATAAAAATCATCATATGTTTATGACAACTTATGGTACATAGTAGTCAATAAAAATTAGCTAAAAATAATAACATGATTTGATACTCCTATTTTAGTTTATTCTATGACCGCCTAATAATTTAGTTAACCAAATAGCTATTGTTAGACTTTTAAATTATAGCAAATCTTTACTTTTAAAAACTGTCAAGATACTATGGATCACTTGACTTGTATTTTTTTTTTTTTAAAGCCTTATCCACCATGATCAAGTGGGCTTCATCCCTGGGATGCAAGGCTGGTTCAATATATGCAAATCAATAAATGTAATCCAGCATATAAACAGAACCAAAGACAAAAACCACATGATTATCTCAATAGATGCAGAAAAGGCCTTTGACAAAATTCAACAACCCTTCATGCTAAAAACTCTCAATAAATTAGGTATTGATGGGATGTATCTCAAAATAATAAGAGCTATCTATGACAAACCCACAGCCAATATCATACTGAATGGGCAAAAACTGGAAGCATTCCCTTTGAAAACTGGCACAAGACAGGGATGCCCTCTCTCACCACTCCTATTCAACATAGTGTTGGAAGTTCTGGCCAGGGCAATTAGGCAGGAGAAGGAAATAAAGGGTATTCAATTGACTTGCATTTTTAATTATTATTTATTTAGGATAGTTTCCCAGAAGTAAGATTGCATGCTAGCAGTTATTCTCTTTTTAATTGTTCTTGACACATATGAATTTTGTTTTCATTAGGAATTTACCAATCAATTTTTTATGTCAACAACATATGAGCATGTATATCTCTTAAATACATTTTCAAGGACATAGTTTTATATTTATTTCTCTCAAATCAATACTTCGTCATTGAAAATTAAGTCATTGTTTTTGTTATTCTAATTTAATGCTTTCAAATTTTATTAGTTATATATCAATTATATATTATATAATTTTACTTGTTAATTATATATTACTTATTATATATTAATTTTAGTTATTAACTATATATTAGACATTTTTGAAATATTAAGTATCAAATGTCCTTATCTTTTTATAAAAAATAAATATTCCATTTGAAGGTCAATCATTATTTCATATTTACACTGTTTATTTATAAATACTACCTAATCAATACTTTATGAACTTTAAAAAATTTCTTACAGGTGAACAAAATAAATGTAGACATATTTATTCTTGCTTACTTATTTATGTGTGTTGGGCTGCCAGAGGTATGTTTATGAAGGGCATCATAAATTGCTAAATTTACTTAACAAATAATTAAGCTTACTTGTCAAATGACTCATAACACAATTTGATCAAGTTCCATGGCTAAAATTATGTTATGACAAAACACTACAATAAGGGGCTGGTTGGTTCTTAAATATGTTAGATTTTAAAGGAAAAAGACTTCTATTTTTATGGTATCTGTTGACTTCTAAAATTATTGTGATGTCATCATTCTCCTTTCCACCTCTGTGAATTCATCCATGCCATTTCCTCTGCCTGAACTGTCCTCCCAACAAAATCCTGCTCACCCTTTAAAACATACCTCTGACAGCTCCTTCTCTGGGCAAGTCGCATGAGCCTCTCCTCTCAAGGTATATAGGTACACTCTACACTGCCACTCAGCACATACCTATCATAACATATGTGTGGTTTTGGAATTACTTAATTTAGATTCTCATTTTCCATATTATCCTGCCAGATTCTTGAGGGTAGTAATTGTCTCATTAGTCTACCAGATCAATGTTTGGCTTTAAAAAGGTGCTTTGTAAATATTAACATGGCTTCATCTTAAGGAAACTATATTGGTCTCTCCAAGTATGTGCCCATGTGTGAAGCCCAGTGTCCTCTGGTCAACATTTCCCCAATTACATTCTCTAAGATTATGGACTCTTATGGTGCTCTTCCCTTCCAGGGCCCATCAAGGCAAATTGGCATATTCTCCTGATGTTTTGCCCACTGTATCCCACAGGTCATTAGGTGAATTTGTGTTATTTTTTCACTTGTCTAAAAGTGCTTATTAAGTATAGTCCAGAGTTATATGGAGATTTTTTACCATTCAAGAATGGATACTGGTGGGTATACTGAGAGCCCAAAGGAAAATAGTAATATAAGATCTTTGCTGTAAGCTGAAGTCAAAATTTCATTGGCGATGTTGATGCTCCTGTGTCTGCTAATATCTTTGTCAAATACCATATGATGTAAATTGTTTGATCATGGTGAGAGGGTTTAGGGGAAGGGGTAGAAACATGCTGAAATAGAAGAATATTACAAAATGTTGCAGTTGGAGAACAATTTCTAAATTAACTTGATCTATATTTTCTTTTTAGTTAGGCCTGATGCAAACACATTTTTCACGACTCCACTGGAAATCATGTTGCTAATTAAAACTCCTGTGCTATTGGAAACCCAGAATTGTCCTTTTCACTGTATACTACACAAAACCCCAGGTGCAATAGCAATGCAAATATTGTTCTGGGAGAGATAATAGTTTGTTGAATGAATGAGTGATCTAGTAAATTACTGAGCTGCTAAAAACAGTAATTAACTGTGGATACACATGATAAATTTTATTTCTACCTCTCCCATTATATGCCTACATTTAGGATGGCATTTGTGCTGCAGAGCAGATACTCAATGAATGTTTTTATTTAGGGAATAAAATCATTTGCCATTGTATATGTGCACTTTTTAAGTCCTCTACCATTAGAAGAAAATCTCCATGAAGCCAGAAATCTATTTTGTAGTTTCTATTTTCTGGGAAGAATTTACTGAAGCACAGACCCACAGTGGGAGGCCAGTTATTCATTGACTGAGTGGATACTTGGATTTAAAAGAAAAGCATCAACGCTGGACTATGGCACAGGATGATAACAAATTCATCAATGTAACAATTTTGCTGATTTCTAATGGCTACCCGCCTATCACAGTTCCAATCAGATTGATGGTGTAATGAGCTAAATTTGCACCAAAATAACAGTTTGATTATTGAGTGGTTTTGTAAGCTAAGTTGACAGGAATGTAGTCATTAAATCCATTGTTTATCACTTGCTTTTTATTTATTTAATTGGAATAGGTTTCTTTTGAAGCCATTCGACAGATGTTTGATTACGATAAGATTTATTTTGGCTTGAAATGCTCAATTAAAGGGTCACTGATTATATCAGTCAGGGTTCAACTAGGGGAGCAGAAAAGTCAGACAGGTAGTCAGGAAGGGAGGGTCACAGGCAAGCTCAAAGCCACAAGCACAAGTTGAAGCTGTCATCCACACAGTCAGGAAGAGAAGCTCAGTAGCAGGACTGGAACCCCATGGGGATGGAGCAGGCTGCTATCCACAGGTGGAATCTCTTCCCCCTCCCAGGGAAGCCACAGTCTTGCCTTGGCACCTTTCAGCAGATTCAGTCCGAGCCATGCAGTTATCCAGGATAATCACCATGACTTAAAGGCAGCTAATTGGGGCTTTCATTACATCCGCATAATCCATTCAAAGCAGCACTTACATTATTGTTTGACTGAATAACAGGATATGTAGCAGAGTCAAACTTACACGTTAAAAAAGCCGTCACATCTTTCTCCACCAGGCCTAAGATTCCACTCCTCTACACAGAGACAGAAGGTCAGGGAACAATAGGAGAAGGATTTTGCCACACACACACACACACACACACACACACACACACACACACACACAAAATCCATTTCATGAAGTGTTCTCTATTCCACACAGGCAGGGAAGATCCTACCAAAATAAGCAAGCCCCTAGCTCACTAAATATTATTTGTCCCCTGCAGACTGGAGACTCCCCTTCCTTGCCTAGCAGCAGCAGGCACCTCAAATATGGAAATGACTCCTGCCCTCCAGGAAGGAGGCCTCAGCTGCCAGCAAGGACCAGTGGGAGCCCCAGTTGTTTGAGATTGTCAAGTTTTTTCTAAAATTTATGTGAAAAGATGTGGGCCCTAAAATAGCTAAAATCATAAAAGATTAAAGTGGGAGGAATCACTCATTCAGTATCAATGCCTACTCTACAGCTGCAGTGATTATTTAGCCACACCAGTTTTGGTACCTTCTGTCTGTTATGCTCCCAAGCTGACCAAAGAGATAATTAAAAATAGTATATAAATCACTTCTGTCTTAGAAGTTGACTAATGTTGTATTTTTTAATACAAATATAATATTAAATGATTTCCAAGTTTTGTTAAATGTAATTTACTAATTGTTTCTGCAGTGGTGTCACCTTTCAAGGACAATATAGTATTCTTTCCTTTATAACGTTGTAATGAGACTTTTAAAAATATGAAAAATATTTGTTGGTGTTTTAGGTGTGGCTCTGTGCTTCATGATTTACATGCACCGTCATTAAGTCCTACTACAGCTTATTGGCAAGTATTATTTATTCCATTTTACAGATGAAACTGGAGCTCAAGGTAGAAGTTAGATGAGTCAGAATTTGAATTAAGACATTTTGAGTAAAAACCCAAGTTCTGTCATTGTGCAGACTCCACGCCCCCTTCACCAAAAAAGAAAAAAAGTCATTAATTACACATTTACATATTTTTCCTTTAAAAAATGTTACTTTGGGAAAATGCATTTGTTCATATATTTGAAACATTTTCAAATATCGAGCCCCACTTTTAACAGGATTTTAGAGCCAGTATGCCAGCAGCAGGAATACAAACACAAACAAACGAAAACAGTTATTACTTTATAGTCACATTTCATTTTTATAAAATATGTTTCATCAACTTTGTAACTGGTCTTTTTCTCTAGTCTTTCTAAATGTCATCTATTTCTCATATCAAACTCTTTCATAATATTTATCTGTTTAAGCAGGCATGCTACTGATTCTGAATGCAGTTGTAAACAGGAATTCCAAAATTAATTTTAGTTATAGAGGCATTTTGAAATAAGTGGATAACTCTTGTGTTTTTTTTTCAATTTATACTGAAAATATTACAGTATTTAATATATTTAGGAAAGTAGAAAAACAAAACAATTTATGTATCATCACATCCCCTCAGTCCTAGAGTCAAGAAAATTGGCTTTTTATCTCAGTTCTGCTATTTAGTTGTAAGAAGTTCAGTGGCTTTGAGGAAAGAACCCAGAGATTCTTTTCTAATCCCCACTTTCCTAATTCTAGACATTCATGCAATAATTATAATGCCAGCCTTATGGGTTATTGTGGAATAAATGAGAATGTATGTGGCATGCTTTCATTGATTGGGCACCGTATCCTAGGATAGCCTATATTTCACACACATATTCTGCATGGCTGCATTCATAATATGCACTGTTTTATGATGGGAGCTACCCATTTTCAAACATTTGTTATGAAGTTTTGTATAAAAAGTCACATGCATGGATAGATGTGAAAGAATTTTCATTTTGTTTAGTCTCACCAGGAATTTAAGAGTAATTCCCAAATTGCTTCTGGGCCTTGACTTTCTGTCATCTATTCAAATGTCAAAACCTTTTCCTGGAAGAATGTGCTACACCTGCTGCAGGTATGACCACCACGTTTTTGGATTTATGTGCCACCTATTGGCTTCTGAAGTTTGCTCATACTGAATAAATTCTGATCTAAGTTCTCTGCATTCCTGGAAAATGGTTCATAATTCAATGAAACTGTTATAGGTAAAGATGAAACAGAGAATTTAAGTGACATGTAGTAGATCTTGTGTTTGGTTAAATTCAGAACTAGAATTTTATGTTCATAGAACATTTGTTTTTAGTGTCCTCCCATTTTCTCCCATCCCCCCATAAATGGACAGTGTTTAGATTGCTGTCATTTCATGAGATGAAGTGAGGGTGCTGCTGTTTTTCTGAGTCAGACCTCTGACCTTTCAGGGTGACGCTAAACACGTTCTCATTTCACATTTACAGCAATTACATTAGAGATTCTTTACTCTTGAATTGCTCTTTCAAAGAGGACTTAATTCATTGTGTATTTTATAATGAATTTAATCAGTTACTTGAATAGCCAATATTCATTAGAAATAAATTATTAAATTAAAACACTATTATTTGTATATTATGTCATGATGTACCACCTTCACTCCTGTTTGACCTTGACAAGGTAAATAAACCCACAAGGTATATATTATCGTTTCTAATGTGTTATGTAAATGAGTGAGCATAGGCTCAGAAAATTTCAGTGCTTAGCCCAGAGAAAGAAGGTGACAACGCTGAATTTTAATTTCTGTGGCACAATTTTATGTTCCCTTTAATGTACCGTAATATCATGTAACCTCCAATTAAGCAACGTGAATGAGAAACTAAAGTCTTTTAATCTATTGTTTGATATATCTTATCACGGGCTTTTATATTTTCTCTCTTTTTGTGTCACACAGCTCCAGTTATGCCCTTGATAAAATCAGTCAGAATTATTTGCTATACAAGAGTCATTCATTGATTTGTCCATCCTTTCTATAAGCATTTCCTGAACATCTATTATGAGCAAGATACCACATTGGATGCTAGATAAAAAGAACAGAGAAATAAAGTCTATTCTTAAAGGCAGCACAGTCAAGGGAGGTATGGACAAGTGAATAAAGTGTGACAGTCACTGTGATGAGGGCTATGCTAAAGGTAAGCACAGGTGCTTGTGAGAATGCATAAGAGAGAAAAGGAGAAAAGTCTTAATATCAATGTCAACTTTTTTTAAGACTGCTTAACTCACAAACTAAATTAAGCAAACAAAACAAAGTGAGCCTCACAAAAGTATAATCTAATTTGGCATAAATTACATTTAAGAGTAAATCATTGAATAGAAACCTGAGTTACTCTAAGTTTTCTGAAAATGAAGATCACAGATTGCATGATAGGGCTTATTCTGTAACTTGAAAGAAGAAAGACTTTGTATTGTGAATGTATAGCTCAACAATGGGCTGTTGGTGCCAAGCAAGATAGCATAGGAAAGTGCAAATGCACAGGAGTATTTATGCCAAATCCCATTGCTGATATATGCCTTTTAAAATGAATCCTTCAGGAAAATTCCATATTGGCTCTAAGGAA
The DNA here is from genome assembly GCF_000001405.40 of Homo sapiens. Classification (NCBI taxonomy): domain Eukaryota; kingdom Metazoa; phylum Chordata; class Mammalia; order Primates; family Hominidae; genus Homo; species Homo sapiens. Next base: position 126,112,506 of record NC_000002.12, on the reverse strand, counting down.
AACTTCCCTTAAACTTTGTCTTTGGTGCACTTTCCATACGCAACTATATTCTTTTGACAAGAAGATGAATGTTAATTTTTTTTATCACAACAGTTTTTCTTATGCTTCATCTCCTGCTTGGAAACCTTTCTCTATATTTATCTAAATGTCCCCAACCCATAAAGGCTTAGTTTTAACAATCAACTAATATTGGGCAATTAGGTAATGTGCCAAGTACTTCAGTAGATGCTTGAATTAGAAAGGCAAGTAAGACAGGTTTGTCCTGTTCCTCATAGAACATTTTTTTGTGTGGTGGATTTAAACATGGCACTTATTTCACAGATATCTGATTACAACTTTGGTAAGTGCTGCGGAGAAGGTGAGGGTATAATGAGAGGGTGCTAATATGCTGCTGAATCACAGAAAGGAGATGGTGGTGCTTGTGGCTGACTCTAGGTTATACCAAATAAGTAGACGCAAAGTTGTACATGATCTTCTTGACTTTAAGGGTACTTATTGAAATTTAAGTTATTATTTTAAACACATTTATATTTTATAGACATATACTTGTTTATGGAGGTAAATACAAATTGAAAGGTTGATGTCACAAGACCAGACAAGAGAATATTTCTGTAAGGCAAGAGAAAAAATCTTATTCTAGGCTAGCATGTTACAGAGGAGATGGAAATAAATTGATAGAATTAAAACATATTAAACAAAAAAGCAGTAAATATTCATTGATGGAATATAAGAATAAACAAGAGATGAGTGAAAAGCATCTAATCTACTTGTTGGCTTGTGTGACTATGGTGGATAGAACACAGATAGCTAGAGAAAATAAGGTTAGAGATGAAGATCATGAGTTGACTTTTCAGCATTGAGACTTTGATTACCTATACGAAAAGTCTAGATAGATGTATTGAGTAGAATTTTGAAGTATGGAACTAAGAAAGCAAGTCTGAATTAGGGATCCAAATGTGGGAACTGTAAGACAGAAATTTGAGCCATCAGGATGGAAAATGTACATATATGTACATTTGTACGTATATGTACCATTTGTACATATATGGCAGGAAGGGAAGAATATCTTTAAACAGAAAACCTTGAGAAGTGCTTATACATTTATCAATCCAGTAGAGGAGATTAAATTGGCAAATACAATAAATTAGGTATGCCTTAGCCCAACCAACTCCACTCAATCCAGATAATTTAAACTGAACATGAGATAACTCTGCTAACACCTGCCCTTGACCTTGCCCAAACAATGTACTTAGTAAGTAAAGAACTTTTTTTCTTCATGTGCAAGGCTAATTCCAAGAACTGCCTCTCTCACGCCATCCTGGAATTATCCATCATCTCAGCAAATTAAAATATTTGAATACAAATGAAGTTCATATGAGAAAATATATTATTTACAATAATGGAAGCCACGTTTCTTCTGCTTGAGAAGTTCTCAAAAAGTACAAAACAAGAAGGTGAAATACCAGGGGAGTGAGCAACAAGTGGCTCGGGCTCAGACCCCTGGCAGTTACTTGGCCAGAATCCCTGCCCCTGTTTTCCCCTGCCCCGTATCCAGGGTAGGAAGGAAATAAAGCTCTCTCCATCAGAGAAGGGAATTACAAACATATAAACAGGTAGGGTGAAAAAAAAATGAATTCTGTGACATTGGAGTGAAGTTGAACATATCAATATTAGCTCAGACTTAGGATAGAAGATAGATGATAGATGAGTAGATGGATAGATAGAGAGAGACACAGAGAGAGAGAGAGAGAGAGAGAGAGAAGAAAGATAGATGGTAGATTTTCTAATTCTGTCAGTTTAGAGGGCCTAGAAGCAATGAAATCCCTGTATCAATGAACACATGCAGCACCCAGATTTTAGTTTTCTAATATTCTCCACTAAAGGGAACAACTGATCTTTTTGAGAAATAGCAAATTCCAGACTGTGTATGGGAAGTGTATATGAGTCTCAAATGTCTTCTTGTTCCAGAAGGTAGAAGATTGCTTAAAAAATGATGGGAACTTATTAGAAGGACAAAAGAACCTATTTAAATGACTTTTACTGGTCTAGTATGGGAGAAACTCATCATAAAATAAGTAATGGTAGTAATGAATCATAATCTATTGAATAAAATAATTCATTAGTCTAATACTGACATATATATACATTTATATATACGTACATAAATACATAAGATAATAAAATTCTTCCTTATAGGAGAAAGGCAATTAGTAAATGTAGAAGAAGAAATGGAATTTGAAAATCACTATTTGGCCACCATCATGGTAATAATTGCTTGAGTCAAGAATCATCAGTGGATCATTCTAATGGGTGGAAGTTTAACCACTAACAGGATATTTCATGGTCTCAAAGCCTCTTCCCACAAGATGTTTATAATAAAAAATAAAAAGCAGAAACTTCAGAGCAAAGAAGTCTGACAGACACTGCCAAAATCAGTCAAGCCAATATCATGTGTTTCCTAATACAATGCACTAAGAGAGGCACAATATCACTTCTGCAGCATCCTTGCCAAAAACACCTAATGATAGTTTTATTATGATGAAACAATGAACCACTTTCAAACTGAGGACATTTTATGAAATAATTTGTCAGAACTCTCAAAAATTATCAAATAAATGAAATATAAAAAGAGCTGTTAAGGACTTGGAGGACTGTTAGATTATAGAAAAGTAAAAAGTCTTTACAGCTAAATGCAACAAATAAAGATGCAATATTTTTATAAAAAACATTGAACAACTAGCAAAAATTGTGTCTATATATAATAGCATTATAGCAGTATTAAATTTTGATTTTAATTATTTTCCCCTAATCATGAAATTTCTATTTTAGAAAATATAAAGTGTTTTGGGGTGAAGAGAATATGTATTGAAAAAATACGTACATGTTATGAAGAAAAAAGAAAATGGTGTAAACTGTTAGCTCTTGGAAAATGAGTAAACAGTAAGATAATTATTTGTGCTATTCTAACTATTTTTCTACAAGTCTGAAATTATATCAAAATGATATTTAAAAGAAAAAAATACGAGATAGATTTTTATGACTTGTATAGTTCCTGCTTATTGTAAATTTTTGAAATATAAAAGTGTATGTAAAAAAACAAATAAATGACCATTATCTCACCACTAAAATATATTCATTGTTAAAACTTTAGTAATTACATTTTAGTCTTATATTCTCCACTGGAACACATACACACACCAATACACGATTTCAATACTTAACTTTCATTTGTTAATAAAAGCACATTTTCCTAGGTTTTAAAATATTCTTACACATTTTAATGAAAATATAATGATCTATACTTCAAATATATTATAATTCATTGAATCACTCTCCCCTTTTTCATTATTTATGTAATATTATGCACTTATATATAACACTATAATAAAAACACAATTGTGGATAAATTTCGTATGCATTTATTATTTCCCTAGAATTCGTTCTTAAGAGGAAAATTTCTAGGTGAGGTTATGTTAATATTTTTATTTCCTCTGAATGTATGTCATGCCTCTCCAGTCGATTAATCATTTCTCTGACTCTTCGGTCTCCTCAGTCATATTTCTCCCCTTACTCCCTCTCAGCAAATAACGTTTGTACCTACTACATCACAAAGAAGAAGGAAAATACATCTTAGATTTTCTGCTAACCAGTCTAGGAGTAGATTCACATTTTTGCCCATTTTTCTCTTTCCTTCTGGTTACAATAATGGAGTTACCCTTCCACCTATCCAAAGTCAATCTCTTCACAAGATCTTTGCATCTCCTAACTTTATTTTTCAGGACCCTTAAAGATTGACTATCCCTTCTATATTATTTATATTTACTTTAAATATTTAATATTGAAATATACTTAGTTGTCTTCCTATCTGACAAACAGAATATACTCTCTCTTCTTTTTCAAAGTCAGAATTATTTGAATATTATTTATTCTGTCTCCAATTTATCACCTTCCATTCCTCAGTGTTGTTCAACCTGCTTTTATCCAAATAACCATGTAATAATAGCTTTTCAAAGGTCATCTCCCCCTTGACCTTTAATCTAATGCAGATCTTTTGGACTCTAATTCACTTGCTTTCCAATAGTTTTCAACAGTATTAAACATATCTACCTGTCTTTTCAGTTTATATTCCCTTATCAGAATATTCCATCTGGACTGATAATTTTAATTATCACTTACCTACTGACAGTTCCCAAATATTATTTTTGTCTTAATTTCTCCATTTAGATGCACATTCTATGCATGTAGGACAAGAATGTCTCAAATGCTTTCTATGTCTATGGTGAGGTAACCTGAACACCTATGCATATCAGTCATTTTACATTGTAAATGCCTATTCATGACCCAGGTGAAGTTGGGTGAAGATTGAGTAGCTATTCTCCAAGTGATGTCTTAGGGATTCAGTCTCCTTCCAAAATGTGACTTACTCAGCAATTTTGAAGATCTAGGCTTCAGTGAGTGGAAAAAAATTAGGGTGGGAGATCCCGAAGGACCTTATAGGCACTAGAAATAGAAATGGCTTATCTACTCACATTCTGTTGGCCAGGAGTGGCAATGCCTAGATCCTAATGTGCTGGAAAATGCAGTTTTCTTAGCTGCTCAAAAGGAAACCAAAATTTGATGAATGTGTTATCTCAGCTCCTGTTCCCCAAATGGAAAAAGGGAAAACCCATTCCTTCCAGTTCCTCCAATGCTCCTCCTATCTTCCAATATTCTTCCAATGCTCCTATCTAAATAATTGGCAGCCTCTTTATAATTGGTACATTTTTAGCTTCATATTCATCTTCCTCCCCAGTTTAAAACCCTTTAATCATGTGCCTTAAGATAGATGACACATTTATAATTCTTAAGGTATCACACAACAACCTGAACAATCTGACCTTATTGTAGCATCCTCCAACCCCCTATCATATGTCCTCCAGTTACCCTATACTTTGATAATCTTTTGATGTGCTATTTTGTTTTCTATCTAATAGTACTTGACTGTAGTATTCCCTTCTCCCAAAATTGTTTGCCTAGCCCTTACTACATCAATTATATATTTTTTTCTTCAGATTAGATCTCAAATATTGCTTTCTCAGGTAATTTTTCTTTGATCTCACAGTTTAGAGAAGTTCCTCCTATTCTACACTTTCTCAATTTGGCGTGTTTTTCTTTCTTTTGCATACCACAGTTATAATTTTGCATTTAACTGTATGGTTAATTGAAATATCTCTATCTCTTCCATATGTAGTAAGAAGATATTCAGAACAGAATAAATACCATTAATTTCCACATGTTATACACAGGGCCTATCTCACAGCAGGACCTCAGTAACTATTTATTGAGTGAGTAAATAGATTAATGAATACATGAGTCAAAGGCTTATTTTCTCTTATTGCAAAATGTTTCACAGGAAAGTCATCTTCAGTGAGTAGAGACTCATCACATACTATCACAAATATGAACATTAATTTTGCTTTCCATTGCGATTCAGGCCATTTCTATTAAATTGTCTAAGCTCTTTTGTGGTAAGTATTTTCATGGCTGCAACAGTTTACACTCACATTCCACATAAGCAGTACAGAGAAATATACCCCTTCATTTTTCTTGAAGTTTGTAAAAAATAGGAAGTTCTAATTATTCTACCTTTTCTCAATCCAAGAGAATTTGCATTTTTAATTTTACTTCACTATTGATAGTCTCTCAACAAAAATGGAAACCAGTTAGCCAGTTGTATCTATCCTTCTCTAATTTGGAGACTGGTCTTTCATTTCCCAAGATCACATATACTTGCAAAACTAATTTGTACTAAGAGAGAGACATTAATAATATGGTACACTAGGAAGTGCTAGGTCCTTGTTCCTACATAAAGAAGCTATCATGGAGTAAAAATGCCAGACAACTGAAAATAAGCCATGTTAACAATGGGACCAGAATTTCACATTAAGTAGTAAAAACAAGATTTTTTTTAAATCTTATAAACAACATTTAAATATACAAATTTAAGGATATTTTAGGTTTTTCAAAGGTACATTTGAAATTGTCAGGTATGGTTTCTGACAAGCCCCTCAATCCTAATATATATCATATTATCTTATTGTACCCTTTATTTCTTTTTCAACAAATTTAATGAAATTAATTTAATAATTTTTTTTAATGTCAAGTAGACAACAACAGACTAACTAGAATAGCTTTGTGGGAGCTCTAGAAACCAGGCAAGGGTTTATAGCAGCTAAGTGAAGACCTAATAAAGAGAGAGAACACACACACACACACAACACACACACATGCACACACAGCACACACACACAACACACGTGCACACACACAAAACATACACAACACACACGCACAACACACACACAATACACACACACACACCACACACACACATTCAAAACAGTGGGAAATTGTGTCGTGTTTTTGTTCACCCTACCACATTCTTTTTGCAATGCAATGTGGCTTGATACAGTCAGGAGGAAGCTACCTAGTTGCCAGTTCCTCCTTCATGATGGAAGAGAATGAGTAAAATTAACTGGCAATGTTTGGCTTGTCTGGGGGCTACCCAAGGAACTGATTTCAGTCTCACCTGACTTGGAACTAATGCAGGAATGGAGGCATGGTTTGGATATCATGTTGAAGGTGACAGAAAGCAGTGGCTGGTGCTGTAGCATGTAAAAAGTGCAGAGGAATTGGAGACCTATGGGGATGTCTGACAGCAAGAGATTACAAGCAGAAAACTACACAGAAAATCCAACGCCTTGAGAGAAGCAGAGGTTAGATTCTTGGGAAAGTTAGACGTTTAAAAACAGCCATGTGTATGGATAAATTGAGTAAACAGCATACACACATGCTCAGGAAATGTGCATGCCCAGAAAGAACTAAAAGAACTTAAGCTTTCATGTTGAGTCAATTAGTGAAGGACTTTCCCTTCATGGAGTCAATCTACAAAGACTGGGAGAAGTGGCTGATTTTACGAATGCCCAATTTTCTATAAAAGATCACAAGTCATATGAAGAATCAGGGGAACAAGTCCATTCAAAGTAAGAAAATAACTCTCCAGAAACCCACCCTGAAGAAACATAGGATTCAGATTTACTAGACAAATACATTAAAAAATTAAAACAACTGTCCTGAATATACTAAAAGGGCTGAAGAGAAATATAAAGAACTAAAGTAAATCTGGATAATGATATGTGACAAAATGTGAATGTAAAAAAAAGAAATATAAATTATTAAAAAATTACCAAACAGCAATTTTGGACCTACAAAATACAATAACTGAATTCAAATGTTAACTACAGGAGTTCAACAACAGATTTGAATAGGTATAATACAAAATTAGCAAACTTGAAGACAAATCATTTGAAGTTATTGAATCTATGGAGGAAAAAAACTGTAGAAAAGCAAGCAGAGACCAAGGGACATATGAAATGCCATCAATTGGGCCAATATATACATTATATAGGTTCCAGAAAGAGAAGAGAGAAAGGCATATGTAGTTTATTTGAAGAAATAATGGCCAAAAATATTCCAAATTTGAGCAAAGACATATACAAATACAAGAAGCTTAACCAACTACTTATAGAATAAATTCAAGGAGACCCACACCAAGACACATTATATTCAAACTGTTAAAAGTTAAAGACAAAGAGAGAAACTTGAAAATAGTAAGAGAAAAGTGACTCATCACATCTCAGACTTCCTCAGTAAGATTATTAATGGATTTCTCCACGAGAAACCTTGCAGGCTGGCAAGCAGTGGAATGATAAAGTGGTGAAAGAAACAGAAATAAAGACAAAAACTGTTCACCAAGAGTATTATATCCTGCAAAATAATCTTTCAAAAATGAGAAATAAATTAAAGCATTTCCATGTAAACAAAAGCTAAGGGAGTTTATTACCACTAGAACTACTCTAGAAGAAATGATAAAGGAACTCCCTCAAGTTGAAATAAAATCATACTAGGCAGCAACTTGAAACACTACAAATTAAATATATGGACAAATATAAAAACCTCTATTATTTCAATTTTGATTGGCAACTCCACTTTTTGTTTATAGAATTTTTTAAAAAATAAAGAATTATAAATCTATGTTAATAAGTACACAATAGGCCGGGCACAGTGGCTCAAACCTGTAATCCCAGCGCTTTGGGAGGCTGAGGCGGGTGGATCATGAGGTCAGGAGATCGAGACTATCCTGGCTAACACGGTGAAACCCCGTCTGTGCTAAAAATAGAAAAAACGAGCCGGGCGTGGTGGCGGGCGCCTGTAGTCCCAGCTACTCAGGAGGCTGAGGCAGGAGAATGGTGTGAACCCGGGAGGCGGAGGTTGCAGTGAGCCGACATTGCACCACTGCACTCCAGCCTGGGCGACAGAGCAAGACTCCATCTCAAAAAATAAAAAAATAAATAAATAAATAATAAGTATACAATATATAAAGATGTAACTTGTGGCATCAATAACATAAAGTGGGGGAAATGTTTAGTTAAGTAGAGGGGAGGTAACATTTTATTTCCTGTACTCCTGATGGTAAACTCATTCATGGCTTTCACAATTGCAGACCAAGCATTAATTTTTTTTCTAATATTCTTAGTAAGTCCACTTTAATAATTATTTTTAAGAAAGTTTTCAAATAACATCTTTATTTCTGCCTTCATTTCGTTGTGTACCCAGTAGTCATTCAGGAGCAGGTTGTTCAGTTTCCATGTAGTTGAGCGGTTTTGAGTGAGTTTCTTAATCCTGAGTTCTAGTTTGATTGCACTGTGGTCTGAGAGACAGTTTGTTATAATTTCTGTTCTTTTACATTTGCTGAGGAGAGCTTTACTTCCAACTATGTGGTCAATTTTGGAATAGGTGTGGTGCAGTGCTGAAAAAAATGTATATTCTGTTGATTTGGGGTGGAGAGTTCTGTAGATGTCTATTAGGCCCGCTTGGTGCAGAGCTGAGTTCAATTCCTGGGTATCCTTGTTAACTTTCTGTCTCGTTGATCTGTCTAATGTTGACAGTGGGGTGTTAAAGTCTCCCATTATTATTGTGTGGGAGTCTAAGTCTCTCTGTAGGTCACTAAGGACTTGCTTTATGAAACTGGTTGCTTCTGTATTGGGTGCATATATATTTAGGATAGTTAGCTCTTCTTGTTGAATTGATCCCTTTACCATTATGTAATAGCCTTCTTTGTCTCTTTTGATCTTTGTTGGTTTAAAGTCTGTTTTATCAGAGACTAGGATTGCAACACCTGCCTTTTTTTGTTTTCCATTTGCTTGGTAGAACTTCCTCCATCCCTTTATTTTGAGCCTATGTGTGTCTCTGCACATGAGATGGGTTTCCTGAATACAGCACACTGATGGGTCTTGACTCTTTATCCAATTTGCCAGTCTGTGTCTTTTAATTGGAGCATTTAGCCCATTTACATTTAAGGTTAATATTGTTATGTGAATTTGATCCTGTCATTATGATGTTAGCTGGTTATTTTGCTGGTTAGTTGATGCAGTTTCTTCCTAGCCTCGATGGTCTTTACAATGTGGCATGATTTTGCAGTGGCTGGTACCGGTTGTTCCTTTCCATGTTTAGTGCTTCCTTCAGGAGCTCTTTTAGGGCAGGCCTGGTGGTGACAAAATCTCTCAGCATTTGCTTGAAAAAATGCTCACCATCACTGGCCATCAGAGAAATGCAAATCAAAACCACAATGAGATACCATCTCACACCAATTAGAATGGTGATCATTAAAAAGTCAGGAAACAACAGGTGCTGGAGAGGATGTGGAGAAGTGGGAACAGTTTTACACTGTTGGCGGGACTGTAAACTAGTTCAACCATTGTGGAAGTCAGTGTGGCAATTCCTCAGGGATCTAGAACTAGAAATACCATTTGACCCAGCCATCCCATTACTGGGTATATACCCAAAGGACTATAAATCATGCTGCTATAAAGACACATCCACACGTATGTTTATTGTGGCACTATTCACAATAGCAAAGACTTGGAACCAACCCAAATGTCCAACAATGATAGACTGGATTAAGAAAATGTGGCACATATACACCATGGAATACTATGCAGCCATAAAAAGTGATGAGTTCATGTCCTTTGTAGGGACATGGATGAAATTGGAAATCATCATTCTCAGTAAACTATCGCAAGAACAAAAAACCAAACACCGCATATTCTCACTCATAAGTGGGAATTGAACAGTGAGAACACATGGACACAGGAAGGGGAACATCACACTCTGGGGACTGTTGTGGGTGGGGGGAGGGGGGAGGGATAGCATTAGGAGATATACCTAATGCTAAATGACGAGTTAATGGGTGCAGCACACCAGCATGGCACATGTATACATATGTAACTAACCTGCATGTTGTGCACATGTACCCTAAAACTTAAAGTATAATAATAATAAAATAAAATAAAAAATAAAACACAGATGCAGAAAAAAAATAAAAAAATAAAAAAAAGAAAGGTAAGGTGGATGGTGTTTAAAGGGGAAGACTTAAAGTGATGAAATATTAACTGCTGTTAAAACTAAATCAGGATATCCCAGTATCATTTGATAAATATAATTGGTGAACTTCCCCATAATGAGAAATAATAAGTAGGTGCTAGAAGCCCACCAAAAGGTACAGAATGTCTCTGAGGTGACTTTGTTTTTGGAAAGAGTAAGAAAAAGCATTCTAAAGACTAATTTGATTCTACGATTTTTTAATTGGCCCCACTTCTTTTTATATCAGCTTAGCACGGAAACTCCAAGGGCACTCTCCTTTTACCCCTAGAGCCTCATCTCAACTTCTTAAAGAGTGCCCCTAAAACTGGATAAACACAATATTATGTTTGAAGTTCCACGTTTATACCTCTCTCCTGAGATGTTATCATTCTCAGGAGAGAGGTATATTTTATATATATATCACTTTTATTTCACTATTTTCCATGTTCTGTATATTTTTCCTGACTCCTCCTTCTCTAACACCTTCCCTTCCAGCTCTGATTCCCACTCAACATTTGGCTTAACCGCCCACCTCCCAAGTACACCTATATTTCCTGTCCATTCTCACCAACACTCTAGTTATTTACGTATAAACTGCTGTACATCAGATAAGCCCAAATAATTTCCGTTGCAGTCTTTCCTTATCATATTCTCTCTTCCCTGACAGCCAGAATGAATTAATCATCTTCAAAGCACATCTGCATTCTGAAAAAAAATGTCAATTTTAAAGCCAGCAATATGCATTATGCTAGGGAAAAAAGATGCAAGTACTTTGGGAAAACACAAGTGAGAAAATGTAATGCACACATCTATAGGAAATTAAGGTGTGCTACACAGTAGAACTTGACAAGGTCTGGGATGTGAAATGCATAGCATTTTGTCAGAGCTGATGAAATCCATGTTATCCTTTCGAAGCCTGCCAGTACAAAGACAGCTCAACACAAAAAGTCTTGCCTAGCTTGACAATCAAATAGAACCTTACACAGAAGCTGCATAATCAGAGAGTTGAAAAAATTGGAATATGTTCTTTCAATCAGTACCACAAAGAACTCTATTTAAACAAATACAAATATATGTGGAAAGAAATAGAAACAAAACATTTTAAAATGACACAACCCGAAACAGCTGGATCATTTCAGCATGGATGATCCTATTTTCTTGCCACAGCAATATAATTTATAGTTTTGTTAAATGTGTTTTGTTTATTAGAAGAATCCAGACAGATTGCTGATTTTTGTTTCAATTGTAATAACAATTTCAGCAAACAAATGACCACTTAAAGCCACACTTTTATGGGATACAATTTGTTTCTGTTCTTTTCAGACTGCTACCATATTAAAAATATTTTTCCCACACCTGTTTGTTCAAGGACATTTAAAGAGCACTGATACATATTCAAATTGATGTACTTTCATAATGTACTTATGATGGTATCTTAGTCCATTTGTGTTGCTATAAAGGAACACCTGGTAATTTATAAAGAAAAGAGATCTATTTGGCTCACGGTTCTGAAGGCTGTGCAAAAAGCATAGTGCCAGCATCTGCTTCTGGTGAGGGACTCTGGCTGCTTCCACTCATGGTGGAAGGTGAAGAGGAAGCCCATGTATTCAGATCACATGGCAAGAGAGGAAGCAAGACAGAAGGAGGTGCTAGGCTATTTTAAACAACCAGCTTTTGTGGGAACTAATAGAGCAAGAATTCACAGATCACCATGAAGGTATCACCAAGCAACTCATGAAGGATCCACCTTCATGACCCAAACACCTCTCAGTAGGTCTCACCTCTGATATTGGAGATCAGATTTCAAACTGAGATTTGGCAGGGCCAAACAAATCAAACTAGCAGATGGCCATTCTCAGCTAATCATAGAAGAAAAGCAAACCACGAATGACCACATCTACAGGGCATTATATTAAATAATATGTGTAGCACTAAGATGAGCCAGATGCTAACTCCTTCCTCCTATGCTTATCCCCTGAGGGAGATGTCTGGAACCAGCAACCAATTTATGCATTAATTCATTCACCCATGCAACTCCTTCTTCCAAAAGTAATTATAAATATCAAGGAGAAGATTGTTATTGATCTACAGGGCAATGTTAATAAAACTGAAGAAGTAGGATGTTATCATTATTTTGGAGGTAGAATCATAGATTTACGTAGCTGATTACATTTGGAACTCAAAGGCAAGGGTCAAGCCAAATAGAACTGAAGTTTTGTAACCCTGAGCCAAGGTACTGGCTAGTTGAATAATTAGATGGACGACAATGTGTTAATATGTTTTGGTAGGGGGTTGATATGTTTGTTTCAGAAGGTATTAAGGTTAAGGCATCAATGAAGTATCTTAGTAATGAAAATACAGAGCATTACAAGAAATAGCCTACTTCAGGCAAGCCACAATAATGCTCCAGAGTGTCTCTAAAACATTCAAGGCCTTTTCAAATATCCACGACTTTTGCAAATGTTTTTCACACTAAGACAGATGACCTTTGAGGCTCTTCCTATCAGACAAAGCATGAGGCATTTCTCAAAGTTCCAGAAACACATCCCATATTTCTTTTTTTATTTTTAATTTTTATGGGTACATAGTTGGTGTATTTATTTATGAGGTATATGAGATATTTTAATATAGGCATGCAATGCATAATAATCACATCAGAGTAAATGGGGTATCCATCACTTCTAGCATTTATCCTTTGTAGTACACACAATCCAATTATACTTTTTTAGTTATTTTAAAATGTACAATTAAATTATTATTGACTATAGCCACCCTGTTGTGCTATCAAATACTAGGTCTTATTCACACTTTCTATTTTTTTGTGTGTACCCATTAACCATTCCCACTTCCTCCCCACATCTCTCAGTACACTCCAGCCTCTGGTAACCATCCTTCTTACCCTCTATCTCAGTGAGTTGAGTTGTTTTAATTTTTGGCTCCTACAAATAAGTGACAGCATGCAAAATTTGTCATTCTGAGCTAGGCTTATTTCACTTAGCATAATGTCCTCCAGTTCAATCAATCCGTGTTGTTGCAAATGACAGGATATCACATTTTGTTTATTGCTGAATACTACTCTCTTGTGTATATGTACCACATTTTCTTTATCTATTCATTTATTGATGGGCAATTAGGTTTCTCCAAAATCTCAGTTATTGTGAATAGTGCTGCAATAAACATAGGAGTGCAGATGTCTCTTTGATACACTTTATTTCTTTTGGGTATATACATAGAAGTGAGATTGCTGGATAATATAATGGTTCTAGTCTAGATCTTTGAGGAACCTCCAAAGTGTTTCCCACAGTGGTTGTACTAATTTGCATTCCACAGTGTATGAAGGTTCCCTTTTTTCCACATTTGTTATTGTCTGACTTTTGGATATAAGCCATTTTAACTGGGCTGAGATGATATCTCATTATAGTTTATATTTGCATTTCTCTGATGATCAATAATGTTGAGCACCTTTTCATATACCTGCTTACCATTTGTATGTCTTCTTTTGAGAAATGTCTATTCAGATACTTTGCCCATTTTTAAATCAGATTATTAGATTTTTTCTGTAGAGTTGTTTGAGCTCCTTTTATATTCTGGTTATTAATACCTTGTCACATGGGTAGCTTGTAAATATTTTCTCCAATTATGTGGGTTGTCTCTTCACCTTGTTGATTGCTTCCTTTGCTGTGTGGAAGATTATCGTATTAGTCAGGGTTCTCTAGAGGGAGAGAACTAGTGGAATAGATACATACATATGTAAAAGGAGTTTAAGTATTAACTCACAGAATCACAAGGTTCCACAATAGGCTGTCTGCAGGCTGAGGAGCAAGGAGAACCAGTCTGAGTTCTAAAACTGAAGAACTGGGAGTCCAGTGTTCAAGGGCAAGAAGCATTCAGCACAGGAGAAACATGTAGGCTGGGAGGCTAGGCAAGTCTCTCTTTTCACATTTTTCGGCCTGCTTTTTATTCTCGCCATGCTGGCAGCTAATTAAATTGTGCCCACCCCCATTAACACTTGATGACTCAAATGTTAATCTCCTTTGGCAACAGCCTCACAGGTACACTCAGGATTAATCCTTTGTATTTTTCAATCTAATCAAGTTGACATTCAGTATTACCCATCACAAGTCCACCTCTTTTCAACTTTAACCCATACACATCTCCTGAGATCATATATAATCTTCAAATAAAGACAATAATAAGGTCATAATTACCTCTAACATAACACAACTATCCTTCATACAAGCAGAAATGCACAAATCCCCAAACTAAATCCTATTACAAAAAATTAACATTACTTAAATGCTAATGTGAAGTCAATAAATCTTATGTCACATGATAAAGGAGAAAGGAAATAAAACCAAGATATTTTCTTAGTACAAGTGTATGCATTCACAAACAAGTTTTTAACAAAAGAAGGCGAAAATACTCATGACAAATACAATCCTTGTTTCTGCAGCTGGTCACATGGTCATAGCTACTGTTGACTACCTTCTATTACCCATTCTGAATTACCTTTGCTTCAGCAAGCACCTCAGCAGGTCATGGTTTTGTTTTGTTTTGTTTTATTTTCCTGGTGGAGTGACCCAGAACTTTATTTCTAACACATCTGGGTCATTTGTAGTCCTCCCTGGATTTGGCTGTTGTAGTTTCCCATTGACTTTAACCACAGGGCATGGTAATACTAAGAGACTTCCCAATGGATCTCCTGTATTCCATGCTTACTCTTCCTTACCTCCGTTGTGGAGTGGTAGACTGATTTCATCTTGATAGTCCAGGTCAGTCACCCCCGCCAACACTATAACTCCCATTTTAGCCTGTTGACTTAAAGGTAGGAGGAGGCCAAAATGTCCATGTGGCAATCTTAACTTCCAGTTTAATGAAATCCTTGTTTTGTCTTCTGGTGGCAGCATTCCTCCCTAGGGAACAAAGACTTCTAGGCCGGCAGGAGGTAATGTCGTGGGAACAGGAAGAAAAAATGTTGCTAGTGGGTCACTAGGGGTGATGGTGAGTGGTGCCACTTCCACTTCCACCCCTTGATTTCTGGACCCATGAAGGCTGGCTATGGGTGATTCAGAGTGTACATGGCCTTCTGGAGAACTTTACCCTAGCCCTGCAAAGTATTGTCATCGAGTTGGCATTGCAGTTGCGACTTCAAACGGCCATCACTGTTGCCTCAGACAGCACAGGGTTTATCTCCTCAAACAATGGTGGAAAGGCTGATGGGCTGATGGCAGCATGGGTCACAGAGGGGATATTGCCACTACTGGGGATGGGAAGCTGCTTCTTCTAGCAAAAAGGCTTATCAGAGTTTACAATCTCAGTGTCCCCAGCTTCATCAGAGTCCTCTCACACATCCCCATTCCAAGTTGCATGGTTCCATTCTTTTCCAATCAATGCCCTCACTTTAACCGTAGACAACTGACAAGGCTGTGCATACACCTTTTGTTGCAGGTCAGCCACTTTCGGGTTAAGAGCTTATGTCTGTTTTTCCACAATTTCAGCTTTTTCTCCACAGGAGACAAGACTCTCACTCAGGGCAATCCTAGTAGATTTGATGCTAGTCTCTGCTTCTGAAGCCAGGAGATAGAATCCCTGAGTTCATCATTTTATTTCATCACTTTTTCTACCGAACTTAGGAGCAACCAACCAGCTTCCATATGTTCCTTGGTTCTCCACATATGGTCAAAGGTGTTATGTATGGAGTCACTAAACTCCTTGCCTCTCATGAGCAATGAATCAGGAGTGTCAAATGCATTTATTTTGCATAATTCTCTAAACAGTTCATGCTAAGGATGATCAGTGTTCTCCATACTATTAGAAGTAGAGTTCTTAGCATTTTTGGGTCTAACCATATTAAGCAGCCAACTCCAGAAACCCCAAAACCAAACAAAAATCTGTATCAGTCCTGGCTCTCTAGGGGGACAGAAATATATATTTCATTAGTTCTGTCCCTCTGAACACTATATATATATATATATATATATTTATATATATATATATATATATATAAAAGAGTTTATTAAGTAGTATTAACTCACATGATCACAAGGTCCCACAATAAGTCATCTGCAGACTGAGGAGCAAGGAGAGCCAGTCCAAGTTCCCAAACTGTAGAACTCAGAGTCTGATATTCAAGGGCAAAAAACATTCAGCATGGGAGAAAGATGTTGGCCGGGAGGCTAGGCCAGTTTCTCTTTTCTCATTTTTCTGCCTGCTCATATTCTAGCCACGCTGGCAGCTGATTAGATTGTGCCTGCCTAGATTAAGGGTGGGTCTGCCTTTCCAAGCCCACTGAGTCAAATGTTAATCTCCTCTGGCAACACCCTCACAAACACACCCAGGATCAATACTTTGTATTTTTCGATCCAACGAAGCTGACACTCAGTGTTAACCATCACATTTATTAACATACTGTGATCTCATTTGTCTAGTTTTGCTTTGTTTACCTGTGCTTCTGTAGTATCACTAAAGAAACTTTGCTTAATCCAATGTGCCGTATAGTTGGTCTATATGTCTGTTTGTATACTAGTATCATGATGTTTCGGTTACTATACCTCTGTAGTATAATTTGAAATCAGGTAATGTGATTCCTCCAGCTTTGTACTTTTTGCTTAAGATAGCTCTGGCTATTCTACATCTTTTGTGGTTCCATATAAATTCTAGAATTTTTTTTTATTTCCGTGAGGAGTGTCATTGGTATTTTGATAGGAGTAGCATTAGGTCTGTAGATTGCTTTGAGTATTAGAAGCATTTTAGGAATATTGACTCTTCCAATCCATGAACATAGAATATCTTCTCATTATTTTGCATCCTCCTCAATTTCTTGTATCAATATTAGTTTTGTTGTTACTGTACTTTAAGTTCTGGGATACATGTGCAGAACATGCATGTTTGTTACATAGGTATACACATGCCATGGTGGTTTGCTGCACCCATCAACCCATCATCTACATTAGGTATTTCTCCTAATGCTATCCCTCCCCTAGCCCCCGACTCCCCAGCAGGCCCTGGTATGTGATATTCCCCTCCCTGTGTCCATGTGTTCTCACTGTTCAACTCCCGCTTATGAGTTAGAACATGTGGTGTTTGGTTTTCTGTTCCTGTGTTAGTTTGGTGAGAATGATGGTTTCCAACTTCATCCATGTCCCACAAAGGACATGAACTCATCCTTTTTTATGGCTGCATAGTATTCCATGGTGTATATGTGCCACATTTTCTTTATCCAGTCTATCATCGATGGGCACTTGGATTGGTTCCAAGCCTTTGCTATTGTGAACAGTGCTGCAATAAACATATGTGTGCATGTGTCTTTATAGTAGAAGGATTTATAATCCTTTGGGTATATACCCAGTAATGGGATTGCTGGGTCAAGTGGTATTTCTGGTTCTAGATCCTTGAGAAATCGCCACACTGTCTTCCACAAATGTTGAACTAACTTACACTATAGTTTTTATTGTAGACATCTTTCATTATTTTCATTAACTTAATTTCTAGGTGTTTTAATTGTTGATATAATAATAAGATTACATCCTTGATTTCTTTTACAAATTGTTTGCTGTTAAAATATAGAAATGTTACTGGTTTTTGTATGCTGATTTCGTATCCTACAACTTTACAGAACTTGTTCTTTAGTTTTGATAGTTTTCTTGTGAAGTCTTAAAAATTTTCCAAACATAAGATCATTTCATCTGCAAAAAAGGAAAATTTGACTTCTTTTTCTTTCAATTTGGATGCCCTTTATTTCTTTCTCTTGTTTTTGTGGAATAACAGTAGTGAAAGTAGCTCGTTGTCATGTTCCAGATCCTAGATGAAAGATTTCAGAATTTCCCCATTCAGTATAATACTACATGTGGTTTTGCTGTATATGGCTCTTATTATGTTGAGTTATGTTTCTTCTGTACCCAATTTTTGAGGGATTTTTAAATTAAGAAGAAGTGTTGAATTTTATCAAATGCTTTTTCAGCATTAATTGAAATGATTATATAGATTTTATCCTTCATTCTGTTAAAATGTATCACATTGATCAATTAGCATTTGTTGAAACATACTTGCATTCTTTAGATAAATCTCACTTGGTCATGATGAATAATCTTTTTAATGTGTTGTTGAACTCAATTTGCTAGTATTTTGTTGAAGATTTATGCATCAATATATATAAGGGATATTGACCTGTAGTTTTCTTTCTTAAATGTGTCTTCATCTGGTTTTGGTATCAGGCTAATACCGTCCTTGTAGAATAAGTTTGGAAGTGTACATTCCTCCTCTACTTCTTGAAATAGTTTGAGTGGGATTGATATTAGTTCTTTAAGAGTTTAGTATAACTCAGCTCTGAAACCATTGGGTCCCAGGCTTTTCTTTGCTGGCACACTTTTTTGTACAGCTTTGATCTTGTTACTTGTTATTGATCTGTTTAGGCTTTGGATTTCTTCATGGCTCAATCTTGGTAGGTTCTATGTGTCAAGGAATTTATTCATTTTTTCTAGATTTTGAATTTATTGGCATATAGTTGCTCATAGTAGCCACTAATGGTCCTTTAAATTCCTGTGGTGTCAGTTGTAATGTCTCCTTTTTCATAACCGATTTTATTTAATTGGGTCTTCTGTGTTTTTTTCTTAGTCAGTCTGGCTAAAGGTTTGTAAGTTTTATTTATATTTTCAAAAACAGCTTTTTAATTTTACTGATCTTTTGTATTATTTTCATTTCAATTATATTTATTTCTGCTCTAATTTTTTTATTTATTTTCTTCTACTAAATTTGGGCTTGGTTTGCTCTTGCTTTTCTGTTTCTTTAAAATGCATCATGAGGTTATTTATTTGAAGTTTTTCTTCTTTTTTTGATGTAGACTCTTACTATAACATTTCCTCTTAATACTGCTTTCACTATATCCCATAAGCTTTGATATGTTGTGTATCCATTATCATTTGTATCAAAAATTATTAATTTGTTTATTATTTTTTTCATTGATCCACTTATTCATGAACATAATTTTTAATTTCATGTGTTCATATAGCTTCCAAAATTCTTGTTGTTATTGATTTCTAGTTTTATTCCTTTGGAGTCAGAGGATATGCTTGATATAATTTCAATTTTTGTGAATGTTTTAAGATTTGATTTGGGAGCTAACATATGATCTATCCTTGAGAATGCTCCATGTGTTAAGGAGAAGAATGTGTATTCTGTAGCTGTTAGATACAATTTTCTGTAAAAGTAGATTAAGTCTACTGTTTTGAATTTTGGTGGCCCCTCTCCCACTGCTCCATTAGGCATTACTCGGGTGAAGACTAGCAGATACAACCCCACGTTTCCATTCAGCAATGCTCTAATAAAGGCTCTCTGAAGTGACTTCACCCTTGCAGTAAGTCTCTGCCTGGGCCCCTACACTTTCAGCAACATCCTTTGAAATATGGGTGGAGGCTGTCATGCCTCCCTAGCTGTTGCATTTAGTGGCCCTGCAGAATTCATACCACATTGATACCTCCAAGTTTTATGTCGTACACCTTTGGGAGCAGCAAGATTGAGCCACACCTTGGGCCACTGGAGCCTCAGCTGGGGTGGCCAAGGAGTGCTGTGCTGAAATGCAGGGAACAGATACCCATGGGGCACCTGAGCAGCAAGCCTGTGGAGGGCACACCAGGTCTGTCCCACAAAACTATCCTGCCCTCCTAGGCCTCTGGGCCTGTGATGGGAGGGGTTGCCTCAATGATCTCAGAAATGTGTCCAGGTCTTTCTTCCATTCTTTTGGTCATGCACTCTCTAGGTACAAATCTTAGCAAAAGGTTGCTGGGCCACAAATACTAGGTTTTCTCTACCTAACAAGTTTTTTTCACTCTGTACAGGGGCAGGCTGAGAGTTTTCCAAATCTTTTCACTTTACTTTCCTTTTGATTATAAATTTCATGTTTAAGTCATTTTTCCTTCTAAAAGCTTAATGCATTCCAGGCATAGTGGCTCATGTTTGTAATCCTAGCATTTTGGGAGGCCAAGGCAGGAGAGCCTCTTGAGCTCAGGAGTTTAAGACCAGCCTGAGCAACATAGGGAGACCTGGTCTGGACAAAACATTTAAAAGTTCACCTGGCATGGTAGCACATGCCTGTAGTCTTAGTTACTTGGGAGGCTGAGGTGGGAGGATCACTTGAGCCCAAGAGGTCAAGGTGCCAGTGAGCCATGATTGCGCCACTGTACTCTAGCCTGAAAGACAGAGAGAGACCTTGTATTTAAAAAAAAAAAAAAAAAAAAAAAACCTTAATGCAAGTAATTAAAAGTAGCTATGCAGTAGTCTGAATGCTTTGCTACTTAGATCCTTATTCCACAAGATAAAGTAATCACTCTCAAGTTCAGCCCTCCATAAAGTGCTGGGGTATGGATGCAGTTCAGCCAAGTTACTTTCCCGTTTATAATAAAGGTGGCCTTAATCCCAGGTTCCAATACCTTGTTCCTCAGTTCCATCTGAAACCTTGTCGGAATGTCCTTTACTGTCTATAATTTTATCAGTGCTCTGGTCGTGACCACTTCACTGATCTCTAAGAATTTCCAAGCTTTCCCTAGTCTTCTAACCCCTCAGCAGAGTCCAGGATTTTTCCAACCTGCTTCTCCAAATTCCTCCAGCCTCTGCCAGTTATCCAGTTCCAAAGCTGCGTGAACATTTTCAGGTATTCATTCTCAGCAGTTTTCCACTTCTTGGTGCAAATTTTCTGTCTTAGTCCATTTCCTGTTGCTTATAACAGAATACCTGAAAATGGGTAATTTATCTAAAAAAGGAATTTTTTTTTTACAGTTATAGAGGGCGAGATGTCCACGGTTGAGTGGCCACCTCTGGTGAGGGTCTTCTTACTGGTGGGACTTTCTGCAGTGTCGGAAGGTAGCATGGGGCATCCCATGGTGAGGGGGCCAAGTGTGCTAGCTCAAGTCTCTTCCTTTTCTTATAAAGCCAGCACTTCCACTTTCATAATAACCCATTAACCCATTTGTACAGAAATAGATTAAGCCTTTTATTTTAACATGTGTTCCACAGGGGACAAATATTTAAACCATAGCACAAGCCATGTAAACAGATATTAAGTACACCATGAGTTTTCTTTTTTCTTTTCTTTCCTTTTATTTATTTATTTTTTTATGAGACGGGGTCTCACTCTATTGCCTAGGCTGGAGTGTGGTGGCATGGTCTTGGCTCACTGCAACCTCTGCTTCCCGGGTTCAGGAGAAATTTTTGAGGGAGCATTATTTGAGGAGAGAGATACAGCTGAAGCACTTAAAGGCCTGTTCACAACTCAAGGTTGCTATGTGACCTGGTTAATCACTCTTCCTAATCATTAGGCTGCAGTTCCCTCATCTGGAATAATAGGGTGATTTGGTGACCTCTAACCTTAACATGCTCTGATCCTGTTATCCTAATGATAGAGGGAAAGTCAGTATTCTAGATACGTGCACCTTCAGTTTGAAAGTGGGCAGGCACCTGAGGTCAGCATAGGCACAACTTTCAGAATCCAAAGGGGCTCAGCATCCACCCACCAGCAATGAAGCTCTGAAGCAGCATTGCTTTTTGTTCATCAGATCCTGCCCTAGGACAGTAGTGGACACCAACTAGGTCAGGAAATCCTTGTATTCTAAGTACGTGTTCATGAACAAGGATCCTAGTATTTCAAAATCTCAGGGTGAGCCTCTCAAACTCAGACAGTCTCCTTCCATGAAAGAAGAGCACACAATAACAATATTTGTACTGCAAAAGCCACATCTGATTTATAAGAAATGATTCATAGGAAAACAGCAAGGACGTACTTCCGGTGCAAAGATGAAACATGGGAATACCTTGACTTTTTTTTTCTTTATTTTTTTTTATTATACTTTAAGTTCTAGGGTACATGTGCACAACGTGCAGGTTTGTTACATATGTATACATGTGCCATGTTGGTGTACTGCACTCATTAACTCATCATTTACATTAGGTATATCTCCTAATGCTATCCCTCCCCTGTCCCCCCACCCCACAACAGGCCCTGGTGTGTGATGTTCCCCTTCCTGTGTCTAAGTGTTCTGATTGTTCAATTCCAGCCTATGAGTGAGAACATGCGGTGTTTGGTTTTTTGTCTTTGCGATAGTTTGCTGAGAATGATGGTTTCCAGTTTCAACCATGTCCCTACAAACGACATGAACTCAACATTTTTTACGGCAGCATAGTTTTCTATGGTGTGTATGTGCCACATTTTCTTAATCCAGTCTATCGTTGTTGGACATTTGGGTTGGTTCCAAGCCTTTGCTATTGTGAATAGTGCTGCAATAAACATATGTGTGCATGTCTCTTTATAGCAGCATGTTTTGTAATCCTTTGGGTATATACCCAGTAATGGGATGGCTGGGTCAAATGGTATTTCTAGTTCTAGATCCCTGAGGAATTGCCACACTGACTTCCACAATGGTTGAACTAGTTTACAGTCCCACCAACAGTGTAAAAGTGTTCCTATTTCTCCACATCCTCTCCAGCACCTGTTGTTTCCTGACTTTTTAATGATCACCATTCTAACTGGTATGAGATGATATCTCATTATGGTTTTGATTTGCATTTCTCTGATGGCCAGTGATGATGAGCATTTTTTCATGTATTTTTTGGCTGCATAAATGTCTTCTTTTGAGAAGTGTCTGTTCATATCCTTCGCCCACTTGTTGATGGGGTTGTTTATTTTTTTCTTGTAAATTTGTTGGAGTTCTTTGTAGATTCTGGATATTAGCCCTTTGTCAGATGGGTAGATTGCAAAAATTTTCTCCCATTCTGTAGGTTGCCTGTTCACTCTGATGGTAGTTTCTTTTGCTGTGCAGAAGCTCTTTAGTTTAATTAGATCCCATTTGTCAATTTTGGCCTTTTTTTGCCGTTGCTTTTGGCATTTTAGACATGTAGTCCTTGCACAGGCCTATGTCCTGAATGGTATTGCCTAGGTTTTCTTCTACGGTTTTTATGGTTTTAGGTCTAACATTTAAGTCTTTGATCCATCTTGAATTAATTTTTTTATAAAGTGTAAGGAAGGGATCCAGTTGCAGCTTTCTACATATGGCTAGCCAGTTTTCCCAGCACCATTTGTTAAATAGGGAATCCTTTCCCCATTTCTTGTTTTTGTCAGGTTTGTCAAAGATCAGATAGTTCTAGATGTGTGGTATCATTTCTGAGGGCTCTGTTCTGTTCCATTGATCTATATCTCTGTTTTGGTACCAGTACTA
Organism: Homo sapiens; assembly: GCF_000001405.40. Classification (NCBI taxonomy): domain Eukaryota; kingdom Metazoa; phylum Chordata; class Mammalia; order Primates; family Hominidae; genus Homo; species Homo sapiens. The sequence goes on along the minus strand of NC_000002.12, from coordinate 126,088,843 downwards.
TGCGTATTGGTTACTGTAGACTTGTAACATAGTTTGAAGGCAGGTAGCGTGATGCCTTCAGCTTTGTTCTTTTGGCTTAGGATTGACTTGGAAATGCGGGCTCTTTTTTGGTTCCATATGAACTTTAAAGTAGTTTTTTCCAATTCTATGAAGAAAGTCATTGGTAGCTTGATGGTGATGGCACTGAATCTACAAACTACCTTGGACAGTATGGCCATTTTCACGATATTGATTCTTCCTACCCATGAGCAGGGAATGTTCTTCCATTTGTTTGTGTCCTCTTTTATTTCATTGAGCAGTGGTTTATAGTTCTCCTTGAAGAGGTCCTTCACGTCCCTTGTAAGTTGGATTCCTCAATATTTTATTCTCTTTGAAGCAATTGTGAATGGGAGTTCACTCATGATTTGGCTCTCTGTCTGTTATTGGTGTATAAGAATGCTTGTGATTTTTGCACATTGATTTTGTATCCTGAGACTTTGCTGAAGTTGCTTATCAGCTTAAGGAGATTTTGGGTTGAGATGATGGGGTTTTCTAGATATATAATCATGTCATCTGCAAACAGGGACAATTTGACTTCCTCTTTTCCTAATTGAATAACCTTTATTTCTTTCTCCTGCCTGATTGCCCTGGCCAGAACTTCCAACACTATGTTGAATAGGAGTGGTGAGAGAGGGCATCCCTGTCTTGTGCCAGTTTTCAAAGGAAATGCTTCCAGCTTTTGCCTATTCAGTATGATATTTGCTGTGGGTTTGTCACAAATAGCTCTTATTATTTTGAGATACGTCCCATCAATACCTAATTTATTGAGAGTTTTTAGTATGAAGGGCTGTTGAATTTTGTCAAAGGCCTTTTCTGCATCTATTGAGATAATCATGTGGCTTTTGTCTTTGGTTCTGTTTATATGCTGTATTACGTTTATTGATTTTCATATATTGAACCAGCCTTGCATCCCAGGAATGAAGCCCATGTGATCATGGTGGATAAGCTTTTTGATGTGCTGCTGGATTTGGTTTGCCAGTGTTTTATTGAGGATTTTTGCATCAATGTTCATCAGAGATATTGGGCTAAATTCTATTTTTTTGTTGTGTCTCCGCCAGGCTTTGGTATCAGGATGATGCTGGCCTCATAAAATGAGTTAGGGAGGATTCCCTCTTTTTCTATTGATTGGAACAGTTTCAGAAGAAATGGTACCAGCTCCTCCTTGTATCTCTGGTAGAATTCGGCTGTGAATCCATCTGGTCCTGGACTGTTTTAGGTTGGTAGGCTATTAATTATTGCCTCAATTTCAGAGCCTGTTGTTGGTCTATTCAGAGATTCTCCTTCTTCCTGATTTAGTCTTGGGAGGGTCTATGTGTTGAGTAATTATTCCATTTCTTCTAGATTTTCTAGTTTATTTGCATAGAGGTGTTTATTGTATTCTCTGATGATAGTTTGTATTTCTGTGGGATCCGTGGTGATATCCCCTTCATCATTTTTTACTGTGTCTATTTGATTCTTCTCTCTTTTCTTCTGTATTAGTCTTGCCAGCTGTCTGTACATTTTGTTGATCTTTTCAAAAAAGCAGCTCCTGGATTCATTGATTTTTTGAAAGGTTTTTTGTGTCTCTATCTCCTTCAGTTCTGCTCTGATCTTAGTTATTTCTTGCCTTCTGCTAGGTTTTGAATGTGTTTGCTCTTGCTTCTCTAGTTCTTTTAATTGTGATGTTAGGGTGTCAATTTTAGATATTTTCTGCTTTCTCTTGTGGGCATTTAGTGCTATAAATTTCACTCTACTCACTGCTTTAAATGTGTCCCAGAGATTCTGGTATATTGTGTCTCTGTTCTCGTTGGTTTCAAAGAACATCTTTATTTCTGCCTTCATTTCATTATGTACCCAGTAGTCATTCAGGAGCAGGTTGTTCAGTTTCCATGTAGTTGAGCAGTTTTGAGTGAGTTTCTTAACCCTGAGTTCTAGTTTGATTGCAATGTGTTCTGAAAGACAGTTTGATATCATTTCTGTTCTTTTACATTTGCTGAGGAGTGCTTTATTTCCAACTATGTGGTCAATTTTGGAATAGGTGCGGTGTGGTGCTGAGAGGAATGTATATTCTGTTGATTTGGGGTGGAGAGTTCTGTAGATGTCTATTAGGTCCGCTTGGTGCAGAGCTGAATTCAGTTCCTGGATATCCTTGTTAACTTTCTGTCTCATTGATCTATCTAATGTTGACAGTGGGGTGTTAAAGTCTCCCATTATTATTGCGTGGGAGTTAAGTACCTTTGTAGGTCTCTAAGGACTTGCTTTATGAATCTGGGTGCTCCTGTACTGGGTGCATATATATTTAGGATAGTTAGCTCTTCTTGTTGAATTGATCCCTTTACCATTATGTAATGGCCTTCTTTGTCTCTTTTGGACTTTTTTTTTTTTTTTTGAGACGAAGTTTCACTTTGTTGCCTAGGCTAGAATGCAGTGGCAGGATCTCTGCTCACTTCAAGCTCTGCTTCCTGTGTTCAAGCTATTCTCCTGCCTCAGCCTCCTGAGTACCTAGGACTACAGGAATGCCCAGCTAATTTTTGTATTTTTGGTAGAGATGGGGTTTCACCATGTTTGCCAGGCTGGTCTCGAACTCCGGACCTCAAGTGATCCACCCACCGCGGCCTCCCAAAGTGGTCGGATTATAGGCCTGAGCCACTGTGCCTGGTTGGAATACCTCAATTTTTAAAGAAAAATGTATCCATCCTTAGTATGGAATTTGAAACCTTGAAGATAGTCTCACACTTGCTTTTTAAGGAAGATTTGACAAATGCAATTAGCATGGACACTTGAAGTTTATCTAAATGTCTAGGAGTAGAATGGGTATATAGAAGCACTTTAAATAACAGAGCAAATAGAATCTCACAAATAAATGAATCCTCCCAGAGCCAATATTTAATATTTTCTGCGTTTTTTTTTACAGGAAGAGAATCATCCTTGGCAATAAAGGGATACATTAATCTCTGGCAAAAATTATTACTTTTTTGCAGTAAATAAAAGCTAAGTGTTTCCAATTAAAATTTAAATTAAGAAGAAATAAAAGCTTGACATTTAAAATTCTACTTTTGCCATTTATGTTTCATTTTGTCAACTCAGGCAATTATGACATCACCTCATCTTCTGCAGCATGTCAAGTTCATATGTTATTAAATACTGACAATGAGATGAACTTGAAGAAAGCAAAAGAATAGTTCATTGAGTGTCAGGGACATTGTGTGTTATCAATAATGTCAAAAGAGTAAGAATCGTGCAAACAATTGGCATCAATCAATCACCTTCCATTCATACACACTGCGTCAGCTGCCTCAGACCCACCCCTGTCTCCCCACAAGATGTTGCTACAAATATCTGTCTGTCTCTCTGTCTGGCAATATCTTCCTGCCCTTGTCTCTATCTCCTTTTGATTTTTAGATGTAATCTTCAGACCTTTTCTGTGTCACCAATTACCATAAGTATAATCTTTTGTAATTTTCTGTCATTTAAGAGGTCAGGTTGCATGAGACCTTCCATGCTTGTCATCCTGCTGATGGTTTAAATATCAAATTGCAGCCAGAAGTTACCAGAATGAGGATGGAGGGAAGTGCACACAGCACATGCATTCCAAAAGGGCTCAGCTGGTGAAGCCTCTCTAATTGCAATCCAGCTTAGTGTGCCATTCAAGTAAGAATAACATGATGTCCCTGAAAAGGAAGGGAGATTTAATGCCTTGTAATTCTCCCTTCATTCTGAGAATGTTAACTTCCTTAGATTCATTCGAATCCAAAAGGAGCCTTTAGGAGGACAAAGCAGCCCTCCCAATAAAGGTTCCTAAATTTAGACCTCTACATTTAAGCTCTTCAATCTTGCTTTCCCAGACACTTAAGTTTTAATCAAAAGAGGGAGATTTTACAGCAACTTCCTTCTGTGCATCACCCACAAAGGTAATCGCCTTAACTTATTTATCTTTTCTACTTTTCTTTATTTGTAAATTCTTATGCAAAATTATTGCTTACTATAGGAAGTGGCTGCCATGGACACATTAATTGACCTCAAAGTGACATTTGTTTGAATTTCTACATAATAAATCAGTCACTAAAATAAATAAAATAATTTAGAAAATGATAGCAAAGTGAGAGTTGTTCTTCACAGGTAAGGTTCCTGGAATGCAAATGAGAGACACCTTCTAGATATCTCAACCTCATCATCATAACCAAATTAGTCTCCTTGTTAAATGGGCAGTGGATCATTCATTCCTTCGAGGAATATGACTCTGCCGTCAGTTATTACAAATTGACCAAAGGAACCCCCTGGAACCAACTGTGATCTTTATAGTTTCAGGGAATGTTCATCATCATGAAAACCCCTCTCACTTCATCTGTGTCATCCTGCCACCATGTCCACTGGGCCAGAACTAAAAAGCAGTGGCTCTGCTTACATTAATGTAGCTATTTATTTACTTAATTCTATGTAGGAAGACCATTTTTGCTCTCAACTATGGTTATCCAAGACTTACTGAAATTGACCTTTGAGATGACCAAGGTATTGACTCATTCAGCTGTAGGTTGATTTTGACCCAAAAAGACGCATGAGTCTATTAATGCAATGAAACTATTAAGCATCAGAACCCATTCTTCTATTATAAGAATTCTATCATGTAATTCAGATTAAAATAGAGTGAAGTTTCAGAGGTAATAATTCTGAGAAACCACTAGGATTCTGCTTGATGCTCTAAGTCCTGTGCAGTATATGTACATATAATTTGACTTATATGTAAGTAAGTGTACACTTAAGACAAGCAAAAAGGCAAAACTATGGAAGGCTGTAAAAAGATCAGTTGTTGCCAAGGTGTTGCAGGAAGTCAGGGATGAATAGGGAGAACACAGAGGGTTTAAATCAGTGAAACTACTCTGTATGAAGTTATAATGGTGGATGCATGCCATTATGTATTTGTCCAAACACGTAAAATGTACAATATCAAGAGTGAACCCTAAGGTAAACTATGGACTTTAGGTGATGATGGTTTGTCAATGTAGGCTCATCAATTGTAACCAATATTCCATTGTAACAAGGGATGTTGATAGTGGAAAGGGCTATACATGTGTGAGGCAAGGAGTGTATGAGATATCTCTGCATCTTCCTCTTAATGTTTCTATGAACCTAAAACTTCCCTAAACAAATAAATTATTTATAAAACTGGAAAAAAATCCCAAACCAAAACACACCAAAACAAAACAAAAATAAGTATGTGCCAATGTTCCTAGCATGAAAGAACAAAGACCATAGCTTCCTTTTTTATTTTTTTCTGCCACATGAATGCAAGCCTCCTTAATTGTAGAGATTATTTGATAAGCCAAGGAATATGAGACTTTAGACTTTAGAAACTGAGATCTTAAGGCACCTTGGAGATTGAGAAACCACACTGAAAACCTGAATGAAGGCAAATGACAAGCCCTTTAACGTAGATAAGGCATGATAAAGGTGCTCTGTTTGATTTCAGTCTAGTGAAAGATTCCATGACCTAGGTTGATGGAACTGATACTGAAAACTAGATCAAATAATGCTTTCTCCAGCCATATCTCAGCCTTCATTGCTGTGCCATAATGACTACAGAGCAGCAGGCACATTTCTTAGAATCTGCTGCATTTAAATTCTATGAATTTTGCTATGTACATATAGAGACTTAGAAGGTAGAAAGCTGCTCGGGTTGGTGCCAGCCGCAGGGAGACTAGATCTGCAGCAGAGACTTTTCACTTTTTGTATCAGCTATGGTTGAATGTTTACATGTCCCCTAGCATCATATATACCCAGAGGCAGTGATGGGAGGTGTTTTCACTAGCACAGCCCCACACGGCGTTTGATCATTTCTGACAACTACACTGTTCCCGGTTAGGTAGTATTCAAGCTTGGTTCCATGACCCTCTTGAAATTGTTTAAGCTATAAAATGATGTAAAATAAATATTTTTCTTTTAATCAAGCAACGAGGCATTTTCTTGTTTATAGCTAAAGACTTGTTTCAATATAATTGCCCCATTTAACTGATAGTTTGTGAGTGCACATCATCTTTGCCCATAATGAGCAAGGGATAATTTCAGGGTTACCTGAGAAACTTTTACAAATGGCCCTTCTTTATACCCTTTCCAAACTTCACCTCAACATTCTATTATACCACCTGGTATATAAGAGCCTTCACTGATATGCCAGTCCTATGTAGCTTGAAAAGCTAAATAATTTATTTTGATATCCCAACATAATTAAGAACCACTGACCTAAGTCAGTAGTCCAAATCTGGTTCACATTAAACATTCATTAGAGCTTAGGAAACATAACGAGCCCCAAGTATACTCTTTATCTATTTAAACAAATTTACTAGAGGAAAAGGTTAGAAATAGGTAGATCATTAAATTCCTGGGGTGATTATAATACTGCCATCGGGGGATGTTTTCAAGACCTGTTTGGAGGTGTTTGGAAGCCTCTGATATAGCTCAATCACTTATCAAAGACCTTAATATAAGTTCATGTAAACAACTTAAATTTATCTCATTCTCTGAAAGTATCAGTGGATTATTGAGCAAGGGAAAGCTGTAGAAATTATAAATCTGGATCTCAGAAATATGTTCAATAAGAACTCTCACGATTGTGAAGAAGGTAGATAAGTAAAGCCGAAGGCAAAATCAGTTGGGTGGATTACTCATGGTCACAATGTTTATACACAAAAGACACTCATCAATGGAAGGATATTCTTCTGACCTAAAAAGAGTTCTATCTCTGAAATTGTGAGGATATTTAAGTTATATTACAGTAACAACTAAGTTTAATTCCCCTCTCATGCTATATGCTCACTGTGGGTTTGCTGGGGTTTCTGATTCACAGCATTTTCAGTCATGGATGTAGGCTGGAAAACCAACAATCTAGAAGACCTCTGGGGGCTTTGGATGGTAATAGATATGGCGAATTGTATTCTGGCCAGGGGAACTTTGTGCCACTTAAAGTCTATTCCATTTACTAAAGCAAGTAACATGGTCATGGTCAGCTAGAGAGGCAGGAAAAAAGCAATCCTACCCCAAGTTTTGCAGGAGGAGAATTGAAATATGAGACCTTGAGCCTTGGGTAACCCCTACACTCAAAACCAAAGTCTTAATCCACCCTCAGGGTAACTTCTATCTCCCTTCTTCCAAATCTGAGCAGTATATTCTAAGGAGCATAGACTTTGGAGAAAGCTCTATCTGGCAACAATTAGATCTTTACCTCATGATTAAGGAAATCATTAAATCTCTAAGTTGTAGTATCTTTTTATACCTAAGGTGTGGATCATGCCTACATACCAGCATTGTTAATTGAAATAGCTGGTTATTATAATTTTATTATTATCCTTGATTAGCATCTAATTTTCTATCTTGAATCCCAGCACACTTGATCTGGTACTTGGTCAAATATGATGGTAGAAAAAGAATGAATGAAACCTCAATAAAAAAAAAAAAATGGCCAGGCACCATGGCTCATGCCTGTACTCCCAGTACTTCGGAAGGCCGAGGTGGGCAGATCACCTGAGGTCAGGAGTTCAAGACAAGCCTGGCCAACATGGTGAAACCCTGTCTCTACTAAAAATACAAAATTAGCCCGGCATGGTGGGCACACCTGTAACCCCAGCTACTCTGGAGGCTAAGGCAGGAGAATCTCTTGAACCCAGGAGGCAGAAGTTGCAGTAAGCCGAGATCACACCATTGCACTCCAGCCTGGGCGATAAGAGCAAAACTCTGGCCATATATATAGGCAATAAACTGAAAGACAAAGTGTTCATCTATGTTTATCTGTTCTTTTAGAACAATGTTTTTACCACATTGGCTAAACATTGAAATTGTCTGGGGAGTTTTAAAAAATGCAGATGTCCTGATCATATCACAAGTCAATTAAATCAGAATTTTTTTGGCATGTGACCAGTTGCCATAGGTAAAAAAAAAAAAAAAATTCCTCAAGTAATTTCAGTGGGCAGCCAGAGTTAAGAGCCTCTGTTCTATAATCAATGGTTCTGAAACCTGTGTACCTATGAGAATCATAAGTGGAGTGTTGTAAAATCGTATATCCTCTGTATTCCCGGTTCCAGGTTCTATGTAGTAAAGTTATATGGAAATAGGTTTCAGGTAGATACAGGATTACAGGTATTATCTGTAATCACCCTGTCATGCTATCAAATACTAGATCTTATTTTAGATGTATATAGAATGAATAAGATCCAGTATTTGAGAGCACAACATGGTAATTACAGTCAACGATAATTTAATGTTCATTTGAAAGTAACTAAAAGTGTATAATTAGAATGTTTGTAATACAAAGAAATGATAAATGCCTGATGTGATTATTAGCCATCATTAGCCTGTATCAAAGTATCCCATGTACCCCATAAATATATACACCTATGCACACAGAAAAATTATGAAGAAATAAAAAAATATTTTTCAAAAGAGAATGGTCCATAGACGAAATAAGCTCTCTTTGTTGAAGGTAATTAAGAAGAGTTACCATTTGCAGGGGCGCTGCCAAAATATGTTTTAAGTGGGCACGAGTACTAGCCCTGCTGTCCCTGGGAATTTGTCTGTCTCATCTGGCAGTATACTCCCATTAGAAAACTAGTTATTCCCAATACCTGGTGTATTAGGGTTCTCTAGAGGGACAGAACTAATAGGATTTATGTATGTATGAAAAGGAGTTTATTAAGGAGAATTGACTCACATGATCACAAGTAAAGTCCCACAATAGGCCGTCTGAAAGTTGAGGAGCAAGGAAGCCAGTCGGAGTCCCTAAACCTCAAAAGTAGAGAAGCAGACAGTGCAGCCTTCAGTCTGTGGCCGAAGGCCCTAGAGCCCCTAGAAACCACTACTGTAAATCCAAGAGTCCAAAAGCCAAAGAACTTGGAGTCTGATGTTCGAAAGCAGGAAGCATCCAGCACAGGAGAAAGATGAAGCCCAGAAGATTCAGCAAGTTCTGCAAATTTCACCTCCTTCTCTCTGTTTTTTCTGGCCACCTTGGCAGTTGAAGGAATGGTGCCCACCCAGATTAAGGGTAGTTCTGCCTCTCCCAGCCCAGTGACTAAGATGTTAATCTCCTTTTGCAACAACCTCACAGAAACACTTAGAAACAATACTTTGCATCCTTCAATCCAATTAAGTGGACACTCAATATTAGCCATCTTGAGTCCACCTCTTGTCAATTTGAACCCATACATATCTCCTGAAATAACACATAATTTTCAAATAAGGAAAATAAAGTTATAGTTATGCCTAACATAAAAACATCTACTCTTTGTACAACCAGAAGTGTACTAATCCTTACCCTAAATACTATTACATAACAATAACAACTCTTAAATGGTGATAGAGAGTCAATAAATCTCTTGTCACATAATAAAGGGAAAAAAAAGAAAAGAAAATGAAGATATTTTCTTAGTACTAGTGTATACATGTGTTGTGTATACATGCACAAACATATTTAATAAAGTAAGGAAGAAATGCTCACGACAATTACAGTCCTTGTTGCTGCAACTGGTCACGTGGTTGTAGCTGTTATTGATGACTAACTTTTTCTACTACCCATTCTGCATTCCCTTTGTCTTCAGCAAACACCTCAGCTGGATGTGGTTTTTTTACCTGATGGGGTGATCCTGAAGGGTCTGGGACATTTGTAGTTCTGCCAAGATTAGGTTGTTGTAGTTTCCCATTGACCTTAATCACAGGGCATGGTAATACTAAGAGATGCCCAAATAGATCTCCTATATTCCACTCACACTCTTCCTTACCTCCAATGTGGAGTAGTAGCCTGATTTCATCTTGATAGTCCATGTCAATCACCCCATCCAACACTGTAACTCCTTTCTTAGCCTGTTGACTTAGAGGTATGAAGAGCACACAGTGGCCAGGTAGCAATCTTAATTTCCAGTTTAATTAAATTATTGTTGTGTCTCCTGGTGGCAGTATTCCTACCTCTGAAACTAAGACCTTTAGGCCAGCAGAACATAATGTCACAGGAACAGGAAGCAAAAATTTTTCTAGGGGGTCACTAAGGGTAATGGTGAGTGGTGCCCCTTCTACTTCTACCTCTTGATTCCTGGACTGATTAATCTTGGCTATGGGAGAAACAGTACCATATATTGAACGCTTATTCAGGGCATACACAGCCTTCTGGAAAACTTTGTCCCAGCTCTGCAAGCTACTGTCACCTAGTTGGCATTTTAATTGTGACTTCAAAAGGTCACTCCACCGTTCTATCAATCCACCTGCTTCAGGGTGATGGAAACATGGTAAGGCCAGTGAATCCTTGAGCATGCGCCCACTGCCACACATCTTTGGTCATAAAGTGAATGCCTTCATCAGAGGCAATGTTGTGTGGAATACCATGATTGCTGGATAAGGCATTCCATGAGCCCATGGATGGTAGTCTTGGCAAAAGCATTGCATAGAGAATAGGCAAACCAATATACACAGTAAGTGTCTATTCTGGTGAGGACAAACTGCTCTCCTTTCTATGATGGAAGAGGTCCAATATAATCAATCTACCACCAAATCACTGACTGATTATTCCAAGGAATAATGCTGTATTGAGGGCTGAGTGTTAGTCTCTGTTGCTTGCAAATTGAGCACTCAGCAGAGGTCATAGCCAGGTCAGACTTGATGAATGAAAGTCCATGTCACTGAGCCCATGTGGAAACCTCCATCCCTGCCACTATGGCTACTTCATTCATGGGCCCACTGGGCAATGACAGGAGTGGCTGGAAAAAGAGGCTGAATGGTGTCCACAGAATGAGTCATCCTATCCACTTGATTACTAAAATCCTCCTCCACTAAGGTCACCCTTTAGTGAGCATACAAATATTGTATTATTCTGTTCTCACACTGCTAATAAACATACACCCAAGACTGGCCTCATAATCATGGCTGAGGGCAAATGAGGAACAAAGTGACATCTTACATGGCCACAGGCAACAGAGTGTGTGCAGGGGAACTCCCCTTTATAAAACCATCACACCTTAGGATACTTATTCACTATCATGAGAACAGCAGGGGAAAGACTAGCCCCCATGATTCAATTACCTCCCACTGGGTCTCTCCCACAACACATGAGAATTATGGGAGTTAAATTCAAGATGAGATTTGGATGGGAACACAGCCAAACCATATCATTCCTCATCTGGCCCCTCCCAAGTCTCATGTCCTCACATTTCAAAACCAATCATGCCTTCCCAAAGTCCCCCAATGCCTCAACTCATTTCAGCATTAACTCAAAAGTCTGTAGTCCAGCACCTCATCTGAGACAAGTCAAGCCCTTTCCACCTATGAGCCTGTAAAATCAAAAGCAAGTTGGTTACTTCCTAGATATAATAAGGGCACAAACATTGGGTAAATACACCCATTCCAAATGGGGGAAATTGGCCAAAACGAAAGGGCTACAGACCCATGCAAGTACAAAATCTAGCGGGGCAATTAATCTCAAAGTTCCAAAATGATCTCCTTTGACTCCATGTCTCACCTCCAGGTCATGCTGATGCCAGAGGTGGGTTCCCATGGTCTTGGGAAGCTCCATCCCTGTGGCTTTTGCAAGGTACAGCCCAACTCCTGGCTGCTTTCATGGGCTGGTGTTGAATATCTGTGACTTTTTGGGGGTGCATTGTGCAAGCTGTAGATAGATTGACCATTCTGGGGTCTGGGGGATGGTGGCCCTCTTCTCACCACTCCACTAGGCAGTGTTCCAGTGGGGACTCTGTGTGGGGACTTGCAGTCCACATTTCCCTTCTGCACTGCCCTAGCAGAGGTTCTCCCTGAGGGTTCTTCCCTGTAGCACACCTTTGCCTGGACATCCAGGTGTTGCCATATATCCTTTAAAATCTAGGTGGAGGTTTCCAAACCCCAATTCTTGACTTCTGTGCACCCACAGGGCTGACATCACATGTAGGTCACCAAGACCTGGGGCTTACACCCTCTGTAGTAACAGCCTAAGGTGTATGTTGGCCCCTTTTAGCCATGGCTGAAGCTGAAGCAGCTGGGATATGAGGCGCCATGTCCCAAGGCTGCATAGAGCAGGGTGGTCCCTGGGCCTGGCCGACAAAACATTTTTCTCCCCAGGGCCTCCAGGCCTATGATAGGAGGGGCTTTTATGAAAGTTTCTGATATGCCCTGGAGACATTTTCCCCATTGCCTTGGTGATTAACATTCAGCTCCTCATTACTTATGGAAATTTCTGCAGCCTGCTTGAAAATGAGTTTTTGTTATCTATCACATTGTCAGGCTGCACATTTTCCAAACTTTTATACTCTGCTTCCTCATGAATGCTTTGCCACTTAGAAATGTCTTCTTCCAGATTACCTAAATCATCTCTCTCACAAATTTCCACAAACCTCTAGGGTGGAATCAAAATGCCAGCAGTCTCTTTGCATAGCAAAAGTGACCTTTATTCCAGTTCCCAACAAGTTCTTCACCTTCATCTGAGAGTACCTCAGCCTGGATTTCATTATTCATATCACTGACAGCATTTTGGTCAAAGCCATTCAATGAGTCTCTAGGAAATTCCAAACTTTTCCATGTCTTTCTGTCTTCTTCTGAGCCCTCCAAACTGTTTCAATCTCTGCCTGTTACCCAGTTGTAAAGTCACTTTCACATTTTGGGGAATCTTTACAACAGCACCCCACTCCTCTTACCAATTTACTGTATTAATCTGTTCTCCAGCTGCTAATAAAGACACCTGAGACTGGGTAATGTATAAAGAGAAGAGGTTTAATTGACTCACAGTTCCATGTGTTTTGGGAGGCCTCAAATCATGGTGGAAGACAAATGAGGAGCAACATCACATCTTACATGGTGGCAGGCAAGATAACATTTGCAGGTGAACCCCCTTTTATAAAACCATTGGATCTCATGAAACTTATTCACTATCATAAGAATCTCAGAGTAAAGGCCTGCCCCCATGAGTCAATTACCTCTCACTGGGTTTCTCCCATGACACGTGGGAATTATGGGAGCTACAATTCGAGATTTGGGTGGGAACACAACCAAACCATATCAAATATATTCAATTTTTGACCACTCAGAGATGTCCATCCACATACCTCTTCTCCAATTTCTTTGCCACTGATATAGTTTAGCTGTATCCCCAACCAAATCTCATCTTGAATTGTAGCTCCCGTAATCCCCATGTGCTATGGGAGGGACCCCGTGGGAGGTAATTGAATAATGGGGCAGTTTCCCAATGCTATTCCTATTCTTGTGATAGTGAGTACATTCTCACGAGATCTGATGGTTTTAGAAGGGGCTTCCTTCTTTACTCACCTCTCATTCTTCTCCTTGCTTTTGTCATGTGAAGAAGGATGTGTTTACTTCCCCTTTCACCATAATTGATTGATTTCATCAAATTTCTGAGGCCTCCCCAACCATGCTGAACTGTGTGTCAATTAAACCTCTTTCCTTTATAAATTATCCATCTCAGGTATGTCTTTATTAACAGTGTGGGAACTGACTAATACAGTCACCGATTTTCCAATCATGCTTCTTCCAAGTCCTTGACCATCCAGTCAAACCATTGGCTACAGCCCATGAATCAGTACATAATCATACACTTGGCCATTTCTTCTTCCATCCAAAGTGCACAACAAGGCGCACTGCTCAAAGTTCTGCCCACTGGGAAGATTTCTTTTCACCACCATCCTTCAGAGATATTCTGGAAAGGGGTTGTAGTGGGGCAGCTGTCCACTTTTGGCTGATGCCTGCATATCATGCAGAACAATCTGTAAACCAGGCCCTAGTCTTCTCTTCCTCTGTTAACTGATCATGGGGAACTCCCCATGAGGCTGTCAGTGCAGGCTGGGGGAGAGAAGGCATGGTGGCAGGAGTGGAGACCATGGGCATTTGAGCCACTTCCTCATGTAACTTCTTTGTGCCTTTGGACCTGCTTGAGCCCAGTTACTTATATACAACTTCCATTTGATGATGAAATGCCGCTGTCCATACCCCACTTTATGGCTAGATAGGTCAGAAAGCACTCAGTTCATGATAGGCAGGTCAGGTTGCATGGTGACTTGATGACCCATCGTCAAACATTCTGTTTCTACCAAAGCTTACTAACAAGCCAAGAGCTGTCTCTCAAAAGGAGAGTACTTATCTGAAGAAGATGGCAGGGCCTTGCTCCAAAATCCTAGAGGCCACTGCTGTGATTCAACTATTTGGGCCTGAAAAAGGCTCCAAACAACATCCTTATCTGCCACTGACACTTCAAGTATCATTGGATCTGCTGGGTCCTATGGCCCAAGTGGCAGAGCAGCTTGCACAGGAGCCTGGACCTTTTGCAGAGCCTTCTCCTGTTCTGGACCCCACTCAAATTTGGCCGCCTTTGAGGTCACTCAATAAATGGACTGGAATAACACACTCAAATGAGGAATGTGTTGCCTCCAGAATCCAAAGAGGCCCACTAGGCATTGTGCCTCTTTCTTGGTTGTAGGAGAGTCCAAATGCAGCGACTTATCCTTCACCTTAGAAGGAATATCTCGACAGTCCTGACACCACTGAACCCCTAGAAATTTCACTGAAGTAAAAGTTCCCTGAATTTTAGTCAGATTTATTTTCCATACCATGGTACACAAACATCTTACCAGTAAGTCCAGTGTGTTTGCTACTTCTTGCTCACTGGGTCCAATCAGCATAATGTCATCAGTGTAATAAACCAGTGTGACATCTGTGGAACGGAAAAGTGATCAAGATCTCTGCAAACAGGATTATGACATAAAGCCAGAGAGTTGATATACCCCTGAGGTGGGACAGTGAAGGTATATTGCTGGCCATGCCAGCTGAATGCAAATTGCTTCTGGTGGGCTTTATGGACAGGAATGAAGAAAAAGGCATTTGCCAAATCAATGGCTGCATACCAGCTACCAGGAGATGTGTTAATTTGTTCAAGTGATGAAACCACATCTTGTACAGCACCTGCAATTGGAGTCACCACTTGGTTAAGCTTAGGAAAGATAATCCACTGTCATTCTCCAAGATCCATCTCTCTTCTGCACAGGCCAAATAGGACAATTGAAAGGGGATGTGTTGAGAATCACCTCCATTGCATCTTTCAAGTCCTTGATGGTGGCACCAATCTCCACAATCCATCCAGGATGTGATACTGTTCTTGATTTACTGTTTTTCTAGGTAGAGGCAGCTCTAATGGCTTCCATTTGGCATTTCCCACCGTAACAGCCCTCACCTTACCAGTCAGGGAGCCAATGTGGTGATGCTAATTATGCATCTGGCCCTGGGGAAATGACCACAGGATGAGTCCAGGGACCCACTGGACCCACTGCAAGTTGGGCCTGAGCTAAAACTCCATTAATTACCTGACCTCCATAAACCCCTACTTTAACTGGAGGACTGCAGTTACCTTTTGGGTCCCCAGGAATTAATGTCAGCTCAGAGCCAGTGTCCAGTAATCCTTGAAAGGTCTGATGATTTCCCTTTCCCCAATTCACAGTTTCCCCGATAAAAGGCTGGAGGTCTCCTTGGGGAAGGATGGAAGAAAGATTAATAGTGTACATTGTCAGTAGTGAGGTCCTTCCTCAAGGGGACCCAGCCTCCCCTTCATTCAAGGGCTTCTGGGTCTATAAACTGACTTAAGTCTGGAAATTGATTGAGGGGATGTAATTCTCTATTTTTATAATTAAAATTAGCCTTTTATCCACTCAGCCTGGAAGTTTTCTGCTTATACAAATTAAGTAAGAATGCAGTAGGCTTTCTATCAATTTCACTTGTAGAAACACCATGATTAATTAGCCAATGCCAGAGCTCTACATGAGTCAGACTATTCTGATTGCTGGTTCGCCTCTGCTGTCCATTATGGTAACTATGCCCATCCTGCTTTGGATGGTTCAGTGCCTCCCCTTGGCCACCTCAGGATCCAATTATTCCCGTTGCATTTAAGTTTTCCAATTGAGTGACTGTGGTTCCCATGGAAACATCTGGCATACAGAAAAGAGCAATCACAAAGCTCTTCAAGGATGCAGGTGTTCCTCTCACACATCTGTTTCACAAGGTTTTGGTGAAGGTTATGTCTTCTTGACACTCCCAGTTGGGATAAGTAGATCTAAAGTGACTAATCTACTCTAGCATTCCAGTCTCCCTAAGCCTTTGGATCCTTTCCTCTACATTAAACCATGGGAAATCAGGCATTTCCAGTTCACTCACAGTTGGGAAATCTTTTGATCCACGTTTCAGCTAACAAAGCAAAGAAACTATTAGAACCTTTTTAACTCCCTGAGCTGCAACATTAAATGCAGAATCCCTGCTTAGTGGGCCCATATCAATAAATTTAGCCTGACCCAACTTTACATTCCTTGCACCATTATCCCACACCCTTAATATCCATTCCCAAGCCTGTTCTCCAGATTTCAGCTTATATAAATTAGAAAACTCAAGTAGTTATTTTGGAATGTAGCACACCTGCTTGTGGGTCACACTCTAAGCCTCACTTCTAGGGGTCTGCCAGGACTTGAGTCTACTTATAGGTCTAGAAGCAAACAGGGGTTTTGGGGGTGGGTCCTGAGGGTAATCAGTATTTTCCTGCCTGGCAACTGCCTCAGGGGAGGCCATCACTGTTGCCTCAGACAGTGCATGGTTAATATACTCAGACAAAAGTGGAAAGGCTGATGGCAATGTGGGTGGGGAAGAGGATGTTGCAGCCATTGGTGGTGGGGAGGCTGTTTCTTCTGGCAAAAAAAGGCTCATCAGAGTATACAAGCTCAGTGTCCCTAGCTTCATCAGGGTCCTCCCACACATCCCCATTCCAAGTTTCAGGGTCGCATTCTTTTTCAGTCAATGCCCTCACTTTAACAGTAGACACCTGGTGAGTCTGAGCATGCACCTTTCATTGCAGGTCAGCCACTTGCATGATAAGAGCTTGTGTCTGACTTGCCACAATTTCAGCCCTTTGTCTAAAGAGATAAGACTCTCACTCAGGACAATTTTAGAAAATTTGAGGTTCCATGTGCACTTCTGGAACCAGGAGTTAGAATCCTTAGGCTCATGATTTTCTTTCATCACTTTGTCCAGTAAACATAGGAGCAACCAACCAACTTCATTACATTCTTTGGTCCTCAACATATGGTCAAAGGTATTATGTATAGAGTCACTATACTTTTTGCCTCTCAAGAGTGGTGAGTCAGGAGTATCAAATTCATCTATTTTGCATAACTTTCTAAACAGTTCATGCCAAGGACTATCAGTGTTTCCCATACTATTAGAAGTAGAGTCCTTAGCATATTGGGGTCTAATCAGATTAAGTAGCCAAATCTAGAAACCCCAAATATAACTAATGAAAATTCTATTCCTCTAGAACTACTCCTGGTACCAAAATCTGTACTAGTCGGGGTTCTCTAGAGGGACAGAACTAATAGGATATATACATATTTTATATATATATATATATATATATATATATATATATATATGTATGTATACGTATATATATATATGTATATGTATGTGTGTGTGTGTGTGTATATATATATATATATATATATGAATGACAGGGAGTTGATTAAGGAGAATTGACTCACAGGATCACAAGGTGAAGTCCCACGATAGGCAGGCTGTCTACAAGTTGAGGAGCAAGGAGGCCAGTAGTGGATCTGTTCCAGTCCCCAAACCTTAAAAGCAAAGAAGTTGATAGTGCAGCTTTCAGTCTGTAGCCGAAGGCCCTAGAGCCCCTGGGAAACTACTACTGTAAGTCTAAGGGTCCAAAAACCAAAGAACTTGAAGTCTGATATTTGAGGGCAGGAAGCATCCAGCACAAGAGAAAGATGAAGGCTGGAAGACTCAGCAAGTCTGCTCATTCCACCTCCTCTGCCTGCTTTTTCTAGCTGTGCTGGCAGCAGAGGGGATGGTGCCCACCCAGGTTAAGGGTGAGTCTGCCTCTCCCAGTCCGCTGACTCAGATGTTAATCTCCTCTAGCACCCTTAAGACATGCCCAATAACAAGACTTTGCATCCCTCAATCCTATCAAGTTGACACTTAACCGTCACACCTGGTGAGAAAACCAGAGGCACCAAAAGAGCCAGTCGAGGCTAGGGATGAAGAGACATCTAGACAGTACTATCAATGGCACTCTCACTTCCATCAGAAGCTGTCTTCAGGAGGCATGTACACCCATGGGAGTATACTACTATGTACTCCGCTATCTTAAGCTGAGTTGTGGGTTTTGGCATCCTTTAATTGCACTAAAAGAAATTTTACTATTTTTTCTTGCACAGAAATTTTGGTGTTCTGTCAATCACTGTTATTCTTGGGACAAATACATAGTTGCACAGGGGAACTGGATGATGCCTTGAGGCAAAGAGCACAAGCAAATGTTGGAAGAATTTCAGACCTAAGGAAGCCTTCACATTGAGAAGGAGGAAGGGTTCAGGAGTGGAATCTGTGAACTGATAATCAGAAACTGAAAGAAATACTGTGTATCTCAGGAGTCACCATAGTAGATGGACTGCAAATGAGGTCTCCCTCTCTCAGTGCCAAAGCCCCATCCTTCTACTAGAAGCTGCTTAGTGTCTGAGAACATATACAATCCTTAATTCATTGCCAATAAGAGTGTATGTTAAAATCAACTTTCTCAAAATTTCCTGTATGCATTTTTCTGTATACATTTGTAATCCAGAAACCTTATTTAGTTTTATATATGGTAACATTCTAGAACTATTTTACCCATACAGAAATTAATATTTGGATTTATAATATTTGTAAGTGGGAATGTGGTATGTATATAACAGAGTTATTTCAAAAATATTAAGCTAAACACAGTTCTATAAAAATATTTTCTTTCAGTTATTTTTTACATTGAAGATATAAAATGTATAGAACTAAAGAGAGTTAATATTTGAGAAAATATATTTCTGAATTTGGAAATAGCTGTGTGAACCAATTCCATTAGGATTCCATTTATATTCCATGGGAATATAAAAATGAAATAAAAGAATGTTATTAGTAATGATAGGGATATTAAACACCACGTGCCATAAATCATAGCACATTAATGACTAATGTTCTGTAGTATCTTCCCCCATGTCATACTTGGAGTAGAACCGGTTTAAGTGAAGGTAAAATATGAAGTATGTGCAATAATTACTGAACTTATTGGAAAAATAATTCAGCAGTTTGAGAATTATTTAGAACATTATTTCAGATTCTTGCCAGTCTCTCCTCCAGTGAGTAGAAACATTGAGTCATTAGTACATATCTCCATAAAACTGATTAATTTTGATGGACAGGACTAATTTTATGGTTACCAATTTTGTGACGCCTCAAATAAGCTGTTTCCATTAGGAAGCTTGACTAGTTGAGGAGTCAGCTTCATTGTATTTTCTTTTCCTCCAACAATGAGTTTCAGGATTCTCAAGCTTCATCATCATTTATTACCAAATTACATTTTTCACTTTCTGTCCTCTTGCCTTACTACTTGTTATTCCTGATTCATGGCTAGTCTTAATGATTTCTAGTTCACCTTCCTCCAATCCTAACAATATTTCCTGAGCTTATAAAAAGTTTTAAACTCAGTAAAAGTTAGTATAATTCTATACATATACACATGGCCTCATAATCCTAATTTCTCAATGAAGGGCATTAAGAGGTCTTAGAAAGAAGAGTCTTGAGCAAGACCCTGGGCTCCTGCCCCAGCGAGGCTGGAACTGAGGAGGCATTCAGTCATTGCTTTGCATTTGCAGTCAAGAGTTTGGGTGATATCCTGAGAAAGGGGGTAGAATTGGGTAGTGTTAGGGATTAAGAAGCACATTAGATTGTAAGAAAATAAAGACTCTTTAATCCGCATATGTTTTATTCTGAACAATTTTGAAAATTAGTAACTTTGTCATTACTTGTTAACAATGTGTGTCACTTGTGTCTGTGCTCAGACTTCATGGCTTCAAAAAGTAAACAAAAAGTTATTTTGAAGATAAATTTACTTTCTATTTTTATATGTGCCAGGTAACTAAGACATAGTTTTAATTCTGTCTCCACAAACAACATGTAAAAATGCATGAAATGGGTAATAGGGGCTCTAGGTAGGTGAAAGACAAATCCATCTTCATTCAAAAAGTAATTAAACAACACAGTCTAATGGTAGACAGCAGACATATTAACCTCAGAGTTTACACATTGTCTCTAATAGCTAAGTTTCAGCAGGGTATAGGTCATTTAATTCAGTTTTTAGACTAACTTTGTAAAAGAAAAATTGCCACAAATAATTAAATTTTGATTATTTTTTCAGTGATTCAGGTATATCCTCAATTTGAAATAATTTCTTAGGTATTAAGAAATTATGGCACCTATACCTTACGTGTGCGTGTGTGTGTGAATGTGGGTGAATATGGTTAAGTGTATATGTGTTCTATTTAGGACAGAGACTATGTCTTCAACTGGATCTTCTACTAAGAGTAATGACAACTTACAAGTATCTGAATAACTACTGATGTCAATAATAGCGATGATATCATTAGGTTGGTGCCATTAAATTAATGGCAAAACCAGCAATTATTTTTGCACCCACCTAATGTATATGTGTTGCAATTTATGTATCAGTAAACATTTAGCAGAATATAACTTTTACAAAGTAGAGAAATACAAAAATACAGGTTCCTAACTATAATTTTCACTGCTATTCACTACACAAAGGGCTGGTAAACATCCATGTGCCAAGTGATTAATGTTACAAAAAAGTTTTGCACCTATGACAAGCTTGTAATGCTTGGTAGATGCAAAAGTGAGACCCTTTCCAGAGACACACCTACAACCTGCTCACAATGTTATTGGATTCTCACAAGAAGAGCTTCAGTGATGAAGAACTCAGATAAAATAATAGTTACACAGTACACTAAGAAACAATCTTACATAAATATGTATCAGCAGATCTCATAAAATAGGAGATTAGTCACTCCAAGATCCTGATATATTATTATAGCAATTTGTAAATATATAAGAAAAACAATATTTAAGATACATAATACATTAAAGAAATCTAAAACTTTACAAAAATAACAGACTAAAATAGAATTAATACAGATGCAAAAATGAAAATATTTGCAGTCATAGACTCTGGAGAAAATAAACATCACATTTAACACTGTCAAGAAAAATGCAAATTATAAAAAAAGAGATGAAGGTATTATGATGACTGACAGAACAGAAAGAATGTGAGATGAATAATTTTCTTAAATAAAGCTGTCTTAACTTTTGTAAGACTTCTATACTTAACTAAATTGTCGTATGTACTAGAACAGAGTACAACACAGAAACTTAAGTGCCTTTGAGGTTGGGGGACATGAAACGTAAGTTCTCACTAAGAGCTCGAATCCTGGTTGTTAAATATCTCAAAAGCAGCAGAGGTGATCACAGGTGATGAAAGTAGGAAAAACTGAAATCTGAATAAGCAATTAGGAACCCATATCCTTTCACCAGTTCTATGCAATCAGTTCTCTCCAGCTCTGGCAAAAGGCAGGACATTTATTTCTGCAAGGCCAATATTATTTCTCTCTTAAATACTTTATACAGTTCAAAAAAGAAATCATGAAGCCTGGAGTCTATGTGTGTGTGTGTAAAATTTTTTTAATGCGAATTCAATTTATTTACTAGATATGAGCTATTCTGATATTTTCTTTCTTCCTGAGTTTTGATAAGTTGTGTTTTTCAAGGAATATGTCCATTTCATTGAAGTTATCAAACTTCTAGAGCACATTTCATTTTTCTATAATATGTCCTTACTATCATTTATTAATATCTGTGACATTTCTAGTAATATTATTTCTGATATTTGTAATTTGTGTTTTTTCTGCTTATTTATTAATTAATCTTGCCAGGAGATTATTGATTTTTAATCTTTTAAAAGACCCCAGGGCAGTTTGTCAAGGTTTGTTTCTTGTTTGTTCGCTATTTCTTTGATTGTATAATTACTATTCCTTGCTTTCTGCTTACTTTGGGTTTAATTTGCTCTGCTTTTCTAGGTTTCCTAGGTAAAAACTTAGAAAACTGATTTTAAGCATTTTTTATGTTCTTACAGAGGCAATTAAAGCTATAAGCTTCTCTCTAGGCACTGCTTTGACTGTATGCCACCAACCTTTTTGTTTAAAACACTATTTATTTTTTGTGATTTCTTATCGACCCATGGGATATTTAGAAGTGTGTTACATAATTAATATTTGGCACATTTCTGGATACTTTATTGTTATTGATTTCTAATTTAAGGCTAATATAGTTAGAGAAAACTCTTAAAGTACAAGCTTTTAAAGTTTATTGAGATTTGTTGTATGCTTAGCATATGGTCTATTCTACATACACGTGAAAAGAATGCATATTTTGCAATTGTGAGAATGAGACTTAATGATGTCAACTGGGTCTTGTTGATTGATGGTATTGTTCAGACCTCCTATGTATTTACTAATTTTGCCTACTTTTTCTGTTGCTAATAGATGGTTATTAAAATCTCAGTATATGATTTTTTAGTGGCCTATTTATTTAGTTCAGTAAGTTTACATTCCATTTATTTTGAAACTATGCATTCCTTTAAAGGCATAGATATTTAGATTTTTTGTCATTCTCATTACTTTTCTAATATAGTATCATTAAGAAATGATTCCTTTAAACTAGTATAATACTTTTTGTTTTGATGTCTACTTAACAAGTATATTACCTTTTTGTGCTTGCTCTTTTCATGGAATATATTTTGCCATATGTTTTGTTATGAACTGAATAAGTCCTCTAAAATTCATATGTTGAACTTTAATCACCATTGTGATCGTATTAAGTGGGGCCTGTAAGAGGTGATGAATGGGATTAGCAACAATGTAAAAGGACTGGAGCAAAGTGACTAGGTCCCCTTTTTTGCACATTCTGTCTCTTTCATGATGTGAGGACAAAACATTTAAGGCACCCTTCTTGAAGCAGAGACAGCAGTCCCGATTCGAAACCTTGATATTGGAATTTCCACCCTTCAAGACTGTGAGAAATAAATGTCAATTATTTATAAAGTACTCTGTCTCAGGTATTTTGTTATGTCATCACAAATGGACTAAGACATGCTTCCTCTAAATTATTAGTGTATTTAAATTTAGAGTGCATTTTAAGTAAATATATGTGATTAAGATCTTTTATTTCCAGTGTAATAATCTTCACCTTTTAATTGAAGTTCTTAATCCATTTACATGTTTGGGTTGGAGGCTACACTCTCCTTTCCCATTTTCCCCTTCTGCTTTTCCTCTGATTCTTATTTTCTGTTTTTATTTAAATAATCAATTTTGTTAAGAATTTTATTTTCTCTCCTCTCGTTTCCTAAACTACACCACCTTTTATTATATGTTTGTTTATAGGTAAACATACATTTTCCTTACATGTTTGAAAGAATTCCACAGATAAGGTATCTAGGACTACAGTTTTCTTGCAAGAATATTTTTAATAATAGTTTTGATTTCTTAAATTGTTATAGAAATATTCTTGTATTTAATTTATTGTGGTAATTTTTTTGGTAAATTTGGTTTATCAAAAAGGGTGGCTCAGGCCAGGCATGGTGGCTCATGCCTGCAATCCCAGCACTTTTGGAGGCCAAGGTGGGCAGATCACCTGAGGTCAGGAGTTCAAGACCAGCCTGGCCAACATGGTGAAATCCCATCTCTACTAAAAATACAAAAATTAGCCAGGTGTGATGGCATGTGCCTGTAATCCCAGCTACTCGGCAGACTGAGGCAAAAGAACTGCTTGAACCCAGGAGGCAGAGGTTGTAGTGAACCGAGATCATGCCACTGCACTCCATCCTGGGTGACAGAGCAAGACTCCATCTCAAATAAAATAAAATAAAATAAGTGTGGCTTCGAGATGGCTGTATTAGTCCGTTTTCACACTGCTGATGAAGATATATCCAAGACTAGGAAGAAAAAGGTTTAATGAACTTACAGTTCCACATGGCTGAAGAGGCCTCACAATCATGGCGGAAGGCAAGGAGAAGCACATCACATCTTACGCAGATGATGGCAAGCAAAGAGAGAGAGCTTGTGCAGGGAAATTCCAATTTTTAAAACCATCAGATCTCATGAGACTTATTCACTATCACGAGAACAGCACGTGAAAGACCTGCCCCCATGATTCAGTTACCTCCCACTGGGTTCCTCCCGTGACATGTGGGAACTGTGGGAATTACAATTCAAGATGAGATTTGGGTGAAGACACAGCCAAACCATATCAATGGCCAACTAGATGCAGCCAGGAGGAAAATCTCCTACTGAGGAACTGGGACATTAGAAAGACTGATGCACTCCTGGCAGATCTTCAGAGAGGAAGCATTGAGAACAGAAAGAGGGAAGACACAGATGCTGAGCTGAAGGGGGAAGAAGCTGAGAACACTGCATGGGACTGCTATACAGAACTCATTCCTGGTGCCCAATGACTCCTGTTGACAGCTGAGTTGAAGAGGCAAAGGGAAACCTGCTCTTGCCATGGGTATCTGGAATCTTGCCAGCAGGAAACTTCATGACCCTCATGGACCCTTGAGTTGGTAGTGAGAACTGTTTAGAGAAGCAATAGCAGCAGAACTTGAGCTGGGGCAATTTGGTGCAGGAATGTCATAAGTGAAGGAGACATATGATCATTTTCAGACAAGCAAATGCTGAAGAAATTCGTTGCCACTAGAAATGTTTTACAAGACCTCCTGAAAGAAACACTAAATATGAAAAGAAAAGACTGTTACCAGCCACTACACAAAACAAACTTAGGTACACACACCAGTAATACCATAAAGCAACCAAACAAACAAATCTTCATAATAACCAGCTAAAATCATGATGATAGAATGATTGAATTACACATATCAATACTAACCTTGAATATAAACAGAATAAATGCCCCAATCAAAAGGCACAGAATGACAAGCTAGATAAAGAACCAAGACCCATTGTTATGCTGCCTTCAAGAGACCCATCTCACATGCAGTGACACACACAGGCTCAAGATGCAGGGATGGAGGAAAATCTGCCAAGGAATGAAGAAGAGGAAAAAAACAGAAATTACAATTCTAATTTCAGACAAAACAGACTTTAAAGCAACAAAGTTTTAAAAAGACAAAGAAGAACATTACATAATGGCAAAGGCTTTAATTCAAGGAGACCTAATTATCATAAATATATACACACACACACACACACACACAAACACACTCAACGCAGGATAACTCAGATTCATAAATCAACTTCAAAGAGACTTAGACTCCCACACAATAACAGTGTGTGTCAACAACCCACTGACACTATTGGACAGATCATCAAGGCAGAAAATTAACAAAGATGTTCAGGACCTGAACTCAACATTGGTCTAATTGGTACTGATAGACATCTACTGAACTCTTCACCCGAAACAATAAAATATACATTCCTCTCATTGCCACATGTCCCATACTCTAAATTGACTACAAAATCGGATGTAAAAATATCCTCAGCAAATGCAAAACAACTGAAATCATACCAACCATTCTCTTGGACTACAGTGCAATAAAAATAGAATTCAAGAGTTAGAAAATAGCTCAAAATTATATAATAACATGAAAATTAAATAAGCTCCTTCTGAATGACTTTTGGGTAAATAGTGAAATTGAGGCAGGAATCAAAAAGTTATTTGAAACTAATGAGAACAGAGATACAACATACCAGAATTTCTGGGACACAGCTAAGGCAGTGTTAAGAAGGAACTTCATAGCACTAAACACCCACATCAAAAAAATTAGAAAGATCTCAAATTAACAACCTAACATCACAGCCAAATGAGAAGCAAGAGTAAACCAACCTCAAAGCTGGCAAAAGACAAGAAATAACAAAAATCAGAGCTGAACTGAAAGAGACTGAGACGTGGAAAAACATTCAAAAGATCAACAAAGCCAGGAGCTGATTTTGTTAAAAAATTAAGAAAATAGATAGACCACTAGCTAGAGCAAAAACAAGAGAAGACCCAAAAACACACAATCAGAAATGACAAAGGTGATGTTATCACTGACCCCACAGAAATATAAATAACTATCAGATACTATTATAAACACCTCTATGCACACAAACTAGAAAATCTATAAAAAAATGGATAAATTTCTGGACACGTGCACCCTCCCAAGACTGAAGCCGGAAGAAACTGAATCCCTAAATGGACCAATAACAAGCACTGAAATTGAATCAGTACTAAACAGAAACCCTGAAACCTAAAGATTAATAGCTGAATCATACCAGGTTTACACAGAAGAGCTGGTACCATTTCTACTGATACTATTCCAAAAAAATTAAGGAGGAGGGATCCCTTCCCAACTCATTCTATGAGGTCAGCATTATCCTGATTCCAAAACCTGAAAGACATAACAACACAATAACAAAAACTTCAGGTCAATATCCTTGATGAACGTCAATGCAAATGTCTTCAACAAAATACTAGCAAATCAAATACAGCAGCATGTCAAAAAGTTTATCCACTACAATTAAGTAGGCTTCATCCTTGGGTTGCAAGGTTGGTTCAACATATGCAAATCAATAAATGTAATTCATCACATAAACAGAAATAAAGACAAAAACCATGTGATCTCAATATACACACAAAAGTCTTTTGATAAAATTCAACATTCCCTCATGTTAAAAAATGTCAACAAACTAGGTGTTGAGGAGACAGATCTCAAAATAATGAGAGCCATCTATAACAAACCTACCACCAACATCATACTGAACTTGCACAAGACAAGAATGCTCTCTCATGGCTTCTATTAAACATAGTATTGGAAGTTCTGGCCAGGGCAGTCAGACCAGAGAAAGAAATGAAGAGCATCCAAATAGGGAGAGAAGAAGCCAAACTATCTATGTATGCACATGACATGATTCTATATCTGGAAAACTCTGTAGTATCAACCCAAAAACTCATGAAGTTGATAAACAACTTCAATTTTGAGGTATGCCTCCTCAGCATCTAACTTCTGTTTTGAGGTATGTCTCCTCAATACTTTAGTATTTTTTAGGTGTGTCTCCTCAACACCTAGTTTGTTGACAATTTTTAACAGAAGAGAATGTTGAATTTTATCAAAAGATTTTTGTGCATTTATTGAGATGATCACATGGTTTTTTTCTTTAGTTCTGTTTATATGATGAATCACATTTACTGATTTGCATGTGTTGAGCCAACCTTGCAACCCAGGGATGAAGCCTACTTGATTGTGGGGAAAAGGCTTTTGACATCTTTCAAAGTTTTAGGATATAAAATTAATGTACAAAAATCACTAGCATTCCTATATACCACCAACAGTCAAGCCGAGAGTAAAATCAGGAGTGCAAACTCATTCACAATTGCCAGAAAAACAATAAAATACCTAGGAATACAGTCAATCATGGAGGTGAAAAATCTTTACAAGGAGAATTACAAAGCACTGCTAAAAAAAAAATTAAAATCAGAGATGAGTGAGGGGCCAAGATGGCCAAGTAAAAATAGCTCTAGTCTGCAGCTCTCACTGAGATACATAAAAACAGCCAGTGAATTCTGCATTTTCTACTGAGGTACTCAGATTCTCCCATTGGGACTGACTAGGCAGTTGGTGAAACGTAGAGGGCAAGGAAAAGCAGGGTGGGGCAGTAGTTCATCCAGGAGCTGCACAGAGCAAAGGGACTTCCCTTCCCCAGCCAAGGGTGGAAGTGAGGGATTGTGCTACCTGTCCAGAGAACTATGGTTTTTCCACGGATTTTTGCAATTTGTGGATCAGGAGATTCCCTCGTGTTCCCACAACACCAGGGTCTCAGGTCTCAAGCACAAAGCTGTGCAGACCCACGACAACTGCCAGGCTTGGCAACCCTTCAGGCAGACACAGAGCTGCAGGAGTTTTTGCATACTCCAGAAGCTCCCAGAACTCCAGTGAGGCAGGAGAACCATCCATTCCTGTGTGAGAGGGGCTGAAGCCAGAGAGCCAAGAGGTCTTGCTCAGCAGGTCTCACTTCCACCGAACCCCACAAGATAAGAATCACTAGCTTGTAATCCCCACTGACCAGCACAGCAGCTTGGAGTCTGCCTAAGACAACCAAGTTTCCGGGGGGAGCGGTGACCTCCATTACTGCAGTTCTAGTTGGTGTCCAGGAAAGGGCACTGTGAGAGGAGTGGCTAGAGGGAAGCTAGAGATTAAATCTAAATTAAATGTATGTTGTTTCTAATTTTATTTTCTTGAAATAGGTAGAGGCAAAGGCACTGTAAGACATAGATTTTCTGGTGGAAGGAGCTGTAGAAATTTAGAAAAGGGCATTGTGCAAGAAGGAGCAAGAGTTGCAAAGACAGTTGTAGTCAAGGCTGCAATTTGAGGTGAATTTGCTCAGAGAACTGCTAAAATGCCAATGTTTTTCTTTTCTTAGATAATACTACCTGGACCATACTGAAGAGAGCATGTAAGATCTAGAAAAAGACTGACTTCTATGCGTCGTTTTCAGTAGTCTAGTGGTAAGCTCAAGCCTCCTGTGCTCATGAGTAGAGCACAGAAGTTAACAGATATATCAGCTTCTCAGACAGATCTTGTTATAAACCCAAGACTCCTATGAATCTTTTTTAGAAGTTCTTCATGCCACTCTGCTCCAGCTTGAATGAAAGACTATCTAAGTGGCCTGATAAAATGGCAGATAGGAGGCAGGACTAACTTGCAGCTCCCACTTCAATGGACACAGCATGTGGAGATTCATATTGTGAATTGTTGCTCCAAGAACTACCACAGGAACATACCAGGAATACTGAAAGAATTCACAGACCCGTTGAAAAACATGGCTTACCACTGCAAACTCCTAGAGACAGCCACAAAATCGTTGAGTGTCCAAAGTGTGAGAGGGGGAAAGTCTGCCCCAAACACACATCTTCGCAGGGGAGCCTGAAAATCCAGATCATGGGAGAAGGATTTAACCTTACCTAGAGCTGAAACAAATTTAGAGAGCCAAGCAAAATATAAAAGAAGAAGCAGCAGCAAGAAGAGCCTTGAGGCACTCCCAGTTCCAAGGAAGCCCAGGGAAACAATTTCTGACTGAAGGAAACTTCTAGCTGAACTTCGTAATAATTTCAACTAAGCACGCATTTTCCAGGGTAGAATCTTGGGGTGGGAGGTGAACAGGAAGTGCAGATAGAAGGACAGAAACTGTGGTGAGGAGGGGCAAAGTCTGAAAGCCCTGATTGTTTTCTCAGCAGGGAGGCCTGGAGCCTGGAGCAAGTTCCCAGCTCTGCTCACTGGCTGCCTGGATATAAACTTGTTGCTGCTGGGGGAGCACAGAGAAACAGAACTGAGACTGGCTTTTCTGGCTGCCTGGGAGCTTGGTGAGGCCTGTCTCTGCTGGCTTTCCCTCATTTCCCTGGTAATCTGTGTGACACAGCAGAGGTAGCCATAATCCCCCAGGGAACATAACTTTATCGGCCTGAGAACCACACCTCCATTCCCCACAGTGGCTGCAGCAAGGCCTACCCAAGGAGTCTGAGCTCAGACACGCCTAACTCCTCCCCCAACTGATGGTCTTTCTCTACCCATCCTAGTAGTCCAAGACAAAGGACACAATCTCTTGGGAGCTCTATGACCCAGCCCACTGCCTGGGAAATTTATTTAGGAAATTTATTAGGGCAAGCTTGTATCCTCCCTGTACTAACACAGCTGATGCTCTCTTGAAAGATACACCTCCTCTAGTAACACAACTCATAAAAGAACAACCCAGCCACAAGAAAGGAGAAAACAACAGCTAACTCCACCACTTGTAACATCCTGGCTAACCTGAGTTTGTCCACATTGTAACTTAATGCCAACAGCACAACCACCATTCGAGAATACCTGTGCAGTAAACAAAACTACAATTGAGGTCCAACACAGAGTTCACCTCACCTCCCTGCTACCACCAGCAGAGCAGAAGCTGGTATCCATGGCTGAGAGATCTGAAGATGGATTACATCACAGGACTCTTGCAGACACTCTTCAGTACCAGCCTGGAGCCCAGTAACTCCACTGGGTGGTTATGCACAAAAGAGAAATAACAATCACTGCAGTCCAGCTCCCAGGAAGCCCCATCCCTAGGGGAAAGGGGAGTGCACCACATCAAGGGAAAATCACATGAGACAAAAGAATCTGAACAGCAGCCCCTG
Organism: Homo sapiens; assembly: GCF_000001405.40. Lineage (NCBI taxonomy): Eukaryota > Metazoa > Chordata > Mammalia > Primates > Hominidae > Homo > Homo sapiens. Next base: position 126,058,714 of record NC_000002.12, on the reverse strand, counting down.
AGCCTGAGAACCTTCCTCTGACATAGTCCACACAAATGAGAAGGAACCAGAAAAACATTTCTGGTAATATGACAAAACAAGTTTTGTAACACTGCAAAACATCACACTAACTCACCAGCCATGGATCCAAATCAAGAAGTAATTTCTGAATTGCCAGAAAAAGAATTCAAAAGTTCCATTATTAAGCTACTCAGGGAGGCAACAGAGAAAGGTGAATACCATTTAAAGAGATGTAAAAAAGTTACAGGATATGGACAGTAAAATCTCCCAAGAAATACATAGCATAAATAAAAAACAATCACAACTTCTGGAAATAAAGAGCACACTTAGAGAAATGCAAAATACACTGGAGAGTCTAAACAATAGAACTGCATAAGTAAAACAAACAAACAAACAAGCAAACAAACAAACAAAAAAATCAGAGCCCAAAGAAAAGACTCTTGAATTAACTCAATCAAACAATGACAAAGAAAAAAAATTCAAGCAATATAAACAAAGCCTCCAAGAAGTTTGGGATTATGTTAAATGACCAAACCTAAGAATAATTGTTCTCGAGGAATAAGAGAAATCTAAAAGTTTGGAAAACATGTTTGAGGTAATAATTGAGGAAAACTTCGTTAGCCTTGCTAGAGATCTGGACATCCAAATACAAGAAGCTCAAAGAACACCCAGGAAATTCATTGCAAAAAGGTTATTACCTGGGCACATAGTCATCAGGTTATCTAAATTCAAAACAAAGGAAAGAAAAGAACTGTGAGGCAAAAGCATCAGGTAATCTATAAAGGAAAACCTATTAGATTAACAGCAGATTTCTCAACAGAAACCTAACAAGCTAGAATGAATTGGAGTCCTATTTTTAGCCTCCTTAAGCAAAACAATTATCAGTCAAGAATTTTGTATTCAGTGAACCAAGTTTCATAAATGAAGGAAAGATACAGTCTTTCTCAGACAAACAAATGTTGTGAGAATGAGCCACTACAAAGTCAGCACTATGAAAACTGTTAAACAGAGCTCTAAGTCTTGAAACAACCTCAAAATACACCAAAATAGAACCTGTTTACAGCATAAATCTCACAGGATCTATAAAATAATAACACAACTAAAAAAAATCCAAGGTATTCAGGCAACACCTAGCATGATTAATAGAATAGTACCTCACACCTTAATACTAATGCTAAATGTAAATAACCTAAATGCTCCACTTAAAACATATAGAATGACAGAATGGATAAGAACTCACTAACCAAGTATCTGCTGTCTTCGAGAGACTCACCTAACAAATTACGACTCACATGAACTTAGGGTAAAGGGGTGGAAAAAGATATTCTGTGCAAATGGACACCAAATCAAGCAGGAGTAGCTATTCTTACATTGGACAAAACAGACCTTAAAGCAAAAACAGTTAAATACAAAGTAGGACATTATATAATGATAAAAGGATGAGTACAAAAGGAAAATATCACAATCCTAAATGTATATGCATCTATCACTGGAGCTCCCAAATTTATAAAGCAATTACTACTAGACCTAAGAAATGAGATAGGTGGCAAGACAGTAATAATGGGGGGACTTCCATACTCCACAGACAGCAGTAGACAGGTCATCAAGACAAAGTCGACAAGAAAACAATGGGCTTAAACTGTAACCTACAACAAATTGAAGCAGCTACATTGTCTGGGGTATAAACCTGGGGTTTGTCATCTCATGCCAGGAAAATGCAGGACATGGACACACATGAGGAGTTTAGGTAGCAGAGGTTTAAAAGGCAGAACAAAGAGAAAGAAAAACAGTTCTCTTTCTATTGAGAGAGAGGGGACTTGCCAGAGGAAAAGACCTGTGGGCAGTGGACGTGCTGGATTTTATAGTCACGTTTGAGAAGGCAGTGTCTGATTTACATACGGCTCACAAATTGGTTCAAATAGGTATGACATTTGCATAGCATGTGGGAAAGGATGTCCACTCCACCCCTATCTTATTATGCCAATGAATTATCCAGTTGACCAAGGCCATCTTGTCTGCTCCTTACTGTATACATGGCTGATAAATAGAAGGGAAGATGGGGCTGCCATTTTAAACTTGATTGGCACAACTGCCAGCATCTATGTCTGCAGCTTGATTTAACAGGCTGTTCTTTGTTAGAAAGGAAAATGATTTGGGGCTGATTTTCATTAAAAGGAAAACCTTATTGAGGACTTTCATACTCTATCTGCCTAATTCTTCTTAACTCCTGTATCAAAATGGACTTAACAGATATTTACAGAACATTCTACCCAACAAGCAGAATGTACCTTCTATTTATCATTACATGGAATATTCTCCAATATAGACCATATAATAGGCCACAAAACAATTCTTGATAAATTTAAGATAATCAAAATTATATCAAGTACTCTCAGACCACAGTGGAATAACATTGGAAATCAATTCCAAAAGGAACCCTTACAAACCTGCAAATACATGAAAATTAAATAACCTGTTCCTGTATGATCAATGGATTAATAATGAAATCAAAATGGAAATTAAAAATGTATTTGAACTGAACAATAATAGTGACACAACCAATAAAAACCTCTGAAATACAGCAAAGTCAGTGCAAAGAGAAAAGTTCATAGCCTTAAATGCCTACATCAAAAAGTCTGAAAGAACACAAATAGGCAATCTAAGGTCACATTTCAAGGAACCAGAGAAACAAGAACAAACCAAACCCAAACCCAGAAGTAGAGAAATAACAAAGATCAGAACATAACTAAATGAAATTAAATAACAAAAAATACAAAAGATAAATGAAACTAAAAGCTGGTTCTTTGAAAAGGTAAATAAAAGTGATAGATTAACCAATAAGAGAGAAAATCCAAATCAGCTCAATTAGATATGAAATGGGAGATATTTCAACTGATACCACAGAAATACAGATCATTCAAGGCTGCTAGGAACACCTTTATATACACAAACTGGAAAAACTAGAAGAGATGGATAAATTCCTGAAACACAACCCTCCTAGATTAAACCAGGAAGAAAGGAAGGAACAAAAACTTTGAACAGACCAATAACAAGCAGCAAGATTGAAATGGTAATTTAAAAAAAAAAAAAAACTGCCAACAACAACAAAAAAGTTCAGGACCAGTTGGATTCACAGCTGAATTCTATCAAACATTGTACTAATCCTGTTGACACTATTACAAAATATAGAGAAAGGGAATCATCCCTAAATCATTCTACGAAGCCAGTTTCACCTTAATACCAAAACCAGGAAAGAATGTAACAACAACAACAAAATACAGACCAATATTCTTGATGAACATAGATGCAAAAATTCTCAACAAAATATTAGTTAACCAAATATAACAGCATATCAAAAAGATAATCCACTATGATCAAGTGGGTTTCATGCCATGAATGCAGGGATGGTTTAACATATGCAAATCAACAAATGTCATATGCCACATAAACAGAATTAAAAACAAAAACCACATGATTATCTCAATAGGTACAGAAAAAGCATTTGACAAAATTCAGCTTCCCTTTATGATTAAAACCATCAGCAAAATCAGCATAGAAGGGACATCCCCTAAGGCAATAAAAGCCGTCTATGACAAACTCACAGCCAACATTATACTGAATGGGGAAAAGTTGAAAGCATTCCGCTGAGAACTTGACTAAGACAAAGATGCCCATTTTTACCACTTCTATTTAACATAGTACTGGAAGTCCTAGCTGGAGGAATCAGACTAGAGAAAGAAGTAGAGGGCATCCAAATTGATAAAGAGAAAGTCAAACTGTCACTGTTTGCTGATGATGTAATCGCACACCTAGAAGACCCTAAAGACTCATTCAAAAAGCTCCTGGAACTGGTAAATGAATTCAGCAAAGTTTCAGGATACAAAATTAATGTACACAAATCAGTGGCTCTGCTATACACCAACAGCAGCCAAGCTGAGAATCAAATCAAGAACTCAACCCCTTTCATAATAGCTGCAAAAAACTGAAACAAAATACTTAGGATTATACCTAACCAAAGATGTGAAAGACCTCTACATGGAAGATTACAAAACACTGCTGAAAAAATTATAGTTGATGCAAACAAATGGAAACACATCCCATGCTCATGGATGGGTAGAATCAATATTGTGAAAATAATTATAATACCAAAAGCAATCCACAAATTAAATGCAATTCTCATCAAAATACCATCATCACTCTTCATAGAATTAGAAAAAGAAATCCTAAAATTCATAAAGAACCAAAAAATAGTCCATACAGCCAAAGGAAGACTAAGCAAAAAGAACAAATCTAGAGGCATCACATTACTCAATTTCAAACTATACTACAAGGCTATAGTCACCAAAACAGCATGGTACTGCCATAAAAATAGACACATAGACCAATGGAACCAAATAGAGAACTCAGAAATAAAACCAAATACTTTCAGCCAACTGATCTTTGACAAAGCATAAAAAAACGTAAAATGGGGAAAGGACACCCTATTCAACAAATGATGTGGGATAATTGGCCAGCCACATGTGGAAGAATGACGCTGGATCCTCATCTCTCACCTTATGCAAAAATCAACTCAAGATGTATCAAAGATTTCAATCTAAGACCTGGAACCATAAAAATTCTAGAAGATAACTTTGGAAAAGCTCTTCTAGACATTGGCTTAGGTAAAGATTTCATGACCAACAACCCAAAAGCAAATGGAATGAAAACAAAATAAATAGATGGGACTTAATTAAACTAAAGTGCTTCTGTACAGCAAAAGAAATATTCAGCATAGTGAACAGACAACCCACAGAGTGGGAGAAAATAGTTTTGCAAACTACACATTCAACAAATGACTAATATCCAGAATCTACAAGGAAATCAAACAAACTAATAAGAATAAATTAATCATCTCATCAAGAAGTGGGCTAAGGTCAGGAATAGACAATTCCCAAAAAAAGATATACAAATGGCCAACAAACATATAAGAAATGCTCAACATTACTAATTATCAGGGAAATACAAATCAAAACCACATGCAATATCACCTTACTTCTGCAAGAATGGCCATAATTTAAAAATTTTTAAAAATAGATGTTGATGTGGATGTGTTGAAAAGGAACATTTTTACACTGCTGGAGGGAATGTAAACTAATACAACCACTATGGAAAAGAGTATGGAGAGTCCCTGAAAATCTAAAAGTAGATCTACCATTTGATCCAGCAATCCCACTACTGGGTGTCTACCTAGAGGAAAATAAGTCATTATATTAAAAAGATAGTTGCACATGAATGTTTATAGCAGCACAATTTGCAGTTTCAAAAATATGGAACCAGGCTAACTGCCCATATATACATACAATGGAATACTACACAGCCATAAAAAAGAATGAAATAATGGCATTCTCAGCAACCTGGATGGAGCTGGAGACCATTATTCTAAGTGAAGTAACTCAGGAATGGAAAACCAAACATCATATGTTTCTGTTTATCAGTGGGGACTAAGCTATGAGGGTACAAAGGCATAAGAATGGCATAATGGATGGTGGGAACTTGGGGGGAAGGGTGGGATGGGAGTGAGAGATAAAATACTACACATTGGGTACCATGCTGTTTTGGTGACTATAGCCTTGTAGTATAGTTTGAAATTGAGTAATATGATGCCTCTAGATTTGTTCTACTTCCTCCTTTTTATTTCTCAAAAAAAAAAAAAAAAAAAAAGAAAGGTTTTTGGCCCCTGCTGTCCATGTCAGCTCAGAGTTGTGCCTAGCAAGTTTTAAAAGGTCTAGGTATTTTCCTTTTCTCAAAGTTAATATTACAAAAGAATGCAAATCATTTTGGGAAAGAGTTAGATGAATATGTACGGCATACACATGTTATGGTATACAGCCCTTCTTTACAGCAATCAATACCTCTCGAAGTTTTGAGGTTTTGAGCCAGAAATGGGAGAATTTTGAGGGAGCATGATTTCCCATGGTCCCTCACATAGTTGTATGCTAACTCCCAACTTTTTTCTGCATACAAAAAAGTGTTACGGGAAGTCAGGGACCCTGAATGGAGGGATCGGCTGGAGCCGCGGCAGAGGAACATAAATTGTGAAGATTTCATCTTAATATGGACATTTATCAGTTCTCAAATAATACTTTTATAATTTCTTATGCCTGCCTTTACTTTAGTCTCTTAATCCTATTATCTTCGTAAGCTGAGGATGTAGGTCACCTCAGGATCACTGTGATAATTGTGGTAACTGTACAAACTGATTGTAAAACATGTGTGTTTGAGCAATATGAAATTAGTGTACCTTGAAAAAGAACAGAATAATAATATTTTTATGGAACAAGGGAAGACAACCATAAGGTCTGACTGCTTGTGGGGTCGGGCAAAAAAAGCCATATTTTTCTTCTCGCAGAGGACCTACAAATGGACGTGCAAGTAGGAAACATATCACTAAATTCCTTTCCTAGCAAGGAATATTAATATTAATACCCTGGGAAAAGAATGCGTCCCTAGGGGGAGGTCTATGAATGGCTGCTCTGGGAATGTCTGTCTTGTGCAGTTGAGATAAGGACTGAGATAAGCCCTGGTCTCCTGCAGAACCCTCAGGCTTACTAGGGTTGGGAAAACTCAACCCGGGTAAATACGTGGTCAGACCAGTTCTCTGCTCTCGAACCTTCTTTCTGTTGTGTAAGATGTTTATCAAGACAATATGTGCACCCCTGAACATAGACCCTTATCAGTGGTTCTGCTTTTGCTCTTTGCCTTGTGATCTGTGTTGGACCCTTATCAGTGGTTCTGCTTTTGCCCTTTGTCCTGTTTGCTCAGAAGCATGTGATCTTTGTTAGACCTTTATCAGTGGTTCTGCTTTTTGCTCCTTGAAGCATGTGATCTTTGTACCTACTCTCTGTTCTTACACTCCCTCCCCTTTTGAAACCCTTAATAAAAACTTGCTCGTCTGAGACTCAGAGGGCATCACAGTCCTACCGATATGTGATGTCACCCCTGGCGGCCCAGCTGTAAAATTCCTCTCTTTGGACTGTCTCTCTTTATTTCTCAGCCAGCCGACAGTTATGGAAAATAGAAAGAACCTACGTTGAAATATTGGGGGTGGGTTCTCCCAATAGAAAAGCATGCAACACTATCTTTGGCTGTCCATCTCTCTTTACCCTAGGGAGGACATTGACCTAGATCACTGCTGTCCAGCCTCTCTTATTGCCACATTCATCTTGTCTCTGACTGTTTAATGCTATTACCTGTCCTCTGATTTTCTGTAATTCTATTATTATCACTTACATTAGATAACTTAGCATCTGAAGAGCCTCTCCTTCCATCAATATTGGCCTTCGGGGAATAGCCATTACTGTTAAATGAAACATGCTTATACCCACTTCGCTATTACGTTGTTGAATGCCTCAACAAAGGGGCTAACCTTGGCCTCCCCAAAGAACACAGTCCAATGGTGACTTATCAGATGTTATATAATAAATGCATTCTGACATTGTTCCCTCCTGAAACTTTGACTGTTTATCTCAATATTGTGCCAACATGGTTCTGGCAACTCTCCTTCAATTTCTGTGAATCATTGTTGAATTGATAACTTCAAAGAGCTACCCCAGCAAACTGTTAGGACCAGATCCAGGGATCCTTGTAGAAACATTATCTCAGTTCCTAGGTTAATGATTTAGTGATCTTTTCCTTATCTAGTCTTATATTCGATTCTATCCTCCAATTATAAAAATCTAGTATGCCTTTCCACATGTACTCAACAGGTTCTTGTAGTACCTACACCCAGATTCTTCAAGTCCTTTGACCTGTGAGCTCTTAAGAAGCAGGACTTGTACTTTTTTAAAACTGAGTAGGAATCTGACTCATTGATTAGCCTGGTATTAATTATGGATCATCTGAGTAGGCCTTGACAGGAACATGTGGCATCTTTTTGTGCATCTTCTTTGAGTAAGGTCATTGGATATCAAAAGAGAAAAGGCTGATTTCATTGTGCAAGAACTTCAAGGGAATTTAGAACTTCAGGAGCCTTGGGCTCATCCACCAAAATGTCGCCAATTCCAGGTGTAATGATCCTGTTCTTTCCCATCAGACCTCTGCCTTTGAATGGGAAATAAGTTGGGAATACACAGTTTGCAAGCTTTACACTTCTGTTATCCTTAAAACAAGAACCTGAACTTGGTTTTTAGCTTCAGTTTTTCCTGAAGGTGCAGGATTCTTTAAGATTCTTTAAGATTGTCATCATGGGGTTTTGATTACTCAGGTGTGCCTTAAATTGGCAAGTAATTCCCCTAAGTCTACTAATTTCTTTCTGCAAGACTCCAATGCTGGCAAAAGGAGGTTGATAAATAACATTTCCTCCCATACTGATGAAACATCACAGCTACTTGAGCTCTTAATGACCTTCCCTTCACTTACATCTCATCCCAATTAACCACCAACAAAAGCTTTATAACTTTGATGCCACTGCACACTGCTCCTAGAACAATTGTGTTAGTCCAATTTGTCTTGAAAACATAGCTCAAGGTAAAACATATGTGCTAATGCAGTATTGAAAGGGGGAATCTTTGACCAGAAAGAAGAAAGGGAAGTAAGACAGGAAAGGGTAGGAGACACATACAGAGTGGTGTGTTATGAAGCTGGCCATTATGTCACTGAAACATAGCCATGGAGCATGCCTTCTAAAGATGTACAGAAAGCTTCAGGACCACCCAGTGGAGGCAACCCTGGAGAGGCAATTTATCTGTTGACTTCCTCCTGTCTCCTGAATATGGCACCCTTCTACCCACACACATATGCGCATTTCCAGATGGACTGCCATAAAGTCTCTTAGGCAGTGAGTAGGAACCACACTTTATCTTTGTGTTGTGGGCTTCAGTATCAGTAAGTAATGGGAGAAGTTAGAAATTTAGGGTCTTTATTTTCCATAGTGGAAACTTAAAGATCATAGGGTCACTAACACAGCAGTGACTGAGCAGAGAAGTGACCAACCATCAGGAAAACAGGTGAGGCGTTCAACCTAAAACAGGTACCTGCTATACATTGGCATGGGGCCTGGCATTTAGCACACATGTTATCTTGTAATTCACACAAACTGCCTTGATCTTTAGAGCAATTTACATTTAACTTGCCCTTTGGCCAAAAGTACCATCTGTTTCTTTGCTTCCTTGCAAGCTTTGCTTTGTGGGGCCTAATATGTGCTCTTTTCTAACTCAGTGGAAGTCCTGATGCTTCTGTAGCTTGCTTGCTGCATTCTGTTGCTCTTGGAACTTCTTGAACTACCAGTGACACATTTCTGACATATACTACTTCTATAACCTGCAAACTTCCTTGGTTTCTGCCCAAAAACATGTATTTTTCTGTCTCTCTAGTTACCTATTTATCTCCTTTTTTAAAAATTCAGTACCAGCAACAACTGAACTAGAATTTTTTTCTTCCTTCTGTCCTCCTAGCCAGAGTACAATCTAATTATATTTTTTACTTTTTAGAGTAATAGGTCTACATTAAGATCTAAATTTTTTTGAGCACTGTCTTGATTAAGCTTCAGCAAATTCACTTCATATTGGAGTCCTCATTTGATAGATTGGTAACCTGAGCTTGAGCATCTAAGGGACTTATGAGCTTTCCCCATCCCCTTACTGACTTGCAGGCAAGTGATTTTTATAAACAAAATATGTTCTAAAATAGGTATATTTGGACAGTGTCAGGATGGCCCCAAAGTTCTCTGTTAATTAGTAGCTCACATAAGCTGTTTCCTGAGGCAAACAGTGAAACTGTCCAGTAAATCTGGAGGATATAAATAGAGCATGCCTTTGATTCTTCAAGCCAAATATTGAACTCTCTCTTCAGTGAAAAAGTTTTCAAATCAATAACTTCCATTTACCCTACTCACATGGTAGTTACTAAACTGGGAGTTGGTCCTCTGGGAATGGCATTCTGCCTCTAAGGTAGGATGAGAAGAGTGTATCTAGGATGAACTTCCAAATTGGAGACAGATTTAAAACAATTACCATATGATTAGTCTTGCTACAAAATAATCAAGATATGTATTATATGAATTTAAATATATATGTATTGAGCATATACACATAAAATAAGGTATATATATTTACTAAGCATATATATAATTTATATATCAATGTTATATGGCTAGAGAGTCAGCTTGTCACCAAATATTAGCTTTATTACAAAAAAGAAACTATGTATTGTCATATTAAAAAATCTCTAATTAAGATATTTAGTCTCCTGTCTATTCTACTTTTATAAGGAATGAATAAAGACATCCCATTCTTTTAACAAATTTTTATTTCTTGTGAATATATTCCTCTAATCATTAGGCTCAAGCATAGGAAGATGAAGTAAGAGCAGGAGAAAAATGTTAAGGCAAAGTTTTAACGAATAATCACATTGCTTCCTCCAACTCAATATTAAGGAAAGATGTTTTAAGAATGATGGCGTTGAGGGGAAGGGAAATACGGTTTGTTGGATGCCTCCTATGTGCCAGGTACTGTTGTAACACTTTACTTGGATTCCATCATCTTCATGAAAACTCAGAGCTGATGTGAGAATCCTCAATTTATCATGAGGATTCTGGAGCTAAAAGCTACATTCTTGTCCCAGAGGGGCCCAGCAGGAAGAAGTCCAGGGCTGCACAGCAGTGTCACTGGGATATGGCTTGGCTGCCTGATGGTTTAAGACAAACATTAGCTGAAGACCTCAGCTTACCCATGGAACACCTTTTTCCCTGAGGACACTTCTGAAATAGGGGCACCTTTATCCCTTAGGTGGCTGCTACTATTTGTCATGTCTCAATAGCCAAGTGTGCAAATTATCTCAACGATTACCAGGGATATCTTTCTTAGTAGCTGGAATGAATTGATGATAGTGTTTATTTGCTAGTGCTGTTTCTGATTTCTTGAAATACTTGTATGATTAATATTATGTATCAACTTGGCTAGGCCACATTACCCAGATAGTTGGTCAAACACCAGTCTGGATGTAGCTGTGTAGTTATTTTTTTAAATGGGGTTACACTTAAATAGACAGACTTTGAGTAAAGCAGATGAACCTCTACGATGTGGGTGAGCCTTATCCAATCAGTTGAAGCCTTAAGAGAAAGCAGACTGAGGTTCCCCCAAAGAAAAGGAGTTCTGTCTCCAGACTGCCTTCCAACTCAAACTGCAACATCAATTCTTCCTTAGGTCTCTAGCCTCCCGACCTTCTCTGCAGATTTTGGACTTGCTAGCTTTCACACCAGCATGAGTCAACTTCTTAAAATAATTCTCTCTCATCTGTTTTTTATCTCTCTTTTTATCTATCTCTTTGTGTGTGTGTGTGTGTGTGTGTGTGTGTGTGTGTGTGTGTGTGTGATGTATATATCCACAAAACTAAACAGAATTTCCACTAAGATCAGTGGAGCATTTGAGTATCAAGACTTAGCTCTGCTAGAATAGGACACTGCAGATGATAATGTTTCTAACCAAGTCATGAAACTTTTCTTCCTCTCTAATGATATTATATATATATGCACATGATGTATATAACTATATAAAAATTATAACATTATATATAGTTGTATTAATCCATTTATACACTACTATAAAGAAATACCTGAGACTGGGTAATTTATAAAGGAAAGAGGTTTATTAATTGACTCACAGTTCTGCATGATGACTGCGGAGGCCTCAGGAAACTTACAATTATGGTGCAAGGGGAAGCAAACACATCCTTCTTCACCAGGTGGCAAGGTGGCAGGAGAGAGAAGTGCAGAGCGATGAAGAAAGAGCCCCTTATAAAACCATCGGATCTTATGACAAGTCCCTCAGTATCACAAAGACATCATGATCTAATCACCTCCCACAAGGTCCCTCTCCCAACATGTGGGGATTACAATTCAGTTGACAATTCAAGATGAGATTTGGGTAGGGATACAGAGCCAGACCATGTCAATAATTACTATATATATATATATATACACACACAGACACATACACACACACATATACATACATACACACACACAGACATACACACACGTATGAGACCTCTTATTGGTTTTGTTTTTGGAGAACCATGACTAATGAAACATATGATACATATTTTATCACTACATGAAAGTCCCAGTGCCTGTTATAACCCTGAACAGCATGGGAGGAATTTGTAAGGTCTAAATTCATTTCTACTAGACATAAGGTAGAGACAGCAGAAAACAAGTATTAATAGGAAATGTGATTTTTGAAATGTTGGCATATGGTTATTCAATTGATGGCATTTAAAATGGAAAATAAAATGGTAGTAAGCATAATTTGAAAAGTTCATTCACTTTGATTTCACTGTTTCATTTCTTTAAATTTATTTAAGAGAAAAATATAGAAATATATACATGCATTTCTACTTATTTATTATTTGTTTGTATTTGGGAGCAAAAGTTCTTGAGACCATGATCTTACTGAGAAAAGTGATAAAAAGTAAACCAAATGTCCATAAACAAGTGATAGTTTTAAAAATTATGGTATACATGAATACTGGAATAGATTGCAGATACTAAAAAAAAATTTTAGAAATAGTAAGGATGTGGAATAATACAGATTTAGTATTAAGGGAAAATAAGAAAGCCACAGTCTACATACACTCAGAATACAAATCTTTGGGTTTGGATATTTGGTTACATGATGTTAAGCAACCCCAAGGCACTAGACAGCTATTTCTCTGTGAGAATATTAGGTGTGTTTGTTTTTAATTATAATTTTCTTTTTTCAAATTATTTTAAATCAACATGTGATATTTTATAGTTCAAAAATTAACATAATTTTAATTGAAAATAAGAAAACTATGAAGGATGTTAAGGAGTAAGCTAGGAAAAGAAGAGGCAAAGAGGTACAAATGGAATGGAGTGTGTGGGAGAGGAAAAAGAGACCAAGATGGGCTCGGGCTCATTTGGTTAACTGAACTCTATATTCTGTGTCTCTTACAGGATCTGGTACTGTCAGGAAATTGCAGACATGGTGCTGTTTAGTGGAACTGAAAGGATAATGCCTTAACTCGTTGACTTCTACATCTACATACAGCAGGCAACTGTTGAGAGAAAGAATATATTAATGTATATATTTTGACCAAATGCTTAATGTTCAAGTGTGGAAGTCAATATTTAGTTAACTCCAAGACAAAAACCAAGACCAGGCTGAAGCTGCATATCACTATTGTATGCTAAGCTTCTGGAATACAAGAACATTTCAATTTTTATCTAATAATAATTATTAGAATGCTCTTATTACAAGTGCAAAAGTCATTATTAAATTTGCCAATATTTCTCAGCACTGTCAGTGGCTAGATAGCTCCTGCATTCTCTATATGGCATATTTGCAAAACTAAGCAATTTAGAATTATAATTCAGATCTTAGAATTTCCACTAAGATCAGTGGGGCATCTGAGTATTGTGGCTTAGCTCTGGAAGTATAGAACACTGCAGAAAATGATGTTTCTAACCAGCTCATGAAACTTTTTTTCCTCTCTATAAGTGACTAAGGTGATGTCAAATTTACCTTCATTTAGAAATACAAATTTAATTAATGATATTTATGTTATTTCATTGAAACCATTCCACATATTGAAATTTTATGCACTGTTTTTCTGTCTGAATATATTCAAAAACAAAGTTGAGATTTTTAGTCTCATATCTTTTTATTTATAATATTTGTGAATGCAATTGTAACTTCACAACTACTTGGAACAAATTTGTCCTTAATCTGTTCATGTAGAGATGAGGATGGGGTAATGTAATTGGCACACAAAATGCTGCTCTGAGTTTCCATCTACAACTCAGCTTTCGTTGCGTGACACCAATTTCAGCTTCTTTCCTGGAGTGGAATGATTTGTATATCTTTACAGGAGATTTTTTTAATAAGGAATTCTTGCACTCTTGAAATAAAACAGTTTGATTATTCAGCAGGTTTCAGCAAATGAGCTTTTTTTCTCTGCAAGCTCTGCATTATTGTTATCTGCATGGTATAATATAAAAGCTTTCTTTTGCTTAAGCAGCCTGTCAAAAATCTAATAGCTGTCATTCCCTACTGGTTAAATATTTTGTATGTGACAAGAAAGGTTACAAACTTTTGGATTCCATCATGTAGGTTGTCTTTGACCAGATAGCAATAATAAACAAGACTGTGTGTATATATATATACACACACACACACACTCACACTATATATATATGCATATATATACACATATACATATATGCATATAGATACATATACATATATACATATATATGCATATATATGCACACACACTATATATATATAGCTTATAGTCATATTATAAGCAATATATATATTGCTTCCTTGAGATTCCTAAACTACTCAAAGCCTGGTTCCGTTGTTATAATCATTGCATAGTGCATTTTGCCATTCTAAAAATATTTCTGGCCAGGCACGGTGGCTCAAGCCTGTAATCCCAGCACTTTGGGAGGCCGAGGCAGGCGGATCACTTGAGGTCAGGAATTCAAGACGAGCCTGGCCAACATGGAGAAAGCCCGTCTCTACTAAAAATACAAAAATTAGCCGGGCGTGGTGGCCGGCGCCTGTAATCCCAGCTACTCAGGAGGCTGAGGCAGGAGAATCGCTTGAATTTAGGAGGCAGAGGTTGCAGTGAGCCGAGATCGCACCACTGCACTCCAGCCTGGGCAACAGAGGGATACTCTATCTCAAAACAAAACAAAAACAAACAAACAAACAAACAAATTATATATATATATATTTCTTCAAGTAGTCACTATGTTGCTAGCTGCTTAAGATGCTGAAATCTTTCACCAAACAAATTTACCAAAAGTATAATTGTTAATTCACACCAAAGTTTTTGTAAAAAATGTTTTTCATTGTTTCTCTCCCAAATATCCAACGAGACAAAAGTGGCACACTGAATAAATTCCTTTTTTTTTTTGCCCAGCACATATTATTATTAAATAAAGACATATTTTCATAAGCATGTTTTCTAGAAATAAGACTTTACCAAGCATTTATACATTAAGAAAAACTAAAAAAAAATTATTCGTCTTTATTGAAAATGGTTGACAATTCTTTAACAATCATTTCATCAAACTTTTTGATTAAATATTATGACTCCAAGCTATGAGTATGGCTTACTGTTAGTGCTAGTATAAATGAGGTTGGTGCTATTATGTATAGTGAAATTTTGGGGTAATACAGTTGACATTTTTTTCATAACAATAATTGCCAAATAGTTTTTGAAAATTGTTTGATTCTTGGTGTTCATGGTATCAAACAACTATAATTGAAAAATATTTTCTCAACGCTATTTTGGTTAAAGTTATGAACCTTACGGTTCACCATTTAATTCTATACACATTACATTGTAAGATTATTTATTATTCTATGCTATATTATTTTTAATTTGTTAAAAAAAAATTTGGCTCAAAAGGAACATAATGTTTTTTCTAAAGTTATCTAGCTAACATACACTCACAATCGTTGATTTAACTGTCAACCTTTTCCCCCATTTAACTACTTCAGGGTTTATAAAATTACTAGTAAATAAATAATTATGGTAAAACAGCTGAAGTATTTTACTTTTGCAATAATATATAATTCATCAGACTGATATTGTTTCTCCATATGAATCACATGATGATATTTCATTTAAAGTTATGCCTATGGTGCTTTCTTCTGCTTAAAATTAAACATTGAAATATAAACAGTAAATCAGAATAAAATATCTGTTTATAATCCCAACTTTGTAATGATAATCAAATATGATGGTACCTACATGTTCCCGTAGTCATTGATCACAGAGAAGCTTAGGAATGCCAGAAAAGGCATTCATGATGAGTCCATCTATGTTCACAGTAATTTGGAAATGCCTGGGACTGGGAAACTGTCACAGTAGAAGATGGGATTTACAAGTCTGGAATTTAGTACAGAATCTTAGCCATTATTGAATTATGCTCATGGATTTTGTGGTCAATCATTAGCTGTGATTAGATTAGGGTCTTGGTTTGTGCAGGCTGATATTACAAAATACCATAGATTGGATACCTTATAAACAAGAAAAATTTATTCCTTACAGTTCTGGAGGATGAGAAGTTCATGATCAAGTGGCCAGCAAATTTGGTGTTTGGTGAAGGACTGCTTTCTGATTCATAGACAGCATCCTCTTGCAGTGTCCTCACATGGTGGAAAGGACAAGGCAGCTCTCTGAGGTCTCTTTCATGAAGGCACTAATCTCATCCATGAGGACTCCACCCTCATGACCTAATCACCTCCCAAAGGTGCAATGGAAGAGAATCAGATCATCCAAGGGAGAGTATGAAATTGAAAAGAAAAAGAAGTGAGATGGAGATCTTCACATGTCTACCTTGGGCACTATTTTAGTAATAACAAATGTTGATGACTCATGAGGCAAACAAGGTTCCCAGATAGAAAAAAGATTAGACTGGCACTTGCTGCTCACATGCCTACAAGCCACCAACTCCCTCCCCAGCCCAACACTCACTAGTTGCCCCCATGAGACTGGCTTTCCACCCAAAACAGGTTTCACAGCCCATTTGCACTTTCATGTCTCTCTTTATCCTTTTGATATGTGTTTAATGCTTGCTTTTTGATTAAAATGTACATGAGAAGGGTCTCAGACTATGATTTACTCAGTCTTGTTTATTCAACTAGTGATTATAAAATCTTCTTTTTCCCCTTCTATGAGAGTTGAAAATTAAAATCTGTCCTGAGGGGAGAAAAGTTATTTGACAGTGAATGACTTGCTTTAGGATGATTTCAATGGCAATTGTGAAGATAATAAAACACGATGCCAAATAAATAATCAATCAGCCTACCTATGACACACTGAACTTTGTTCTTATGTACATGGTGATACTGCCTGTCACACTACAAGCTCAACTTCCAAGGAGTGAAGGAGTGACAGGCCTGTGCCACACAGAGATTCCCTCAGCACTCTGCACTGCCTGCAGAGAAGTGCACCATTTTTGATGTGAATAAATATGCATAAGCTAATTTGAATCTGCCTGTTTAGTTTTCCACAGCCCACAACTCTTTTGTACAGCTTGTTTTCACAGGGGCCTGACAGCTGGCCTAATCTACCATCTTCTCAAAAACTGCTCTTCTTTCTGCCTTGAAGGCCCTTCTTCAAGGGCCTTGAAACCAGGAAACAGATTGTCAGGGCACACGAGTTCCCCTAAAGCTCTGTGTATCCCTGTGGCAGTGAGGGAAACCCAGTCTGAGTCAAAGCGTACCTAGACCAGTTTCCAAGTTTTTAAATTGGCATTATGTGATGCTTAATTGGAATTATTTCTAGGGGCCTGAGGGATAGTAATTTCTTATCAAGATGAAAACTAATTAGTGGGCAACTATGAAGTGAGGAAAAAAAATTCTGCAATACCTCTGACCCATACAATAGGGTGTTTATATGTGATAATATTTTCATGTCTTCTCATAACAAATTTGTTTCTTTAATTAACAAACCTAAGACTGCAGTTTATATTAAGACCACATAATCATAGACTATTCCCAGATTCAAATGAAGGATATAAAGTCAAAGGATGTAAATCCAATTTAACAGGACAAACTTGCTAACGCAGCATGAGGGTGCCATGAGCACAGATTTCACTCCTGGTGTCAGGTTAGTGAGCTCAAGCCCTGTATTTTCTTGAATAAAAAACGTCTGCTCTCAGCCCTAATTCTGAAAACATTCAGTTTTCCTTAAATGTCTACAGAGGAAGTCTCAAATGCCTTAGCATGGAATAGAGGACTTAACCACATCCACAAGTGCCTTAGCATGGAATAGAGGGCTTATCATATATGCCCCATTCTGCTGTGTTTTCAACTAAAAACTCCCCACATAACCACATTAGGTGTTCTTCATGTGAGTCTTCAATCATGCCATCTCCTTCCATAGAAATTCCATCCTCTGTCTTCTATACTGTCAAAATTGGTTTATCCTAGATGCTACCTAGATGCTACATGCTCTCCTGTCAGTATTCATGATTTAAATTAACCATCATTTTCTATATGTCATTGCTCACACCTATTTACTTGCACACTCCTTATGCTCTGTTCCTTATATGTATGTCTTTCTCCTCACTAGGAACAGAGCTCCACTAAAGCAGAACCAAATGTAACTACCATACTGACTTTGCAAAGAGATTTACTAGACACACTTGAACATAATTAAGCCAATTTCTGTTTCACAGGTAGCAGGAACATATTTAAGAGAAATGGTAGTGGATACAAAGCTCATATAACTTATTTTATTATTTTATTCATTCAAAAATTTATCTTAAGTATGTACTGGGTGCTAGCCATGGTTACAGATTCTTAGGATACGTAATTGAACAAAATGTCAATGACTTACAGTCTAGGAGCAAAACAAATAATGAAGAATGAATACAATAAAGAATACAATAAATTGGGAATTGTGAAGTGTGTTAGAGGGTGATACACGCTATGGAGAAAAAAGAAAAAAATAGAACAGCATAAAGACAGTTTGGAGTGCTAGATGAAGGGACTGACTGCAATTTTAAATAAGTTGGTCAAGATATGGCTTATTGGGATGAGGTCATTGGCGCACACACTTTGGGGATGCAAAGTTAGTAATAATGATATCTTGGAGGTGATATTTCCAAGTAAAGGCAACAGCCAATGCAAGATACGTGAGGCATTTCTGAGGGACAGTGAGGAGTCCAGTATGATTAGAGCTGAATGAGGGTTACAGATAACTGATGTTGGAAGGTACCAGGGATGTGTGTGTGGGCAGGGGGAGCTGGGGGTGAAGTCAAGGACAAGGGCACAGGTCATGTAAAGCTGTGTAGGCCATTGTAAAGGTTTTGGCTGTCATTGCTAAAGAATGGGAGGCCAATGCAGAATGTTGAAAATAGAAGTAGCATGATTTATCTAGTGCTTTAAAAGAATGCTGTGTTGAGAATAGACTGTAAGGAAACAAGGATAAAAGAACATTTAAGAGGCTATAGCTGCATCTAAGTGGGAAATGCTACAGGTTCAGAATCTGGTGGTAGCAATAAAGGTGGAGGAAGTATTCAGATTTCAGATATTTGAAAATAGAGTTGATAGGATACTTTATTATAGGGTGGGTGATAAAGACTGGAAACAAAAATGACTCTGAGCATGTTGGCCTGGGCAACTATAAGCATGGATTCACTGCTTACTAAAATGAGAAAGGTCATAGATTAATCATCTTTGAAAGAGCATCAAGAACCCAGTTTTGGACACATGCTATTGAAGTATCTATCAAGTGTTTGCAAGGAGTGCCAAGAAAGCAATAGAAAACATGAATCCAGATGCCAGGAGAGAGGTCTGAGTAGAAATATAAACTTGGGAGAAACTGGCATCTTCATGACAATTAAACCATGATATGAAATGAGACCACAAAGGGAGTGCTTGTAAATAGAAAAAGGAAAAGAACCAAGCATGGACTGAGCCCTAGGGAACTTGAACTTTAAGGTTTAAAGGGAAAGGAAGGATCAGCAAAATTAGGCCGATTTGAAAATGAACTAATTTGAAATGAGCCCTTCGGGTAAGCTGAGCCAACCAAGCAGGGAATATACACTATTACAAGGTACTGTGTTGAGACAGCTGGGAAATGCACAAATAGAGGAAGTGATCTTGCCCTCAAGAGATTTATAACCAAATTTGGAAGACAGATGTGCAGAGTGATAGACACACATACAGGAAACATTATTACTAATGCAAAAAATTAACATTTATTTTTAGCAAGATATATGTAATAAATATATAAAATGTCAGTGGTTTGCTCAGAATGTGTCCCCCAAAATACATATGTTGAAACTGTGATAGTATTAAGAAGTACAGTGTTTAGAAGGTGATTAAGTCATGAGGCAAAGCTCTCATGAATGAGATTAATGAGTTTATAATAGAAGCTGAAGGGAATCCCCTAGTCTCTTTTGCCCTTATCTCCCTTCTGCTATGTGAGGACACAGCATTTCTCCCCTCTGGAGAATGCAACATTCAAGGTTCCATCCTGGATATAGAAACCAGAACCTCACCAAACATTGAACCCATTGATGCCTTGATCTAGGGCTTCCTAGGCTTCATAACCATGTGCAATACATTTATGCTGTTTATAAATTACCTAATCTGTGGCATTTTATTATAGCAGCAGGAAAAGGCTACAACAGAATATTCACTTTCCCAAATGAAGTAAAATTTGATTTGGATTTTGAAGCAGGAATTTGAGCCATTGGATAGGGCATTTCAAGGAACCGAAACAGCATGAGTGAAGTAGGTGTGCAAGACCATGCCAGCTCTGGGTTTGTAAAAGAGGTATCAATAGGTTGAAAAAATAGGCAACAGCTTGGAATAGTCAGTGGGAGTGTCAGTACTTGATCATGGAGGTAAAGAAGACCTGCGAAGGCTGCTCGAACTTGGCTGTTACTATGGAAAGCAAGATGGTTGAAGATGTAATTAATTGTTCTCAAGGATCCAATGTCCTTCTACATTTCCTCTCTAACCTTTTTTTAAAAAAAAAATCCTGAATTGTTGCCCTGATTTCTTGTGTCTTTTTCCCATGCACCTTTTCTTTGATGACAATAGTGATCACAGGACTGGGACTCTGACTGGCTTACGAGGCAAGTGAATTCACGGAGATTTTGGCAATCTTTCTCATGAGCTTTTAACCCAAATTTCCCCAACTCAAACTGCACAGACTAAAGCTTTTCACATCAACTCACTTTAGTTATATGGGCATTTAGTAATCATCTACTATGAGCTTAGAGCTTTGCCCAATTCATGGGACATAAAAATGAATAGTGCATGGTCTCAGCCTTGATTTTTCAATGTCAGTATTCTGGAAATCTTTGCTGTCAATATATTACAGTATGAAATAAGATAGAATTGTGCACAGCTGAAAATGGGAACCCAGGAGAACGTAAAATTTAGGCTGTGGGAAAGCTTACTGGTAAAAGTGGCGCCCACTTGCTCTGTTTTGAAAGTAGCCAGGCAAAGGTATATATAGCTAACTGTTAATAATAGCTACCTATGAAGGGTCAGATGATAGGTGTCATTGAATGTTTTTTCTCTCCTTCATCTAGGTAAATCTTAAAATGTTCTTCATCTTAATTTTACTTTTTAATTTTAAAGTTGTCACACTCTCAAACAAAGAGAAGTGAGTTGAGTTCTTTTGGAAGAGTCACTACATTGATTACATAACAGATTAAATGATATTTGCAATTTTAACTTCTATTTCATGCTTTAATAAAGAGAGATCATGCTGCAAAGTATGGAGAATGGATTTCTAGGCATCCAGAACAGCTGGAACCGAGGCCTAGAAACAGATCACAGCTTAACATGATGCAGCAAGCATTGCTACAACAAGGGCAGTGGGAGGTGTGATGGGCACACAGGAGAGGGTGGGCAGTCGGCTGGGTAGTATCTCTGGGAGGCTCCCTGTGTCAGGAAAGAGCACAGCTGTTAATCTAGTTACTATTGTTTAACTTCTTTAAGCCCTGCTTTCCTTGTTTTACATGGTGAGTACATGCTTAACAAACATTGGTTCTTTTCTCCTGTTTGTCTTCCAAGGGCAAAGTAGCCTGTCAGTTAACATAGCAAAATTCAAAGAAAACGAAGTACTCATGTTTTTGAAGAAAAATAAAATCTCCTTTAATGAAATAAGTAGGGTAAAACAAATAGCTAACTATATTCCTACTGTTATAAATTAGAAGCATTTATGTGTTTGCACTCTGAAATCCTAGTATGAACATTACAAAAGGCACTGACAAAGTTCATTGAGTGACCTACTGCTGATAATCTCCAAGGAACACCTCAAGGTCCTCCAGTAGGCAACCTCACTCAGGAAGGCTGAGTCTCAGAGTTCATGAGTCGTGCTATTAGCTCACCTAAGTTATTGTATATACTTGAGTTTTATTGACATCTTAAGTGGAAACAAAGGGAGGAAAAAATAATAAGGTTTACTCTTAGGACCCAAGCTCATCATTATGGGATCGGAACAGAAAGCTGTTGTGAGTATCCCCATCCTCCATATACACACAAGTTCATAAAAAATGACACTGAATAATAATATAACAACTTTGAGGAAGCTAAAAAAGCCTTTATTACTATTCAAATCTATGTAGCCATGCTGTTTTTATTACTCTCACACTGTTTTGTACAGTGCCTTAGATTGGTTTCCCTGGAAACATGCTCTGAGACTGGGCATTGCCTGTAGAGGGTTTATTGGAGAAAACTCTTGGGAGATTACACCTGCAAGGAAAAGGAGAAGGCAGGGGGAAGCTGAACCACAATAAGGCTGCAGCTGAGGGCTCTGAATCCTACAGGAAGCTGTGGATCTGAGACAGTCTTGCAGAGATTTTCCCAGTCAGAATATGGCCTGGGCCTTTGTATTTCTGCTTCAGCCAGTCTCAGGCTGTTGGCTGTCCCCTGGGCAAGGCAGATCCCTGCCACCAGGACTGTGCATCTTTGAGCTGTCCACAGTGGACATGCCAGCAGCCTGGACATGGATGTGTCAGCCCTTAGGAGGGGATGTGGGATGTGATGAGACAAACTACGCAATCTGCCCATCACTGGGCTTATTACCATTACACCACAAATTGTGATGGGAAACATGGTATGTTTCAGTGTTTGCACCAGTGTGATTTGATCTAACCTGATTCAATGGGTCATGATGTCTAGAATCCTTATAGACTCAAGGTGGAATTTTAAAGTTTTATTTGATTTTGGAAATTCAGCTGAAAATTTTTCTTATATTTTGATGAATTTTTCTTTCTTCACTTTGGACCATCAAACTTCTAACTTACCTGAGGAAAAAAGGGGAAATATAGCAAATGGAAGTAGCAGAGATGTGAAAATGAAGCCAGCCAACGGAAGACTTGTTGGGTGTTAGATTTAATTTCACTTAGAGAGTTGAGAAATCCTACTTATAAATCTACTTTGTTCTCTGTTCTGTGCTGGGCAAAAAGGAAAAAAAATAGTCTAGAGACTAGTTGAGCTGATGTGATTGGTATGCATACAATAAACAGAACGACAGAACAAATGGGGCAGGTTTCACAGGGGAATGGAGAAGGGTACCATGTTGAGTGAGGGTTTAAGAAGCACTAGAGGAAACGATGAAAAGCCCGGTACTGGATTTTCAAGCCCTGGGCTCTCACCCATCAACCATACCCTCGCAGCCATGGCATCTCATCTCAGTATGCCTCAGTCTCATCAGTTGTAAAATAAAGTTAAATGAAGCCTTATTTAACTCACAAGGCTATTAAGAGAGTCAGATGAGAGGTCTGTGTACAGGCTTTTCAAACTATAGAACACTAAGGAATAATGAGTAGAAAATGGAATTGTGACACTGGGGTCAGTGTCAGGAGGGTTGAAATATTGGGTCAGGAAATTCCAAAGTTCTAAATCGACATTTCAAGCCATAAGTACCACCTTGGGAATAAAAATGCTTATAAAAATCTGAAATAAATTACTGAGGTGAAAATCTATGTAAAATACTAAGCCTGCTGTTTTCATACAAAACACAGCCCAAGAATGTTAGTATTCTTTATTTTATAGTCAGAGACATGGTCCAAGGAGCATTGTAAAAAGTGAAATACTCCTTTGGGGGAACTTAATGCTTATTTAGCAGTAAACAGATCAATATGGTCTTTAACTATTATTATTCTTTTCATTTGTTTGTTTGTTTCTCTGGTAAGACTCACTAGAACAGTTGATATGTCAAGTTCTCATTCGGGGGCACCTTATTCAAAATTTGATGTCTCCTCATTAACTGATAAAAGTGATTGCAAATGAAGGTGATTGGTGAAGAGCAAGAGTGTTCTCTGAAATATGGTTCCCTCCACACCCAGAAATCCAGTGTTTCTTGTATTCATATGCAATATACTTGATATTAAAGCAAGTTTTTAAAAATTTATGTATATTTTACTTTAATGATTCCTAATCCTCATGTTCTAGATGTAGGCATGTGGTTTTGGAAAACAGCAAGATCAGATTAAAGATAATGTTTGCTGTAGTTTAGACTGAGGAGTTTCTCTCTTAATAAATTTAAGGATTCATATACAGGCATACCTTGGAGATAATGTGGGTTTGGTTCAGGGATTCAGACCATTGAGATAAAGCAAATGTCACAATAAAATGAGTCACACAAAGTTTTTGGCCAGTGCATATAAAAGTTTTATTCACACTATACTATACTCCATTAAGTACAGAATAGCATTATGTTTAAAAATGTGCGTACTTTAATTTAAAAATACCTTATTGCTAAAAAATGCTAACAATCATTGGAGCCTTCAGGCTTAAAATATTCATAATTTCTTTGCTGGTGGAAGTTATTGTCTTGATATTGGTGGCAGTTGACTGATCAGAGTGGTGGTTACTGAAAGCAGGGTGGCAGTGGCAATTTACTTAAATATAACAAAAAATGAGACCTTCAACATTGATTAATTATTCCTTTCATGAAAGCTTTCTCTGCATCATGTGATGCTGTTTGATAGCATTTTACCCACAGTAAAACTTCTTTCAAAATTGGAGTCACTCCTCTCTAACCCTGAAAATGATTTATCAACTAAGTTTGTGTAATATTTTAAATCTTTTGTTTTTATTTCAACAGTGTTCATAGCATGTTTATCAGGAGTGCATTCCATTTTAAGAAACGACTTTCTTTACTACCCATGAGAAGCATCTCCTCATCCATTAAAATTTTATCCTAAGATTGCAACAATTCAGTCACATCTTCAAGCTTCACTCTAAATGTAGCTCTTTTGCTATTTATATCACATCTGTAGTTATTTCTTCCACTAAAGCCTCTAAGCCCTGAAAGTTATTCGTGAGGGTTGGAATTGACTTCTACCAACTCCTATTAATGTTTATATTTTGACCTCTTCCTGTGAATCACAGATATTCTTAATGGCATCTAGAATGGTAAATCCAATGTTCTTTGCGGATCCATCAAAATAATTACTATATATAACAGCTATCACCTCAGGAGACGTATTTTTTTAAATAGTAAGACTTGAAATTACTCCTTGATCCATGGGCTGTAGAATGGATGTTGTGTTAGCAGACAAGAAAACATTTATCTCCTTGTATATCTCCATCAGAGCTCTTGGATGACTAGTTTCACTGCCAATGAGAAGCATGAATTCTTTTTTTCTGAGCAGCAGGTCTCAACAGTGGGCTTAAAATATTCAGTAAGTCATGCTATAAACAAATATGAGAGTAGATTTAGCTTAATTCTTAAGGGCCCTAGAATTTTCAGAATGGTAAATGAGCATTGCCTTCACCTTAAAGTCACCAGTTGCATGAGTCCCTCACAAGAGAGTCAGACTGTTGTTTGAAGTTTTGTAGCCAAACATCCATTTCTCCTCTCTAGCTACAAAAGTCCTAGATGGCATCTTCTTCCAATGAAAGGTATTTCATCTACATTGAAATCTGTTTTTTAGTGTAGCCAGCTTTATCTATTATCTTAGCTGGATCTTCTGGATAACTTGCTGCAGCTTCTACATCAGCACTTGCTACTTCACCTTGCACTTTCATATTACAATGATGGCTTCTTTCCTGAAGCCCCATAAATGAGCATATCAAAAGATGTTCAATATCATCAATCATAAAGTAATTAGTGACACGCAAATAAAAACCACAATGAATCTAAAACAATTGAACTTATAGATGCAGAGAGTAGAATGGTGGTTACCAGAGACTGGGGGTAGGGGGAATGGAGAGATGATAGTCAAAGGGTACAAAGCCTTATTAGACAGGAGAAATAAGTTTGATATTTAAAAATATCAATTGCACAGCATGGTGAATAGAGCTGTACATTTCAATATTGCTGAGAGAGTAAATATCTCATGTTTTCATGACAAAAAAATTAAAATATTTGAGGTGGTATGTTAATTAGCTAAATGTAATCTTATTTCATTATATTAAAAATTACAACACCACTTTGTACCCCATAAATATAAATAACATTGTTAATCAAAATAGAATAGAGGTAGAAGCAACCCAAATGTTAATCGGTGGAAGTCCATCAGTCGAGAAGGCAGTTCTGAAGTGACGTTCTGTCTGTTTCCTGCTCTTTTATTGACCAGCTCTGTGAACTTACATGTAATTTATAACTTCTATGGTTCATTTTTTTTTCTTCCATAAAATGGAGGTTAATTATAGCAGCAGACTCAAAGATTACATTTTTTGTTTTGGCAGATTAAAGGAGATAATTCTGGTCAATATTTAACAACATGTCTGACAAATAGAAAGTACTCAGAAAAACCTTTCTATAGGTTTTTCTCAATGCTCTTCCTATAGAAAAAACCATCATCTTCCCTCTATCCAACCTGGGAGCCTGACTCTGACCATTTGTTTGGCACTTTTTACAGGGTTATAGAAAGGCAATATAAAATACGCTAAAATTTTGATGTGAGAAAACAAAGAACTGAAATACTCTTGTATATATATTGACTCCAAACCCTAGCAAACTGAGCTACAAAAATGTGAGCTCATATAAACAGTATTTACTTTTTGAAAATGAGAACCATGACAGTGTTTAAACTAACATATAGTATGTATAATATAATATTGCATACAAAAATATTACCACAATTGTTTTTACTATAATAATGAAAGAAGGTCATAGTGAAACTTTATGAAAGGAAAAAAAACCATTGAAAATATTTCCCAGAAGTGGAGAAGAATGGTATGTGCATAAATATATTTTTCATTTTTGTTATCAAAACTTTTGATTTTTTAAAAAAGTGGTATTTAAATAAAAAAGATTGGCATAATCTGGAAAATTCATTTATGAGAAATCATTTATCATTTTAATATGCAAAATAAAGAACCTTTGGTTACTATACTCAGTTTTTTTCTTAAAAAGGTGAATAACAAAAGCCTTTGAGAACTGCTTCTGTCTCACTAGAACAACAAATATCTCTGCCTTGAATTCTGATTAAGAATTTTTGGCTACATTTTCACTCACATATGTTTTGCTTCTTTAGAATCTGCAAGGTAGTGAAGCCAACTAAATTCTTCAGTTATAAGCTCTTAGCCAGCACCCCCATAGCCATTTGTCTCCTGTTAAAGGACAGTACACTGCTTTCATTTCACCTGAATCTTAATGGTTTGCATTTGCAATGCCTGCCTGTTTACATTTGTATTCCCTAACTTTCTTATGTTTTATTTTTTCCCCTTTTATCTACCTCCTCCTTCTTCTCCTCTACCGCCTCCACTACTGTTTATACATTTGCTTATTAGTGTACTATTCATGTTGTACACTCTTCACCTGGCTAGCTAATTTAGCTATGTACAATTAAAATCTTTCAAGAGCTTCCATTTGGGAAGCTTCTCCCCATATCACTTAATCAGCTTCTCTAGTTTGACCTCACCTTTCACTCACCTGTCCTTTGGACCTATTCCATCTGAAATCCATCAGCCATCCAGATAATGCATATTTTAATATGTTCAATGTATCCCTCATCTATTATTCATGAGCTTTCTTTTCATTTGCACTTGTTTATTATGTATATGGTGTGCTAACACTGCTTTGTAGAATTTATGTTTGATCTCTTCCCTCAGCGCTTGTCCATCAAATGTGTTGCCTGTCACCATCCATTTAGACCGTTGTGTTTATGCCAAACAACTACCATTTAGAACATAAAAGTGAGCTGGAAGCTTCTTTGGGAAAATTTATTTTAAGTGAACTCAGGTTCACTTTTATTAATACTTAAAGAGAAAATTGATCATCCAGCAGACGTTTTGTCACTTGCAACAAAAGTTCTACAATTGCATGGGTTTTCCTTTCATCTTCTTTGAAGAAAGGTAATAATCTATAGACATACCTTATTTTATTACACCTCACTTTATTGTACTTCACAAATGTTGCGTTGCTTACATATTTAAGGTTTGTGGCAACCCTGTGTTGAGCAAGTCTATCCGTGCCACTTTATCAACAGCATGTGCTCTCTTTGTGTATCTGTGTCATGTTTTGCTACTTCTTGCAATATTTCAAACCTTGCCCTTGTTAGTATAACTGTTATGGTGATCTGTAATCAGTAATCTTTAATGTCACTATTGTAATTATTTTGGAGTGCCCACAAACCATATCCATATAGGACAGAAAACTTAATCAATAAACTTTGTCTGCATTCAATATATCTTTGTTTGTATATCATCTTCGGACAAATGTCTTTTCAAGTCTTTTGCCCATTTTTTAATGTGGTTATGTGATTTTTGGTTGTTAAATTGTAGGAGTTCTTTATACATTTTGGATATCGACCCCTTTTCCTACTCTTTTCTGTAGAACCAATCCCTCCAGGCTATGTGCCCTAAGCTTCTATTTTAACTGGCTTCTTTCTGGAATCTGCCATTGGGAGGTTCTGGTGGAAAACTGGGCAGTGGGAGGAAGAGAAAAGCTAATATATTTGTCATCTCTCTGTCTTAGATTATGTGTCTGGCAAAGATCGTATATCCTCCCGGCTCCAACTACAGTCGCAAAAGCCCATTGTGTTCCCAGCTTCCATCCTGGAACCATCTCCTTCCAGTCTAGAGACAAAATAAACTTAAAGCTTTTGTTTGCTTTGTAGTTTCCTGTTTGGCTTCTCAGCATTTATATCACTTGGATGACCAATTCCCTATTTTAAATTCCCCTTGTTTTGTATGTTTAAGGTGACTTCTCTTTTCCTGTTTGGAGCCTCACTGATCAATCAACCAAGATCATAGTGGATTTTTTGGTATTTAAGACCTTTTTGTTGGTTTTAGAGTAGAATTTTATCAGTCTTCATATAAATACTGCAGATTTTTAAATTGATGTATAATTAATACATAGAGAAATACAAAAATCTTATATTTATAATTTATTGAATTTATAAATTTATAAAACTTTGTAATTGCCATCCAAATTAAGATATGTCACATTTTCTTCACTTTAGAAGGTTCCAGAGTTCTAGTTCTGAAATGACAAGTGAGGAGCTCTGCTGATACACTCTCCAGTGATAAAAAGCATAATTGGTGAAAATTATTTTAAAATCAACCACTCAAAATCTCTTGAAATTGTCATTAGGGCTTACAGAAAGTTAAGTAACATTTACTCAAGAGAATCTACTAAACTCAGTAAATTAAGAGAGTCTGTGGCATTCTAACCTTGGCCAGATCTCTCCCTTTCTTCCAGATCAGCATAATAGAACCTTCACTTCAAGTAGGCACAGCCATGAACAAAGGACCCCCTCTGCAGGCAACTCTCAGTCAAGGGCTAAGGTATCCTCCACAGAGGGGCAGGAATTTCAAAATTCCTTCCATCTCCAACTCTGAGTTTCAGAGGCTAGTGTAACAGAAAGGTTGGAAATTCTCTTCTTCCATGCAACTCCAACTCACAGAGGAGAGATTTTACCCCAGGAGTGGAAGGGTGAGAATCCTGGAGCCCTCATTGCCCTCATCATAGTGCAGGCATGCAGCAAGTTTCCATGCAGGAAGAGGCAAAACTAGAAGACTATAGGGGCCCGGTAACCTGCAAAAGTAGAGGTGTCAATTAGAAAGTTTTCAATTGTCCCCAACCTAAGGACCAGAGCTGTGACTCAGATATTTGGACCAAAGAGAAAGGTAGGCCATAAAACAGAGAGCTCAGAAGTTCTTTACTAAGAATCTAAACTTATCTAAACAAGGTAAGGGGAATTTTAGGCATAAGGGCACTGTCAGAAAAAAAAAATGAAAAATTTGAAAATAAGCCAGTTAAACCATCAGCATCTCTAGTTATCCAGAGAGAATCAGGAATAGCTAAGAGAGTTCTCCTGAGGTCAAAAAAGCAGAAAACTGAGCTCAAAAACTACCCTTGTAAAGGATGCCAAATAGACTGTAGAACAAGTTATGCCACAGGGTGTTGTTGAAAATAAAAGATCAATCAGCTGGCAATTACTGGAATGTAATAGTTGGATGTGGTCAGAAAAAGAAAGGAACAAAGTACCCTACTATATGTACATAGTTGCTCTCGTTTTTTTCTCTTTACGGCTTTAAAATGCATAAAATTACAAAAAGTAATAATTAAAACAATGTTGTTGAAATTGTAACATATGCAGATGTGTTATAATATGCTAACAATTATAGTAGAAAAAGGGGAGAAGGAATAACACTGTAAAGGGCTAATGTTTTTATACCTCACTTGAATTAATTTATTACAAAGGTAAAGTAGATTGTGATAATATTTATCTGGTAAGCTCTAAACCATTAAGAAATAACTCAAAATTGAGAAAAAAAATTTAAAAAATTAAAATATTAAAATAAAAATATTAACTTAAGGTAAAAGGCAGGAGAAAAGGAAGAATTGAGGAACCAAAAGAGCTAAGACAAAAACAAGCAAAATATTAAAATGAAAAATAGAAATTCAAATATATCAAAAATAACATTAAATGTGAGTAGATAAAACAATTCAAATAAAAGGCAGAAGTTGTACGAGAGGATGAAAAAACAGACATGATTCAACTATAGTGTCTAAAGATGCATTTTAGATTCAAATGTACAAATAGTTCGAAAGTAAAAGGATGGAAAAGATATATTATGCAAAGAGCAACCATCAGAAAGGTGGGACGACTATAATAATATCAGAAATAATAGAATTTATATAAAAAATATTACTAGAGATAAAGAGGGACACTTTCAGTAGTAAAAAGGTGAGTCATTCAGGAAGATACAATTGTCAATGTACATGCACCTAAAAACACAGCTTCCAAATACATGAAGCAAAAAATGACAGATTGTTTCAATCTGAATAAATAGGCTATTTAAACATAACAGTTGGAGACTTCAGTACCTCACTTTTTTTTTTTTTTTTGAGGGAGTATTGCTCTGTCACCCAGGCTGGAGTGTAGTGCAGTGGCGTGATCTCAGCTCACTGCAACCTCCACCTCTGGGTTCAAGTGATTCCCCTGCCTCATCCTCTCGAGTAATTGGGATTACAGGCACCTGCCACCACGCCCGGCTAATTTTTGTATGTTAGTAGAGATGGGTTTTCACTATGTTGACCAGGCTGGTCCGGACCTCAAGTGATCCACCCGCCTTGGCCTCCCAAAGTGCTGGGATTACAAGTGTAAGCCACTGTGCTTGGCATATACCTCACTTTCAATAATGAAAGTTCCACTCATTACAAGACCAACCAGAAAGTAGAAGACATAAACAACTTTATAAACTAATTAGGCCTAAGGGACATCTGTAGAACACTTTATTCAACAACAGAATATAATTATTTTCAAATGCATATGAAGTATTATCAAGGATAAGCTATATGCTAGATCATAAAGCAAATCTCAGTACTTTTTTTTTTTTTTTTTTGAGACAGAGTTTCACTCTTGTTGCCCAGGCTGGAATGCAATGGCACGATCTTGGGTAGCTGAGATTGTAGGCACCTGCCACCATGCCCAGCTAATTTTTTGTATTTCTAGTAGAGATGGGGTTTCACCATGTTGGCCAGGCTGGTCATAAACTCCTGACCTCAGGTGACCCACCCACCTCAGCCTCCCAAAGTGCTGGGATTACAGGCATGAGCCACCGTGCCCAGTCCAAACCTCAGTATATTTAAAAGGATTGAATTCATGTAAAACACATTCCTGACAAGAATGGAATTAAATTAGAAATCAGTATCTAAAGGGTTTTAGAGAAATTAATAAGTAAGTGGAAACGAAAAAACATACTCTTAAGTAACCAATAAAAGAATATATGACAGAAAACTTTAAAAATGCTTTAAGTGGAAATAAAGACCCAATATACAAAATATTATGGAATGCAACTAAAGCAGTACTTAGATGTGACTATTTAAATCTGCAAATGCATAGATAGCTAGCTAGCTAGATAGATAGACAGATAGATAATCAATTGCAAAGATAAAACAGCAAACTAAATCTAAAGCTTGCAGAAGAAAGGCAATAGTAAAGGTCAGAGCAGAATTTATTGACATAGACAATAGAGAGGAAAAGAAAATAATACCAAAAGTTGGTTATTTAAAAAATCAACAAAATTGAAAAAAAATTAGCTAGATTTACTAAGAGAATGAGATATAAGACTCAAATTACAAAATCAGAATTAAAAGGGAAAATTGCTGTTACATTTACATAAACAAAATGAATTACAGGGAATACTATAAACAATTGTATATCAATTGAAATGGACAAATTCCTAGAAAGACAGAAACTTATGAAACTGACTCAAGAAGAGACAGAAAATGTGAGCTGTTCTATAACTGATTAAAATAAAATAAAATAGGCTGAGTGTGGTGGCTCATGCCTGTAATCCTAGCACTTTGGGAGGCCAAGATGGGCAGATCATGAGGTCAGGAGTTCAAGACCAGCCTGGCCAACATAGTGAAACCCCATCTCTATTAAAAATACACAAAATTAGACAAGCATGGTGGCAGGCACCTGTAATTCCAGCTACTAGGGAGGCAGAGGTTGCAGTCAGTGGAAATCGCACCACTGCACTACAGCCTGGGTGGCAATGTAAGACTCTGTCTCAAAAAATAATAATAATAAAATAAAAAAGTAAAAATAAAATAAAATAGTAAAATAGCAACCAAAAATAGCAACAAAGAAATGCATAGTCGTTGATGGTTTGTGCAGTGCATTCTACCAAATATTTAAGAAAGAATTAATACCAATGTTCTACAAGCTCTTCCAAAAAATAGAATAATAGAAACACTTCTTAACTCATCTTATGAGGCCAGAATTACTTTAATATAAAAGCCAGAAATTACAAGAAAACTACAGACCTGTATCTCATATCAACATAGATGAGCAATTTCTCAACAAAATACTAGAAACCCACATCTCTAGCAACATACAAAATAATTATAAACTATGACCAAGTGAGATTTACTCCAGGAATGCAAGGCTGGTCTAGTATCTGAAAATCAATTATTGTAATACAACATATCAATAGAATAGCCAAAATAATCTTGAGTTCAATAAAAGAGCAATTTTATAAATCCCCATTTCAAAGCATATTACAAAGCTACAGTTATCGAGACAATATGGTACTGGAATAAGAATAGATATATAGAACAATAGAATAGAATTTAGATCACAAATTTCTCACATTTAAGATCAATTAATTTTTTTGACATGAGTTCCAAAACAATTCAATAGTGAAAGAGTAGTCTTTTCAATGAATGGTGCTGGCACAATTGGATATTCATATGTAAAATAACTATTTGAGATGCCTATCTCAAATACTATGCAATAATGAATTCAAAGTTAAACAGACACAATGTAAGAAACCATATCTTCTTTCACATTCAGAATTGTGTCTGTAGAATTAAGACACAATTCTAAATGTAAGAGAAGATTATAAAACTCTTAGAAGAGGTATAAAGATAAATTTTCTATACTTTCATTTTGCAAAGGTTTTTAAAATGCAAAATCAAAAGTACCTGGTAACCAATGAAGAAGCATAAATTGGACTTCACAAAAACTAAAAAGCTTTTGTACTTTAAAAGATCCCATAAAGAAAGTGATAAGATCACCTGCTGATTAGAGATAATATTATAATATCATACATCTAATATGATACTTGTGTCTCATACAGAATATGTCTTATTACTCAATAATAAAATGCAAGTAGATCAGTTTAAACATTGCCAGACCATCTGAATATACATTCCTCCAAAAAAAATATTCAAATGACCATTAAGCATACAAAAAATGTGCAATATCATTAGTCATTAGAAAAATGCAAATCAAAACCAACATAAGATACTACTTTATACTCACTAGAAAAGCTAAAATCAAAAGGACAAAAGCAAGTGTTAGCTATAAAAAAAAGATAGATACTAGCAAGTGTTGACAAAGGTAAAGAAAAATTGGAATCCTCATACACTGCTTGTGGGACTGTAAAATGATGCAGCCACTTTGGAAAGCAGTCTGACAGTTCCATATGACCCACCAATTTCATGCTTAGGTATAGTTCGAAGGAAATGAAAACATACATTCAAATAAAAAATGTGTACATAAATTTTTATAACTGTGCATTATTTATAATAGCCAAATAATGGAAAATTATTCAAATGCCCATTAAATGATGAATTCATAAATTAAATGTGGTGTACACATAACAGAATATTATACAATAAATCTATCTCAGTACCCTGTAGGCAACTACTGCTCTGACCTACCTCTATAGATTAGTTTTGCCTACTGTAGAAACTTATGAACATTGAATCATTTAGTGTATACTTTTTAAATGATTTTACTGACTCTAATAGAATCTTTTTAATCTTTATCCATTTGTTGCATGTATCAGAATTACATTAACTATGTTGCTTAGTATAATTTCAGTTTCTTAATCTACCGCAATTTGTTTATTCATTCTATTGTTAGGGCCATTTGGATTATTTACAGTTCTTAGTTATATAAAGGAAACTCTATGAAAAATTTTTAATGGATCTTTTCACATACATATATTTTTATTTTCCTTGGAAAAACAGCTAGCAGTTGAATTAAGGTCATGGGGTAAGTGTATCTGGAACTTTTACAAAGATGTTGCATGGGCACAGAGAGGGGAATGTCACATACCCGGGCCTGTCAGGGGTGGAGACTGGGGGAGGGATAGCATTAGGAGAAATACCTAATGTAGATGATGGCTTGATGGGTGCAGCAAACCACCATGGCACGTATACATTTATGTAACAAACCTGCATGCTCTGCACATGTATCTCAGAGCTGAAAGTATAATAATACAAAAAAGCATTGTCTTATATCTCCCTGTCAGCATCTTGAATCTGATATCTCTAAAATTGGTCGTTTTGGGGTTTATCCTGCTCAGGGTTTGCTGAAATTCTTCATGTATACATTGTTGAATTCATAAAACTGGACAATTTTGGATTTTTTTTCAAGTATATGTTTTACTCCCTTTTGTACCTTTTTTTTCATTTTGGAACTTTGTTTACATGTATGTTAGACTACTTCAGACTGTTCTACAGGTAACTGTGGTTCTGTTACTTTGTTTTTCCATCTTATTTCTCTCTGTGATGCAAATTGCATCATGTCTCATGTCTCATCTTTAAGTTTCCTTATGGCTTTTTTCTGCCATCTTCTGTTTGCTGTTACACCAAAACTTACATTTTTATTTCGGATACTTTTACTTTTTAATTTTGGAATTCAAAGTTGGTC
The DNA here is from genome assembly GCF_000001405.40 of Homo sapiens. Lineage (NCBI taxonomy): Eukaryota > Metazoa > Chordata > Mammalia > Primates > Hominidae > Homo > Homo sapiens. The sequence goes on along the minus strand of NC_000002.12, from coordinate 126,023,589 downwards.
TATTTTTTATTATTTGCATTACTATGCTGCTATTTACCGTCTGTTCATTCATTATGCCATCTTTTAAAATGTTACTCAGCATATTTATAATAGGTTCTTCAATGTGAATGTCTGATAATTCAAACATCTGTGTTAATTTTGAATCCATTTCTAATGACAGACTTAAAAATCTCTTAACTATGGCTTATATTTTTATATGTTTTCTCATGTATATTAATTTTTGATTGTATGCTGAACATTATAATTTTATATTATAAAGTCTCTGCTTTTTATTATTGTCTGAGTAATAATGGGTTTTGTTTAAATAGAAAAATAAGTTGTTGGCTGAAAAACTTGAACTTCTATATCCTTGGTTTCATATGATGTTAGCACAGCTACATTTAAGTTTTGTCTTCTGTTTTGGCAAGAATCCTTAGGCATAGGACATATTGTTCACTCATTAAGTATTGCTTTTATTGTGTTTCAAAGGGATGCCCAGGGAGATTAAAACTGTAGGTTATGTTTCTCATTCAATGACAGGTGAAGCCTCTGTGTATATATATTAGTTTTTCAGCCACTACTTTCTATCTTTCTGTTGGTTCTCTCCTGTCTTTCTCATGCATGTACACAGCTCACGAATCACGCATAGATATAAGATTAGTTTATATACAAATTTCAGGTCTTCTTCCTCTTCTGGAATTCCATTCCTTAATTTGTAGCTTCTCTAGCAGCCCCAGATAAGGGCTTGCTACATGTTCTAGGGAATAACCCCAGAGAAAAATTCAAATAAACGTAAGCCTCCATTAGTCTTCCATGTTTTTAAGGATTTAAAAACAAACATTTTATAATTTAGTTGCTATAAAAATACCATATTTATACCATTACTTTTTGTCTCTTAGTTCTTAAGAATATTAAAAATTGAATTACTGATGTTCTTTTGATTTGAAACTGACCTTCTTTTGGGAGTCATAATTTTTATAAGCTATCCATTTGATTTTCTGCATGTTTCAATAAAGTAATTTTTAAAAATATTAATATTGCATTTTCCTTGCATATATATGTATATATATGTATGTGTATATATGCTAGTTTATTTTTTGTATAAGCAATTTGGCAAGCATTTTTATATTATTTTCACTCTTAATTATATTTCTTATTATTTTATTATGTCTCATAGAACTTTTTACCAGTTTGCTGAGTGCATATTAAAAATAGCACTGAATTTTGATTTTGCATCCTGCAATTTTATTGAATTTGTTTATTAGTTCTAAGTGCCTTTTAATGGAGGTTTTAGGGATTTTCTTAATATACGGTCATCCCTAGTATTTTTGAGGGATTGATTTTAGTATCACTCCATAAATGTAAAAATCCATGGATGCCTACATCCCTTATATAAAATGGTGTAGAATTTGCATATAACTAACGCACATCCTGTCACATATTTAAATCATCTCTGGATTACTTATAATACCTAATAAAATGTAAATGATATGTAAATAGTTGTTATATGATATTGTTTTATTTGTATTATTTTTTATTGTTGTAGTAACTTTACCCCAAAATATTTTAAACTCATGGTTGTTTGAATCTGAGTATGCAGCACCTGCCAATAAAGAGGGAGGGCCAACAATTTAAGATCATGTCATCTGTAAGCATAAAATTTTGCTATTTCTTTCCAACTTAGATGTGTTTTATTTCTTTTTCTTGCCTAATTGCTCTGTATAGGACTTTCAGTACTATGTTGAATAGAAAAAGTAAAAAGTGGCCATCTTTGTCTTGTTCACAATCTTAGAGAAAACCCATTATTTTCATGGTTGAGTATGATATTAGCGGTGGGTGTGTTACATATAATCTTTATTATGTTGAGGTACTGTTGCTTTTATACCTAATTTGTTGAGAGTTTTCATTATGAAAGAATTCTGTATTTCGTAAAATGCTTTTTCTTCATGTATTGGGATTATCATATGATTTTTATTCTTTTTTCTCTTAATGTGGTATATCACATTTATTGATTTGTGTATGTTAAACCATTCTAACATCCCAGGGATAAATCCTTGGTCCTGGTGTATGATCCATTTAATATGTTGTTCAATTTGGTTTGCCATTATGTTGTTGAGGATTTTTGCATCTATGTTTATTACAGATACAGGCCTGTAATTTTCGTTTTGTATAGCATCTTTATCCAGCTTTAGAATTAGTGTAGTGTTGTCTTTGTAAAATGAGTTTGGAAGTGTTTCCTCTTTTTGAATTTTTTTGAAGAGTATGAGAAGAATTGCCATTAATTCTCCTTTAAATGTTTGGTAGAATTCAGGCTGGGTGCAGTGGCTCATGCCTGTAATCCCAATACTTTGGGAGGCCGAGGTGGGGGGATCTCCTGAGGTCAGGGGCTCAAGACCAGCCTGACCAACATGATGAAACCCTGTCTCTACTAAAAATACAAAAATTAGCCAGGTATGGTGGTGCACGCCTGTAATCCCAGTTGTTCGGGGGAGCTGAGACAGGAGAATTGCTTGAACCCAGGAGGCGAAGTTGATCTCGACTCACACCACTGCACTCCAAAGCAATCTTCCAGTTCAGTGCAATTCATATCAGAAATCCAATGACATCTTTCACAGAAATAGAAAAAATTTCTAAAATTCATACAGGACCACAAAAGATCCAGAATAGTCAAAGCAATCCTGAGCAAGAAGACCAAAGCTGGGGACATCACATTCCCTAATTTCAAAATATATTAAAAGGTTTAGTAAACAAGACAGAATGGTACTGGCATAAAAACAAACACAGAACTATGAAATAGAATAGAGACCCCAGAAAGAAATCTATATGTTTGCAGTCAACTGATCTTTGACAATGCTGCCAAAAACATACAATGGGAAAGGAGAGTCTCTTCAATATATGATGTTGGAAAAATTGGATATCCATCTGCAGAATAATGAAGTTGGACCTTTACCTCAACCCACATAAAAATCAACTTAAACTCAAAATGGATTAAAAATTTAAATGTAAGATCTGAAATTGTAAAACTATTAAAAGAAAATATAAAGAAACAGCTTATTGGTACTTGTCTTGGCAATGATGGCTTTTGTTTGTTTTGAATATGACCCTGTAAGCACAGACAACAAAAGAAAAAAGTAGACAAATGAAATTGCACCAAACTAAAAGGCTTCTGTGCAGCAAAGGAAATAGTCAATAGAATGAAAGTACAACCTACAGAAAGAAAAAACAAATCATGATCTGATAAAGGGTTAATCTCCAAAATATATAAGAAACTCAAATAACTCAATAGCAATAGCAAAACAATCCAATTTTAAAAATAGGCAAAAAACTTTGACTTAGTGTTAGGGCTGCTGTAACAAAATACCATAAACTGAGTGGCTTATAAACAACAGAAATTTATTTCTCACAGTTCTTGTGTCTGGGAAATCCAAGATCAAGGTGCCAGCAGATTTCGTGTCTGGTGAGGGCTGGTTTTTCATAGGTGGTGCCTTTTAGCTGTGTTCTCACATAGTGGTCAGGGCAAGGCAGCTCTCTGGGGCCTCTTTTATAAGATCACTAATTGCATCCTTGAGTGCTCTGACTTCACGACCTAATTAGTTTCCCAAAGGCCCATCTCTTACTAACATCACATTTTGGAAGAGGATTTCAACATATAAATTTGTGGGGATCACAAACATTCAGACCTTACTCAAATAGACATTTCTCAAAAGAAACAATACAAGTGGTCAACAGGTATATGAAAAAGTGCTCAATATCTCTAATCATCAAGGAATTGCAAATTGAAATCACAATGAGATAACATTTTTAGAATGGCTATTGTTAAAAGGGCAAAAGATATCAAGTGCTGGTGAGGATGTGGACAAAAGGAACCCTCGTACACTGCTGGTGGGAATGTAAATGGTTATGACCAGTAAGGAAAATAGGATGGAGGTTTCTCAACAAATTAAAAATAGAAGTACCATACAGTCCAGCAATCTCACTTCTGAGTATATATCCAAAGGAAATAAAATCAGGATATCAAAATAACATCAGTACTACCATGTCCATCACAGCATCGTTCAAGATAACTGTAACCACCCAATGGGTTCACATTGCTCACTGCCTATACAGAGCCCATTTATCAAGACAGGGGAATTGCAATGAAGAAAGAGTAATTCACACAGAGCTGGCTGTGTGGGAGACCGGAGTTTTATTGTTACTCAAATAAGTTTCCCCCAGCATTCAGGAATTGGAATTTTTAAAGATAATTTGGCGGGTTGGGGCTGAGAAAGTGGGGACTGCTCACTGGTCAGGTTGGAGATGGAATCATAGAGGGTTCGAAGTGACATTTTCTTGCTGTCTCCTCTTCCTGGGTGGGATTGCAGAACTGGTTGAGCCACATTACCGGTGGGTGGTGTCAGGTGATCTATTGAGTGCAGGGTCTGCAAAATACCTCAAGCATTAATCTTAGATTTTACAATAGTGATGTTATCCCCAGCAACAATTTGGGAGGTTCAGACTCTTTTAGCCAGAGGCTGCAAGACTCCAAATTTCTAATCCTGTAGCTAATTTGTTAGTCCTACAAAGGCAGACTGGTCCCCAGGAAAGAGGGCAGTCTTTTCGGGAAAGGGATATTAACGATTTTGTTTCAGAGTCAAACTATAAACTAAATTCCTTCCCAAGATTAGTTTGACCTACGCCCAGGAATGAACAAGGACAGCTTAAGGTCTAGAGGAAAGATGGAGTCAGTTAGGTCTGATCTTTTTCAGTGTCATAACTTCTTTAGTTATAATTTTTGCAAAGTCAGTTTCATAACCAAGACAAAACAATCTAAGTGCCTATCAATGAATGAATGGATGAAGAAAACAAGGTGTGTGTACACACAACAAAAACAGAGAAGAAAATTGTTATTTTGGACGATATGGATGAACCTAGAGGACATTATACTAATGAACTAACCCAGACACAGAAAGAGGAATACTGCATGACCTCATTTATATTTATACATATTTATACATGGAATCTAAAAAAGTCAATCTCATAGATAGAGAGAGGAGAATGGTGGTTGTCAGGCCCTGGGAGGTGGGGAAATAGAGGAATGCTGGTCAAAGAGTACAAAGTTTTAGTTACACAGATAAATAAGTTCTGAAAATCTAATGTACAGCAAGGCAACTATAGTTAATTATACTTTTTATCAGGTGTAAATTTATCAGGTATACATTTTATGCTTGAAATTTACTAAGAGAGTAAATTTACTCTCTTGTTTTAAGTGTTCTCACTCAAAACAGGTAACTATGTGAGGTGACTGATGTGTTATTTAGCTTGACTATGATGATAATTTTACAAAGTATACATATATCAAAACATTACATTTTTACACGATATATATATATACTTTTTCAATTATACCTCACCAAAGCTAGGAAAATTCTCTTAAAAAATAATTGGATATTGAATATTAGTATGCTTTTTTCAGTGTGTCTTAAGACAATCAAATATCTGTTCTCTGTTTTGTTGTTGTTCTTAAGACACCATGAATGTTATAGATAGATGTTATAATACTGAGCCATTTGTTTATTTCAACATGAAAAATACCTGATCAGGATATTACAGTTATGCATTGCTTAATGGTGAGAATACATTCTGACAAAAGTGTCGCTAGATGATTTTGTCATTGTGTGAACATCGTAGAATGTGCTTACACAGAACTAGGTGGCATAATCGACTACACAGCTAGGCTATATGGTGTAGCCTACTGCTCCTAAACTACAAACCTTTGAAGCATGTTACTGTGCTGAATACTGTAAGTAATAGTAACACAATTGTAGGTATGTGTATATCCAAACTTAGGGAAGGCACAATAAAAACACAGTATTACAATTTTATGAGACTACACATATGCAGTCCCTCAGTGACCAAAACATCCTTGTGCAGTGCATGACTGTAGTTCAATACATTAATGAGTTTATTTTCTATTAGTTTATTTAGAATTGTTGAACATCCATTAACAAATACACTACTGTGATTTTTTTTCTTATCTTTTCACATCTTTGTAAGCTAATGCCAAGTTTTTCAAGCTTCAGAAAAATATTATGAAAATACCTTTGTTCTCTAAGCTTGGGAACTCCTAAATGCTAAATAAATAATAACTTCATTTTAAAGCTTATCAAGATTCAGTTATGAAGGCTTCTTGGAGTTTAATTATTTGATGTTTTCCTTTATATTTATTGGTATATTTCTTTTGGAATTTCCACCTGTTCTTCACTTAACATAAATAGCTTATATTTTTCACATAGATATTTTTATACAGATCCTAAAATGTATTAACATATATGTATAAGTTCCTTTTGAATATGTTAATTTGCTTGCATCTGTTGTCATTTTATTATTTGTTAGCTTCTAGTTTTGCATCATTTTTTGTAGCTTTTCTTTCAGTTATTTATATTAGCTCCTGCTTGTCTATTTTCTTAACAATTTCCAAAGTTTAATTGAATGTATTTATCAATTTTAATGTTATTTGCTGTTTTCTAACATATTAATTCCTGCTTTCACCTATAGTAATTATTTTCTTTTGATGTAATTACTCTTTTGCTACTGTCATACATACAAATGTTCATTTATTTTTTAAAGTCTGTCTTACTTAACATTAAAAAGGCTTTAAGATATGGATTCATTTGGAGTAGTCTGAGGCACATCACAAAGGTGTTCTAATTATGATTATTATCTCAATATATTATAATTGCCAGTTTGATTTCTGATATGGTGTAATAATTATTTTTAAAAAAATCCTAATTTTCAAATGGTTTGGATCTTTTATTTATATTTTTATTATAACTATTAGACTAATCAAAATGTAAATGGATGTAATATACATTATTTTTGTGTATATGCTGATTTTGTGTAGTTAACATACCAAATTTGGGAGCATTTTCTTTAGGAATATATTTGTTTCTTCATATATTAAGCTGCTATTTAAATTTGTCAAAGTATTCAAATGAAGTATTTTGAATAATTTTATTTTATAAGTATTATATATCATTTATTTTCATACGAATCAACTAATGTGTTACATCTAGTGAACCAAAGATACAAAGAAAATATTAATTCTTCTGTACCCTGCTTCAAACCAAATCTAATACAGAACTGTACACTTAAAAACAGTTAGGGTAGTAGATCTTACGTTATGTGACTTTTACTACAATTTTTTAAATTAACTGCTTAGAATATGTTAATCAAATTTAAATTTCTGAAATTTTGAGTTTATGAATTTTGTAATTGTTTCTGTTTGCTTTTCATGATTGTTTTACAAATAAAAATTTATTACACAATACTTATTGCTCTGAAGCTTGCATTTTTATCTACTGATGTTACCTGAGTATTTCTAAAAGTCAGTTTCATGTAACAACATACATCTTTTACATTTGAGGAGGAGTGTTTTACTTCCAATTATGTGGTCAATTTTAGCAATCCCATTACTAGGCATATACCCAAAGGATTATAAATCATTCTACAATAAAGACACATGTACATGTGTGTTTATTGTGGCACTATTCACAATAGCAAAGACTTGGAACCAACCCTAATGTCCATCAGTGATAGATTGGATTAAGAAAATGTGCCACATATACACCATGGAATACTATCCAGCCATAAAAAAGGATGAGTCCCTTTGCAGGGACGTGGATGAAGTTGGAAACCATCATTCTCAGCAAACTATCACAAGATCAGAAAACCAAACACTGCATGTTCTCACTCATAAGTGGGAGTTCAACAATAAGAACACATGGACACAGGGAGGGGAACATCACACAACAGGGCTTGGGGGGAGTGTGGGGGGGTAGGAGAGGAAAAACATTAGGAGAAATACCTAATGTAGGTGACAGGATGATGGGTGCAGCAAACCACCATGGCATGTGTATACCTATGTAACAAAACTGCACATTCTGCACATGTAACCCAGAACTTAAAATGTAATAATAATAGTAATAAAACATACATCATCACTAACACCACACAGGAGTTCCCCTGCTCTGCATCCTTGCCAACATCTGTTATAGGATGGCTTTTATTTTACACATTTATTCTTCTGTGGATAAGACTCCTATTTAAAATGATATCTATTTGTGATTTTAATTTGCATTCCCAAGACTCAGAGTCTGATCTAGCATCTTTAAATGAACTTACGGGCTTTCCTGTATTTTCTCTTGTGAAATTCCTATTTATAGCTTTCTGTATTTTATATTGGACTATTTTTTCTTTCTGATAGGTTTACAACAATTACTTTCATACTCTGAATGCTAATTCTGTTTAAGGGTGGACTTGTGGCAAAAATTTTTCCTTATTTGTGGTTTGTATTTTATTTTTTAAATTTTAATGGAGTCTATTTTTATAGTTCCCTTTCTATGTTAGTGCAATTTTTGTTTTGTTTAAACATTTTTTTATGTAACCCAGGGTATTAAAGATAATTTCCTGTATCATCTTCAAATATCTTAAAGTTTTGCTTTTTATATCTGTTTTTAATACAATGGGAATTAACTTTTTGCAATGGTATGAAATTAGAGTACTATTTCCTGTATATTTTTTCATATTACTAACCATCTTGACATCATTTCCTGAATGCTTCATATTTTACCCCTTGTTTATTAATTCAACTGATATTTACTGAGTGCCTATTATGTGGCAATCACTATTTAGCCATTATATTTATATCAATGAAAATACTAAAGCATATGAAATACATCAATGAACACAGTAGACAGAATCCCACACCAGTGGAGCTTGTGTTCTTGTAAAAGGAGACATATAATAAACAGTAAATGTAGCAAATTAGTACTTTATTTGGTCAATCAGAAGGGGATAATTGCTATGAAAAATAAGAACAGGTTAAGCTGGATGACAGAATATACAGCAATTTCAAGAGCATACTAGGGATAAGCCTCACTAAACTATAAATTTGAGCAAAAACACAAAACTAAATATCTAGGCAAAGAACATTAGAGGTAGAGAGAGCAGCCATTTCGAAAGACCTAAAACACAGAAATGCTTGCTGTTTTACATGAGAAGCCACCATGTGAGGGATATAGGGAAGATGGAAGGAGGAGAGGAAGGCAAGATAAGGTGTGAGAGGAAACTGGGGAGAGAAAGCCTTGAACATGTAAGTCCTTTGAGCCACTGTCTGCATTTCAATCTGCTTTGCCTCCCTCTTACTGCAGCTACTTCTTTAGTGTCCATTTCTTTGTATATTTCAACCATCTTTGATCATGTGCAACTTTGCCATGTATTTTACACTTAATGCCCCAGAGAATTCTCTACTCTCATAGTTTGAAATAGTTTTGGGAACCAGATTTGCACTTCTGCGTGCTGAACCCAAAAGGGGCCACCCTCAAGCAACTTTCAAATGAACAGTTCTTACATGGACTTTATACAACTTTTTAGAAGTTCCCCAAGTTGGAGAGTCTAAAGCTCATAGTGCCGGCCAGTGAGCGAGGAGCAATAGAATGGAATGTAAATAAAGAATCAGTATCCAGGAGGAAGGAGTGGTCAACTAAACCTAACTACTGATAGATCAACTAAAATGTCAACTGAAACTGACCACTGTGTTTATCAATCTTGAGGTAATCACAACAAAAGCAGTTTGGGTGTAGTTGTGGGTTCAAAAGCACGATTAGAGTAAGTTTAACAGGAAATGGGAATGAAGAATAAAATAACGCTGAAGAATAAAATGAAAATAGAAAATAGAAGGTGTGATGGTTCAGGTCTTTATCAGGTCTTTATCTGGCACAATGGCTCACATTCTGCCAGAGGAACAAGCAATTGTAGTACCAGTGAGTAATCAAGCTCAAACTACTTCCCTGTTGCTATGGAAGAAGCTAAGAACATATTTGGTTGGAGAACTACCAGTCTCCACCAAAACTATTTAGCTCATTTACTTTCAAACTTTTTTGTTCTCTGATAAACGCATTTCATATTTAAAACTATATATGTATATTATAGACATATGTGTATATTATATATGCATATTACCTATAAAATAGAAGTTTTTCTAAGGCTAGTTTAGCTGTGGCTCAACATATGTATAAGAAAATGTTTTACTATCATTACCCTTATTAAAAATGAGGGTTTTTTTGTATGTATTTCTGTCTTAGAATATAGTCCTTTTAAAGGTATATTTAACATGTGCTCAAAAAGAATCTATATTATCTGTTGCATATTAAGTATAGTTTCTATTATCTTTAAATTTACTATTCAAACTTTCTGTGTAATTTTATATAATTATTATTATTATTTTTTTTTTTTGAGATGGAGTCTTGCTCTTGTCACCCAGGCTGGAGTGCAGTGGCATGATCTCAGCTCACTGCATCCTTTGTCTCCTGGGTTTAAGCAATTCTCCTACCTCAGCCTCCCGAGTAGCTGGGATTACAGGTGCCCACCACCACAGCCAGCTAATTTTTGCATTTTTAATAGAGATGGGGTTTCACCACGTTGGCCAGGCTGGTCTCGAACTCCTAACCTCAGGTGATCCACCTGCCTTGGCCTCCCAAAGTGCTGGGATTACAGGTGTGAGCCACTCTGCCCAGCCAATTCTATATTATGTTCTATATAATTATCCACAAATCTACTTTTTGAGAGGGTTATCTTATGATCTTTAATACTATACTTAAATAGTTCATTTGCCCATAAAGTCTGTTAATTCTCATTTTCTGAAGGTATATTATTAAGTACATATGTGGCATTTTATTAATATGTATTTATTGATCATTATAAAATAATGTTTTCATTGTATTCCATTTTGTAAAATATTCAAATTATTTTATATTTGTGGAGCTGTTTTATTTTTTCTCTTTAAATTTTCAGTACCATTTTAAAAAATGTATTCTTTGAAGACAGTTAATGCCCCATTAGCATACTGAATTCTGTTTTTCTTAAACAATATGATAGTGACTGTCTTTTGAGTGAAAGATTAATCCCATTCATACTTAGTTGTTCTTACCATCAGAACTCACCTCTGTCATTTTGTTTGTTGCATCTAGTTTTTGAATTTTCATGTTTCTTCCTTCCCCTCCCTGTCTTTCATTGTCTAGAAAAAAATGTATTCTGATTATTTAAAAACTACATATTATATTTTTGTCTTCAGTGTTTATTTTCTCTCTATTGATTTGTTATGTTTATCAAAGTTTATATTTCCACAAAAAACATACCATACATTTTAACATATTCTCCTCTTCAGTATACACTGCTTTCTCCTGCCATGCTCTCTATCCCCTCAGTACATTAGTAAATGTCTGCTAGACTTTCAATGCATTGTTATTAATATATGTTTTCTTGGTTCTTGCTCTTTTAGATAATACATTTGGCTTTATTTTCATTTTGCTGTAGAAGTCTCTCCATGCATTTTCAAAGTGAGACTTTGTATTAGGAACAATTAAAGGTGTTGAATTTCAGAAGATATATTTATTCCATCTTCTTATTTAAATGATTTTCTAATTGAATAGGCAATTCCAGGCTCAAAATTATATTAACATTGAAGACAATATTACATTTTTCTCATACATCCAATATTGCTGATGATGTCTAATTAAATCTGGTTATAAAACTTCATGGAGATGTTTTGTTTTCCTTTCCTGGTGAATTCCAGAGTTTTCATTTTGTATTTAGCTACCTTAGATTTCACTATAACATATCTGGGTTAATCTTTTTTCTTATCACTCTTTGACATTCTGAAATCCATTTCAAACTAAGGTGCTTTAGGTTTTTTTAAACTTGAAAATACCCAACATTTTTAATTCAAGTATTTCTTTTTCTCAATATTAGTCAGCTTTTACTGCCATAATAAAATAACATAGACTGGGTGGCTTCAAAAACATAAAATTTTCTGACTGTTCTGAAGGCTAGAAGTCACAGATCAAAGTCTGGCAGGGTTGATTTCTGCTGAGGTCTCTTTTCCTGGCTTGCCGATAACCATCTTCTTACTGTGTCTTCACATGACAGAGACTTCCTAAAAGGACACAGTTTCTATCAAATCAGGGCACTATCCTTATGATCTTACTTAACTTTAATTACTTCCATAGAGACCCAGTCTCTAGATACAGCCACAGTGGAAATTATGGTTTCAACATATACATTTTGGAGGAGTCACATGCATTCTGTCTATAGCATCTTCTATTTTCTTTCTTTTATTTCTATATCTATCAATCTATCAATCCATCAATCAATCTATCTATCTATCTAATCTATCTACCTCTATTTTCATTTCTTTCCACTCTCGTTATGTAGATGTTTCCATTCTTCTTGTATTTCTTTTACATTTCGGTTTTTTAAAAAACTATCTATACATCCCTCCTTGATGTTTCTTGAAGAATTCTCTGATCTGGTCTCATGTTCAGTCATTCATTTATTCTTCAGCTTTAGCCATTCAGCTCTTTAATTCTACCCAATGGCCTATATAGATAGATACATACGTAGCTACATAGATACATAGCTACATAGATAGATAAAGATATATTATGTGTATATATATATATATATATATATGTATTTGCTTGCCTCATCTGTATAACTGTGTGTTCTATTTCATATTACCAATATTCTCACATATCTATTTTAGTACATGTATTCTATTTAATTAAATTCTGTATCTGTCACACTCATTCTATTAGGTTTTATAACAGCTTTTTAGTTTCTCAAAGTTTTTTATAAAAAGGTAGATGACTTTCCACATGAATTCATATTTCCCTAGTCTCTCAGCTGTGTCTGCTGGCAATATGCACCAAGCAAGTTAGTAAGGAAGGGGCATATGCAGCTTCCGAGAGCCCTCATGTAAGACATACCTGGAAGACCAACGGAATTTACTGTTCTGGCACAGGACACCAAACTTCCTATTTACTGCCTTGCTAATACTAGTCTTTTCCAAGGGTGCCCCCCAAGACCCACGAAGATGGACAGGAAAGAAAGAAGGAAGATATGCTCAGGGCTCTTCTCTGTATCAAGGAGACTTCTTTTGTCTGGCTAAGCAGGTGCTGCGGTTTCTCTACCTGTTAGCCACCCCTGGGAAGTGACGTCCACCTGATGCAATGAGCAAAGAAAAGATGTCAAAATCAAAGCTTCCTTAGTTTATTCCTCTCACCCCAGACTGTGTTTTCTTTTCAGACCACTGGTTTCTCCCAGTGTTGATCCTTCCCCTTCCTGTGCTTCCCTCAGGTTTGAGTGAGGAAAAGGCTGTACCCAGAGCTTATTCTGCATTTTGTCAGGACTCTGAAGTCTCATATAACTATTCTAATTTTTTTCAAAGTACATTGTTAATTCTCTTTTTTCATTCATCCTACGGGATGTTTTTATTTTGTTATTTATTCTTTAAGTAGATTCTTTAGGGATTTAGCTATTAATTGGCCATTTCGAAGAAACAGCTCTCAGTTTATCCTTTGAAATATTTTCCTCCCAATTTAAATTTATTTTTGTATCATTCATAAATTATCTTCACAATTCATTTTGATTAATTTGTACTTTTATGCTAATTCATTATTAGTTTTGATATTATTAGTAAATACATTGAGGGTGAGGAATTCTCTGAAAAAATTCCTAAAGGTTTTTCTGTAAAATGTTCTAATTTTCCAAATAATACATGTCCTTCATGTTTTTTTAGAGGAAAATGTTTCTTAGTTTCTAAATAATCACTTGTTTTGTTTGTTTTTCAGTTTTGCATTGACTTACTCAGTTTTTATTTTGTTTATTTCCATTTGATATTGTTATGACAAAAAATTTATCCTAGGCCAGGCGCAATGGCTCACAGCCATAATCCTAGATTTTGGGAGGCTAAGGTGGGTAGATCGCTTGAGCTGAGGAGTTTGAGACCAGCCTAAGCAACATGGTGAAACCTTGTCTCTACTAAAAATACAAAAAATTAACCTGGTATGGTAGCAAGTGTCTGTGGTCCCAGCAACTCAGGAGGCTGAGGTGGGAGAATAGCTTGAGCCCAGAAGGTTGAGATTGCAGTGAGGCAAGATCACACTACTGCACTCCAGCCCGCGCAACAAGGCAAGACCGTGTCTCTTAAAGAAAAAAAGAATGTATCCTATACAAAGTTTCAAAGTTTAATAAATATTTATTTATTTCAAAATTTGTTGTGAGGCTCTTCAATCTATCAAATTCCAAAAGATTTATTTTAAAATTTACCAATGTCATTTTTATTAAAGTCTCCTTGCATTTATGAAGTTGTCCTGCTGTTATTTACATTTAGAGTTGTTATATCTTCTCATAAATTCTGTTTTTCATGTTTGCATTACGTTACTTCTCCTAGTTGAATACTCAGGGCTACCCTACCGATATTAATATTGAGTTTATTCTGGCTTTCTATGTCATTGTTCATCCCTTCCCTTGATTTGTCATTTTTTTCTAACTACATACACTTATATTATTTTTAACCCAGGATGCCTCTTTAGTGGAATAATACAATCTTTTTGCACTTAATGTAACAATTGAACTATTTTCTTTTGTTCCTGTCATATTTTATGGTAAATTCTTATGATATGTTTTAACGGTATTTGCCTTATTTATCTGACTTTGGTTGACTTGGTCAACTTCTGCTTCTTCAACCCCTCTTCACATACCAGCTTCCCCCTACCCCCTCCACACATGCATGAACATTCTTGACCCTTAATTTGAAATTCTACAATGCTCTTGAAATTTTGTAATGATTGATTGTTTTTGGCCCAGATGATCACTATAACATAATATAATTCTATATCTATGTTTAGACTTTATTATTTAAAAACTAGGACATTTTATGTCTCTCTCACCCCCCTTCAAGTTAAAATATTTATGAAGCATTTATTTATCTGTTAACTTTACCATCTTCTAACTTTTTGCATTTGCTTGAGTAATTTAAAAACACTATTTTTAGCTCATTAATATTTCTTTACAATACATCTATAATCTATACTTGGTATTTATGTTGCAAATTCCTGAAGAAATTTTTATCTTTTTAGTTTTGGCATAATTTTTTGCCCACTATCTTATTCATCTTCCTTTATCTTGAGACTTCTCTTTGGATTAAATTGAGGTTGAAAGCTGACTGTAAATTAAATTTTGCTTTTATTTTAATAAGAGCATAAGGTGTATGCTTCTGAAGCACTGCAAGTCTAAACATTTGTTTTGTTTGCCCTGAAGTATTCATTTGCTTAATGAATGAAACTTTATTGAGCATAACTGTGTGCAAGACACTGTTTTAGGAATTGAAGATACAGCAAAGAAGAAAAATTATTTGCTCTCCTGGCATTTACATTTTAATTGTCAATGAAAAAAATTAAACAAATATAACATTTAGTAGAGAAGACATAGACAAATACAGTGGAGCCCAGACAGCTACAGCACTCAGGGAGTGTTGAGGTGGGCTTCAAACATGGCGGCATGCTGTTAAAAGTGAACATTGGGCAATTGTCTTCAGGAGATAGGAGGGAGGGTCACCAACGTCTGTGAATGCAATGTCCTGAAGGAGAAGAGCAGGTGTAAAGGCCTCGCTCCAAGTGAGGACCACCTGGTATGTGGAGTGATACCAAGGAGGCAGCTGGGCTGAAAGGCCAGGAACATGAGGAAGAGTGATGGTCAGTGATGATGAGGGGTGGAAGGCACTGGGGCAGGAGTATGTGGAGTCATGCAGGTCATGGTAAGTTCCTTAGCTTCCACTTTGAATTAGATGAGAAGCAATGGGGTAGGTTTGAGCAGAGGAAGGGCATGCTCTGGCTTGTATTTTATGGGATCTCTCTGGCTATCAAATAGAGAACAGAGAAAGGGTATAAAGTAGGTAGCAAGAGACCAGGTAAGAGGCCCTGCAATCATCTGGAAGAGAAATGGCCGCTTGATCATGGTGGTAGCTGTGAGGTCATAAAAGTGGTAGGATCCTAAATCCATTTTGAAGATAAAGAAGACAGAAGTTTCTGGCTCATTGGATATAAATTGTGTGAGAAAGTGAGAAATCAAGGATAACTCCAAAAATTGGGTCTGACCAACTGAGGAATTAAGTTATTAACTGTGAGTTGGCAGGTTTTTAGGAAAGACCATTTCTTCAGCATTGATATATTTAGTTTGAAATGCCTATTGGGTATCCGAGTAGAATACAGTCAAATATACAGCAAGATATATAAGACTGGAACTCAGGGCCAGTTTTCATACTGGCCAGACTACAATTCATGGTTTACAGTTTTTTTTTCTCCAGAATCTATAGATATTGACATTTTCTTCTCACTTGTAGTTCTGGAATTAATGCCCCATAAAGTTAATAACAGATTAAAAAACAAAAACAAAAGCTCTATGACATTTAATGCACATCTGGAAAAAAGAGTTATTAAATAACATTTCGTAACAATTATATATTCCTTTTAAAAAATCTTAGTTGCAAACCACTTTCTCAAATTACATTTATATTATGTGAGTGTGGGTTTCTAAACCTTCCTCAGATTTAAAGTGTATTCAGAGTTTTACAAGTATTTCTAAACCTTCTTCAGATTCAGTGTCTTGTGAAATCATGACAGATATAGGTTATTGGAACTCATTCTTGGGGCAAAGATAACATTTCACTTTTCTAAATATAGACAAAAGATCTTGATCTCTTTTAATACCGTTGGCATGGACAAGCTTGTATTAGAGGACTGTTGCAGAACTTTTGACTTTGGATTTCTTATTTGATAAAATTTGTTGGTTCATTTTCCTTTTTAATTAAATTGTGTATTGCAAGATATCAATTTACTTTGAAGGTCACCTGAAAAGCATTTGTCAGATACATATCTGGCATGAGGTCATAGGTCCTTTTCAGTTTATCAGTCAGTTATAACAACTATTCCTGGAGTCACATAGTCTATACTAGAGCCCTAGATATTTGGCCAAATTTGCATATCACCAAGCAAAGACGTCATCACACAATCTTCTCCTTCTGTTGGTTTTCACTTTAACATGGATTCTAGAATTGTCCTCTTGCAAGACAGTCCTTCTTCACATCTCTAACTCAATGTTTTGTCATGTCAATTCTGCACTTCTTTTTCGAATAGTTGTCAGCTTCTTACCAGTATTATTTTCCTAACTTTTTAAAAGAAAACTCAACTAGCTTCAAATTTATCTCAATTTGTTGTACTATCTCATTAATCATCAAGATGATGTTTCTTTGATACAAATGCAAAGCAGTTTTTGTGTAAACTGTTACTATGATTTATGGAGCTAATTTCCATGAGTCCTTTTCACCCGTCTTTTGCATGCTATATTTATTTTTTCTTCTTTTATGCTGTAAACATTTTTATATGAATCATGTTTTTGTTTTATTTACTCAAACTCCCATTGCCCAGATATAACAAAATCTACTATTTGTCTGAAAATAACGTTTGAGTTCTTCTTAAATAATCTTTGTGTTTTCCTGAGCACTGAGGCTCCTTCGTTATGAATTTAACGTGGAGGCCTAGATAAGTTAGATCTATATTATTAACTAAGAAAATGAGGCCTGGCACGGTGGCTCATACCTGTAATCCCAGCACTTTGGAAGGCCGAGGCGGGCGGATCACGAGGTCAGGAAATCGAGACCATCTTGGCTAACACGGTGAAACCTCGTTTCTACTAAAAATACAAAAAATTAGCCGGGCGCGGTGGCAGGTGCCTATACTCCCAGCTACTTGGGAGGCTGAGGCAGGAGAATGGCGTGAACCTGGGAGGCGGAGCTTGCAGTGAGCTGAAATAGCGCCACTGCAGTCCGGCCTGGGCGAAAGAGCGAGACTCCGTCTCAAAAAAAAAAAAATAAGAAAAAAAAGAAAATGAGTAATGGCGTTGGATCATGAGTTGTTTTACAAAGTAACTTTGTTTCTGTATTTTTCTTTGGTTTCCTAGGAAGCCCATTAGCCAACTAGTTTTCTGTTGGGTAAATATGGGATCATTGTCTTCATTATCATCAGTTGACAGAGGTGAACATGACTCTGAGCACAGGATTCTTGTCTCTCCAGTGTTCTGCCTGTTCTTGGTCCACTAGATTAGAAAATATTCCTCATTAGGGTTAGTACATTCTGTCCATGTATTAAAGAATCCTAGGGAAAATATATATATATAGCTTCGTTAAATATGTAATCTTTTGCTCCAAGTGAAATGTTGTTAATATATGCTAATTTCCCTGTCTTGTTCTGTACTTGCCCTTCCCAATTAGAGTAAAAAGTTCTCAGCTTTCCACATGCCATTAACGTTTATTGCCCATTCAGTGGTAATAGTTGTGTCTTATAATCTTGGGATCCTCTTTAAAATAAGAAAATTTCAATGGAAAGAATTCTAGGATCTTCTTTCAATTTTCATGCACCTCCATCACATTTGGGAAAATAAAATTTTTGAATTTTGAGGATGTGTGCATGCATTAGAGTATTCATTAGGTATATTCTCTATTCCCCCAAATGGTCTCATATTCTTCAGGCCCGTGGTTTTCTAATAGAATGGAATCCTGTTTTCTAGTTGACTATCTGAGTTGATTTGGCTAATGAAATGAAAATAAAATTAATATTAGTTTGATAAGTTTCTCAGGACCATTTCTGAGCATATGTTTTAGGAGGTATAATGAGATATTTTTTCCTCACACTTTTTTCCTCTTGTCTCCTCAGATGTGAATCCAGATCTACAAGTAAAAATGAAATGAAGCAGAGCCACCCCAAACTGCAGACAATATTTGGTTCTTGTTTGCTTTGTTTTGTGTTTTGTGTTTAGAGACAGGATCTCAGTCTGTCACCCAGGATGGAGTATGGTGATGCAAACATGGCTCACTGTAACTTTGAACTCCTGGGCTCAAGTGATCCTCCTGCCTCAGTCCACGTAGCTGAGGCTACAGGTGAGCACCACCATGCCTGGCTAATTTTTTTTTTTTTAATTTTGCACAGATAGGGTGCTGCTATGTTTCCCAGACTAGTCTCAAACTACTGGCTTCAAGTGATCCTCCTACCTTGTCCTCTCGAAG
This sequence comes from Homo sapiens, assembly GCF_000001405.40. NCBI lineage: Eukaryota > Metazoa > Chordata > Mammalia > Primates > Hominidae > Homo > Homo sapiens. The sequence goes on along the minus strand of NC_000002.12, from coordinate 126,004,673 downwards.
TTTTGGGATTATAGGCGTGAGCCACCATGCCTGGTCTGCAGCCAATATTTAATATGAATGAAAGCTTACTTACCTGTTGTAAGCCATTGAGATTTGGGTGTTACTTGTTACTTCAGTCTAATCCAACTGATAACAAAATCAGTACTAATAGGAATTTTCCACATTTGTTTATTTTGGTTACTCAGTTGTTTTAGGAATTTAGGAAGATTTTCTATGCTACCATTTTCCCCTATGATTACATTTAATTTAATTTAATTCAATACTTGAATTGAATTGAATTGAAAGACATTATTAAATTTAGCACATGCCTGTCAATCCATATACCCCATGTGCTATGAGATAAATAGATTACTTTTGATTTCTGCTTATATCTAATTTCAGTTGGTATTTTCACTATTACATTTTTGAGCACTGTTAGAGATAAAATATTTGAATCTCATATGCCTATTCTCAGATGTGACTGATAATTACCTCTAGCTATGTGCCAGTCACAAAGCTTACCAATCACCAATCAGCACACATAACAGAGTCTTTGAGTTTGGTATCCATATGGCTCCTTTATAGATTATAAACCAACTGGTTTAGTAACTTTCACAAATTTAAATTACCAGTAAGCTGGACAATTAAGATTCTAACCCAATTTTCTTCTGACTCCAAATCAAGTGCTTGTTCTGCTACAATGATGAGTTTCCTCTATATTCCTGTTTCAAAAATAAGGCTTGCATGCATAATTAACTAATAATATACATAATTTATGCTTTATATTAAATTGTAAATCTAAAATAGATCATATTATATAAGTGTTGTATATCATCAAACAGAGAATTGATCAGCATTGACCAGAACTGTCAAGCCAACCTGAAGTGAGTTTAATAATTCTGAAGGGGGATGGTGAGGAAATCAGTCAGTTGGTAGCAGAAAACATATTCATCTGTCTTTGGGGATCTGGGACTCTGTTTTTACTATAGATAAAGTGCACCAGATATCAAATCTTGACAAGTAAGGAGAGACTGAATAATGCCAGATTTTTTGAATTGGTGACTACCATCATTGAGAAGGCTATGTTACTACTCTGTAATGGAGAAAGTCATATATGCTGTTTTTCATATACATGTGCGCACACATTACAGACACACAATCACAATACGTATATATGTATATACACACACATATACACACACACACACATACACAGACATATAAGGTCTTTCTGGAAGGATTATTTCCATTCTTAGTGAATGCGCAACTGCCTCTGACACCCACATTTCAGATAAAGAGGATCAAGTCACCAGTTGGCAAAATCTGCACTCCTCAATTTGTACCCTAATTATATGTAGATTAAAGAAGCTAATGCTATTGGGGGAACCCACCCCCGATAATTCAATGTTTGTTCTTTTCTGTTTCCCTAAGTGTCAGCCGGTCTGAGAAATAAAGGGAAAGAGTACAAAAGAGAGACATTTTAAAGCTGGGTGTCCGGGGGAGACATCACATGTTGGCAGTTTCCGTGATGCCCCTCAAGCCGCAAAAACCAGCAAGTTTTTATTATGGATTTCAAAAAGGGAGGGGTGTATGAATAGGGTGTGGGTCACAGAGATCACATGCTACAAGGGCAATAAAATATCACAAGGCAAATGGGGGCAGAGCACCGGGGCAAAATTAAAATTGCTAATGAAGTTTCGGACACATATTGTCATTGATAACATCTTATCAGGAGCAGGGTTTGAGAGCAGACAACCGGTCTGACTAAAATTTACTAGGCAGGAATTTCCTCCTCCTAATAGGCCTGGGAGCGCTATGGGAGACCAGGGCTTATTTCATTCCTTATCTGCAACTGTATAAGACAGACATTCCCAAAGGGGCCATTTCAGAGACCTCCCCCTAGGAACGCATTCTCTTTCTCAGGGCTGTTCCTTGCTGAGAAAAAGAATTCAGCGATATTTCTCCTATTTGCTTTTGTAAGAAGAGAAATATGGCTCTGTCTTGCCCAGCCCACAGGCAGCCAGACTTTAAGGTTATCTCCCTTGTTCCCTGAAAATCGCTGTTATCCTGTTTTTAAGGTGCCCAGATTTCATATTGTTCAAACACATATGCTTTACGAACAATTTGTGCAGTTAACACAATCATCACAGGGTCCGGAGGTGACATACATCCTCAGCTTACGAAGATGATGGGATTAAGAGATTAAAGACAGGCATAGGAAATTATAAGAGTATTGATTAGGGAAGTGATAAATGTCCATGAAATCTTCACAATTTATGTTCTTCTGTCATGGCTTCAGCAGATCCCTCCGTTTGGGGTCCCTGACTTCCCACAACAAAATGCCTTTGGGCATTTATATGTTACCACTCTGACTGAATGTCTTCATCATTCTACATCACTGGCAAACTCCTTCTCATCTATTAAAGCTTGTTTTGGGCTACATTAGGCAAACTCTTTTGTGTAACAACTGTATTTTCACAAAGCCATTGGCTTTTTTAAGCAGTTGTTACATTCTGGTTTCAGAACTCCTTAAGAACTCTTAGTAGGCACTGAATGAATATTTGCTGAATGAATGAAAGTTAGAGGAATAGAAAGAAAGAAGAATATTTTAGCTGCTTTGACTTCAATAGTAATTCAATTTGGTAAAGTCACAAACTGAATTGACTTACATCTTATAAGAATTAATGAGATATCATTACAAACCAAGTAAATTCACCAAAAAAATTTTTAAAAGACAGTATTAAATGCTGGTGAATAAGCAGAGTAGCTGGAATTCTCACACACTGCTGGTGTGAAGGCCAAAGGGTACAGCCACCTTGGCATGCAGTTTTACAGTTTCTTCCAAAGTTAAATGTAGAATCATCTCAAGACTGAGTGAACCTATCCCTAGGAAGTTATCAAATAGAAATTAAAATACATTTCCCAAAAGACCTGTACATAGGTGTTTATAGCAATCTTATTGAAAATAGCCAAAAACAACCTAAACGACAATTAGTTGGAAATAATTTTGACATCCATCTACTGGTGAATGGAAACCATATAATCTAATATTCTCAGGAATAAAAAATGGATGAACTATTAATACATGCATCAATAGAGATGAATTTCAAAACCTTATGTTAAGTGAAAGAAATTAGAAAACACCACATATTACATGATTTCATTTATATAATATTTTAGAAATGGCAAAAAAAATCATTTTGCCAGGGGCCTATCCTCTGGCGGAGGGAAGGGACTGATTAAAAAGGGACAGGAAGGAATTGTTTTGGTATATGGGGCTGTTTTCTATTTTGATTATGATACTGGTAAATGACTATAAATTTGCCCAAATGAACTGTTTACCTTAACACAGTGAATATTACTATATGGAATTTATTTATCAAAAAATCTGAAAAAAGTTTCAATACGTGATGTTCTTCTTGCCTCCCTTAATAAAGTACAATTTTGTATGCATTTATTATTTACATGCACCTTACAAAGCTTGAATTACCGAATATAAATCATAAAATTTTCAGCAAATTCAAGAAAACGCACATGTTGAGATGTGCCAGCATCTTGCTGTGTTCTTTACCATGCCCCGATCCTTTAAACACCATGAGTTATAATTCCTGTTCTACAGAGAGCAGATCCAAAGATCAAACCACTTAAATGCCTCATAAAAGGCAAGCATTGGCAATGGAGCTCCTAATCAGATCCACCTGACTCTATGTCTTCTGTGCTAATTTCCACTCATTTCCATTGCACATTGGAAAATGTTCACACTTGTCATCCTTGTCTCAAAATTCCATGTGTGCAAGTCCCTGCCAAACTTTCCAATAGTCTGCATTCCACACTTCCCATGCTCCACCAAGCTCCAGGCAAGCACAACTCTTCCCAGACAAAGGCACTTTCACATATTACTTCTAACTCTTGGAAATCCCTACATTCTACACTTTCTATGAAGCTGTTTTCCTTCTTCGGGCCTCAGCCTAAAGGCTGTTCATCAGAGGTATCTTCCGGCACCACGTGATATGAGGGTATCTTCTCCCTTCCTATTATTTGTGTATCATCATTTTTCCCCAACAAACAAACCTGATATGTCTCTTGGGACTTATTAAATATTCAATCAACACTTTGAATAAATGAATTAATAAATTAATGAATTCAGATTAGGCTGCCAGCATCAGGCACAGAGGGAAAATCGTTAAAACCTGGTATAAAAGGAAAGATCACCCAAAAGGAGAACTTTTGGCTAGCAAAGCTGTAATCCAAGATCTGCATATATTAATGAACATCAATAAATAGCAGTAGGCTTGCTAGAAAGACAGGAGCTGGGATTAAATCAATTAAAAATGTTGTCTCTATGTAAATTAGAAACATCAACTAAATCAAACTGCTGAAAATGGAAGATGAAAAGAGTATTAATGAGCTGATAGAAACTTGATAAAATTTCCAAAATGTTTTGTTTGTTTGTTTGTTTGTTTGTTTGAATTCAATGATGACCAAATATGGGAAAAGGGCATTTTGAATGTGCCATATGCATTCTTAGTGTCTCACAAGCACTGTTTGCTGAAGAACACTGCCTGAGGATCTTCATCATCCGAGTTAAAATAAAAGGCTGAGTTGTTTTTGTCTTTTACCCACATCAAGAATTAAGCAGGAGCCCTTCAAAGATTACTGTATGCCCCTGTACAAATGTCTCATGTTGATCTTATTTGTTTATTTTTATTTTTATTGTTTTGAGACACAGTCTCACTCTCGTCACCCAGGCTGTAGTGCAGTGGTGCAATCTCGGCTCATTGCAACCTCTGCCTCCCGGGCTGAAGCCCCCTTCACCCTCCTGAGTAGCTACGATTACAGGCGCCTGCCACCACGCCTTGCTAATTTTTGTATTTTTAGTAGAGATGGGGTTTCACCATCTTGACCAGGCTGGTCTCAAACTCCTGATCTCAGGTGATCCATCCTTCTCAGCCTCCCAAAGTGCTGGGATTACAGGCGTGACCCACCGCACCTGGCTTTGACCTTATTTTTGAGGTACGTATTTTACTGTGATAGGCACTATAAGATATAGTGCCCAAAGCCACCACCAGCAAGATGGAATGGTTCCGGAGAACTCTCCACTCCTCTGCAGGCTCTCATCTCCCTATTGACAGAAACAGTTCCAAGCAGGAGGCGAAACTTAGCTGAAAACATTTTCTTATTTTCAGCTACTGTGGCTGATCCTCGACTCACAATGCCCCTCGCCACCTCAACAAACCTGTGCTCACACACATATTCTCAGGATGAATCCACTCATATCCTTCATCTGCATTACCTCAGAGAACACATCAAATCCATGCTTCTTTGTCCTCTGCACAGGGTTGTACACCCCCTAATTGGGTCCACTATGCCTCTCTCCCAATTCCCCTAAAATTTCCATTTTGTTTTCCAGAGCTTAGGGGTCTGTCTAGAGCAATAGCTCCCGTTTCTTCAGACTCTTCACCTTCTTGCTGTAACATAAGTCTAGCTGACTCTCAAGATTCCACAGTCACTAAAAAGAGGCTGCTCATTCTTTCTGGAGCCTCTCCTTTTTTACTAGCCTTGGAACTATGAGGTTCTTTAACAGTCTTTCCAAATAATTATCAGTCCTTAAACCCTAACAGCCTTTCCTTTTATTGTATTCTCCTAGAAAACAAAACAAAACAAAAAACTGTGGTTAAACTTACTCTGTGCTTACTATGTGCCTTTATCAGGGCAGCTGATCATGTCTGTCAAAACTAAAGTAAAACAAAAAAATCAGGAGGCCGAGGCAGGAGAATCACTTGAACCCAGGAGGCAGAGGTTGCAGTGAGCTGAGATCTCGCCACTGCATGCCTGCCTGGCCAGTCTGGGCAACAAGAGCGAAACTCCGTCTAAAAAAAAATGCCAACTGCTGTCATGTAAAGTATTTGATGTGATAACTCAAGTGGGCTCTCAGATTGCCCAACAAGCCTGATGTATGTATCTCTTCTCCAAACACTGTCAGGTTACTGAAAGACTATTTATACTATATACAACTCTTCAAATTACCACCACCTATGGCCCTTTCTCTTTTTCAGCTACTGACTTTGTTCCTGTTTCACTGAAAAAATGAAAGCAATTAGAAAATAACTTCTTCACCCCCTTTGGTGAATTTTTCCCAACTTTCATGCCTATATATTCTTTATTTTTCCTGTTAAAATGGATGCACTGCCCCATCACTACTGCTCCATTTCTCTGCTCACGTCCTCATGCCAACATAAACCTCAGTCAATATAGACCACCTCCACTTGCTCACCCACATTTCCTCTGGGACAGTGGCTTCTACCACTATTCTGAGCAAGCTCCGTTAAGAGGCACTAATAGCCTCAACAATGGCAAATCTAATGGAGAACTCTCTGTGCTTGTCTCCCGTCACTTCAGAGCCAGTATTTTATCCCATTGATCATACTGTTTTTTCAAACAGTTCCTTCATTTGCCTGGCATGTCGTTCCACCTCCCTCTTTTTACCTCTCCCCTCCTAAGCTTTTTGTGTGATGTTCTCTCCTCTAAAATGGCTTTTACCTTGCAGGTGATATCTATTAAGTCTGTGAAGTTAAAGGTCAGCTGACAGCCCCTGGATTTTTACCTTATCCATAGTGTCTTCCACCATTTTCAAGTTCATATAAGCAGCTATACCTGACATTTCCCTGGGATATTTAGTTGATGTTTTATGTTTGCCATGGTCCTTACCAACCTTTTCATGTCTATTCCAAACCTGGTTTGTCCTCAGTGTTCCCTGACTCACTAAATGACAGCAATATTGACCCCAATGCTTAGGCACTTCTTTTCTTTTCTTTTTTTTTTTTTTTTTTTGACAGAGTCTCACTCTGTCGCCCAGGCTGGAGTGCAGTGGCGCCATCTCAGCTCACTACAAGCTCTGCCTCCTGGGTTCACACCATTCTCCTGCCTCAGCCTCCCGAGTAGCTGGGACTACAGGCACCTACCACCACGCCCAGCTAATTTATTTTTGTATTTTTAGTAGAGATGGAATTTCACCGTGTTAGCCAGGATGGTCTCAATCTCCTGACCTCATGATCCGCCTGCCTCAGCCTCCCCAAGTGCTGGGATCACAGGCGTGAGCCACCGCACCTGGCCACTTAGGCACTTCTTAACATCTTTTCTTTTACAAACTTTGCACATCACTTGCGTATTCATTTGCATATTGCAGCATGATAAATTATCCTGAATTGAATGGCTTAAAACAACAAATATTTATTTAGTGTCTCACAATTTCTGCGGGTGACACATCAAAGTGCCCCTGAGTTGTGGGCTTCTGGCTCAAGGTCTGTCATGAGGTTGCAGTTAAGCTGTCATCCAGGGCTGCAGTTGTCTCCAGACTCAAGTGGGATGAAAGAATCTGCATCCAGGCTCACCTGTGTCATTTTCAGAAGGATTCCACTCCTCACAGACTGTTGGATAGAAGATCTCATATCCTTGCCTTGTCATTTGGGGCTTTCCATAGGACCTCTTACTTCCCCCATGGCAGAGTGATCTCACAGAGAAGACACCAAAGGTGTAAAGACAGAGCCAGGAGAGAACAAGAGTGTGTACCCAAGACATAAGCCACAGTCTTTTAAAATAGGTTATATCAACAGTTGTTCACAGATGAGGAAGCTCACAGAGTTCTAAGAGCAGAGTTTTGGTTAGCTGAAACTCAAACTTATGTCTCTATGGCTCCAAGGTCCAAGGTCATTGTCTTAATTTATAATTCCCTTCTTCTACCAAGTCATCTGTGACTTCTGATAGGGAGGAAACACTTCCCAAAAAAGCCTTGGATTGCACAGAGCAGAAGACACAGGCACAAATGGAATCATCAATTGACTTCACTGTCATCAAGAAAATGACCAGTTTCTTGAGGGTAAGGGTAGCATATCATTTACCATCTTATTCCCAGTGTTTTGGATAATATTTGACACACAAGAGGGATACAATATGCTATTATTGAATGATTCCATTTATTCATAATTGTCAAATGCATGAACAAACGAATGGATGAACACAACGCTGACTCCCCAGTGGAAAATATAGGAGTTCATGAGGAAAATGCTGGAGGTTATTGATCATGCAAGTAGGATAAACACATAATGGCAAAATTTTGTTACATTTAAGAAAATGTACAAATCTTAATACAGAATCTGAAATTTTAAGGATATGGTATTATGTCTCTTTAAGACATAATATTTTGTGGAGCAAAATTTGTTCTGGTTATAAAGTTTTATTTTTGAAAATAAATTGGGCTTCTCCATTTTAATCCTAATTTTCCTGTGTTTGAAATCAGGCACATTCTTATCACTGTGAATAGATAGAGGGCTGGATGAGGGAGAATTCAAAGGATCAAATAAAGAGAGCTCAGTTAAAACAAAAAGAATGGAGACAGCACCATGCGTTAAGAGCAAAGCAGAAATCAATTCAATACATTAATATTAAAAGTGCTTATTGAAAGAAAAATGGTTTATAGAAATCTATGGTTAAAGACTTTTGAGTAAATTCTTCATATATATAAAAGAGAAAATAATGGAAAATTCATTTATAAGCCCCTTGACAAAAGAAAAACATAATCTTAGTAAATAATTCAATGTTGATGGTGGTGGGTGTGGGGGATAAGGAGATCTTATGGTTAGCAGTTTTCGGGGTCATATTAGAGGGTCTAAACAAAAGAAATGATTCAAGAAAAATCTTCAACAGACATGGAGAGACTTCCATGTTTCTCTTTTGCTTTTTAATCTATATTCTTAGCGAGAAGAAGGAGCAAATTGATATCAGATTTTACAATAGATTTTTCATATATATGAATACCTTGAGTCCCTTCATATTAAATACAGAGTGCCTGATGTTGCATTCTTAATGATGTAGTGTGGTGATTTCTTTTGAGTAGTTGTTCTGCCACATAAAATTGAACCAGTTAATTACCTCTCTGGGCCACAGCTTTCCTCATCTGCAAAAGAAGGGATAATAATATATGGGAGGTAGATAAAGTATCTGGCACATTGTAAGTGCCTTTTAACAGAGATACATAGCAATATTATTATTGTAATATCACAAATTAAATTCAAATATTCATTTGGATATTTTGTATTTGATGAATGAACACTGCCTAAATTTACATTTCCTTTATATTCTTTAAGTTTCATGGTTCTGGAAAGAAACATACAGAGCAAAATTTGGGGTTTTTTTTGCTATGAAATTTACATTTGGGAAAAAATAATTACAACACTGAGATTTAAAAATTTGGCATCTCTCTTCCCATTCTCAGGTGACACTTAGCAAAATGAATTTTCTCAGCTCTAAAGCTAAGTAGAAATATTTTAAAAAATTAATTAACAAACATCAATATTTGCAAAATCAATCTAATAATCAAACCCACAGGGTAATGACTAAATCTTCTTTGAAGAGGAATGGATATGCTGGTTGCCTTCAAAGGCCTCAATTTAGAAACATGCAGAAAGACATATAAGGAAATGTGCCACTTGTCTTCTCTAGCACAGAAAAAGGTCTGAGATGTAGCAAGATGATGTTTGCTTTCCACTAGTGTTTTAAGTCACATTTTGCTTTAAAGCACACAAAGTGAAGGGCTGAATCTGGAGAAAATTAACATACATGTCTTTGAGAGTTTAGGGGCTTGTCCCAGAGCCTTGGCCTGTGACACAAAACACAGCACTGGCCCTTGGGTCATTGGCTGTGATGAGGGCATCCACACACTGCTCTCCACTTTTCCCACTTTTTAAGCCCATTCTCTGTCTTCATTTTCCATTTTCCATTTTCATTTGTCATCTTAGTCTCTTAGAGAATTCCTTAAAGGCGAGGATGCTGTTTCTGTGTCTCTGTGTTTACGTGTCCACCAAATGTTCTGACAATGAGTCCTTTAATCAGCAGACATGAATTAATTACTCACTTCTAAGGCAAGGTTAGCTGATGATGGTAAAGAATACCAGTGTGGCCCTGGGCCAGAGAAGAGCCCACTGCCATAAGCCTGGAGCAGTGGAGGCCAAGAGGAGAGATTCCTCTGCTTCTGGAAAGGGGATGGTAGGGTAAGAAGGACTTTTTCTTGTGGCTCAGCTGCCAGCTCAGCCACAGTACAATAAGCACAAGATAGATTCCTAAGATTTCTGACTCTGGGCCTTAGCTCCCAGATAGCATCTGGACTGCCCAGGGCTGGAGGAAACTCACTATCCTGAAGGGAAAGATACAAGCCTGGCTTTCTTTACCATGTGCTGATGTAGAGCTCTAGGGCCTTGAGTGAACATATGTAGTAGCCAGGCAATGGTGAACATGGAACTTGAATGACACCCAGTACTGTGCTGGTTTCAGGTCTGATTCAGCATAGTCCCAGTGGTGGTGACTATAGGAGTATATGTGTGACCTCTCGCCTAGCTCCAGTAAGCTCAACACAGAGAGACATTCCTTTTTTGGAGGAAAGTAAAGGAAGAGAACTAAAGCCTCTGTCTGGCAATCCAGAGAATTTTTCCAGATCTTATCCAAGACCACCAAGGTACTACTTCTATGATTCTGCAAAAGCCACAGTGTTACTGAGATTGAGGTTCCCCAAATGCACATAATGCTGCGGTGATTACCTTTCAAAAAATGACAGGTACAAACAAGTCCAGAATGCAAAGACTACAGTAAATAACTCTTCAATGCCCAGGCACCAAAGAACATCTGCAAGCATCAAGAGCATCCAGGAAAGCATGACTTCGCCAAATGAAATAAGGGTACCAGGGACCAATCCTAGGGAAATAGATATATGTGACCGTTCAGAAGAGAACTCAAAATACCTGTTTTAAGGAAACTCAAAGACATCCATAATAACACAGAGAAAATTTGTAATACTATCGGATAAATTTAACAAAGTGGTTGAAATAATTAAAAGTAGTAAAGTAGCCATTCTAGAGTTGAAAAATGAATTGACATACTGAAAAATGCATCAGTCTCTTAACAGCAGAATTGATCAAGCAGAATAAAGAATAAGTGAGCTTGAAGACAGTCTATTTGTGTACATAGGCAGAAGAGACAAAAGAAAAAAGAAAGAAAAAGAATGAAGCATACCTACAAGATCTAGAAAATAGCCTAAAAAGGACATATCTAAAGTTATTGACTTTAAAGAGGAGGTAGAGAGAGGGATAGGGGTAGAAAGCTTATTCAAAAGGATAATGACAGAGAATTTCCAAAACCTACAGAAAGATATCAATGTTCAAGTATAAGTATATTATTGAACACTAAGCAGATTTAAAGCAAGCAAGACTATTTAAGACTTTTAATAATCAAACTTCCAAAGGTCAAGAATAAAGGCATCTAAAAGCAGGAAAAAAAAAATAAGACACAATGGAGCTCTGAAATGTCTGGCAGCAGACTTCTCAGTGGAAACCTTACAGGCTAGTAGAGAGGGGGATGATATATTTGGAGTGCTGAAAGGGGAGCGGGCGGGAGGGGGGTGGGAAGCTTTTATCACAGAATAGTATGTCCAGAGAAAATATCCTTCAATCCTGAAGGAGAAACAAAAGCTGAGGGATTTCAACAACACCATACTTGTCCTACAAAAAATGTTCAAGAAAGTTCTTCATTCTGAAAGAATAGCATGTTAATGAGCAATAAAAAATCATCTCAAGGTGCAAAACTCACTGATAATAATAAGCCCAAAGAAAAACACGGAATATTATGACACTGTAAGTGTGGTATGTAAACTACTCATATATTAAGTAGGAAGATTAAAAGATGAACCAATTAAAAATAATAACTACAACAACTTTTCAAGACATAGTACAATGAGAAAAGGAAACAATAAAAATTAAAAAGCTGAGAGAGGAACTTAAAGTGTAGAGTTTTTGTTATTTTTCTATTTGCTTGTTTGTTTGTTTCTGCAATCCGTGCTAAGTTGTAATAAGTTTTGAAAAAATGGGTTATTAGATCGTATTTTCAAGCCTCATGGTGACCTCAAAGCAAAAAACATACAACAGATATACAAAAAATAAAAATCAAGAAATTAAAACATACCACCAGAGAAAATCACCTTCACCAAAAGGAAGACAAGAAAGAAGAAAAGGAAAAAGAGAAGGCCACAAAATAACCAGAATTTTTTTTTAAATGGCAGGAGTAAGTCCTTGCTAATCAATAATAACATTGAATATAAATGTACTAAACTCTACAATCAAAAGACACACAGTGGCTGAATAGGGAAAAAAATAAACAAGGCACAACAATATATTACCTATAAGAAACACATTTTACCTCTAAAGAAACACACATACTGAAAATAAAGGGATAGAAAAACATTATTTCCTGCAAATGGAGACCAAAAATGAGCAGAAGTACCTATATTTATATTAGATAAAATAGATTTCAAGACAAAATATATAAGAAGAGAAAAATGTCACTATATAGTGATAAGGGTCAATTATTCAAGAGAATATAACCATTTTAAATGTATATTCACCCAATACTGGAGCATACAGATATCTATAGCAAATATTTTTAGAGAAAGAGAGAGAGAGAGAGAGACAGACCTCCATACAATAATAGCTAGAGACTTCAACATCCCACTTTCAGCTTTGGACAGATCTTCCAGACAGAAAATCAACAAAGAAACATTGGACTTATTCTGCACTATAAACCAAGTAGACCTAAGAGATATTTACAGAACACTTTACCCAGCATAGAGAATACTCATTCTTCTCTTCAGCACATGGCTTATTCTCAAGGATAGACCATAGGTTAGGCCATAAAACAAGTCTTAAAACATTCAAAGAAATTAAAATAATAGCAAGCATCTTCTCTGACCACAATAAAATAAAACTGGAAATCAGTAAGGAGGGATTATGAAAACGATATGAACATATGGAAATCAAACAATATGCTCCTGAATGACCAGTGGGTCAATGAATAAATTAGGCAAGAAATTTAAAAGTTTGTTGAAACAAATGATAATGAACACAATATGCCAAAATCTGTGGGATACAGCCGAACTAAGAGGAAAGTTTATAGCAATAAACATCTACATCAAAAAGATAGAAGAACTTCAAATAAACAACCTAATGATACATCTTAAAGAGCTAGAAAACCAAGAAAAGACAGTAATAGTAGCAGAAAGGTAATAATAAAGATCAGAACAGAAATAAATGAATTGAAACAAAGAAAACAATACAAGAGATCAACAAAACCAAAAGTATGCTTTTTGAAAAGATAAACAAAATTTTTACACCTTTAGACAGACTAAGAAAAAAGAAAGAAGACCAAAATAAATAAAATCTGAAATGAACAGGCCAATATTACAGCTGTTCCTGCGGAAATTCAAAGGATCATCAAGGGCTACTCTGAGCAACTATGTGCTGGTAAATTGGAAAACCTGGATGAAATGGATAAATTCCTAGACATATACAACCTACCACAATGGAACCATGAAGAAATAAAAAACTTGAAAATACCAATAACAAGTAATGAGATAAAAGCTATAATGAAAAGTCTCCCATCAAACCAAAGCACAGATGGCTTCACTGATAAATTCTACCAAACATTTAAAGAAGAACACCAATTCTCAAACTATTCACAAAAATAGAAGAGAAGGGACTATTTTCAATCTAATTCTACAAGGCCAGTATCAACCTGATGCCACAACCAAAGACACATCAAAAAGAGGAAACTACAGACCCAAATCCCTGATGAACATTCATGCAAAATCTTCAACAAAATACTAGCACATTGAATTCAACAACACGCTTAAAAGATCACTCATCATGACTAAGTGGGAAATATCCCAGGGATACAAGGAGAGTCAACATATGCAAATCAATCAATGTGATACATTATATAAACAGAATTAAAGACAAAAATCGTAAGACCATTTCAATTAATGCTGAAAAGTATTTGATAAAATTCAACATTCCTTTATGATAAAACCTCTCAAAAACTGGGTATAGAAGGAGCATACCTCGACATAATAAAAGCCATATACAACAGACCCCCAGCTAGTATCATAGCTAGAAAAATAAAAACTCCTTAATATCTGGAACACTACAGAGATGACCACTTTTACCATTGTTATTCAACATAGTACTGGAAGTCCTAGATAGAGCAATCAGACAAGAGACAAAAATAATAGGCATTTAATTGGAAAGGAAGAAATGAAATTATCCTTGTTTGCAGATAGTATGATCTTATATTTGGAAAAACCTGAAGACTCCACCTAAATACTCTTAGAACTATTCAGGAAATTCAGAAAAGTTGCAGGATTCAAAATCAACATAAAAAAATTAGTAACATTTCTATATGCCAACAGTGAACAATCTGAAAAGGACATAAATAAAGTAATCCCATTTATAATAGCTAAAAATAAAATAAAATACTTATGTATTAACTTAAATAAAGAAGTTAAAGATCTGTCCAATGAAAACTATAAAACATTGAAGAAAAGTTGAAGAGAATAAAAGAAAAATGGAAAGATATCCCATGTTTATGTGGACTAAAAGAATCAGTAGAATTAAAATGCTTATACTATGTAAAGCAATCTACAGATTCAATTCACTCTCTATCAAAACACCAATAACATTCTTCACAAAAATAGAAAAAAATTTACATGGAGCCACAAGAGGCACAGAATAGCCAAAGACATCCTGAGCAAAAAGAACAAAACTGGAGGACTCACAAAACATGACCACAAATTATACTATAAAGCTGTGATAATCAAAACTATATGGTACTGGCATAAAAACAAGCACATGGACCAATGGAACAGAATAGAGAAACCAGAAACAAATCTATACATCTAAAATAAAGTCATTTTGTACAAATGTGACAAAAACATATATTGAGGAAAGGACAGTTAGTTCAATAAATGGTGCTTGGAGAGGTCTTTCACTTCCTTGGTTAGGTATATTCCTAAATATTTTATTTATTTATTTATTTATTTATTTGCAGGTATTATAAAAGGGGTTGAGTTCTTCTTTTGATTCTCAGCTTTGTTGCTGTTGGTGTATAGCAGTTCTACTGATTTGTGTACATTGATTCAAACACTGCTGAAGGAAATCAGATGACACAAACAAGTGGAAACACATCCTATGCTCATGGATGAATAGAATCAATATTGTGAAAGTGACCATACTGCCAAAAGCAATCTAGAAATTTAATGCAATTCCCATCAAAATATCATCATCATTCTTCACAGAACTAGAAAAAAAAATCTTAAAATTTATATGGAGCCAAAAAAATAGCCCACCTAGCCAAAGCAACACTAAGCAGAAAGAATAAATCTGGAGGCATCACATTACCCGACTTCAAATTATACTGTAAGGTGATATTCACTAAAACAGCATGATACTGGAATAAAAATAGTCACATAGACCAGTGAAATGTAATAGAAAACCCAGGAATAAAGCCAAATACTTACAGGCAACTGATCTTCGACAAAGCAAACAAAAACATAAAGTGGGGAAAAAGCATCCTATTCAACAAATGGTGCTGGGAAAATTGGAAAACCACATGTAGAAGGATGAAACTGGATCCTCATTTCTCACCTTACACAAAAATCAACTCAAGATGAATCAAACACTTAAATCTAAGACCTGAAACCACACACTAGAAGATAACATCAGAAAAACCCTTCTAGACATTGGCTTAGGCAAAGACTTCCTGACCAAGAACCCCAAAGCAAATGCAACAAAAACAAAGATAAATAGATGTGACTTAATTAAACTATAAAGCCTCTGCATAGCAAAAGAAATAATCAGCACAGTAAACAGAAAACCCATAGAGTAGGAGAAAATATTTTCAAACTACACATTCAACAAAGGACTAGTATTTGGAACCTACATGCAACTCAAATCAACAACAAGAACAACAACAACAACAACGAAAGTTAAAAAAGCAAACAATTCCATCAAAAAGTGAGTTAAGGACATGAATAGACAATTCTCTAAAGAAGATATACAAAAGGCCAACAAATATATGAAAAAATGTGCAATATCAGTAATGATCAGGGAAATGCAAGTCAGAAGCACAATCTGATACCACCTTACTCTTGCAAGAATGGTCATAAAAAATAAAAAAAAATAGATATTGGTGTGGTTGTCGTGAAAAGGGAACACTTTTGCACTGCTAGTGAGAATGTAAACTACTACAACCACTAAGAAAAACTGTATGGAGATTCCTTAAAGAACTAATAGTGGATCTATCATTTGATCCAGCAATCCTGTTACTGGGTATCCACTCTGAGGAAATGAAGTCATTATGTGAAAAATACACTTGTACATGCATGTTTATAGCAGCAAAATTTGCAATTGCAAAAATATGGAACCAGCCAAAATGCCCATCAATCAATGACTAGATACAAAAATGGCATATATATATATACATATACACCATGGAATTCTACTCAGCCATGAAAAGGAATGAAATAATGGCATTCACAGCAACCTGGATGGAATTAGAGATCATTATTCTAAGTGAAGTAACTCAGGAATGCAAAACCAAACATTGTATATTCTCACTTATAAGTGGGAGCTAAACTATGAGGATGTAAAGGCATGAGAATGATAAAATGAGTCTTGGAGACTTGGTAGGGAAGGATGGGAGGGGAACTAGGGATAAAAGACTACACATTGGGTACGGTGTACACTGATCAGGTGATGGGTGCACCAAAATCTCAGAAATCACTACTAAAAACACTTATCCATGTAACCAAACACCATCTGTTCCCCCAAAACCTATTAAAATAAATAAATAAATAGTGCTTGGAAAATCAGATATCCATATGCAGAAGAATGAAACTATACCCCTATCTCTCACCACGTATAAAAATCATATCTAAATAGTTTAAAGATTTAAATCTAAGACCTTAGACAATAAAAGTACTACAAAAAAATTGGGAAAACTCTCCAGGACGTTGGACTGGGCAAAGATTTTTTGAGTAATAGCCTACAAACAAAGGAAACTAAAGCAAAAATGGACAAGTATGATTACATGAAGTGAAAAGTATCTGAACAGCAAACGAAACAATGAACTAAGTGCAGAGATAACCTACAGAATGGGAGAAAATTGGCAACTACCCAACTGACAAGGGATTAATAACCAGAATATATAAAGGACGCAAACAACTCTATAGGACAATATCTAAGAATCCAATCAAAAATGGGCAAAATATCTGAATAGACATTTCTCAAAAGAAGACACACAAATGGCAAACAGACATATGAAAAAGTGTTCAATGCTATCAGAGAAATGCACATTAAAACTACAATGAGATATCATCTCACCCAGTTAAAATGGCTTTTATCCAAAAGTCAGGCAATAACAAATGTTGGCAAGGATGTGGAGAAAAGGTAACCCTTGTAAACTGTTGATGGGAATGTAAATTAGTACAACCACTATGGAGAATAGTCTGGAGGTTCCTCAAAAAACTGAAAACAGAATTAACATTAAATTCAGCATTCCCAATCCTAGGTGTAGACCCAAAAGAAAGGACATCAGTAGATCAAAGAAATATCTGCACTCGCATAATTATTGCAACACTATTCATTCATAGCCAAGATTTAGAAGCAACCTAAGTGTCCATCAACAGATGAATGGATGAAGAAAATGTGGTACTTATAGACAATGTAGTACTGTTCAGCCATAAAGAAATAATCAGGTCTTGTCATTTGCAACAACATGGATAGAATTGTAGGTCATTATGTTAAGTGAAATAAGTCAGGCACAGAAAGACAAACATCTCATGTTCTCATTTACTTGTGGGAGCTAAAAATTAAAACAATTGAATGAATGGAAATAGAGAGTTGAATAATGGTGAACTGAGGCTGGGCAGGGTAACACATCTTGGCAAGGGTGAGGGAGTGGGGATGGTTAATGGGTACAAAAATATAGTTGGAAAGAATGAGTAAGGTCTACTATTTGATAGAGTAACAGGGTGATTACAGTCAACATTAATTTATTTCTACATCTAAAAACAACTAAAAGAGTAGAATTGAATTGTTTGTAACAGGAAGGATAAATGCTTGAGGTGATGGATACCTCATTTACCCTGATGTAATTATTATGCATTATATGCCTGTATCAAAATATCTCATGTACTCAATAAGTATATACACCCACCATGTGCCCAGAAAATTTTAAACAAAAATGAATACCAGTGTGTAATAACATAAGACAAATACAAAGAGCTGGATGCCTTTCTACACATTTTTCTGTTAAAGTGGTTGTCTTTTACATAATGATAAAGAAGGATAGTAGCCTCTCTTTTCTTTTCTCTTCCCTCCCTCCCTCCCTCCCTCCCTCCCTCCCTCCCTTCCTTCCTTCCTTCCTTCCTTCCTTCCTTCCTTCATTCCCTCCGAGTGTTTCTCACCATGTTTCCCAGGCTGGAGAACAGTGGTTATGCACAGGCATAATCATAGCACACTACAGTCTCAAACCCCTGACCTGAAGTGATCCTCAGCCTTTTGAGTAGCTGACTACAGGCATGCAGTACTGAGTTCAGCTAAGACCAACTAATTTAGTAGAAAAAGCATTGACTTCAGAGTTAGACTGCAGCTCAAAGCCTGAAACTGCCATTTGATATTTAAATAACAGATATTTTTATATGGCATATAACTTGCAACTAGTCTCTGTGACATGCAGGAAATACTGTGAAGCACAAGATAAAGACTCCTCCTACATTGGAATCCTAGATCCTTCACTTATGAGCACTGTGACCTTGGGCTAGTTACTTAACCTTTCTGTGCTTTGTGTAAAAGGAAAGTATTAATAATATGTTGTGGTTATTGAGACTGAGTTAAATGTTCTTAAATTAGTGATGGCAGAGAGTAAGTATAACAAGTTCTTCCTATTATAATTATTAATTTATGTTAATATAGGAACATTTAGTGGTATTATGGAATTTTGGAATCGTAGACTTTGAAATAAGATATATCTGAATTTGATTCCATTATATTATAACTATACATAGTCATAATACAGTATCTAATCTGAAAAATATTATGAGGATTAAGTAAGCCATGTAAAACACATAGCTTTTAATAAAAATATGCATGTGTATGTGTGTAGATGTATATACATATATATATATACTTGCATATAATATACATGTAATCAAGCTGTCAATGGAGGTCTTTCAGCTACTTTTCAGAATTAGGATCATCTCCTCAGCAGATGCTGCGTTCACTCAAACAGACAACTCAAGTCCTTAATGGATATCAATTAAAAATAATCACGAGATAGATTTGATGAATGAAAAGCAATATGAGCCACTTCAAATGAACGGTTTGATCACTTAAAATTAAAAATCCCTTTGCAATTTTACTGTAGAATTATCTTTGTCTTCTTCAATTCAGTTTTTCCTCTGACTTGATTCTTATTGTTTAGTTTTCTCTCATCTCTTCTCTCCCCTCTTCAGAAACAAAATACAAGAGCTCACCTTTCATGGAAAATAATATGGGTGACTTTTATTGTCTTAGATAATTCTGATGTCAGATATAAATAAAATACATGTCTTATAGAACTAAAATCATATTTCTGCCTTAATGTCTTTTTATTATTATCCCATGAAATGAGAACGGGTAATGACATCTAACTATTTTGGCTGGAATATTTAGAAAAACATGACAAAATTAAAAAAATTTTTTTTATATAAATAACTTTAAGAAGCTTCAGGGAATACTTAGTTTTTTTTTAATTTATTCTGGATATTAAGACATATAACTAACAATCTTAAGAACTGATTTATTCTGGATATTAAGACATATAACTAACAATTTTAAGAACTGATTTTAGAACTTTACATTTTTAAAGAATGCGTGCTATAATTTTATGAATGGCAAACTGCTATCAAGTGATAGATTATTTTATTTTTCTATTGTGGATACACATCAAAAATGACATGAGGCCAACTGTGACCCCAAATATGAACATCAGCAAGAGCTGAAAATTAGAATCTTGTATGTCTCCAAGTGGTGTGGCAATAAGGAGCTACATGAGAATAAGCCTTTTATTTTTCTCACCATGCAGAACATAAGCTAACCTAACCACTGTGGCTGTTAGGAAAATGCAAACTCTTGCAAGTGTAAATACCACTTAAGGGCAATGTGGGAAAAACTGTACACCCAAAGGGACAGGCAGCCCTCTTTCAGAACTTAATTTTGGTTTAGGTGAAAACATATATTACTGAACCTCAGGTCAGTCTTCTGTAAGAGGAGAGAAGAGTACCACCTTGCAGGATGGCCATGAGTATTACAGGAGGTAACATAAACCAGCCATAGGGAATGGCCTGGCATATTGTGCTTGCTCAGTTCCTCATCATTGCTTTGGGGTTTTCTTCCCCTGGTTTCTTTGCATTTATTTTTCAAGGGTCATTTTCAACCCTCTAATGGAACTTTCCATGTTAATGGTCTTTTGTTCCAGAGAGGAAGTTAAACACGTGGATCTTCTATGGCTGTTCTCACATCTGAAAAATTACTAACTCCACACCTTGTCAATACTCTCCCTCGTATCCCTTTTTGATCCTTTGGTCTTTGGTAACTTGTTCCCCATTGTTTACACCTGAGGGACCCATCATGGTCACATCTTTGAAAAAAAGTCTTATTGACCAAAGGAAGTAGCTTTGCAGTTTTTTTCCTTGAATTTATTGTTACTAAACACATTCTGCCATGCCTAAGGAAAGCAACAGTTTAACACAAAACTTTTTTGTTGTACATTTTAAGAGCCAAAAAGAGCACTTTTGAAAGTGCTCAGTCTTCCTGAATGATGACTTCTGCCAGTAGCTTTTGAGGGTAAACACCGGAGGCTTTCGACCGCCAGTGAAAGGCCATTTGTGAAGACATTACCTCCAGGGCCTAATTGAAGTTCAGGATGTCAGCTCATTTCCACCCATCTGGTCTTTGGCAAAAGGTTGAGTCAGACTTCAGAAACATTTGAAATCAAGGTACAAATAAATACTAACCCCAAGGGAAGCATCCATTTAAAAAGCTCACAGGTATTTACTTGGTCCTGGAGCCTGACTGCGTGTCAAGTCCTTTCAAGGACAGGTGGAGCTTCCCCACTAGTGGTGCTGTCTGATTTACTTTGTTGGAAGACATGGTCTCATCATTATTCTAATGCCCTTGCTGCCTAGTAACAGACATGGATTGATTGCTGCTGCCTTTGATCCACAAATTTGCATTTGTCTGGAGTCCTGGAGGATGCCAAAGCTGACCAAGGCTCATCCATCATTTTCCTGGACAGGGTTTACAAATACTCTGTAACCCAGGTGCACAAAGCCGAGGAATGCGTTTTGAGTGGGTATGGTGACGACTTTTAGATATGTTGCCCACTTCGGTTTCTTAGAAACAAAAATAAACTGGGAAGTAATAAATGATAGTTGTGATATGGACATTCTTATCCTTTTCAGGTTGTGTATTTATAATGCCATTTAATCAAAACATCTTACTTACAACATACATTCATGGATGTTCCCACTGTGAAGGAAGGCTTTCTTCGGCTTTTGCTTTTTGTCCCCTTTTACTTTTTAAGCACTTTGCTCGTTTACATGTTTTTTTCCTAGGTGGACCAACACTCTTAAATTCTTTCTCAGAGGAAACAAAGGCAAAGCAAACTTTCTTTTAACTGTATTATATATCTCCTTTATATCCCCATAAAGCGCAGTGCTAAGAGGCTCTTTCATCCCAACACCTGCGTTTTATGATTCTTATGATAGAATATATTTTATTTGTGACTCCTTAAAGTGGATTGAAATGCAGACAAAAGAAATGGGATTCATTTAAAATGAAAGGCAGATTGGCAATATGTTTATCTGGACTAATATTTTTAAATACCTTTCAACCCAGAAAAGATTAATATAAGCTCTAACAGATAAATCTTATCTGCCATTTATTTACCACTCATTCTTTTTATTACTGTTCAGAATTGCAAAGATTTAACCAACTATATATTGGCCTTTTAAATGGTAGGTATTATAACATTCAAAAGAGAGAAATATCTGCCAAAAATCAAACAAAGAAAAAACTATTGAACTCCCAACTCAGGTCCACTGCAATTAATTAGCCAATGAAGATGATAACAAGAAAATGCCTAGTGAAAGTTGATTGCAATATCTCTCCTGTAATTTTGCATAATGACAACATCAGAAGTGAATCTTCATAGAGTTTCTCTCTCTCTGTCTCTTTCTCTCTCTCTCTTTCTCTTTCTCTATCTCTCTTTCTCTCTCTCTCTTTCTCCTTCTCTTTTGCTATGGGAGATAGAATCAGGAACAGAAATCTTAGTAGAGACAGAGTTTATAGTTTAGCCTTAGGGCACAGAAGAATGTCAAAGGGGAAAATATATAAAAAGAGAGTAGTATTTTTTAAACAAAAGGTTTGCGCCAGGCATTGTGGCTCACACCCGTAACCCCAGCATGTTGGGAGGCCAGGAGTTCAAGACCAGCCTGGCCAACATGGTGAAACCCCGCCTCTACTAAAAATACAAAAATTAGCTAGGCATGGTGCCAGGTGCCTGTAATCCCAGCTACTTGGGAGGCTGAGGCAAGAGAATTGCTTGAACCCGGGAGGCACAGGCTGCAGTGAGCCGAGATTGCACCACTAGATTGCAGCCTGGGTGACAGAGTGAGACTCTGTTTCAGAAAAAAAAAAAAAAAAAAAAAGGTTTGCCGAAAACTATACTCCTAGTTAAATTACAAGACTACTTGAGGGAGAATTATCCATTTGACCCACTAACCCTTCAGAGTAATTCAGAACTGGATGTAGGTACAAGAATGGTGGTAACTGGTCAGGAGTCAACTTTAAACATGGTGGTCTTTATTTTTATAATTATAGCCAGGAAAGGAGAAACTATGTAATGTAGCCAAAGATAAGCTATCACTGTACTTTCTGTTGCAAAACATCTTCTCCTTACAAGATTGTGCTTTCGAGGTTCATTATTTGTAAAACATCCTAAAGGAAATTTCTCCAAATAAAGAAGCCCCACATTTAAATTTAGGGTTCAGTCTTATCTTAGAGGTATTATGCCTTTAAGCAACAACTTATCTCTAAAGCCCAGGGAAACCATTTGGAAGATGGACATGAAAAATAAATCTAACTTATGAGGCCATTTGGTGAATAAAATATCAAAGTCCCTCATAAAACACTGCTGCTATGTCCTGGAATAGCTAGGAAGGTACACTGTCCTATTCCTTCATTAGAAAGAATAAAGGCTTATTCTTTGCAGGGAAGGGGTCCAGTGAATAATGGTAACAGTCTTTACGCAAAGGGTCATTGGCCATTCAATCAGCACCACATTGGCTCAATGCAAGTGTTAAAAATGGCTCCTTTTCCCTTCTTCTTTCTCCTACGTTCCTTTGCCACCCTCTCCACTCTGTGTCTGGCATCATGATGCCCTTGGGTAGAATTTTATCTGGGACTACACATTTTTCAGTGTGGGCAACTGTACATAAATAGGTCCTTGTTTTGTCTCTCTTGCTGATATAGATTACCTGTCTTGGGACTCCCAGGTGAAGGAGGCTGGAATAAAGGTTTTGGTAGAGATGAAACATCTTACACCACTGATGAGGACAGGGAAGAACAAATAAGGGAGGTAAAGAAGACTTCACCTGGTTTCAAATCTCTGATCCACCACTTGCAAATTATGTGACCTTGGGAAGTCACTTAACTCTCAGGGACTCCATTTCCTCATCTGTAAAATGGGTGATATTTTAAGAATGCTATAACAACAAGACTCTTAGAAACATTAAATGAGTTAATATTTATCAAGCACTTAGAATAGTACCTGTAAGGGCTATTAAAATGTGGGTAAGAAACATCAGATATCTTTATTATATATGCCGTTTTCCCCAGTTAAATTTGGCTTGAACTTGCAAATTAGGAGTTGGATTTATGTAATCAGCCATTTTAAAATTGATTTGATTGCTGCCAGCTTTATTACAGTGAGCGCACAAATGGCTGATAAGATTCCATCCCTTTAATGACCTAATTAAAAAGAAACAAAAAAGCAACAAGAACAAATAATCCATCCCTCACATTTCAGCCACTTAGAGGGACCCCTTGGAGTGACCATTTGATATGAAATTAAGTTGCTTATGCATTGACCACAGGTAGATATTAGATCCACTTAGTCACAGAAGCACATCTGAAATTTCACACAGACAAAAGCCACCTGCTCATTCTGGGGAAGCCCTGAGGACGATGACCAACACAGACTTAGGGGAGTTGCATATGGAAATTCACAAAAACATGGGAAGACACCAGCCACTTCAGGGCAGGAATCCTTAAGGTTGGAGAAGACCAAACCTCATCTTTCAAACAGATAGAATACACTTTTATTGTTTCTTTTCAAAGAAAGTGTTCTGGCCTCCACCCACTCAAAGCAAAAATGAAATTGGCATTTTCAGACAGCATTTGTCTTCCTTTGAACAATGGTATGAGTTAAACTTTCTGTTCCTTTCATTTGCTTCTAAGTAATCTGATTCTGAATAAAATGTATGTTTCACCTGTAGAATGATAACAGTAAGAGAGTTGCATCTAATTTTGAAAGAGATTCGTTTAGAGCAAATTGAAATATGATGTGACAAGGCAGACAAATAAAGAACAGATGTCTTGGCCCTAGACAGGAACCTTTCTGGGATTCCCTTGGGAATCCTGGCCCTGCCCTCTGTGTGGGATTTTCTGTCTCCTGGCCTCTGTGGGCCTGCCTACCGGATGATAGCACAAAGAGGTGCTGGAAAGATTAGGGGACATGTGTCATGCAAAGCACCTGTGATTAGACCTGACATTTAGTAGGTACTTAAAAATATTTCTTTCTTTCTCTTTATTACCATAAAAGGTAGGCTGAATATGTGAATAAATACCAGGTACTAGAAAAAGCTTAATAAGTGCTCTTTAAAATTAGCTTTTAATGTTTTGGGTGCATGCACCTTGAATAATTTTATGTGATTGTAGGTGGTCACCCTTCCCTTTCCACTTGCCCCAGTACACTACAGAAATTATCCTTAAAAAGTACTGAAGATAGAATTTTGGATTGAGTGAACTATCAGATTTTCAGCTGTCCTCATTGATATACCTCAAACATGTTATTTTTAAAAAGCTCTACGCCTTCACTATTCTGTAAGTCAGAAACCGTATTAAGCTTTGGTATTTAGATGGAATCACACAACCTTTAGACATACCCCACTTTCATATTTGCAGATTTAATTAAGGCTGAGTGAGTAGAAAACTCTGCTTCAAAACTGCCAACCTACTAAAAAATGAGGAAACACATAAAGGGAGATATTTGTATTCTGTGATCAAATTCATGGAAAACCTGCTGAAGTGGGAGATATATAATGTCTCTCAGGATGGGCACTGTTCTACTTAATGGATTATCAAGCACTTATTAGTTAAAAAAGAAATACTGAATTTAAACAGTGACTTCCTTTCAGGAATGAAGATTTGGTCTAAGAACACACAGAGAGCAAGAGGGTGATTCACTATGCCACCACCTGGCACCCTTGCAAGGAGCCAGGACATCACTCTGAACTCTTATTCTCAAATATTCTTCATCTTTTGTTACTTACCGCCACCCCCAGATAGGGGCCATGTCTTATCAATTCTGCCTCCTTAATTTCCTCCCTTCTAGGAGAAGGTAACTGATGAAAGCTCCTTTCTCTCAACTATTTCAACAGCTCTGTTCCGCCTGACTCAGGCTGTGCCCACCAATCCCTCCTTGCACTGCAGTAAGCATGGGTCATCGGAACTGGCCTCCAAGGCCCTACTGAAAGCTCTTTAGTGCCTGGCTCTTGGCTTGAGGTTGAAGTCTCAGCTCCAAGACAGCACTCAGTGCTTCTATCAGGAGCCTTCAGTTCAGGCATCTCTCCTCCTAGCCATTCTTCCCCTGCTGTATGGTCTGGATGTCCCATTTAACACTTGAGCATGTCACCACTCCTCCTGTTTGCTGGCCAGTGTTGTCTCTAGAATGTCCTTTCCCTCCTTTCTCCTTTTCTCTTTGCTTCTAAGTAATCAGAAGCTCCTACACTGTCACCTCCCCCATCCACCCCTGCCCCTTGCCAAAAGAAGCACATCCACTACTCACTTCTTTATAAAGCTTTCTCTGGTGGCACTCCCAAGCATACTGCTCTTTGGTTTGCTCACAGTTTCTCCTAAAAAACACTATAAAGACCCTTCTGCACACTAATGTATGTATATGTTTATTTCCTTGATGAGACCATAAGTGCTATGGACGGAGGAAAGACTCAGATGTAGCCAGGCATAAGGAATCTCTAGAATACAAATTGCACCAGAAATGCCCCATCTTGAGAAAAGGGGACCTAATTTTGCACCCCAGGTTTAGTCACTGGCTGAGGCTAAGTAGTTATATTATTTCTTTTTGTGTTCTCAGGACATAACACATTGAGTACTTGTACTTTAAAATAAATGAACAAACAAAGAAAACAACACTTGGGAAATAGTTGAAATAAACTAATAATTGAGAAAATGAATGAATGGGTAAGTGGAGTGGGTGAGTGAACACAAGAATGAGGAGATAAGCCTATAATGCCACTCTCTATGTGATTTTTATGTTTGCATGGCCCAGACTTTAATCTAGACACAACTATTGCATATTGTTGACTTTAGGTAACTGTGGATATGGGAGCTGATTACACAGACAAAGCTGGTTACGGGGAGCCCTAGAATGCAAATTGCACCAGGACTATTCCATTCTGAGAAAACGGGGCCTAATTTTTGCTCTCCATGGCTAGTCTCTGACTGAGGTCTACCCCCATGGTAGGGAAGGGTGGTGCTATAGCAACAGCTGTGAATTGTTACCAGACAACAGCCACAGCAGCTGGGAGATGGGGGCTCTGACTGATAAAACTTTTCAATAACGTATTATTCTTTAACCATTTAATAAGGAAGGAGATACATGTACTGAGATGCATGGGTATTCCCTGGGATAGAACCCTATTAAGAATATCCTTGCCATTGCCCCACTGAGGCACCAGATTCAGCTCTCAAGGCTTTTCTTCCTACTAGGCATCATCTCCCCCTAGGTGTATATACACAGACACAGACACAGGTACCACCATTCTTGAAGTTTTAAAACATGTTTTTTTTAAGTGGAACAATTGTGAGTAGAAAGTGCTAAAGCTGTGACATTAGTATTGAAGCTCTGATGGGAATCCTGGAGGCATCACTAACTGATACGCAGATTCTGCCACAGTGGTTAAATTACTGAGATTATGAGAATTTCAATTTTTCCGTCTGTATGGTGGAAATAAAAATGCCTCATTATTTTTAATTAATAATTTATCATGGGGGATTTAACACACTTTTAAACATTTTTATCATCTTATTGTTATTATTGCTCTTTTTGGGGGAGTCTTTGGGGGCTTTTATTAATTTAATTTAATTTTATGTTATTTTACTTTAAGTTCTGGGATACATGTGCTGAATGTGCAGGTTTGTTACATAGGTATACATGTGCCATGGTGGTTTGTTGCACCCATCAACCCATCATCTAGGTTTTAAGCCCCGCATGCATTAGGTATTTGTCCTACTGCTCTCCCTACTCTAGTTCCCCACCCCCTGACAGGCCCTGGTGTGTGATGTTCCCCTCCCTGTGTCCATGTGTTCTCATTGTTCAGCTCGCACTTACGAGTGAGAACATGCGGTATTTATTTTTCTGTTCCTGTGTTAGTTTGCTGAGCTGATTGTTTCCAGCTTCATCCATGTCCCTGACAAGGACATGAACTCATTCTTTTTTATGGCTGTATTATTTTTCTTTTTATTCCATCTATGCTAACCTTATTTAAGAATAAATGTTCTTGAAAAATAGCACATTGTCTTCTAAACTCCCTGCAGATTTGCCCTGGAACACACAAATTCTGAAGGAGTGGGTATATATAATGTATACATTATCATGTTAAAATTTAATAGATTGACTGAGATAGATTCTGAGAAAAGCAAGCCAGTTGAGCTGACATCACCTTGACAGGATAAATCAGTAATTTTTCACCATTGCTATTTACTATTTTTCATTTACTTCTAATTTTGATGCCTCAAGGGAAATTTTTCATACTATAAAAACATTTTTAGTAGTTAAATATACTTCTTCAGAAATCGTTGAAATGATTTTTTATCCTGTTCTTTTTTTCAGATTATTACACCTGCATTGTTTTATTTGAAAAAAATGAAAATTGGGAAGAAACATATGAATGAAACAATAAGGATTCATATGAAACATATGAATGAAACAATAAGGATTAATTATTGTAAATTAAGGTATTTTCTGGAATACAGAGTATATATATTAAAATTATGCTGTTGTATAAAATGATATTGAATGGCATAGAAAAAATGTTCACCATATTTTAAGGAAAAGGGTATAGCTTATGACATAGTATATTAAGACTGATCTCATGCTTTTAATAAATTCATGGGGTGGAGGGAAAGATCCTGAAAAGATATACATCAGATCAGTGTATAAGGCTGGAAATCTCTGATAACTTTTATTGTTATACTTTTTGCCATTTCATATTTTGTAAATTACATTCATCAAATATATTATTTAATAAAAAGTGTTAAAAGGTGGGAGACGGTTTGTGAGCATTGATTTTCAATGCATTGACTAATGAAAGCCTTTCCCCCCCAAAAAAACTAATTCAAACTAAGTTAAAGTACATGAAACAGGAAAGATTCTAGCATCTTCCTTTAGTAGTTACTTTTAGGTTATATTTCTGCCATATTTCTTTCTCAAGTACTCCTCAAATGATGTAACCTGACCATTTCAAACTCATCTCTCACACACTTGTGTGACACATTCCTACCTTTCTGCCTTCTATGGAGACCTACAGTAAATCCCACCACTCTTGCATGGCACTATCCCTGACCCTCCAGGCTAAAAGTGATCTTTTACTTCTAATTCCTGAGTCACCAGCCATGGTCTCTTTGAAGGACTTGCAGCCAGACAGACTCCAATTCAGAGTTTAAATCTCAGATTTGCCAGAGAGTTACCTTCTGAGCATGGACCGGTTTCTTTACTTCTCTGAGACAGTTTTCTCACTAATAAAAATTGAATCATAGTTGCATTTGCCTTCTAGAATAGTCATAGGAATAATGAGATAATGAGATTACATGTTTCCCAGGGTGATTCTTTGCATATCCTAGGTGCTCACTCAATTTCAGTTTCTTCCTTCTCCCCCCAACTACCCTTGGCCTCACGCTCAGCAGTTAATCTGTTAGCATATTATTTGTAGCTATTTTTAACATGTTATCCTTTCTGTTGTTCGTGGCTCCTTTCTTTATTGGGATAGGTAAGTATACAGTCATTGTATGTAATAAATCTACTCAAAAGTACATGGAGAAAGACTTAAGCATAGACCCTCATTCCTTCCTCTCGTGAAGCAACCAAGGAAGTTATCCCTGTGAAGTCTGAGTGTGTGCCTTCTCACCTTTCCCCAAGCACAGATGAAATTACACACATCTAGGACATTTGCTACTGTTTTTGTTTCTCTTTTACAACTTGCTTTTCTCAATTTATATGAAAGCCCAGAAGTATACACTTTTAAATCATTTTATAATATATAATTCTATGTCTATATCTTCATCGCTTTAATCATTATCTCTTTGATAAGCATTTAATTTCTCATTTGTGGCACTTCTGATTGACTAAAGAGCAAGTTCTCACTTTCTTCATTTTTAATATTACCCCAATTGTGTAGCGAGGGAAGCAGCCTTAATATAAGGGAATGTAGCTCCTTTTCTCCCCTTCAGTGGATGAGTTATCATTGGTCAAAATCAGTAATAACTGCTTAATTCTCCTCTGACAGCAATGGGTCCAAGGATGAGAATATGACTAGGTTCTTTCCAGTGAAAGATAAGAGAAAGTCTAGTGGGTACTTCCTTTTCCAGATTAAAAAGCCACAAATTTTGGTGAAGAAAACATGGTGACCCTGTTTCTTCCTTATTGCTGGCACACTGTCATACATGGCTTTTAACCTTGAGGAAACAATAACATTTCAGCAGTTCCAAACAAGGCCTCCGTGAGCTATTAAATCAACCATGAGGCTACTGAGCTTCAAATTTCTTGTTAATTAAACAATAAACAGCCTCAGGATGTAAAATTCTGTTAATTTAGCATTCTCTTAATTCCAATCAAAAGGCTTGTAACAGATACACATATTGTAGAAAGTTGTAAGTGTGAATATTTTTATTGCTCAATTGAATGTATGAAGCTTACATATGAAAATCTGGTGAGAGCTGCCTTCTTTATTTCTGTTGTCACTTGGCCTTTTGCAGTCAATGAAGCCTTGCTCCTTAGGCTCATCCAACATATTACTGAGCATTGTGGATCTATAATTCACAGATTTGTAATCTCATACAATCTGTTTATAAAGCTAAACAGACATTATTCTTCAAAGCAAACTTGGAAATTAACACTTGGTATAGCATACATGCTGTTGATAAAGTGGTTTTGGAAACTCATCTTAAAATACTGGTTGTTATGCCTTAAGACATAGTTTAATTATCTCCCCCTTTTTTCCTCATGAGCCAGGGTTGAGGCCCATCTTTGCTGAGGATCTTGATGAAATACAGTAATGGACATGCAAGAGTTCAGTGGTTGTTAAGTTAATGGTTTCAGGAACAATCCCACGCCAAGTGACCCTGGAGAAATGGTCATTGCCTAATAAAGAAGGATGAATGAGGTCATACAAATTGTTGGTTAATCTGTACAGTTTCTTTTTCTCTGGATCTGGCCACAGAAACTCTTCTAATCAAATTTTAAATTATAATACAGCTTTGAGTTTATTTATCTCTCTAGACATGGTATATTTTATTTTCTCAGGGATAGAAGGGAATCTGTCACACCTTTTGGTTTGAAGTGAACCTCCATAATGTATTGCTCCTGCTGAAGCAAAATATTTTAGGGGAATTGAAACAAAACCTTTACATCCCTATGGTTGGGGGGTGCTCGTGGAAGCTGAGCCCTTGCAAAGTGCACTGTGAGTAGAGTTCCTCTGGTCTGCCAGGAATCACAGGTGGCAAATAAGCACGGTCACAGCTCAAGGATCCCAGTGAGACTTGAGACAGTCTCTGAAAACAGAATGGAAAAAAAAATAATGGAATGTAAGTGAAAGTCAGAAAAATAGACCCTGGCGACAGTTGCCCTTTCTCCCTCTGTAAGTGGTAATGTTAAACAAATGCCTTCCAAATTTGTGTGACAAGAACAGAGGAGAAAATAGAAAATATTTTGCAGTTTTTGAAGAATAAGAGAGCCTTTTCCTGAAAAGTTTTGCCTGTAGATCAAAAGTCTCTAGTTAATTACATTCATCTGTTCTTTTATGTCTTCATTAATTGTCCTTTTTTTTTACTTCAAGAAAACCTTATTGATGGGGGACTATAACATACGTTGAACATACACTGATAAAACAAGGCAATGTTTCTGTCCTTAATATACTGTCATTTAAATCTTTATTTTTCAATCAAATATTAACTTTATTAATTCTTTTTTTTTTTTTTTTTTTTGAGACAGAGTCTCACTCTGTCACCCAGGCTGGAGTGCAGTGGCACGATCTCAGCTCACTGCAAGCTCTGCCTCCCGGGTTCATGCCATTCTCCTGCCTCAGCCTCCCAAGTAGCTGGGACTACAGGCGCCCACCACCACACCCGGCTAATTTTTTGTATTTTTAGTAGAGACGAGGTTTCACTGTGTTAGCCAGGATGGTCTCGATCTCCTGACCTCGTGATCCACACACCTCGGCCTCCCAAAGTGCTGGGATTACAGGTGTGAGCCACCGCGCCTGGCCTAACTTTAATAATTCTTATGGAGTATTTATTTTTGGCAGAATGCTGTTATCTGCTCATAATATAAACAGATGTAAAAACAACCCTTTTTGAATTCACTTAACTATTCCTTGAGGATCTTGTGATATGCCTTTTGCCAGATTCTGACATCAAGTGTTGGCTCAGAAGTTGAAGAATTTATAGAGCTTATAGGAAAAGGGGGCAGGATTACTAAACTGGGATGTGTGAAGGAAGTGAAAAATGGGATGGGGGTGCACTTTAGGCAAGAAAAAATGCATCATCAAGCCACAGAACTGGAAAGGTGACCATCCTACATTGGCAAATAGAAGGAGGAAAGTTTGCAAGGCCAAGGCTGAGTCTGGGATGAACACTTGGAAAAGCAGCTGTGCCACCACGTCTTGGTTTCTTCCATTTGACTGTTATATAAGTAATGACTGAAGAAGAAATTCAAGCCCAAAGGGTCTTTTCAGCGGTGGCATGACTTGGTGGCAAGGCATTCTTAAAAACCAAGAAGAAGAAACCTCTCTGAAAGGGAGAAACATAAATTTACCCATCCACCATTTATTTTAAACACATTTAAGAGACGTGCAATGTGCCAGAAGCACAGTGTGTAAATATGAATGAGATCATCCTCTCCCCTTTCTCCAAAAGGTGACAGTCCACTGAAGAAGCATGGTCAACAAGTGTGATGGGGAATCACCAAGAGAAAATTGAAGGAAGGAGTCGCCTATTGATATTGAGAGGCCTCTCCTGTCATGAGTGTGGCTGATTTTGGGTGGTCCACTGCCAAGATTTTTAATGTGATTAGATTGTGAGTTATATAGAGAGCTGGCTCAGCAAACTACAGCGGGTAGACCAAATCCAGGTCACCACCTGTTTTTGTATGGTCCTCAAGCTAAGCATAGGTTTTACATTTTTAAATGGTCCAAAAATATCAAAAGAAAAATAATTTTTCATGGCACAAAAATTTAATGTCTATTAAGTTTCATTGGAGCACATCTAGGCTCATTTGTTTATGCTGCTTTTGCATTAAAATGAAGAGCTTGGTAGTTACAACTGAGATTACATGGCCTGCAAAGCCTGAAATACTTACCACCTGGTCCTTACAGAAAATGTTTACCCATCTCTAAAAGAGAATAAATACCAACTAGCTGATTTGGGCTTGAAGTGTCTGGGGTGACTGCCCAGAAAGGAGCGAGGGAGGGGTACCGCCTTCCCCGGCCACCATGCTGTGTAGACCCAGTGACCCTGAGCATCCCAAATCATGGCTCCAGCTGTGACTCTTCATTGCTGGCCTCCTTCTTTGTTCCTCACTCAGATGAAAGCCCAGGCTACCTTGGCCCTCTGGGGATGACTTTCACTATTTCAAAGGAAAGATAAATTTTTACCCCTCTGTTAAAAGTGTTTCGTCACAGGAGTGCTTTAGAATCAATGCATTACAAATTGAAGAAAAACTATTGCTTTACATCCAGTGTGCTTATATAAGCTGGGTAACTGCGATGACGTGGTGGGGATGGATAAATAAAATCCTTGATTCTCTTCCAGAACCACTATGGCCAAACCTCTGTCCTGTTTCTTAATTCAACTCATTCTTTCAACTCAAACTCTTTCTTTCTTCTGGGTGACTTCTCCCTCAGATCAGCCCCTCTTTGCAAGTGCCCTATTATTGGCAGGGATGCCTGTCTCCTGCCTTCTTTTACTCGTGTACTAATGGCTTTTCACTATGCACACAGCTGGGGCCATTTGCCCAGGAGCTTCCTGAGGCTCCCAGTCACTCACCAAGTAAACACAAATACAAGGAAGATGAAGTCTCCTAACATCATCTCCAGATAATATAAGCAACTTTGCTTTTTAGAGTTTGAAACTTTAAAAAAATCAAAGCATATATTTCTTTTAAAAACATAGATTTTTTAAAAAATCTTACTCAAACATAGAAGAAAATTAAGTGTAGTCTTTATAGGAAAGAAAAGAACAACGTGTTTCATGAGCAATCATTTCCTCCAATAAAGGTCGAAGTGATCTATGGCCAGTCTGACTCTTTCAGGAGCAGTTTATATTTGAAAAGACACTAGATAATTATAACCCTTTGCTCAGAGACACAACTGTGGTAAGCAAATTTTACTCAAGCACTGGCTAAAATAATATGGCTTGACACTAATAATAAATTGCACAAATTCCTGCAACCTTAATCATTCTTATTTTGTATGAGATGTCATTCTCTTTGATAGGTATGGATGAACGGCGCAAGATGATGGATAGTGTGGACGGCTGTCCACTAGCAGAGTCTGTTGTGGCATGCTTCATTTCTCGAGGTTGGACCTTGGAAATTATATCTTCCTGCTGCTTAAAAGGCATGTAGGAAAGGCAACTTTGATTTTGCTGTGCTGCCCATTTGTTCTTGTTTGGATTCTGTATATTCCAGAATGAGTATTTACTTTCATTCTGGTGTTTCCACCCTCTTTCATTCCCCACTATGACATTTCAAATCAACGTGAAGTTTTTACTATTTGAAACATCGTCCTCCTAAGGATTTATCATTAGTGAGGGGAAACTGTTCTCAGAGTGGTCAGAACCATATCAGGGCTCTGCTACACTGTCAGACCTGAAGGAAAAGGATTTTAAAAATATTTGTTACTTTCAACCAGTGCTATTGTAGTAAGAGAAGAAAGGATGTGGATGCCCTGCATCTCAGTCCTGCTGGTGAAGTAAGCTTTGGAAAGGCTTCCCAGATCATTCCACTCAAGAAGTCAGGTTTTGTGGGAATGCAGGGAATCCATCAGCAGCTAGCACTATGCCAGACACCACGTGGGGCTTTGTAGACATTGTCTCTTTACACATTTAATCCACTTGGTAAGGAAAATACTGTTAGCTGCCATTTAGTTATATGAAGTATTCAGAGATGTAGGTGGCTGGCCCTGAGTCATGGAGCTTGTAGAAACCGAGGCAGGGGTTCCTCTTAGTGGGTTTTCTGCTACAAGGCCACTAAATTTGTCCTGGAAGCTGGAGCAGAGATGAACAGTGTATTCGGCTGTTCCTGGATCACTGTAAAGAAATACCTGAGACCAAGAAATTTATAAAGAAAGGAGATTTAATAGGCTCATGGTTCTGCAGACTGTATAGGAAGCATGGTGCTGGCATTTGCTTAGCTTCTGAGGGGGCCTCAGGGAGCTTTTACTCACGACAGAAGGCAAAGTGGGAGCAGGCATGTCACATGGTGAAACAGGGACAAGAGAGAAAGTGGGAAGGAGGTGCCACACTTTACAACAACCAGATATGGCAAGAACTCACTCACTATCATGAGGACAGCGCCAAACCATAGGGGATCTGTCCCTAGGACCCAAACACCTCCCTCCAGGCCCACCTCCAACATTGAGGATTATATTTCTTCTTCTTTTGCTCTTTATTTCAAAAAAAAAAAAAAAACACGGATACATGTGCAGAACGTGCAGGTTTGTTACATAGGTGTACGTGTGCCATGGTGGTTTGCTGCACCTATTGACCTGTTGTCCTCTAAGTTCCCTCCCCTCACCTCCCACCCCCTCAACAGGCCCTGGTGTATGATTTTCCCCCTCTGTTTCCATGTGTTCTCAATGTTCAACTCCCACTTATGAGTGAGAACATGTACTGTTTGTTTTCCTGTTCCTGTGTTAGTATGCTGAGGATGATGGCTTCCAGCTTCATCCATGTCCCTATAAAGGACACAATCTCATTCCTTTTTATGGCTGCATAGTATTCCATGGTGTATATGTACTACATTTTCTCTATCTAGTGTGTATCATTGACAGGCATTTGGGTGGGTTCCATGTCTTTGGTATTGTAAATAGTGCTACAAGAAACACACGTGTGGAGGATTACATTTCAACAGGAAATTTGGTGGGATCACATATTCAAAACATATCATACAGTAAATGGCTAAGCCCTTTGCAGAAGCATCACCTCCAGCACTGACTTCACCTTATAGCAACCCTGGAATAGAAGTGCCAAAGGTCCATGGACCTCCCGAAGCAAGGGAAGAACAAGTCCTCTCAGGGCTGCCAAACATCTCCCTTTCTAAAAGTCCACCTCTCAGGAGTGCCTGAGACTCACTCCCGGACACCCACTGCTGAGTTACCTACTTCATAGCACTTTCCAATCTTTAATTTTACCTTAGGTTCTCATCTGCCCTCCTATAGAAAGTTTTTCTATTTGCCTCATAATAAGTTTTCTGTTTGCTTTCTAACCAAAGCTTAGAAAAGTAATTCAGTTCACACAGTATATTGGTTATAACCTAACCTCTTAAATTCACCCTTCCTTGTTATCAAATCAGACCCTGTCTACCACCCAGGAAAATTCCCTAAATGGCTAAATCTTCTGTAATGGAAATAATGAATCTGCCAGGAGATATGTGAAGAGCAGGGGCCCCAGCCTTCTTTGTCCACTTCTGATCTGTATCCACTGAGCGTTTGCTATGCTTTACCCTGTAATGTGTTCCCAGGGCACACTGAGATTATGACCGGATCTCTGTCCTCCAGATATGTAGAATGAGAAGAATAAAATCACCCCATGGGATTTTTGTGAAATTTAAATAAGGTAATGTAAATTAAATTCCTAGGTCAGGCTATGGCATGTTGCCAGCATTTTAATAGACTTCAGGCTCCAGTTCCTCATGGGGGTACACACAGTTAAGCCTTCCCTATCTCTGGTCCCAGTGATATCTCCTTTTGAATTCATGATCATCAAATCTTTGCTTGTAAGCTGCTGGGCCACTCCTTCGCTGACTTCCCCCACGGAAGAAAACCTCAGCTCCCAGGTTTTCTCTTCACAGCCTGCTCCTTGAACCTTATGACCTTATCCCCATCAGAGTCCTAGCCAGAGACTGTGAGGCTTTCACATGAAAATTATTCAAGAGGCTTAGTTATAAAGGAGCAACTGAAAAAGTTTCTTTTACTCAAAATAAACTACTGAAAAGGGTGTGGCTTCAAGCATGACTTTTCATACCTTTCCTTCTACCCCTGAATAAAGGGGAAAAGGCAGATGTGATCAATTACCTGCTGTCACCCTCCCTCATGGTGTGGCCTCCTTGATCCCATAGGCCCAGGTCCTTAATGGCCAATGGGACCTCACAGGCCTGCTATGATCTCACTGCCCCTTTCCATTCCCCTCTTAGATGGCTGTGTTTTCTTTATTAACACCTATAGCAGAAATTCTGCTAACTGCATTCACTCAGAGGTGTCAGTGATAAGCCATAAATGATGATTTTCCATGGGGTAGCTGTCTTTCATCAAGGGATATGTACAGAGTCCATGGGCATCTCTAAGTAAGTTACTATAAGTGACTACTTGGCAGGGGGAGAGTGTCAAAGCATGTTTCTTACTCCTGAACTTCTCCTACCCAAGAGACCCCATTTCTGGCTCCTTCCAAGCTCAACCTCAGTTAGCTCTTTTGTCTTTTGTCTTTGGACAAAAGCATCACATTGGCATCTCTGTTCCTTTTTATTAGACTGTATGTTTCAAAATGATATGTTTAGAACATTACAAAAAATCCTTGTGGGAACATTTGCCAATTCACCTATTTTCATTTCCTTCGGATCTGGTAGGGGAGGGGAGACTCTGTGAGCCTGGATTCTCTGGTTAATGAGAGGAGATGGTTTGAAATAATTAAAGCTGACTGTGATCTTCATTCATTCATTCAGCATAAGTTTATCCAGGAGAACTTTGGGTATGGAGAACAATGGAGAACAAGGCTAAAAAATCACACCCAGAGGGAGTCTATATTATAGACAGGAAGACAGAAAATAAACAAATACACAAATCAGGTAATTTCACACAATGAAAAATGTACTGAAGGAGTAAAGCTGCATGGAAGGTGAATAAAAATTCAGGTACTGTTGGAGCAGAAGGAGGAGATTGGTAAGCTTTGCTTTAGCAAGGTCTCCATGGAAAAACAACATTTGAACTGAAGCTGAATAGGAGTCGGACAATTGAAGTGCTGGGGGAAGTACAAATGGGGTAGAGGGCACAGCAAGGACAAAGGCCGAGAGAGAAGGATGCTCTTTTCAAATCTGAGGAAGGGAGAAGAAGGTGTGGCTTCAATGGGGTGAGCATCAGGTAATCGGACATGAAAGGAGGCCAAGGGAGCAGAGGCCAACTCATTTATAAAAAACAGTAAGAAAAAATGAACCAAAAGGAAGAGACCTTTTCCTCAATCTCCAAGACCACTTGGTGTTGGAAACTGAGCTCTCCATCAATCTGCTCCCATCACCCCTTCTTCACACACTCTGAAAGCCTCACAGAGCTGGAATACATTAAAATAGAAAGACCTGTTTGCAACTGAGGGTAGGATGGCTTCTGCATCCTGATCAGCTCCACACACAACATAATCTTCCAATCTTATTGGAGAACTGACCTTTCTTCAACCTTCTAATTTCAACTAGGGTTCTCTGTACCTTTGCCAGTGATTTTATAGGAATGAAGTCATTTCTTCACTGTTCCACAGACAATATTTTTACTTACCCCTTGGCTGAAATGCCAGCTGTTTTGTGAAATCTACCCAATCTGTGGAATTAGATTCAGTGCCTGTGCCCACATTATAGCTTTGAATTCCCTTTATTAGTATCACTGTACTCAACTTACTTTCATTATAGTTAGGCGTCTCTATCTTTGTTCCATTTAACTATGAATCTAGGAGTCCTGAGACTTCATGGCACCAACGTGATTTTCCGCAATTTCTCCAAAAAACCTCTGTTGAACCCCCAAGGTGGGAGAAGTCCAGAGTACCCACTTTTGCACCAGAGAACTTGACAGTCTGTACTGCAATTGCTGATTTGCTTTTCTGCCTTTTGCTCATTTGAGAGAACTGAACTTGGCCTTCATCTTATTGATGTCTACATGCCTAAGGCCCAACTGAATTTCTCACGACATGTAAATGCTTAATAAATAAGTAAATAATAAATGCATGAATGAATACAGGTTAGGGCTTAATAAAACTTTATTGGCTAAGTTTAATTTGAAAATTCAGTTAAAGTCAAGAGACATTTTTAAATATATAGTTTGTACAAAACTTTATTAGACACTAAAAGCTAGGAATAATTTATTATTATGTTCTTACTTTCTGCAAAAGGTTATTATGGAAGCTTGCATCATCTCTTCCCCAAAAGCTCTTAAAAATAAGAGCATAATTAAGGTTTGATATCCCCCACCAAAAAAATGAGATTCCACTTGAACATAGAAAGATCTTCTCTGATCTTAATGTTTATGTCAGCCTTTTAAATAAACAATAAAGTTGATAATGCTAGACTATTACAAATAATTTATACTGCTTTTTTATACTTGCTTAAATCTTTATGATACTTTTATTTTTGTTCAATGAAAGTATTTTACAGATAAACCGTGTTAAAGTATTGGTATGTAGGATAATCAACAAATTATTGGTTGACTTTATGACATAAAAGTGCAATTGCGTCAAACTTATGATGAAAGAATTGTTGGTGGTTGGCTAAACCTGAAAATAATTTTGAGTCGGGAATGAAATATCAGAGTTGCGGAGTATAGCTAAGTGTTGATGACAACTCGGGAAGGAAAGTGACACTTCCCGGCGACAGACGTGATGAATCTGCTCAGGAATAACATCATGGCAGGCGGAAGTGGGTGCATGTGTATCATCACTATGAAATATAGGAGGTGTTGGATGTACCTCTTAGTTTGCCTCAGCATTATTCTGTGTACAATACGCACTGTTATCCTTCCTCTGCCACCTTGTTTTAAATCACTGGAAATGGTTATTTATGATGCTCTGCCAAAGGACAGAATATGTGCTTGCTTCGCAGTCTCATTTGCCCTCCAGCTGTTCCACATTCACCCTGTTGGCCACCTTACACTTCCAAATCCTTTTATAGAAGAAGTAGGAGAGTCCCAGCTGGAACTCCAGAGAAAGGCACTAGACACTGAAGGCAGAGAGACATGCTGCTTCAGTGAGCATGGTACTGCCAGTAGCCAGCCATTGTCTCTCCCTCCTTCATCTGCATTTCCCTGGCAGATAATGGATAGATAGATATCTGTGAGTCTGTTTCTATTCTTAAAATATTCAGCTCATAATATATAATAAAAATATGTTCATGGTTTCCCTCTGTAAGATTAAACTGTTCTCTTCACCTTTCTTTACAGAAAACACATTTCAGACTCAATGGAAAAGGCTTCTCCAATTCCTCTCATAGCTCAAAAAAGCCATATTGAAAACACTGATCCATTTATAATACAATATACTTTATATAATGTGATATGAATCATATTTTTGTACCAAGTAGAAAGAGATTTGACAGTTTGAGATGGATTCCTTAAAGCTGATGTTCAGGAAATTTCTGTAAAAAGAAATATGTTTCCTTAATCACTTCTCTTACAGTACTGGGGATGCGCTTCCACAGTAAAAATGTTAGAGTCAACAGAATTGAAATTTAGCTAAGAGTGGAGTGGGAGCTTGCTCTTGGCATGAGGGATATTATGGTAATGAGGGACTTTATTGCTTTTTTTCTCACATTGTGAATCTTTCTTCTCTGTCATTTTTCCCACATGAAATTTGCAAATGAAATTCCATTTCTCTCTCCTGTCATCCCTGTGCAAGACTCCATATTTATACTCACAACTCCTAGAAGTTTACCTATCTGGAGAAGTAGTCACAAAAACCAAACCTGTCTAATAAAACCACAACTTACATTTCAGGACTCGGTCTGTTTTTTTTTTTTTTTTAATAACAGGTCAAAATTTTGATTTGTCAAGTAACCGAAGCTATATTTTTTTATACAGGAGCATAGTCACAGATTCAGGAACTCATGAGGCCATTACATTACATCTTAGAGCTATGAGGGGAGACCATATAGCTGAATTTTGGCACAATAGCTACCCCCTCAGTTTCTGTACGACCTTAGGTAAGTCACTAGAAATCTCTGCACCAGTTTCCTTGAATCTGAAATGAAGGGATTGTGTTAGATATAGAACACTCTATCCTGGTATAAAGTCATAGATTCCAAGTGAATGTTGAGGCTTGGAAAAGAATTTAAGAATTCTGTTAACCTGATCAAGGTAGCACCCAAAAAAAACATGCTGCTATCATGTCAATTGTGAAAATGTCCCAGTGGAATGGGAGGACATTAACAAATGTTGAGAGTATAACGCTGTTAGAATGAGGAATCCTTCATAGATGCAGCAGAGGTAAAGAGGCAGTTTTGCAGAACACATTATCATTTAAGTTATTTCCCATTCCTATATCGAAGTCAGCCATTAAAAAAATTCCAACAACTCAACAACTGAGGAGAGTAGAGGTAATTGTAAAAATAGTTCCTAATATTTCCTTTTACTTGCATATAAGTGCGCTAAGCTTACAATTGAATAGTTTGCAGATTGCTTTTAAAGAAAAATTGAATGACTTGGCAATCTTTATTAAAACAACAGGAAGAAATTCTTGAATTTTCTTAGTTGCTTCCACTGCTTAAAAAAAAACAACACATATTTTCAAACTCCACTTTTATGACCAGGCAGCTGTTTATGCTACATATTGTAAAACATATTCTACGTACTTCTGTTTTACTGCTGATATTTATCAGTAAAATTCCAAGATATGTTTCAAAGCAACGAGCCTCCTACTTATTTTTTCTTCTTCAAAGTCAACAAAAATGGGCCGGGCGTGGTGGCTCTTGCCTGTAATCCCAGCACTGTGGGAGGCTGAGTTCGGTGGATCACTTGAGGTCAGGAGTTTGAGACCAGCCTGGCCAACAAGGCGAAACCCCGTCTCTACTAAAAATATAAAAATTAGCCGGGCGTGGTGGTGCACGCCTGTAATACCAGCTACTCTGGAGGCTGAGACAGGAAAATTGCTTGAACCCAGGAGGTGAAATTTGCAGTGAGCCGAGACTGGGCCACTGCACTCCAGCCTGGGTGACAGAGTGAGACTCTGTCCCCCTCCCACAAAAAAAAAGAAAAGAAAAAAAAGTCAACAAAAATGTTTATTAGTCAATGGGTCAGGGATTAACAGTAAGAATGATTTGCCTGAATAATTACCCCTATTGTCTTCTCATTTTGACAAGTTAAAGTTGTCACTGGAACTATTATTATTCCATGCAACCACTGATTTAAAAATGTGTATGCTATATCGACTTTCTAGTCTACAATGCTTGAAGTTTTCCTGAGCCCCAGTAGTGACTCCTCTAATTCCTGTTGATTGTTTTCTTTAAATCCCAGATTAACAGGAATTGAGGATTACAATGATAGTAAAACTACAGACCATGACTCATGCATTGGAAGACGCAATGAAAAATTACAATCTATTTGACCTTTTGCATTTATGTCTTTGTGGAATTTGAAGAAGAGTAGCTCAAGGCAAATCAGATGAAACAAAACCTGCATTTATGAGAAAATAAATAATTAAAAAAATAATGTTTGTAGATGGTCCCATTATTATGAGAGAGAGGAAGCTCCCAAATATACAGAAAGAAACATTAATCAGTCTGGCAGTGAGAGGCTCCCGTTGACAGGGATTAAAGGAAGAGGTGGAGAGTCCTGTTGAGAGAAAAGTCAGTGTTTAGAAGGAATGGGGAATCCAGTAAGAACCTGAGGTCAGATTGCAGCTGATCACAGCCTTCCCGAAGAGCATGATCTCCGAAGCTGAGACTCAACAGTGGCTTCTTGTGTGAACCCTAAATCACCCAATAGACCACTGAGTTTCAACAAATATTCCCACCCACCTTTACTGATTTTTGTTAACATCTGTCCATCTTACCTATTTGTGTTAAGTGTTTTTCAGCCAAAAAGACTGAAACAAACATAAAATTTACATAAAAATAAACATTAAAATGTTACATCTAGCCATCTAATGAATATGTTTACTTGAATGTGTTATAATTAATTTCTGCATCCCATTTTATTGTCAAGAGATATAAGGTTCATAAATCTTTCATTTTCAAATTAAATATCTTTGAAATCCAAAACCACCCTCTGCAAGAGTGCCTTTCTTTCTTCCTTGAAATCCTTGCTCTGATATAAAACATCTGGCATCTGGGAGTCTGATCTAGGACTCAGCACTGGTCAATGTGCATGAGAAAAAGGCCCAGGAAAGCCACCTTCACCCTGTGGCTGAGCCTGCCTAATTGCAACTGCTCTCTCTACCGT
Source organism: Homo sapiens (assembly GCF_000001405.40). Classification (NCBI taxonomy): domain Eukaryota; kingdom Metazoa; phylum Chordata; class Mammalia; order Primates; family Hominidae; genus Homo; species Homo sapiens. The sequence goes on along the minus strand of NC_000002.12, from coordinate 125,961,805 downwards.
TAGGTAAATGTGAGCTACAGGCCATCCAGCCCTGGTGGGTCCTGGTCACCTGGACTGTGGTCACACAGCTCTTCACCATTGCAGGTTTAACTTCTGCAACCTGACTTGAGCACTCCCTATGTGAGCGCTGAGGACCGTTCAGTCTTCTGTTACCCTGATTCAAGGAAAGTGTTTTGCAGGTTAGGTACAGAGAGAGCAGGGATCTCTCTCTGTACATTGAACAGAGATAGACATGAGGTCTCCCTCTTCTCCAGTGCCTTCAGATCCAGGGGTTTCCTCTTCATTTTAAAATCACTTATGAGATTCATTAACATAGAAGGAAATTACACAAAACAAATCAGATTATATACACTGTTCTCTGCTTTAAAAAAAGCAATCATTTACCTTGCATGTTGGCTAAATTGGAATAGTTTAATAGTATTTTATCATATTTATGTACCATAATTTCAGGAGCCTATTGATTCAAAATTTAATAGTTTTCAGGTTTTGCTCTTACACACCATGCTATGAGGAACATCTTTTACATGTTACATTGGTAATATTGTGTATAGCAAATTGGAAACATGCATGTTTAGCAATAAGATTGCTGGATTAAAATTTATGTGCATTTTTATTTTAATAGGCGTGGCCAAATTGCCCTCCAGAAATTTTGCACCAACTCACACCCCCATCAACTGTACGAGAGGCCCTGTCTCCCCACACAGTTGCTGGTAGAAGGAATCACTAAGATTTTTTCTTTTCTTTTTTATTTTTTTGATAAGATAAAAATTCTTATTTTACTGCTGTTATGATTTGCATTCTTTTGGAGGCAGCTGATGCAGAACATCTTTTCCTATGCTTATTGGTCATTGTTCTGAAAATGGTAAACTGCCTGTTTACAACTTTTGACCATTTTTTATCTTAGCTTGTTCATATTTTTCCTTATGGATTTGTATAAGTTATTTTCATTTAAGGAAATTAGGCTTTTATCTATTATTAAGTTATGATTACAATTTCCCACTTTGCTGTTAGCCTTTTGAATTTGTTTGGTGCCATACAAAATATTTGACAGGTAATAGTCTGTGAGTTGAGTTATAGCTCTATTTTACCAGCACTATCATCTTGGACAAGTTATTTAACTTATCTGTGCCTCAATTTTCTCATCTTTAAAATGTGTATAATAAGAAAAAACTCATAGGGTTTGATGTGGATAAATAAGTTTATACACAGAAAATTGTAACATCGTGTAGAACTTATAGTCATTTTACGTTAGCTCTTATTTTATTCTTCCATTATCAAATTTATCAGTCTTTTCCTTTATTGATTCTGGGTTTTTAAATCTTCTTGAAAATTAGAGAATTTTTAATACGTAAATTCTAAATTTGTCTGAAAAGCAAGTAATAGGAAAAAAACTATTCTCAGATTTATTTAATTTATGGTCTTATCTAAAGCTAATTTATTAAAAGTCTGAATCATTTCTGGGGCTCTTTGATGTCCCAGCAACTTGGGGTGTTTCAGACTTCGCACTCTTAGTAAAGAAAAATGCAGAAATTCTTAACATTCAGAAGTCACAGTCATGGTGATTTCTGTGCTGAGGCTTACATTTTCTAAACTGGGCCTGAAATTTGTAAGAGACCTTCTTGCCCATGGTGGTTTTCTCATGATGTTCTTCTCAAATAATAGGCAAAAAGGGACTAGCCTTTCCTGGGGAGGACCTTGTTGTCTTTCCTTCCATTGAGCAAGTATTGCCTGGACACGCCCTTTACCTCTGCCACACTCTTGAATGTGGCAGCTGTGCCATGCAGTTGGGTTGTTTTATATAAGACACAATGAAGGGCAAAATTTTCCTACCTGTGCTGAGCATGTCTAGGAAAAGCAATACCTGAGTTGCAGACACAATGTAAATCTATCTGGCAGGGAACTAAAGTAGGTGCTCCAGTGTCCAGAGTGGAGAAGCATCTCATGAACAGTGGAATCTGGCTTGTTTCTAAGTGGACACACTATACCTGGTGGTGTAATTGAGGCTTTGAAAGCTTTTCCCACACAAATAATGATTGGATTCATGAAAAGGGGCAAGACTGAATGTATTGTCAGTCTGGCTGTACAGAGTCAGACTTTTAAATTCTGTAAAAGTCCTAAAAGGGAAGCACAAACTCTTCCATCCACCGTCCTCCACCCCAAGTGTTTCTCTGAGTAGCATGGACTGGAATATGAAAATAGAAGTGGACTCAATTTCTGCTCCTATCATTTAACATTTAGATTTCTTTCCTTTAAATGTAGGTGCTGATATGAAACATCCAGCATTATTAATAGAATTTAATTACAGAAGAAACACATGTAAATGAAGTAGCCCATCCTCTACCTACTAGTGTTTGTATTGTGGTTGTCCTTGTTAGTCGCCCTCTGCAACATCAAAAAAGATCACGTCACAGATGCAAAAGGAGAAGTCTTAGTCCTCACGGCATATTTTAAAAAATGTTTTGAAAGGGCAGTACCAATGTCAAAGGACTCCTACAGAGAGAATCCACATGCCATTGTTATCTTCAGGGAAATAAAAAAATGCTCCAGCAGGGAGAGGGAGCTGCAGGAGGTTTGACAAGCTTTTCTGAATCCTAACACCAATGGAATCCTCTGCTATCAGCCCACCCTCCTCCACAACAGCAAGTCAAGTCGTGGTAAGTCATGTGCCTTGACACTGTTATTTTCAACCTTTCTAGTAGTAAATTTAGATAGCACCTCCTGGGAGGTTTTAGAGTGACACAGTGAAAGAATATGGAAATGGAGAGGGCCAGTGTTTACATCAAATCTCAGCACTTTTCATAATTGATTAGCAAATATGTTTTGAACATGTATTATGCACATGGCTCAGTTCTAAGCTCTGTCATTTGCTGACTTTGTAATGCTGAGAAAATTAAATATTTTAACTATACACAGGATTATAACAATTATATTAAATTAGATTATGTATTAGAGAGCCCCTTGTGGTGCCCTGCATAAAGTAGGTGTTCACTGAATGTCAAGCAAATGTCATTGACGGCATCTGCAATAAAACATATAATAATATATTTTAAGGCATTTAGTGCTGAGTTTGCCCACCATATCTGTTACATATAAATCTGTTGAAAATTAGTGGTCCATCAACCTTCTACATGGTAGAACCTTCAAAGGTGACAAAGGCCTTATATACAAAGAAATCTCCTTTTTATCATGGCAAGGTACTGAAAAGCTTTAGCGAATAGTTATTCTCCATTCACTACCATTCACTCTCCTTAAATATTACAGCCTTAGAGGACAGGTAAGAGAAGCATTTGATAAGAATATTGAAAAAATGAAATTCTATGAGAAGAGACCAAATGAAAAGAACTATTATTTATTCAAATGACTCTTCCAGGCACGTATTAAGATATTTGCATACTTGACTCTCAATAAAAAACTCATAAAATGGATAATATCTCCATTTTCCAAAAGAAAAATTGAAGCTTGGATAGGTTGTATACATTGCCCAACGTTACCCAGCTAATAAGAGGCATGACTGGAATCTGAAATCAGATCTTTAATTTAAAAGCCAACAAGCAGGGAAAATAGTATTTTCTGGATGAGAGAAGGTGGTTATGGGGGGTGAGGATGGATAGGGTGTTTTCTGCCTTTAGAGTGTGGCACTGTTAAAATGTTTATATTAGAATCAGAGCTCCCTGGAAGTGTGTCATGCATAAAAATAATTGATGGGAAAATAGATCAACGGCTAAAGCATAAGGCATAGAGGATACTGGAAAAAGCAAAGAAGAATAAAAGGCAGGCAGTGTGTGAAGGAGCAAGTGACCGGGAGGCAGCAGGCTGCTGACTGTAACTGGGAGACTGAGGTGCATTTCCTATAAGAAGCCTAGGTGGAAGCCACTCTCCATCTGACAAACCAATATTGGGAGGAGCTGTTCTGGTGCCAGATTTGGCTGGGAGTCACTGGTGTACAAGACACTGAACAGGACTCTCATCGATTTGCAGGAAAGGTGGAGGAGGCCTGGGAGGTGAATGGGGACAGTGCTCCAGGCAAGGGCCACAGACCCTCATCAGCAGAGAGGTTGCAGGGGACCATGGCAGCACTTCACCCTGAAGGCTCTGCAGGGAACTGAAGAAAAGGAGACCAGGAGGAAGATCAAGGCAGTTTTGATGAGTAAACCTTCCAGCATTTGGAATCATGCCCATCAAAAAACCTGGACATAAATGTTTGTAGCAGCTTTACTTATAATCCCCAGATATTGGAAGCAATTAAGACATCCTTCAATAGATAAATGGGTAAACAAATTGTGGTACATCCATAATTTGGAATATTTTTAGTGATAAAAATAAATCCTTAAAAATGGATGAATCTTAAACATATTTGATAAATGAAAAAAAGCAAATATGAAAAGGTTACATACAATGCAATTCCAATTACATGACATTTTGGAAAAAGAAAAACTATTATATAATAATGGTTATAAAGGCAAAACTATAGTGACATCTAGGAATTCAAGAGGGAGGGCAAGAGGGTTGATTAGGTAGAGGACGGGGGAATTTTTAGGATGGCGAAATTATTCTGTCTAATACTCAAATGGTAGATACATGACACAATGCATTGTCAAAACTTATAGAATTCATAACAAAAAGATAGGCAATGTTTTAAGCATTTAGGACGTAGAGAAATCCCAGGATGGAATGCAGGATGAGGCGAGCAATCTAACTATATAACAAATGAATGAAATTTGTATGGGATGGGAAAAAAGGTGCTGACCTAAGTGAACTTTGGAAGTGAGTACAGTCTATAAGTCTAAAGGCAAAAAGAACTGCACATAAGCACTACACTTTAATTAATAAAATTATTTCCCATGGGGCACAGGTTAATAATTCTGATCCTGATATACATGTACATTGGAATTTAACAACTAGCACACCTGGTGCTCAGATTCTACTTTCCAATATTCCCTAATAAAAGGAACCAAGGGCTCCTTGGATAAATGACTGAGTCTAATATTGGAGCAGGAAGAATTCAGGAGAAGCCTGGAGCGTCTTGTAGTGCCAGAAACTAAGAAAGAGCTGAAAATAATCCCAATGACGGGTGTGTGTTGTGAAGTGGGCACAGGAGTCAATTGAAGGAGCTTCAGTTGTTTGAAGTTTAGAGTAATTTGAGTCACAAAATAAATGGAGTAGTTTGGGGATTAAAACCCAAAACATAGAATAAATATTCCATAAAGTATTTGGAATATTATATGGAATAAATAGCCTATAATATTATTTATTAGTCCTGGGGGCAGAGCAAGTTCACCACTGTTAAAAGAAAACTTTAGACAAATTAAATGTAACAGAGTTTAGTTCAGGAAAGAACTATTCTCAAATAGAGCAAATAATTTCTCAAATTATAAATAAACATAAATATATTATTTATTTATTTTATATATTTATTTCTTCAAATAAATTTAAAAAAGAATCTGTACTGATAAAAATCATTGCATCAATAAATAAGTAACAACAGGAAAATCTCTTGTGCAACAGAATACAAAATGATTTATGCAGATGCTTCGCCTTCAAGAAGATGGAGTGTCCCCCCGCCCCACCTCTTAGAAAGAGTGCAGTATGAAAGGGAGAGAGAATACATTTGCACAGGAGAAACCTGAATACTCCCTAGGCCAGATAGTCAAGGTTAATATCAATGGTTATGGTCAATGTGGTTAGTATGTTCTTCTGATATGATGCCATAAGAATGGCTCTTTACCTCTGTGGTCTTCTTACCTCAAATCACCCCAGTCTAATCATGATAAAAACATCAAATGTATCCCAATTGAGGGACAGTCTGTGAAACCCTTGACTACTATCCTTCAAAATTTCCATGGTCATCAAAATCAAAGAAAGTCTGAGAAATTACCACAGCCAAGAGGAGCCTAAGGAGACCTGAGGAATATATGTAATAAGGTACCTTGAATGGAATCCTAAAACAGAAAAAGGCCAGGGGTGGAAACTGGAAAACTCTGAATAAAGTATGCACTTTAGTTAATAATAACGTATCAATATTGGTTCATTAGTTATATTATAGCAGATATGCCATACTAAGACAGGATTCTGATGTGTGGCAGGCTTGGTGTAGTATGTATGGGAACCGTCAGTGCCATCTTCACATTTTTCTGTAGATGTAAAGCTGTTCTGGATTGAAAAGTTTATTTAAAAAACAAAACAGTATAGAAAAAAAAAACTTTAAGTAAATCTTGTCTGTGTGTTTTGGGATTCTATAATTAAAGCTTTATTAATTTTATCAGAGTAATAGTGCCCTGGGAATAAGAATTTGTTGACTGGAAGATTTGTCTTATGAAATGTATAACCTTTTTATAAAAGAGAAATGAGCAATATTTCAGCTTCATGGAGTTTTGCCATATTTATTCAGGGAGAGATGATCCATAAGCACAAATTATTGGCCTTTAAAACACAAAGTTTGCACATACATATACTGGCTCAGCACAACAGAGAACATTTTGATATGCCATTTTCTTTGAAATCCCATCTTCAGCCTTTTAGAACTTGCATGATTTTCAGAGATTATACACTTTCTCCTTGAAGAGGCTCAATGAAGAGTGCAGCCCATGTGTTGCAAGTTTAGCGAAGACTCATGCTCCCTCCTTTTCTAGGAAAGATTAACAGCATTTGCAAAAGCAAAGAGGCACGAATTACCATTCTGTTTTAGGAAAACTGCAAAAACGCTGCTACAACTCGAGTGTGTGCAGGGAAAGATAAATGTGATAAATTAAATAACAAAGAAAAGCCAATTCTATAAAGTATTTTACCTAGAGTTTTCATCTACCTACTTCCTCACTTTTAGCAGGTAATCTTTCTCTTCAGAGAAAATAAATTATTCAACAGTAATTTTAAATCAATTTTCACTCCTGATGTGAAGATTAAATAAGTTTATATATGTAAAAATTAAAACTCTCATTGTTGCTTTATCATTATTGATTATAATTATCATTATATTATAATTATTAGTATATGAAATGGATATCTACATATAAAAGTGATATAAAACTTCCTACAGGTATCTCAAATTCAGTGTCTATAAATATAAATATCGTTTCCCTCCAATCCTATTTCTCCAATTAAGGTTCTTACCTCAGTGAATGACTCTGTAATTTCAAAATTCAGGAGCCAAATTAAACACCAACTATGTTGATTTTGCTTTCTATCTCCTAATTTGATGACTTCACAGAGTCCCCACCATTCCTACTTTGGCGTATCCTCTATAGACCAGTTCACAGTCTTGGTTCCAGTTTTCTCATATATGTCATTCCACGTGCTGTGGACAAACAATATCTCTACATACACTCTGGCATGTTGCTTTTCTTGTCTTATGACAAGGCTCCTTTTCACCACTCTAGTCTCATCTCCTATTATACCTCGTTTGTATCTGCCCTTCAATGCCCTTCAAGAGTTGTGTGTAATCTTCTAAGCAATCTATCCTCTTACTGTGTTCATTCCCTCGTCTAGAATGTTCTGTCACTTCCACTCCCAATGGCTAGCTCATATCCATCATTTAGAATTCAGCCTCAGTATCATCTTGTCTCAGAAGCCTTCATAAAACCTCCAAACTGGGTTGATAACTGGCCCCTCCATTCTCCCATAGGCCCCCTTCTGCTGATAGGATACAGGAATCACAGTGCTTACTACACCTTAAACCCATTGCTCTCAAGTGTTGGTAGCTGTCAGAATCACCTGGAGAGTTAATTAAAATACAAATGGTTTGATCTGCTTCGAGAGTATTGGAGCCAGTCATTTGGGAATAGAACTCGAGAATGTGCTTTTCTAACAACTTCCCAGTTGATGCAGATGCTGCTATTCTGGGCTAACTTCTTGGACTCCTGATACTGCTGGCTGAAGCAGTTTGAGTTCCCTAGGCTCAACCTGAATAAGGCATGATGTTTACTTAGCTTGGCCCTGAGTAGGATTAAAAAAAAAAAAAAAGGGTCTATGTAGGCGTAAAGTTCTGAGAAAGCACTTAGTCTGAGGAGTCAGATCATTACAATTCCGTTGGACATTAAAGAAAAGAGTCATTTTCCTGCATAAGCAAAGAAAGAGTGTGGTCATTTCAGTATATAAAAATTCTTGATTATAACCCTTATAAATTATTATAATACAATAATTTGAATACTGCAATGTGTTCTATAGGTGATATTGTTTACAAACTTTGTTTTATATTTAAAGATATCTCCATAGGACTCAATATCTATATTTGAGGGGATATAACTTAAAACTGGGGATCAGTTAGCTGCCTCCTTACATATTTTAAGTCTGCCCTAAAGATTTCCCTACACATAGTGAACTGCAACCTAATTGCATGCGCAAACAGACTGCAACCTACTCTTTTTAACAAGTAGGGGAGTCTCAGCCATTCACAGCAGCTGAGTTTCAGCCAATCACAGCTACCAACTTTCAGGCAATTGCAGCAGTCAAGTCTCAACCAATTATGGCAGCCGAGTTTCAGCCAATCATAGGTGGCGAGCTGTTGAAGCTGTGTTCAAATAGGGCAATTATTGAACTGTAAACAATCCAGCTGTGTTTTCATCTCACTTCCATTTTCTGTATGTCACTTTCCTTTTTCTGTCCATAAATATTATCTGACAGTTGGCAGCCTTAGAGTTGCTCTGTAGCCTGTTCTAGTTCAGGAGGTGTTCTATTTGAGAATAATTCTTTGCTGAATTAAACTCTGTAAAATTTAATTTGTCTAGCTTTCTTTTAACAGTGGTGAGCTTGCTCAACTCCCAGGACTTAAAATCATGGATCAAACACATTCTTGCAAAGGAATACCCAGCAGGCAACACCTGCAGCTGTAATCAGACAGGCAGGCACAGGAGGCCCTCAGAAGAGTATGCAAAAGGTGAAGGCTGTAGTGTTTCAGGTGTTCTAGGCTTGGAAAAGATGGCAAGAGCAAGGCAGGATCCAAACCCCGGTGATGGAGCAATTGTGGAGCTCAAGAGTTAGATTTGTTTTTAAATTCCAGATATTACTGTGATAGATGTGATTTATAATAAAAAATATACATTTGTCTTCAGCCTGTTTCCTGGTACACAGTTCCTAAGACCCTTGCAAGTTTCAAAGTAAGTGTCTTTTTGCATGCTAATGAGATGACTGATGTCTGGGGAAGTCCTGGATAGCCTCAGGATAGGGACTGGTTGCTGGTTGCCAGAGGAACCAACCATGTGCTTAGAGCATTGGAACTTTCAGCCCTACATCCCACCTCCCATTCTCTAGGTAGCAGAGGCATGCTGAAGTTTGAGTTAATTACCAATGGCCAATGATTTAATTTATCATGCCTTTGTAATGAAGCCTTCATAAAAACTCTAAACAATGGGATTTGGAAAGCTTCTGGGCAGCTGAACATATGGAAGTTGGTGTCACACGAGAAGACAATGAAGCTTCATCCCCCCTCACTCATTCCTGGCCCAGTGCATCTCTTCTATTTGGCTGTTCCTTAATTTAATCCTTTTATAACAAATGGGTAAGTGTTAGTAAACTACTTTCCTGCATTCTGTGAGCTGCCCTAGAAAATGATCAAACCTGAGGAGCAGGTTGTGGGAACCCCTAATTTATAGCTGGTCGGTGAGAAGTCCTAGAAGTCTGGACTTGCAATTGGCATCTAAAGTGGGGTCAATACTCTTGTGGGACTGAGTCTTTAACCTGTGGGATCTGATGCTATCTCCGGGTAGAAAATACCAAAATGGAACTGAATTATAGGATGCTCAGTTGGTATCCCTAGGGAATTGTTTGGTGAGTGGGGAAAACACTCCACACATCTGGTATCAGAAGTGTTCTCTGTGGTTAAGAGTATAGTGGGACAGACAGTTTGTTTCTTCCTTTCACAGTCCCCACTGATCCAAGAGATGTACCTTCCAAGACCCCCAGTGAATGCCTGAAAGCAAGCATGGTTCTGAATCCTAGCTATACTGTTTCTTTCATACATGCATACCTATGATAAAATTTAATTTATAAATCAGGCAAAGAAAGAGATTAATAAACATAACTAGTAATAAAATAAAGCAATTATAATATTATAATACAATAAAAGTTATGTGAATTTGGTCTCTCTCAAAATTTCTTTTTTCCCTTTATTTGGCATGCAGTGATTGTACATATTTATGGAATACATGGTAATATTTTTGTAAATGTATGTAATGTTTAAATATGTGATGATTAAATTGGGGTAATTAGCACATCAGATACCTCAAACTTTTATTATTTGTGTTGGAAACATTAAAAATCCTGTTTTCTAGCTTTTTGAAAATATACAATAAATTATTAACTATATTTTCTTTATAGTGCTATAGAGCACTAGAACTTATTTCCCCTATCTATCTGTAATTGTGTACCTATTAACCAACCTCTCACTATCCTTTCCTCCCTGCTATGCTTCCCAGGCACTAATAACCACAATTCTATTCTGTGTCTATGTGTTTGACTTTTTTGAGCTCCCACATGTGAGTGAGAACATTAAATATTTAATATCTTTCCATGCCTGACTTATTTCACTTAACACAACATCCTTCAGGTTCCTCCATGGTGCCAGAAATGACAAGATTTAATTTGTTATGGATGAATAATATTTCATTGTGTATATATGCTACATTTTCTTTTTCCATTCATCTATTAACAGACATGGATGTAGATGTCTCTTTGATGTACTGATTTTCTTTCCTTTGGATAAACTGCCAGTAATGGGGACTGCTTGGGTCATATGGTAGCTGTATTTTTAGTTTTTTTAAGAAAACTGTAGACTGTTTTCCAAGTGACTGTCCTAATTTACATTCCCACTGACAGTGTATAAGAGTTCCATTTTCTTTGCATTCTTTCCAGCATTTTAAAAAATCTTTTTGATAATAGCCATTCTAACTGGGGTGAGATGATATATATTGTGGTTTTGATTTGCATTTCCCTGATGATTAGTGTTGTAGAACGTTTTTTACATATATTTTTTGGCCACTTGTATGTCTTTTTTTTTGAGAAATGTGTATTCAGATCATTTCTCCCATTGTACATGTTTTCTCTTAACTCTGTTAATTGTTTCCTTTGCAGTGCAGGAGCTTTTTAGTTTGATATGGTCTCCTTTTGTAACCTGTGCTCTTGAACTCTTACACATTAAATATGTGCCCAGATTAATACCCCAATGTATTTTCTTTGGCTTTTCTTCTAGCAGTTTTATAGTTTTGGACCTTACATTTAGTTGTCCTTTGTCTATTGTGAGAAATATGGATCTAGTTTCACTTTTCTGCATATGATTACCCAGTTTTCCCAAAATCATTTATTAAAAAGACTGTCCTGTACCCAATGTATGTTCTTGGTATCTTTTCTGAAAATTAGTTGGCTGTAAATATGTGAATTTATGTCTCAATTCTCAGTTGTGTTCAATTGGTCTATGTTGTCTACTTTTTCTCCAGTAGCATGCTGTTTTGTTTGCTATAGCCTTGTAATATAATTTGAAATCAAATAATATAATGTCTCTATCTTTGTTTTTATTGCTCAGTATTCTTTTGGCTATTAGGGTATTTTGTGATTCTGAACATATTTTAGGATTGCCTTTTTTATTTTCTTGAAGATTCAATTAACATTTTGTTAGGGATTGCTTTGAAACAGTAGATTTATTTGGATATTATGTTAATTGTAACAATAGCAATTCCTCCAATTCATGAGTATAAGATGTCTTTATGTTTTTTATGTACCTCAAATTTTATCTGTATTTTGTGGTTTTTGTAGTACAAATCTTTCACTTCCTTGTTTAAACTTTCTCCTGTTTTTATTTTTACCTATTGTAAGTAGGACTACTTTCTTGTTTCTTTTACAGCTAGTCTGTTATTGGTGTGTAGAAATGCTACTGATTTTTGTATGCTGATTTTGTGCCAATTGGCAGAATTTGTTTATTAGTTCTAGCAGTTTTTTGGTGGACTCTTTATATACGTGTGTGTGTGTGTTTGTGTGTGTGTGTGTGTGTGTGATCATGTCTTCTGCAAAGAGGGGCAATTTTTTTTCTTTGAAACAGTCTTGCTCTGTTACCCAGGCTGGAGTGCAGTGGTGCAATCATGGATGATTGCAGGCTCTACCTCTTGGGCTCAGGTGATCATCCCACCTCAGCCTCCCGAATAGCTGGAACTACAAGTGCACACCACTATGCCTGGCTAATTCTTTGTACTTTTAGTAGAGACAGAATTTTGTCATGTTGCCCAGGCTGGCCTCAAACTCCTGGGCTCAAGCAATCTGCCCCACTCGGCCCCATAAAACATTGGGATTACTGGTATGAGCCACTATGCCCGACCAACAGGGACAATTTGAGTTTCTCTTTTCCAATTTGTTTGTCTTTTATTTATTTCTCTTGCCTAATTGCTCTGGCTAGGGCTTTTGGTACTATGCTGAATAAAAGTGGTGAAAGTGGGCATTTGTGTCTTGTTCCAGTTCTTAGAGAAAAAGATTTCAGCTTTCTCTAATTCAGTATGATGTTAGCTGTGGGTTCTCATATATGGCTTTTATTGTATTGAGGTATGTTTCTTAAATCTAAATTTTGTTGAGAGTTTTTATCATGAAGTGATGTTGAATTTTATCAAATACTTTTTCTGCATCTATTGAAATGATCACATAATTTTTCTTGAACATTCTGTTGATGTGATGTATCACATTTCTTGACTTGTGTAACTTGAACCATCCTTGAATCCCTGGTATAAATTTCACTTAATCATGGTGTATTATCTTTTTCTCATGCTTTTGGATGTGGTTGGGTTTTTGCTGAAAAATTTTGCATCTGTGTTTATCAGGGACGTTGACCTGAACTTTGGTTTTTGTTGCATTCTTGTCCGGTTTTCGTATAAGAGTAGGGCTTGCCTCATAGAATGAATTAGAAAGAGTTTTCTCCTCAACTGTTTGGAATAGTGTGAGGAGACTTGCTGTTAGTCCTTCTTTAAAACTTTGGTAGAATTTAGCAATAAAGCCATCAGTCCTGAGCTTTTTTTTATCCCCCCTTGGGAGACATTTTATTACTGATTTAATTTTGTTCTTCAATATTAGTCTATTCAAATTGTTGACATCTTCTGGTTCATTCTTGGTATGTTATATGTGCCTCAGAATTTATTCATTTGCTCTGAGTTTTTCAATTTGCTAGTGCATAGTTATTCATAATAATCTATAATGATTCTTTGGATTTCTCTAGGATTGGGTATAATGTCACCTTTGTTATTTGATTTTATTTATTTGGCTGTTTTTATCCCTTATTCTAGTTAATGGTTTGTTAATTGCATTTATCTTTCCAAACAATAAACTTTTTAATTCATTGATCTTTTATATTGTCTTATTTTTTGTTGCTACTTCATTTAGTTCTGCTCTGATCTTTATTTTTTCTTTCCTTCTACTAATTGGGGGTTTGGTTTATTTTTGCTTTTCTTGTTTGTTAAGATTTTCCATTAGGTTGTTTATTTGAAATCTCTCTACTTTTTTGATGTGGCATTTATTATTGTAAACTTCTCTCTTAGCACTGCTTTTGCTATATTCTATATGTTTTAGTATATTTCCATTTGCATTTATTTCAATAAATTGTTTTTTTCCTTCTTAAGTTTTTCATAGACCTATTGATCACTCATTAGCATATTGTATAATTGTCATGTATCTGTACCATTTCTAAAGTTTCTCTTGTTATTGCTTTCTAGTGTTAATATCATGGTGGTGTAAAAAGGTACTTAGTATTATTTCAGTATTTTAAAATTTGTTGAAACTTGTCTTGTGGTCTAACATGTGGTCTATCCTGAGTAATTTTTCATGTGCTGAATGAGAAGAATGTGTATTCTGCATCAGTAGAATGAAATGTTGTGTAAACATCTGTTAGGTCCATTTGGTCTAAGTACAATGTTTCTTTATGAATTTTCTGTCTAGATCTGTCCCCTGCTGAAAGTGGAGTGTTGGAGTTTCCAACTATTGTTGTATTATGGTCTTTCTCTTTAGCTCTTGTATTATTTGCTCTATATATCTGGATGTTCAGGTATTGAGTGCAGATATAGTTACAATTGTTATATCCTTTGGCTGAGTTGATCACTCTATCATTACCTAATGAATTTCCTTGTCTCTTTTTGTTTTTTGACTTAAAGTCTATTTTGTTTGATATAACTACTTTTAAATGTTGGTTTTTGTTTTTGTTAGGAATATTTTTTCTGTCTCTTCACTTTCAGTCTATGTGTCTTTCCAGTTGAAATAAGTTCCTTATAGGCAGCATATAGTTGTTGCTTTTATCCATTGAGTCAGTGTATATCTTTTTGGGAAAAACCGTTTGTATTTAAGGTTGTTATTGATAAGTGAGGACTTACTACTATCATCTTGTTAATTGTTTTCTGATTATTTTGCATACCCTTTTTATCTCTTATTGTTTGTGGTTTGATGGTTTTCTCTAGTGATAATATTTGATTTCTTTCTCTTTTTCATTTTTATATCTGCTCTACCAATGAGCTATATGCTTTAGTATGTTTTCATGATAGTAGAATTTCTTGTAGGTCCAGTCCACTCCCTCAATTTTTGGTTGTCTAAGAAATAATGTATTTCTTCTTCATTTCTGAAGGTTAGCTCTGCTAGATACAGTAGTCTTGGCTGGCAGTTATGTTTTTTCTTTCAACACTGAATAGATAATCTTATTCTCAGTTGGCCTGTAAGGTTTCTCCTTATAAATCCGTTGTTACTTTGAGGGAAGTTTCTTTATATATATATATATATATATATATATATATATATATATATATATATACACACACACACACACACACACACACACAGTGCTATATATATGTGTGTGTGTGTGTGTGTGACTTGCCACTTTTCTCTATTTTGAGAATTCTCCCTTTGTCTTTGACTTTTGACAATTTAAGTATAGTGTACCTTGGAGAGAATATTTTTGGGCTAAATCTATTTGGAAGTCTGAGCTTCCAATACATGAATGCTTATATGCCTTGCAAGACTTGAATTTTTTTGCAGCTGCTATTTTATTATATAAATCTTTTTATGCATTTTCACATGTCTTCTCCTTTAAGAACTCCCAAAATGCATTTGCTCACTAATGGTGTTCCCTATGGCATACAGAGCTTCTTCATTTTATTTCATTCTTGTTTCTTTTTTATTCTTTCTTTCTTTCTCTTTCTTTCTCTCCTTCTTTTCTTTCTTTGCTTTTGCTTCTTCTTCTTCTTCTTCTTCTTCTCTCTCTTTCCTTCTTTCCATCCATAAAAGGACCTCTCTTCAAGGTCAAAAATTCTCTTTTCTGCTTGATTAAGGTTTCTTTGTAAGTGAAGCTCTCAATTATACTTTTAATTTTATTTATTGAGTTATTCAGTTCGAAGGTTTCTGTTGCATTCTTTTTTATGGCATCTATATCTTTGCTGAATTTTTTATTCCAATTGTGAATTATTTTCCTTATTTCTTTGTTCCGTCCATTGGTGTTCTTGTGTATCTTGCAGAGTTTCTTTAAGATTATTAGTTTCAATTGCTTTTCAAGTATTCTAATCATTATCTTTTATTTGGGGTCTGTTACTGGATAATTATTGTGTTTCTTTGGAGGTGTCATATTTCCTTTCTTTTTCATGTTCTTTTGTCCCTACATTAATATCACCTCAACTGGTCTAATAGTCATTTCTTTGAATTTTATTAAATACTTTCATATGGAAAGACTTTTTCTTGTAGATATATCTTTAGTATCAGTTGGGTAGTTGTAGTCTTCATATGATTTCTTTGGCTATAATCAATATGTCAACAGTGTCTGTGAGTTCCTCAGTGGCTTGGGATACAGTTGCTTGTGAAGGCTGTGGGGAAATTTTGCTGGGGAGAGGTATACTGGGTGAGCTGATCTTCAGGCCTCTGAGGGACAGTGAACGTTAGTGCTGAAAGTGGTGATGGCAGGACCTGGATGGGGTAGTTTTTTAGTTCTTGAGTGGCATGCATGAATATATGGTGGCTCCACCACTGGAGGGGGCATTGTCGCTGTTGGTAGTGGTTGCACCAGGCATGTGGCTCTCAGGTTCTAGAAAGCATCTGCTTTGAACCTCTATGTCCTAGGGTTAATTTCCCTGATGTGCTGTACTCCCTGTCCCCCAGGGTGCAGGGCCAGGGACACTGATCACCACTTGGTCCAGCTGATGTCACATCATTGCAGCCCTGTGGAGGAATGTGGGGTGATGTCACAGGGCCCCAGGAATGTGAAAATGTGGGGGTTATTGGGCCCCTGGGAAGGATGTACACTTGTGGTAGCTTTGCTTTCAAAATGTTGCCATGCTGCACCAGACTTGGTCTCAGGTTTTGGAGGAACTCAACATAGATTTATTTTCTGGGATAATGAAGTTGTATGGGTTCAGGCAGCTCCTTATATGAGGCTCTGTAAGGGCTGAGTGGTCTCCTTTAGTTCAAACTGTAGGCATCTGTGGTAAAAAATGTGGACTACTGGACATCTCACACTTACCTTTTCCCTGCAATGGGGAGTCTCTCTCGGCTCTGAGCCAATCTAGGCTGGCAGCTTTGCTTCCCTCTCTAAGCTGCCATCTTGAGTTTCTGTGATTCAGAGGGTCTTCATCACTTTTATGCTGAATTCCAGTGTCCTTTAGATGCTTAATTCTACATGTGGTTATCTATTTGCTGTTTTTATGCTTCTTTGTGAAGGAGGCATGTGCTGAATTATTCTAGTCAGTCATCTTGATCTCAAAATATCTTATTGTACTGCACAGTGGGTGACAGAACCTGCAGAAAATAAAACTGCATAAAGCTACTTATCAGCTTTGTGGTCTTCTCGGAACTACAGCTTTCTCTGATGTAAAATGGGGCAATCAATACATAGAGATCAAGGTTATAGGGAAGTAAAAGAGAATTTATAGTTTATAAATTTAGTTATAAATAGCCACAAACCCTCTTGGAAGGCCTGAGAGTTTGCATAACTTGGGTAATAAATTTGGCTGTAGGTAGACTAGTCCCCTTACTTTTAGTTAAATAAATTAGAGTAGAAACAGAGGAATGTGGGGAGTTTATCTAACTAACTTGTTTACTCATGTGGTCTTAAGACTAAGATATAAACTGAAGCACATTGGAATAATAGTAAATTATAGTGCTAATTACCATTACTCTAGGTAGATAAGCAACATAGGAATCCAGGTGAAGCAGGGTCTAGGCAAGGCCTTCATCATATATCACAAAGTAAGAGTTTATTATCTATTCAGAGGGTCTGAGATGGCCATCCCTAAAACTTGATTAAGGATAATCAGAGGCCTTTTCCTTCTGCTATCCATCTCACCTTTGTTTCTTATGTTTCTTCATGTACTATTTAATCTTATGGGGAATTAACAGAGCCACCATTTCACCAGATAGATATCTATGACTCACTCAGGCTGGAGAAATTGTCCTTCCCCTGGGCTCCAGGATGTATATTGTGGGGGTTCAGTCAGGCTGGTGGGAAAAATTTTAGTTATAATAGCCACAAACCCTCTTGGAAGGCCTGAGAGTTTGCTTAACTTGGGTAATAAATCTGGCTATAGGTAGACTAGTCCCCTTACTTTTAGTTAAATAAATTAGAGTAGAAACAGAGGAATGTGGGGAGTTATCTAACTAACTTGTTTACTCATGTGGTCTTAAGACTAACCTTTTCTACTGCCGGTGCCTAATTGCTTTCTACTTGGGAAGTCTGCAATGTCAATTACTCTTTTTTGGTGTTGACTCAAGCCTTTGTCAATTAACCTTTACTGAATAAATGCGAGTCTCGCTGGTTAGTTGGGGCCTTGGCTGCTACTAAGGGCTTGGACACTCAGTTGGACAGGCAAAGCAGAATATCTGTGTGTCAGCGTACTTTATTCAACCATCGTTGGGTCAGGGTCTGCGGGATGGACCCCCGCATTATATCACAATGTCATTTCTTTATGTGGCAGTCACTCCTCCTTCAGGGAAGTAGCTATGTAGATTCTTTCATTTATTAACTTTTACCATAGGCAGTGCTATAACTGCCCAATGGGTTCATCTTGCCTGCTCCCCAGACAGAGCCAATTTATCAAGACAGGGGAATTGCAATGGAGAAAGTGTAATTCACACAAAGTCTGCTGCATGGGAGACGGGAGCTTTATTATTATTCAAATCTGTCTTCTTGAACATTCGAGGATCAGAGTTTTTAAGGCTAATTGGGTGAGTATGGGAAAGCCAGTGAGTTGAGCGTGCTGATTGGTTGGGTCAGAGATTAAATCATAGGGAATTTAAGCTGTCCTCTTGTGTTGAGTCAGTTCCTGGGTGGGAGCCACAAGATCAGATGAGACAGTTAATTGATCTTGGCGGTGCCAGCTGCTCCATCAAGTGCAGGTGAGAGGCAACAGCATGCTAGCAGCCCTCCCTCCTTCTCAGCACCTCCTTGGCCTCAGCACCCATTCTGGCCATGCTTGAGGAGCCCTTCAGCCTGCCTCTGCACTGTGGGAGCCCCTCTCTGGGCTGGCCAAGACTGGAGCTGGCTCCCTCTGCTTGAGGGGAAGTGTGGAGGAAGAGGCATGGGTGGGAACGGGTACTGCGTGCGGCGCTCATGGGCCAGCGTGAGTTCCAGGTGGGCACGGGCTCGGCAGGCCCTGCACTCTCAGCAGCCAGCCAGCGCTGCCGGCCCCAGGCAGTGAGGGGCTTAGCACCTGAGCCAGCAGCTGCAGAGGGTGCACCAGGTGCCCCAGCACTGCCGGCCCACCTGCGCCATGCTCGAATTCTTTCTGGGCCTCAGCTGCCTCCCTGCCAGGCAGGGCTCAGGACCTGCAGCCCGCCATGCCCGAGCCCCCACATGGTGGGCTCTTGCGTGGCCTGAACCACCACAACAGGTGCCGCCCCCTGCTCTGCAGCATCCGGTCCCATTGACTGCCCAATGGCTGAGGAGTGCAGCTGCACAGTGCGGGACTGGCGGGCAGCTCCGCCCATGGTCCTGGTGCGGGATCCACTAGGCGAAGCTAGCTGGACTCCTGAGTCAGGTGGGGTCTTGGAGAACTTTTATGTCTAGCTAGAGGACTGTAAACACACCAGTCAGCACTTTGTGTCTAGCTAAAGGTTTGTAAATGCACCAATCATTGCTCTGTGTCCAGCTAATCTAGTGGGGACTTGGGGAACTTTTGTGTCTAGCTAAATGTTTGTAAATGCACCAAACAGCACCCTGTCAAAACGGACCAATCAGCTCTCTGTAAAATGGACCAATCAGCTCTCTATAAAATGGGCCAATCAGCAGGATGTGGGTGGGGTCAGATAAGGGAATAAAAGCAGGCTGCCGGAGACAGCAGCGGCAACCTGCCCAGGTCCCCTTCCACACTGCGGAAGCTTTGTTCTTTCGCTCTTTGCAATAAATGTTGCCACTGCTCGCCCTTTGGGTCTGCACTGCTGTTATGAGCTGTAACACTCACCGTGAAGGTCTGCAGCTTCACTCCTGAGGCCAGCAAGACCACGAACCCACCAGGAGGAGTGAACAACTCTGGACGAGAGGAAAGAACAACTCCAGATACGCCACCTTAAGAGCTGTAACACTCACTGCGAAGGTCTGCAGCTTCACTCCTGAAGCCAGTGAGACCACGAACCCACCAGAAGGAAGAAACGCTGAACACATCCAACCATAAGATGGAACGAACTCTGGACACACCATCTTTAAGAACTGTAACACTCACCGTGAGGGTCCGCGGCTTCATTCTTGAAGTCAGTGAGACCAAGAACCCACCAATTTCGGACTCACAGGTTCTGCGAAATATCTCAACCACTGATGTTAGGAGCAGTTTAGAGATGGTCAGAATCTTGTAGCCTCAAGCTACATGACTCCTAAACCATAATTTCTAATCTTATGGCTAATTTGTTAATCATACAAAGGCAGTCTAGTCCTCAGACAAGAAGGGTATTTGCCTTGGGAAAGGTCCGTTATCATCATTGTTTTCAACTATAAACCATAAACTAAGTTTCTCCCAAGTTAGTTCAGCCTACACCCATGAATGAACAAGGACAGCTTAGAGGTTAGAACGAAGATGGAGTTGGTAGGTCAGATCTCTTTCACTGTCTCAGTTACAACTTTGCAATTTTGCGGTTTCAGTGACACACAGCAGTCATTCATTTCATATTTATTGAAGTGAACTAAATTCTCTGTGACTTGAGAAAAGCTGAGCCTGATGATCCTTTGCAGGACAGCAGCTCATTACATTATAGAATTAGCCAAGATCAAAGCTCTAGAGAGGCAAGTTCTCCTTACTGTCAAGTGTTCATTTCAGGAGTTTATGCCATATTCACGTATAGTATTCTGTATGTTTCAAAATACTTTCTCATCACTTACGATGGTGTAGACCTAGGTTATGATGAGAGAGAAAGAAGAGAGAAAAGAGAGAAAAATCTCAAGGAGCCTTAGCCATAACTTGGCTTTACACCCAACAGCCAATTTATTTCTATTTCCCATGGCCCTTCACTAAGGATAACGGGGAAGGACACTACAAGCTGAGACCCCTGAGCTTAAAATAAAAGTTGGAAAAAAAAAAAAAAGACACAGGAACTGATAAAGTCTGCAACCCTCCTCAGAAGCAGAGTCCTTTACTTGCTTTATGAAGAATTCCAAAGCCTAGAATGCAAAGCAGTAAGGTAGAGAGAAATCTTCTGAGAAGCAGCAAGTCAGGCATGTGACCAGAGAATTTAAAAACCTAAAAAAAAAAAATAAACAAGCAAACATAAATTTCTCCAGTGACTCCAAAAGGAGACATCGAGGGTAAAAAGCGAGTGAAATCTCCTACAATTCAGAACGATAATTACTTGTCTTTAAAGAATAGTAATAATAATTATCTGAAGACTTACTAGTGCTCAAATCCCGTATCTCCCGAAGGGAAAGTGCTAACTTGACCTCAAAATGTTTAAAACTAGACTCACATTTTTATGCTAGCAAAGAAAGAATAAAAGTTTTTCTTTCATGGAAGTAAATATATATACTTCAATCTTCACTAGTGAATTACACACAATGTCTAACATGTTGTCAAAATTTACAAAACATACAAAAGAGCAAGAAAAATAGGACATATATTCAAGTGGAGAAACAGTCAATATAAGCAGATCCATTGTTTGGAATTATTAGATAGAGGCTTTAAAACAGCTATGATACATCTATTTAAAGTTCTAGTAGAAACGTGGGCAATCTGCATGAGTAGTTGGAGAATTTGGCAGAAATACAGAAGCTATAAAAAAGAGAGAGAAAAGCAAAACATGAAAAATACATCAGAAATGAAACATATATTCAATGACTAAACAGCAGACAAAACACAGTGAACCTGAATGAAGAGTAGTATAAACTATCCAAACTGAAAAGAATAAAAGAAAGACTACAATAAATAGAATAGCTCTTGAGAAAAATGTGAACCTTTAAAAATGGTTTAACACACATATAATTGAACATAAAGGGTAAATGGTTTACCATACATGTAATAATATACATGTAACTAACATATATTTAAAACCATTTTTAAATGGTTTAACATACCTATCTCAGCAGAATACAAAAGAATGAGAATGAAGATAATATTAGACATATAATTGATAAATGTTTTTCAAAATTGATGAAAGTCATCAATATACAGAATCAAAAAAACTTGTGATATTCAAATAGAATAAATACTAAAAATAAAATTCTTTGGCACATCATAGACAACTGGTAAAAAATAAATATAAAGAGAAAATATTAAAAATAGTAAAAATTATAAATGATATTTTAGGCTGGTTAAAAATGGAATGACATTTCCAACATACTAAATGAGAAAACAAAACTTGGAACCTAGAATTCTATTTATAGTAAAATATCGTTCAAAACTTAAGAGAGAAGATTTCTGAATCTGTCCATGAAGAAATGGCAAATCCACAATTAACCTTTCCCCACAAATAACTAAAAAAAGTGGACAAAATAGAGGAGACACAATTTACAGACATTGGCAACAAGCAGTCCAGAACTTGCCTCCCTCTGTTCTTTCCTCCTCTCTATTCCCAAGGAGAAAACACTTAAGAATGCCCGGACTTACTGCTTTAGTACAATTTTCAGACGGTGGTGCAGGGAAGAACATAATTAGAACTTGGCCACCTTACAAAGGTGAGGAAACAGAGATTAGAGTTCTGAAACACGGAGGAGGCTGAAATGTCCACAACAGTGTTCAGGAAAGGATGGAGATATGTAGGAAAACAGTTTCAGAAATCTGCATAAAGTTCACTGGAGTTTTTACCTGAAGAAGAATATATACAAGAGTAGAGTAACATACTACAAGTACAGACTTCTGAGGAAAGAACAATTATGGAGAAACCTGAAAGATAAAGAAATCCCAGGACTCATTCCAGACTAGAAATTACTTGAGCCCCTTCTAGCCAGGGTGGGAGATCACAGTTTATACATGAGACAGGCAGTCCTGACTCCAGAGGGACTATGCACTGGAAGTGGGTCTACACTTGCCTGGATATAAATAATCTGGATCTTTGACCTTTACTTAAGCAGTCTAAAAACAAACCTCAAAAATACCAAATTAATTTGTAAGAAAGCAATTCTGTCTCTCTCTCACACACACACGAGTCACCACTCAGCAACAAAATATTGTATTAATATCCCATAAAATATTTTTGCTACTAAAAGACTCTAGAAAATATGACCCATAACTGGAGAAAAATTAGCTGACAAACAGATCCCAAAAAAATCCCAGAGATATTGGAATTATTATAATAGACAAGGATATTGAAACAGCTATTATAATTGTGTTTCACTTGATTAAGGATGTAAAGCAAAACGTGAATATAATATGAATGAGATAGAAATAGAAAAAATATTTAAATGGAAATTCTAGGAATGCAAAAATGTTACCAGAAATTAAACATTCAGAGGATGTTATTAATGGAAAATTAGATGCTATAGAAAAAAAGTCATAAAACTACATATTACAGTGAAACTACCCATGTGAAGCTTAAAAAGAAAGAAAAAAGACTGTTACCTGCAAAACATCACCCAGATAATTAATATGCTTGTGATTAAACTCCCAAAAGAAGAGGAGAGAAAGTGGGACAGAAAAGAACACTTAAATAATGGCTGAACCTTTATCACATCTGATGAAACGTATGAACACAAAGAGTCAAAAAGCTCAGTGAATCTCAGCAGTATTAAAATGAAGAAGAAGATTACCAACACACTTTGTAATCAAATTTTTAAATGTCTGTGCTACAGAGAAAATCTTTATGGCACCTGGAGAAAAAAAGATAACTTCATGCACAGCTGAACAAAGATAATTGCTTAACAACAACAAAAAAGATGAAAAAACTTACCAAAAACCTACTAAGCATAAGAAAACAAGCTTCAGAATAATTAATATTACAAAGAAAGGAGAGGAATTTTTTTATAATGATGGCAAATCAGTCTGTCAAGAAGACATAACATTCTTAAATGTTCAGGCACTGAATAATAGATCTTTAAGATAATTGAAGCGAAAACTGACAGAATTAAAAGAAGAAATAGACAGATCCATAATTATACTTGGACATTTTAACACTTTTTTCTCACTAATTGTTAAACAAGTTGAAAGAAAAATCAGTAGAACTATAAAAGACTTGAATAATACTATACAGCAACAGGACCTAATTGGTATTTATAAGGTTCTCTGTCCAACAACAACTGAATACATACTAGTTTCCAGTTTAAAAGAAACATTTGTCAAAATGGGGCATTTTGGGGCTTGTAAAACAACTTTAACAATGTTAAAATGTCTGAAATCATGCTGAATATGTGCCTTGACCTTAACAGAATTCAATTAGAAATTGCTAACAGAAAGGTGTCTTTAAAATACTCAAATACTTGGAAAGTAAGCAGCACATTTCTTCAAACCCATGTGTCAATGATTAAATCATGAAGGTACTTAGAAAATAACTTTGAGCTGAAGGAAAGAGTAAATCAGAATATATCAAACTTAATGGAATACAACTATAGGAAAATTTACATTATGAAACACTCATATTAGCAAAGAGGAATTGTCTAAAATTGGTGACCTGTGTTTCCACCTGATTAAGCTAGTAAAGTAGAAACAAGTTGAAACAAAAACAAAACAAAAAAAAGGAAAAACGAAATTAAGAACAAAAGTAGATACAACAGAAATAATAAAAAGCAACAGGGAAAAATCAATTAAGCAAAAACTTGAATTTATTTTAGAAAATATTTTTTACTTATAACAATACATCTCTACTGATAAAAAACAAAAGAGAAAAGATACAAATTACCAACAACAGGAATGAAAAGAAGGAAAACAAGATACTTTACTGTAGAAGGGAGTATTATAAATAACTGTCTGACAAAACATTTGACAACTTAAATGAAAATGACTAATTTCTTGAAAGGCAAAGGCTATCATGGAAATAAATCAAAATAATACATTCTATAAAGGACAAAAAAGAAAGGTACATACCAATAGAATCCAAGAAAGCATTAGACAAAATTTAATACACATTCATTATGAAAATGTTTAGAAAGACATAGAAGTGAACATCTTCCATCTGAAAAAAGTATAAATAAATTTGTACAGATTAAACTGTATTTAATATTGAAAGAATGTTTTACCCTTAATATTATCAAGGATATGCACTCTCACTACTTCTATCCAACATTATACCAAAGATCCTAAAAAAGAAAGAGAAATAAAAGCATACATTTTGAAAAGGAAGAAGTAAGCTTTTAAAAATAGACAATATAATTGTGTAGGCAATAAATAGTACAGGATCTACATAATAGTTACTAGAACTAATAGGAGCATTTAGCAAGGTTCAATAATACAAAGATGTAAAATATCAAATATATTTCTACATACTATCAATGAATGCCTCAAATTTAAAAATCATAATAATAGTTTAAAGAAACTATTTGCAATAGTTTAAAGAAACTCTGAACTATTGAAAAATATAACTAACAAAATTTATGTAAGATTTGTACGGTGGAAATTATAAAACATTGGTGAGATAAATTGAAAACACTTAAAAATGGAGTCATACAACTTTCATGAAGTAGACTACTCAGTATTTTCTTATGTGAATTTTCTTCAAACTGATTTATAAACAAATTCAATGCAATACTATCAAAACTTCAGTATTTTTTGTTTATTTTTAGAAATTGACAAATTGATACTATAGTTCCTACAAAAAAGAAAAAAGTGTTGGGCATGGTGGCTTACGCCTGTAATCCCAGCACTTTGGGAGGCCGAGGCCGGCAAATCCCCCGAGGTCAGGAGTTCGAGACCGGCCTGGCCAACATGGTGAAACCCGTCTCTACTAAAAATACAAAAATTAGCCAGGCTTGGTGGTGGTCGTCTGTAATCCCAGCTGCTTGGCAGGCTAAGACAGGAGAATTGCTTGAACCCAGGAGGCGGAGGTTGCAGTGAGCTGAGATTGTGCCACTGCATACCAGCCTGGGCCACAAGATTGAGATTCCATCTCAAAAAAGAAAGAAAAAAGAAAAAAGATCTATAGTATCCGAAACTATTGTGAAAAAGAAGGACAAAGTTAGGGGACACACCCTACCTGATGTTAAACTTAGTATAAAGTCCTAAGATTGAGTTTTATTGGTCAATCCATAGACGAGAGAGTCAAGAAATAGACTCCAGCATATACAGTTAATTGACTTTGGACAGAGGTACCAAATTTAAGGGGAAATGATTTTTTTAAACCCATGGAAATTCCTCAAAACTTCAACCTTTACCTCCAATCATGTAAGGACAAAAAGCAAACTAAAAAAAAAAAAACACTAAAAATAGATTATATACTTACAGGTGAAAACTAAAATTATACAACTAGAAGACATAGAAGAAATATTTTGACTGTGTATTAAACAAATATTGCTTAGTTGAAACTAAAAAGCATGAACCATAAAAAATTGTGAATTGAACTTGATAAAAAATAAAATATTTTGTTCTTTGGAAAGCACTTCTGAGAAATGAAAATATGAGACATTGGTAGAAAATACTTGCAAATTGCGTGTTCAATACACTAGTCTCATACTGAGGCTGTAAGACATGAACAAAACCTTGATGACTCAAAACAGCACAAGCTTAATCTGTAACACTTCTGGAGGTCTGACTTCTGAAATCTGTTTCACTGAACCACAGTCTAGGTGGCAGCAGGATTTATTTATTTTTGTTTTTATTTTTGTATGGGCACTAGCAGGCTGTCCTTTCCCCTACCTTTTCTTTTCTTTCTTTTTTTTTTTTTTTCTTTTTCGAGACATCTTGCTCTGTCACCCAGGCTGGAGTGCAGTGGCGCACTCTCGGTTCACTGCAACCTCCACCCCCAGGGTTCAAGAGATTTTCCTGCCTCAGCCTCCCGAGTAGCTGGGACTACAGGTGCCCACCAGTAGTCTCGGCTAATTTTAGTATTTTTAGTAGAGGCGGGGCTTCAGCAAGTTGGCCAGGCTGATCTCGAACTCCTGACCTCAAATATTCCACCCACCTCAGCCTCCCAAATTGCTAGGATTGCAACCGTGAGCCACCACACCCGGCCTCCCCTGCCTTTTCTAGCTTTAGGAGACAGCCTGCATTTCTTGACTTGTATCCACATCCTTCTATCCTCCAAATTCTTGCTTCCATTGTCACATATCCTACTTCCTCTATCTTACCTCTCTCTTATAAAGACCCCTGTGATTACATTTAGGCTACCCCAATAATCTAGGATAATCTCCCCATGTCCAAATTCTTCATTATACCTGCAAAGTCCTTTTACCATATAAGGTAATATTCACAGGTTCCAGGAATGAGGATGTGGATATCCTTGGCCAACGGAAGCATTATTTATCCTACCATATCTGAAAAAGTACTTGTGTCCAGAATATACAAATAATTCTTACACTTTAAAAATAAGAAAAAGCTCCCAAATTATATGGTGTTTATCATAGAAAATGAGAACATTTTATTCACACAAAAACCTATACACAAATGTTTATAGCAGCTCTATTCATATTCACCAAAATCTTCCTTCACTATTGTCCTTCAAGGGGCAAATAAACAAACTGTGGTACATGTTTACAATGGAATATTCCTCAGCAGTGAAAAAGAATGAACTATTGAGACACAAAGTAACTTGGATGAACTCAAATACTTTAGGTTTAGTGAAATAAATAGACTCAAAAAGTTAGATCAAACAGTAGTTTGATTACATTTATATTTATTTCTAGAAAAGCAAAGCAATAGAGATGAAGGAGATTGGTAGTCACCGTGGCCAGGGCTGGCAGGAAGGTGTGATTACATAGGAATGGTATGAAGGAATATGTTATGTTGTAAACCATTTTGTATTATACGGCAGCCTTGACCTCCCAGACTCAATCAGTGTTCCTGCCTCAGCATCCCAAGTAGCTGGGACCTCAGGTTTGTGCCACTATGCCCAGCTAATTTTGTGTGTATGTGTGTGTGTGTGTGTGTGTGTAATTTTTGTAGAAATGGGATTTTGCCATGTTGCCTAGGCTGGTCCAGAACTCCTGGGTTCAAGCAATCCACAACCGACAGGAGTGAGCTACCTTGCCTGGCCTTATACATGATTATAATCTTCTGTTAAAACTTACAGAATTATATTCCAAAAATAAAATTAATTTATGCTCCATAAATTAGAAATTTAAAAGTTGAATAGTTGGTAAGCTATTAATTATTGCCTCAGTTTCAGAGCCTGTTATTAGTCTATTCAGCGATTCAACTTCTTCCTGGTTTAGTCTTGGGAGGGTGTATTTGTCGAGGAATTTATCCAATTCTTCTAGATTTTCTAGTTTATTTGCATAGAGGTGTTTATAGTATTCTCTGATGGTAGTTTGTATTTCTGTGGGATCAGTGGTGTTATCCCCTTTATCATTTTTTATTGCGTCTATTTGATCCTTCTCTCTTTTCTTCTTTATTAGTCTTGCTAGCGTTCTATCAATTTTGTTGATCTTTTCAAAAAACCAGCTCCTGGATTCATTGATTTTTTGAAGGGTTTTTTGTGTCTCTATCTCCTACAATTCTGCCCTGATCTTAGTTATTTCTTGCCTTCTGCTAGCTTTTGAATGTGTTTGCTCTTGTTTCTCTAGTTCTTTTAATTGTGATGTTAGGGTGTCAATTTTAGATCTTTCCTGCTTTCTTTTGTGGGCATTTAATGCTATAAATTTCCCTCTACACACTGCTTTAAATGTGTCCCAGAGATTCTGGTATGTTGTGTCTTTGTTCTCGTTTTCAAAGAATATCTTTGTTTCTAAAAAGAGCCAAAAGTTTGAATACTTCATAGAAAAATGTACAAAAGACCAATAGGCACATAAAAAACTCTTAGCATTAGGTATATGCAAATTAAAACCATAATATGATACTACTGCATACCCATTTAACTGCTAAAACTATATAAAAAAAAACATAAAACGTTGGTGAAAATTTGTAGCAATATTGCTGGTGGGTGGTCTTGAATGCAATATGGTATAATTTCTTTGGAAGATAATTTAGTAACTTGTAGTAAAATGTAACATTCATTTATTATGTGACCTAGCAATTATAGTCCTAGGTATTTACTAAAGGGAATTGAAAACATGTATTACATAAAGACTTGCACATAAAGGTTCATAGCAGGTTTTTTTCACAATAGCTAAAAATTAGACCCAAATTCAGGAAAAAGTGAATAGAGAAACAAACTATTATATATTCATACAATAGAATACAATAAAATAAAATTATAAAAAAATTCAATAAAGTTATAGAAACTGCTGGTACACACAAAAGCATTGATAGATCTCAAGAAAATGCTGAGCAAAAAAAAAAAGTCTGACACAAAATGCAGGTACTGTCTAATTTTGTTTATTTGGAACTGTAGAAAGATAATTCAAATCTATCGTTAGAAAACAGATAAGTGGTTGTCTGGGGCATAGGAGTTTGACTGGAATGGAGTGCGAAGAAATGTTTTGGGTTGAGAGAAATATTCTATATCGTGATTTTGGTCTTGGTTACATGATGAATAAATTTACTCGAATTCATTAAAATGTTTATTAAAATGTATTCATTTTAATGTATGAAAAACTGTCCTTTACAAACCTGATAATTAAAAAAAGAAGGTAAAATAATTGCATTTGCCCCAGGCAAAATTGTAGGTATCTTATATTCCACAGATTCGTGCTATACAAATTGCTGAAAATACTTCTTCATGATGAAGAAAAGTGATTCCAGATGGAAGCCCAGATCTGAAGGAAAGAATAAAGAATATCAGATACAAAATAAAAAAAAAATCTGTCTGTCTCTCCTCCTTACCTATCCTTCCATTCATCTAATGATCTGTCATAGACACTCACTATGTATTCATACCGGCTTGTTCCATACTAGGGCTCCTTCTCTTGGCTTTATACATCTCTGAAGGAGCACTTATCACACCTAGTGTAATTGGCTCTTCTTATGGTGATCCAGTTGGCTTCCTGCTTCTCAAGGGTGAGGATTATCGTGGTCTGTCCTACCAACATACTGTTGGTCTGTTCTCCAACAGTTAGCATGGTTCTAAGCTGACCTAATATGTGGATGTTTATGAAAGAACAAAATAAAAATGAATGACAATAAAAAATGAAAGTAAAAGTTGATATTTTGATGCTGAGAAAACGTTTCTTGCTTTTCATAAGAAAAAGTCATTGACAAGCCAGAGCTTAAAGTCTAGTGACCAGCTTTCACACTTATTTTGTAGTAAAAAGTAGATAGAATCACCATTCCTTATTAAATATGCTACTCTAGGGGACACAACTGATAGATGTAGCCTCTGCATTTTAAAAGCTGGTAATCCAGTACAGATTGTTAAAAGATCTACTCACATTACATATACCTGATGTTCCATATACAGTGAGCAGTGAGTAACCAGAAAACTTTTTTATTGAGCAAAGCAGCAGATTATTTCATGAGTAGAACTTGCACAAAAGCAGAAAAGAGAGACCATATTGGCCGGGCGTGGTGGTTCACGCCTGTAGTCCCAGCACTTTAGGAGGCTGAGGCGGGCGGATCACAAGGACAGGAGATCGAGACCATCCTGGCTAACATGGTGAAACCCCGTCTCTACTAAAAATACTAAAAAAATTAGCCAGGTGTGGTGGTGGCCGCCTGTAGTCCCAGCTACTTGGGAGGTTGAGGCAGAAGAATAACGTGAACCCGGGTGGCAGAGCTTGCAGTGAGCAGAGATGGCGCCACTGCACTCCAGCCTGGGTGACAGAACGAGACTCCGTCTCAAAAAAAACAAACAAAAAAAAAAGAGAGCTCATATGCAGCTTAACTCATAGATCAGTTTGAGCAATGATATTTTGGTTAGAAAATGGAGGACATTTTTAGAGACAAGGGAGACCAACTGAAGAGGAAACTGCTACATACAAAATATTTTGAGATAAGACTAGAAAAACATAAGGGGATCAGATTAAGAATAATGTTGAAGAAAGTGACAGCTAATTTATTTAATGACAGTTATATGATAGGAGACTATTTATTTGTTTGAAGACTATTTATTCCTTTAGAGTCAACCATCATCATTAAAAGTACTACCACTTCTCCCATCCCATCCCCATATTATTAGCAATCTCATAGTAATTTTGT
This sequence comes from Homo sapiens, assembly GCF_000001405.40. Taxonomy (NCBI): domain Eukaryota; kingdom Metazoa; phylum Chordata; class Mammalia; order Primates; family Hominidae; genus Homo; species Homo sapiens. The sequence goes on along the minus strand of NC_000002.12, from coordinate 125,931,245 downwards.
GTTTCATTCACCATGTTATATATTTTTATATGCTATGTTAAAAAAAGCAACTGTCATAACAACCCTGAACTGAGGCAAAGATAGTTTGCTGACTTCATCCAAGGTCACAGAGGTAGTGAGCAACAGCCGAAAGAAGACTAAGTAAAACTATGACTCAGGCTGGGCAGGGTGGCCCACACCTGTAATCCCAGCACTTTGGGAGGCCAAGGCAGGTGGATCACCAGAGGTCAGGAGTTCGAGACTAGCCTGGCCAAGGTGGTGAAACCCCATCTCTACTAAAATACAAAAACTTGCTGAGTGTGGTGGCAGGTGCCTGTAATCCCAGCTACTCCAGAGACTGAGGCAGGAGAATCTCTTGAACCCGGGAAGTGGAGGTTGCAGTGAGCTGAGATCATTCCATTGCACTCCAGCCTGGGCAACAAGAGTGAAACTCTGTCTCAAAATAATAATAATAATAATAATAAACTGACTCAAAAAACTATCTGGGTCTCCTACTAAATATGATTACACACAATGTTGAGTGTTCCCAATATCCTTAAGGCTTCAGAAAGTTCTCCATGCTTTAATATTGTCATCAGATGTGGTCAACTGAGCTTCACATTCCCAATCCATTTCCAATTCTGTTTAGAATAACAATCACGGTCCTATAAAAATGACATTTGTTTCTCTGAGTGCAGTCCTCATCCTTTAGCAGTCCTCATCCTTTAGCAGTCTCCATGCCCCACAGAAGATGGAACTTAATGATCTATGACAACTTAGAGGAAAAAATTACTACATAGTTGGAAACCAACACTTCTGAGGATTTCATTTCTTAAACTACTTGAAAGTTTCCAAGAAATAAGAGGTTTCTTACAGATCTGGCTTCTCTCACAGTTCCTGCCTCAACATCACAGTCTACAGAAAGAAAGACTGAGCTGTGTTCAAAGGGTAATTTGGGGGTTATAAGGTCTGCAGATTATTTTTTTACACACAAAATTTTATAAAATCTTAAAAGTTCTTAACAGCCCAAATTGCAAAATAAATGAAGATGTAGGCTTCTCACCCCATGTGGCTTCTTACTATTTAGCAGAATTATTTCCTGGTTTCAGAGACACAGATCACTTTTTAATGATCTTTCCAGTTCAGACATTTGATCTTTTAAAGAGCTGTTGGGTGTATTCAGTGATATTTAATGAGCAAGAGCTGCACAATATATAAAGCAAGGGAGGGAATGGTCCATTGACTCTGGCTCAGGCACCATTCAAATATTTTAAGACCTAATTTCCTACTTTCACTTGAGTCCTTTGAAGTTGTCTTTTTGTGATTTCTAGGACAAATAACAGCCCCAGCTCACTGATTAGAAAGGCTCCGTCAGCTTTGTGGGCATTAAAGTCCTCAGAGAACAGACACAGCAGTTAGTTAAGGTGATCAGACACAGCAGGTTAAATTTCCCTTGGGGAATTTTTCTTAGGATAGCACATAAAGAGACAAATACTGTCACCGAATTATGTCTGTATCTTGATGGAAGACATGGGAAGAGAAAAATTATTCTCCTGGTGAGTCGTGCTTAGGTTTCTCTGAGATGAAGCATTTTCACTCTGGGAAGAAGGCATTTTTCAGCATTGTCTTCCGTTGTGCTTCTCCCATTCACTTTATCCCACAGTGGGTCAGCATTTCACAAATATGCATTCAGCATTTATCTATTCCCTTTTTCATGAGCCATTGTAGAGACTTATTAGACATGTCATGGGTTCATGTGACAGGAATATTGGGGTTTTCCAACAAAACACTTACAATATCTTCATGATGTGCCTAATAGACTAAGCCACATGAAGATAAGACTTTTTTGTTTTGTTTTGTTCTCAAGTCTTGTAGGCATGTTAATATGTCCTTAGTGTTTCAGGAGATACTAACACTTATCACTGTGATTTTTCTGGCTTAAAGACCCTAAGTTCTTCCAAAATATTTTAGTGCTTTTTTTTCAACTAGACACTAAATTTCAAGCATACAGATATTATACTATATCAATCTTATTTATCCTCTGTTACATCCAGATAATCATCTGGAATTTATTCTTTCTAAATTTGCATTCAGACACATCATATCTCAGTCTGTTTGTACTACATTCTAGAAAACAAATTTCTTTGCTACATCTTCTAATTAATTCACTCTTCAGTCATATCCATTTTGCTTAACAACCTGTTAAATGTTTTAAATCTGAATTTTGCAAACATTTTAAATTTCTGATAACTTTAGTTGATAATTTATAAACGATATAGTATTCTCTGGATATCTTGAAGATAGAAATTCTTCAGCTATTGAATATCCTTTTTGTTGATTTCCATTCTTTTCGTGCTGTTGCTTATATTAAAGTCTTGGTGAGTCTTAAGTATTCTGTTTCATCAAATTACTGCTTAACTTCTGAATTATTTGCAAAGCCGTCCTGCTCAGCAGCCCAGGACACATGTGGCTAGTGGTGCTCTCAATTTTCCCTCTGGGTGTCTGGAATATCCTGCTCTCATCCCTACCATGAGGCAGTAGTGTTCAAGTGAACTCCCCAGAGTTCTACCCTCACCAATTTGTGCACTGGGCAGAAACCATTGTAGAAATCTACTTTGTGTGAGCAAGGTGGGGGAAAGGAGCATCATTTATCTTCTTTGAGTACAACCCCTTTAACTTCTTGCCTTCTTATATCTGATAGTGATAAGTTCAAAAAACTTCTCTTTATTATGTTTCAGGCTGTGCTATTCCCTGGATTTATTTTCCAATGTATATAAAAAGTTTGCTTTCTAAATTTGGAGATTCTTTAACATGAGTGGCCTACTAATGATACTTTTTCATTTTTTTCCAACAGAATATTTTTTCAACAGTGATTTAGTGAGTATTTACTATGTACTAACTACTATTCTAGGGATTGGTATTCAGCAGTAAACCAAACAGGGTGTCTATCCTATGGGGTAGGTGGAGGGATAAGACAATGAAGATAAAATAATGTATACATGTGGTCCAGTGACAAAGATTGTTAAGTACTACCAAAATTAAAAGAAAGGAGGGAATAAAGGAAGAAAGGACGCAAGGAAGGGAGGAAGGGAGGAAAGGGAAGGGGAAGGGAAAAGAAGGAAAGGGAAGGGAAGAAGGAAGGAAGGAAGGAAGGGAAGGAGGGAGGGAGGGAAGAATGTAGGAAGGAAGGAAAGTAAATAAAAAGAAGCCAGCAGGGGAAGTGATAGGAAGTAACTGGGATGCCATTTAATACTGCCTAGAGAGCAAAGCACGTTTGAGTGCATCCATGTGAATAAAATAAAGGAAGAAAACATGGATATATACGGGAGAAGAGAAATAGAGAGTGTGAAGCTCTGAGGTAGAGCATGCTAGGATTGGGTGGGGTAGTTGAAAAACCAGAGTAGGTGGAGTTTTGTAAGCAACAAAGAAAAGAATATTAAATTAGCTTGAACAAATAGCTTAAGACCAGGGCACATTTATGGAGTTTTTATGTGATTTCACTTATATTATTGTCACATTAACATATCAAAAGCATCATATTCCTGTGATGAAGGGACTCAACTGTTTTTAACAGCATCTCCATTTTATTTTTCCTCATGTAACATCTGTTGTATATGTTATATATCATATCATATATATTACAGAATTAGTATTTTAAAGAACTATATATATATTTTTTAAGTCACCATAGGAACAATTTCTCTGCATTGTTGTGATATCATGATTTTGACCTAGAGATTAGACAAACATTTTCCAAGTTCAAATTAAAATGTCTTTTTATTACTTCAACTCTTTATGCAATCAAATATATTCAATTTCTTGCCCTACTTCCCTGCAGGATGCAAAATAATAACATGTTTTAGTCCACAATTTAAGAAATAGAAAATGATGCAATTCTTTGGGAACTGATTTGTAGTAACTGGCAGCTATATAGCTCAAAGCCAAAACGATTTTTAACAATCAAGTGGTGCGCAAATATCATAGCCTTATGAGGAATTTGATTATGCTTATGTTGATATTGAATGTTCTGTATTGTTTCTAGTCAAACACAGAAATAATTTATATTGTAAATGTTATTTTTACTTTCATTCTTTATTTTAAAAATCTAATATATTTTAAATATTTTTATTTTCATAAGAATATTATTTTTAAAGCCAGTGTAACTTAGGAGAAAAAAAATATTTAAAACATATTTCTTCCATGTACCAGCAACTTGCTGTTCATGTTCACACCTGAGTTTAATTTCATAACTGTAAAGTAGGTATTATTAATTCCATTTTTTTTACAAATAAGCAAATTAAAAATCAGTGCTCTCTTCCTTAGAAAAATGCAGCAGGGAGATAGCAATCAAATTTCAAACACAGTATCTAATGCCAAGATCAATAAGAAGTTACATTTATTAACCCGTGTCTATAGTCAAACCATTCAAGAGTGAATGGTACAATACTTACTCTTAACAAGTGTATTGTTTAATGGAAAATAAGTTTAACATCCAGACTTGTACCTATAATAATAACAATAACAGCAACTAAGGTGTTTTGCATTCATTGTGAAGTTTTAGCTTTCATTTTCAGTAGCCCTAAACTTACAGATTAACAAAGACTCTGACGGATTAAATGACTTGCCAGCATCCCACAGTTGCAAAGTGACAGAGCTGAAACCCAATTTAGCCTCCCTGTACCTGTCCTTTTTCCATGGAACTCCTGCTGTCTCTTTAGGCTTCACCTCTACCTATGCCCTCTGCATGATAAGCTCAGTGAAGCTTTCCCTCTGAGGTGAATTACCTATCGCTAGATATAAACCCAAGGTTCTTAAATGAACGCAGTCATGATTTTTGAAGATATATGTTGAACTGACTTACCCTGCCTGATCAGTATATGAATAGAGCCGGGTACAGTGGGGAGGGGAAATGTGCAAGAGGGAAAGAAAATAGCATTATGCAAAGTGAACACAGAAGGCAGTGACAAGTTTTGCTTGATTTAAGAGCAGAGAAAAACGATTATTCTGATTTTCTTCAGGATGAACTCTTGGTCTGTTCTCATTTCAAAAGGGAACAGCATATCTCAGAAAATGAATGTATCTTCAGATTTTAATGTCATCACCATGGAAGTCACTGGAAGGTGTTGTTATGACCTTCCTCCGCACTGGAGGGGTTCATGATATATCTTCTGTTGATGAAAATTCAGAAGACCAGGGGAGCCGATAAAATATAGCTAAGTGATTCAGAGAGTAAATATTAGGTTCAGTGCCTGATTGCCTCATATTTTAAATATTTCAATGCTCCCTGCATGACTAGACGGTGTAAAGTACTCACTATTTAGCAACTTCTGCCACAAAAACACCTTAATAGCATCATTCAAAATATGTACTGTCCTCTTTGGAGTAATGGGCTTTTGATGATAGTAATCAAAGAATGCTGCCTTTGTATGTTAGAGTCGTAGCCACATTGAGAAATGATGACTGTTAAGGACATTTCTTTTCAGTAATTGTGTGCTTTTTTCAGTCCCTTTCTCTGATTTAAGATGAGTGACAGTGGGGTTGGAGCAGGTAGGGTTATTTCCCCCTAACGAAATAGAAACTAGCCTTAGAGAGGCAGATATTGGTGGCAGAAATATGCAAAGAACGTGATCTGAAAAAATAAGATGCAGCCTGCAAAAGCCAATGGGAAGATTAGAAATTAGAAAGAGGTTGTGTTCATACTAATGCAAGGCAAGATTTAGAGACCTGGGCTGTGAATTTGGAAAGCAGAGATCAGATGGGGAGTGTGATGATGGGGTACTGGCTGGGAAATAATGTGTAATGCTTGGGATGGGGGCCGGAATTCATCTGTTCATCTTTTCTTTAATAAAGAAAGATGCTCACACACAAGAGACTGAGAGAGGAACATTTATACATGGAAAATGTTCTTGTTCTTTGTGTGATGAGTCACTTTTAGTCTTCCATGCTGTTTCCTGAGGGTTAAGCCCACTCGGCAGAACAACAGGACCCAACTTCAAGAAAACTCTTAACTCTAAACATTATGACTTTATGACATTTTGGATTTTTCCTTATGGTAGGGGTTTCAGAGGAGCCACATAAACTATATAGAAACACTGTGATAACTGGGAGTGTGCAAGTGTGGGCTCTTTCTTGTCTCAGCTCCGCCACTTGTGATTACTATAATCTTTGTTCAGGTATTTAGCTTCTTTGATGTGCTGTTTCCTGCCTTAAGAATTGTCTTATGGGAGGCGGAGCTTGCAGTGAGCCGAGATTGTGCCACTGCACTCCAGCCTGGGTGACGGAGCAAGACTCCGTCTCAAAAAAAAAAAAAAAAAAAGAATTGTCTTATAGATATATGTATAGCATGTATTGGCCACTTATGTGCCCATATTATAATTTAAATCTCATAAAAATCGATGACGTATTATTCTGCTATTAATCTCACTTCAGATAATTTTTTTTTTAATTGAGTATCAAAGAGTTTAAGTAACTTTCCCCAGGTCACATGGCTTGTAGAGCTTAGATTTGAAAGGAATTGACCCCCTTTAGAAGGTGATTTTGAGGGCATGGAAATGTACTGGAAATAGGTCTTTTTTTTTTTTTTTTTTTTTTTTTTGAGGCGAAGTCTCGCTCTGTCGCCCAGGCTGGAGTGCAGTGGCGCCATCTCGGCTCACTGCAAGCTCCGTCTCCCGGGTTCACGCCATTCTCCTGCCTCAGCCTCCTGAGTAGCTGGGATCACAGGCGCCCGCCACCACGCCTGGCTAATTTTTTGTAGTTTTGGTAGAGACGGGGTTTCACCGTGTTAGCCAGGATGGTCTCGATCTCCTGACCTCGTGATCCGCCCGCCTCGGCCTCCCAAAGTGCTGGGATTACAGGCGTGAGCCACCGGCCCCGGCCGGAAATAGGTCATTGTTTTATCCCGTCTGTTTTTGTAAACATGCTGGTTTAGAAATCAATTTGCGTAAAAGCCCGAAAAATCAGTAGAATAATTTTATGGTATTTTGCTTTATAAGAAATGAAAGAAGAAACAAATAAGATTTGGACAAAATGCATCCTAGAGACATGGCACCAAAGTGGGCTGGAGAGACTCCACAAATATATCTATCTACCTATATAAATCTACTACTGATGATTATATGTTTTGCATAAATTCCGACTTTTTTCCAAAACAGCAATTTTGAAAGATTTTATGTAATTTGAAAATATCTCAGATTTCATCATATCTTTACCCTCCTTCACACAGTTACCTCTACCTTTCCCATCCCCCAATTTTGATGCGTGTGAAGTTAATTACTCTGGCCATCCATTCTTTGTCTATTTCCTTCAGGAGGTTTTGAGAGACTAAACACATCTCTAATGTTTTGGAGAAAAATCAAACACTGATACTTTAGGTCAGAATATTACTACTAACCTATAAGAATCACTGTTGTAAAAATATGGAGCATTGATCATTTTTGACTAGAAAGAAAGCCTTCTGATGATTGAGTCCAAAGGGCTTATTTTTTTTTTCCACTAATAAACTACTATCTGGCAACAAAAATATATCTTGGCCAAGTTCACACAACACTTTAATTTCAGGGGAGGGACTGGAGCTGGTATTCTGGATCGTGTTCAATGGGCTTCTCTTTACTTTTAACGGTTTCTTTAGGGAGCATACAAGATGTTCCTGGGACTTCGCGTTTGTTTCCACAAACTGCTAAAGCCAACATGGGGCCTAGCCAAATGAAAACACAGAACTACTCTTGAGTTATTTTAGAAATCAAAGATATCGAAATGGGTAACTGCTCCTGCATTCATGGGAGTTAGGCATTAGCAGTTGACCATAGGTTTGTTTTCATGGTTCATAATGTGATTTCATAATTCCCCATGCTGCACTTCAAGTGCATCACTAGTTCATATGGGGATGTATATATATATATGCATGCATGCATGCATGCATGCATGTACAAAACAGAAGTCAAAGCACATAATCGAATACCTATCATGTATTAGGTGTTATTTTAGGCATCTTACTCTTCATCTTAATCCCAGACCCTCATGAAATGGAGGACGTTATTTCTGTTTAGCTTCTCTATCTAGGATGAGTTTGAGGAACCAAATGAAAGGCTGTATGAGAAGGTGCCTTGTAAACTCTTTGCTGCCTTTTCCCGTCCATTGTCACAATGTACGATGGAACCAGCTTTCTGGCTCTAACGGCACATTTGGATATGCTGCTTACACTTGATGCTCAGCCCTTATCCTCCTGTGAGCTCAATATGTTATCTTTTCCATTCCATGTGGCCAATTTCTGATAATACACACCCATCTTTTTGCCCCAGCCCTGTTCCATTCTGGCTAGTGAGGGCCATCTTGCCTGGTTCCCCCAGTGGGAAGGGGATCACATCATGCACATATTTCTAAACTGTGTTAAAATATTTTTTGAATGAAAAACTCTAAATTATTCAGATATGTGGCAACTTACAGGAGGAATCATTTTTAGAGTCTCTAAAATATTTTAGGAAGCACGAGATCTAATATTATGAAGCTTCTTTATATGTGACAATTATTTTGAAGTGATGTTAAAGTTCTCCACGTGGCGCAGAATGAAACATTCTGAATTACTATGCCTGGTAGTAATTATTTATAGTCTCTGTTAAATTCAAACATAATACACCCATAAAAATGGGATGTTGATTCTATGGATGCTATTACTCCATTTACTTAGACAATATCAGTAATGTGGGCTGAGTTCTCATTTAACAAACTTATACCGACACAACTTACAGAATTCAGGGAATTAAGGTTTTTTTCTTCATTATCACATTTCTTTCTTCTTTCCTGATCTTTTAGGAATTGGCTTTCTGAATATTTCATATATCCGTCTGCTTCATCCCTGTTTACCTGTGGAATCACAGGCTTTGATCTCCTGCTTGGGACATTGTGAGAACTCTCTTCCTGGACTTTCTTCTTCTGTCTATCCCACTCTGGTTCCCTCTCCACACTGTAGCAAAACCACCTGAGTAATTTGCAAAGGTAATGATGCTATCTGCTTAAAAACCATTTAATGGTCTGAAGTTAATAGGATCTGAGTTGAGGAGGGGTCACAGGACCACGGAAGATTCACAAGGAGGATAAACAGGGGTGACTTCAGTGAATATGCTTTAGAAGTCAACTCTTGTAAATGTGTTTTGTATGCCCTTCAAAATACCAGAGTGGAATAGAACCATCTGTTTAAAGAGCTTACACTGAGGCTTGGGAAAGAAGGCTCTGGATTCTACTATCTTTCCTTTTGATAAATGACTGTTAAGGACATTTCTTTTCAATAATTATGTGCTTTTCTCAGTCCCTTTCTCTGATTTAAGATGGGTGACAGTGGGGTTGGAGTGGGTATGGTTATTTTCCCCCTTAAAAATATAGAATGTAACATTAGAGAGGTAGACATTGGTGGCAGAAATATGCAAAGAATGTGATCTGCAAAAATAAGATGTAGCCTGAAAAAGGCAATGGGAAGATTAGAGATTAGAGGTTAGGTTCATACTAATGCAAATCAACATTTAGACACCTGGGCTCTAACTCTTCTAACTTTTCATAACCGTCTTTTTCTAATTATTTTCTTTGTCCTTATGTCACATAGTTGTAGCCAGATTAAGACCAGATAGGGGAAGACTCAATCTTGAATGAAAAAGTAGGCACATATATGACATCAGAAGTTATTAAATCTGTGTTTGCTAGGCCTTTATCTTCTTATTAATGTTCTTCCCGGGTTCTTCATCAAAGTCACATTTGTGTTTATGCCAATAACATCATTCTTAATATTCTCATAAGGAAACTATGCACTTCTTCAAGGAGTTTTTTACTCAGACAGTGTCTGTATATTGAGATCTGAGCCCACTTTACTAAGCTGGATAACCACAATCTTTATTCATAGGTGCTACACTTATTACACTAAACACGGAGGGATTTCAGTGAGTAGGGAGACAGTTTAAGGAAAATAACCTGAGACTCCCACACATACACATCTTTGTGGTAGTAGAGCGTATGGGAATAGGCATGAGGACAGAATGGAGGAGGCAATCAATTGTTTTAGTAATTTCTCTACAGGTCAAGGTAAGTGGAGGAATGAAGCTCCTAGACCTTTCCCTTTGCATCACATATGCTGACGCTCTTACTTTATAATTAACTGCAGTGAAGGCTGTGTCTCCTTTAGCAGGGTTGTGGACCCATCAAAAATAATTTGTCCGGAGTAAGTGTAGGGAAAAAGGGGCAGCCTACCTTTTGCTAAACCACAGATCATTTTTGTTGGTCTGCCTATCTGTTGTTTGTGTTCCCCTCTGCATGGCTCCAGCCACATTTGCTTTTTTTTTTTTTTTTTTTTTTTTTGCTAAGGAGTCTCGCTCTGTGGCCCAGGCTGGAGTGCAGTGGCTCCATCTGGGCTCACTGCAAGCTCCGCCTCCCGGGTTCACACCATTCTCCTGCCTCAGCCATTCTACGGCCTCCCGAGTAGCTGGGACTACAGGTGCCTGCCACCACGCCTGGCTAATTTTTTGTATTTTTAGTAGAGACGGGGTTTCACCGTGTTAGCCAGGATGGTCTCAATCTCCTGACCTCATGATCCGCCCGCCTTGGCCTCCCAAAGTGCTGGGATTACAGGCGTGAGCCACCGCGCCCGGCCCACATTTGCTTCTTTCTGTCAGTGAGCTCTTTCTACCATTGTGCCCCTCCAACTTCTGGTCTGCCTGTGATTGCAGCCCTAGGCTGCCCAGGCATCTGGTGCCCGCAGGTCACACTCCAGTTCCCCCAAACCCAGTGAAACCAGCAACAACACAGCCTTTACTAGAATGTAATAATATTTCCATTTTGCACTTTTGAGACAGCAAATTCTCAGGATCTAACGGTCCCTCATGTTGATCTATATTGCTCTCACATACCGTCTGACTACAAATCAAGGATGCTGAACAAGTTTCCAGAAATAAACATTGCATAATTTCTTTAATTGACATTTTTAAAAGTGAGACCCTATTAAGTGATTTTATTCAAAGCTGATTTGTTTGTGGCTCATAATAGTTTTCTTGAAAAGCTACTTGTTATTTTATACTCCAAAATGTGAAATCAGGTTAAAAAATGCAAAATAAAATCACATAATTTAACTTCTCACTCTTTAGCTATATATACAAACATACATATATGTTTTATAGCAGGCAAAAGGTTAGTGTTTAGTGTCTTAAAAACTACAAAAGAGGAAAAGGCAATCAAATGCCTAGAAAAGCAGGCAATTTGAATATAAATAGACAATTATAAAGAAATATAAACTGTAACATTACATGGAATAAGATTTTTTAAGTTACTAGCAATCAGATAAATCAGATTAAACAATACCATTTTCATATACCAGAATGCAAACACTAAATTTTTGAAAATATGAAATTTTGGTGGGTTTGTTGGGAAACTGATACTCCTATATCAATTCCTTGTGAAATAGAAGTTGGGAAATAAATTGCTGTGGGGAAATAAATTGGTAGAGGGGCACAGGGAAATTGAATGGCAATTTGGAATTGCCATGAAGTCACAAATACCATAGGACTCAATAATTCTCTAAGGCGTCTTTATTAGATAAGTACTCATACATATATACAATGAGGTCTGAAAGAGGACTGGTATTGAAACAAAAACAAAAAACCAAAAGTAAAAGTTTATTAAGAAGATAATCACTGAATAAAATAACCATATTCGTACTTTAGAATTATGTAGTATTTTTTAAAATTGAAACAGACAGAGATGTATTGTTGAAAAGAAGCACGTGAAAATTGATATATACTGAATAATACACTTTATGGAATTAAATACCATATATTTTCTATGTACATATACCTGTGCATGTGTATAATACGGATGTCAATGCATTGTAAAGGGTATAGAGAATTGACACTAAACTAATAGCAATAATGTCTCAGGTAAGTAGAGAAGAGAGGGAGGGTAGTGGGTTTGGGGGTGTGGCAAAAGGAAAAATTTGTCTTATCTATAATGTTTTAATTTTTAGTAAAAATAATATGTTCATATATTCACTATGTTATTAAAAATGAATACTAATTTATATTATAAATAAACAACAGACTCTACAAAGTATAGCAAATATTATAATTTCTGACATGTTTTGAGACTGCAGATTTTGTTCTTCCTATTTTATGTTAGTGCTTTATTGATTCTCAAGTACTACTGAAGTACACAGGCAAAACGCATGAGGCTGTATGGCTTCATGGCTAAGTACATGTGTTTTGAGGTCACACTGTTTGATTTCTGATACAACTGCTTACAGTTGATCAACATGGTCAAATTATTTAACCTGCCTGTGCTACAGTCTCCCCATGTGTTCAGCATGAACGAGCATAAGGCAAGCAAGCATACAAAAAAACTACCACTTTTGATAGTGGTGAATATTAAATGAGATCCACAAGAAGGCTGTAGAACAAGATGAGACAGGTAGTGAGCCCTCGGGACATATGAACCACTGTTAGCTCTTGGCTATGCAGAAGGCTACCTGTTCTCGTAGGTTTATAGATTTCTTGACACACACACCCACCCAACCACCCATACACACACACACGATGAAAGCTAAAATCTCATTCCCTTTTTTCCCACGAACTTGAAAAATCTCATCACTTATAGGAAATTTGAATAAAGCATAACTTTATCTTATGTTAAGTGACACAAAACACTAGGACACTGAATTGAGTCCATTGAAAATCGGCTTCAATAATTTACAGCCTGCAAAGCTTCAAACTCTTCATCTATTTTGTTTTAAGTTTGGATTTGTCACACTCTGACATTTTCATATGTTTCCAAAATGTCACCATACTAGGGCAAAAGAAGCTATTATATCAAGTGCCCTTGAAATGCTTCCAACTCCACATTCTGTGTTAGTTGTGCTTGATGTGCACGACTGTTACATAGAAAAGAAACATTTTTTTTTCAGGATAAAATATTAGGTTTGAGAAGTCAAAGTTTTATGAGGCAAAAAGCTTATCTTAAACTGATTCCTTCAACTTCATTAATCATTATTGAATGCTAATAATCACACACATACAAGCAAACACCCCCCCACACACACACAACTTTCTGCTTAATAGGTGACTTTAACAACAATTCTACCAATCAGGAGTATCTGCTGGTATAAATAAAAATAATTTTTTGGTCTTCAAAATCTTCAATGACAGCTGAATTCCTAATTTTTATTCCAAATTCTTCTCATAGTTTTAAGGTTTTTTTTTTAAACAAACTATTTGATTTCCTCTTACCCATACAAACTTACTTTGTATGATTTCTCTACTAGTACTCTTATTCTGAGTCTTCAATGAGTTTACTGCCACATGAAAATATGATGCTCATGTATTATGTCTATGTTAGGTGGGAACTGGCTTTTCTGTTTTTCAACCGTTGAAACATTCAATCATCTTTCAAAACCCAGTTCACTCTCACTTTCATGAAGATTCCAGGCCAGACAATTCAGCCTTCTCTGAACATGCATTGCACAGAGTCTCCATACCAAGTGGCCCAGAACTTTGTCTATACTGTTTTGTTGGCTGAAGATCTATGTGTCTAACTCTCATCTGCATAATTTGAACATAAAATCCCTGAGGATAGAGATTTGGAAACTGTTCTTCATGTAATGATTTCATTCCACAGAAGTGCAAAAAGAGGGTGAATTGGTTACATTTGATAATCCGAAAACATTTTTAAAGGCATCCTGGGATAGTGGCAGAGAGGAAGACATCAGAAATCTGACTCTCCATGTGGACAACAATTTCACAGGCAGACTCTGTTTGTTGTGATTTTTGGAACTCCTAAGTCTATCAAAGGCTTGCAAATTCTTGGGAAAGGCTTGGACAGTAAATTATGGTTAATATGAGTCAATTTTATCTCTTAGTTAAGCAGAGGCTACCCATTATTTATCCTATAGCCTTGTGGCAGGCAGCTGTGAATGTGTTCCTGGAGTATCTTGCACAGAGCTTGTGGAAGCCAGAATGGGCAAAAACAACCCTGTTTTTCGAATATCAAGGATCTGTGTTCTGATTATTGACTACTGGAAAAAGGTGGAGAGCCATTGTTGTTGTACCTTTTCCCAGTATTGCAAGAACTTCCCTCCCTGGCTAAATGACTTTCAGGAAATATAAAGGGCCTCCAAATTTACCCCCTTTAATTTTCCTTTTTTTTTTTCCTCTCAGGGGTTGGACATTGATGACTAGGGGCATTCAAAAGCAGTTATATATACAAAGGAAATTAGGAAGTTACCATGCAAGCCCAGAAAAAGATTCAGGCTCTGCGATGACCTGAGAAGACCATAAGTTTGTACTTTAGGTTGATCTTTGGCACACATACAATGTAACACAATAATCAAAACAAAAACAATAAATAAAACAGAAAACCAGCAAATTCTGGGGGAGGGAGGAGAATTAAGTTTCCAGAGTTATCACATTTTAAAATCAAAATATATGGTTTTCAACAAAAAAGTCAAAAGACATACAATGCAACAAAAGGTATGATTTATTCAAAGGCAAAAAATAAACCCACAGAAACTGTTCCTGTAAAACACCTGATGGAAGGGAAGATCTACTACAAAAAGACTTTAAAACAGATGTCTTAAGATACTCAAAGAACCAAGGGAAGACTTGGAAAAGTCCAGAAAACAATGTGTGAAAAAAATGGAAAGATCAATAAAGAGACAGAAAGCAAAAGGAAATTCTGGAGTTGAAAAGTACAATAGCTGAAACCAAAAATTCACTAGAGGGACCCGATGACAGATTTGCACAAGCAGAAGAAAGAATCAGCAAACTTGAAAATAAGACAATGGGAATTACTGAATCTGAGAAATAGAAAATAAAAAGACTGAAGAAAAATAACCAGCACCTATGGAAACTGTGAGATTTTAACAAGAGGACTAACATACTCATTGTGGGAGTCCAGATTAAGAAGAGAAAGAAACAAAGAAAATATTTAAAGAAATAATGGACAAAAATGTCCCACATTTGATGAAAGATATGAACATAAGCATTCAAAAATCTCAATGAACTCCAAGGATTATGAACTCAAAGACGTCCATTATGGAGACACATTATAATCATCAATATAAAGTCAAAGAATTTTGAAAGCAGTGAGGAAAAAAGCAAATCATGTACAAGTGATCCTCAATACTATTTGCAGCATATTTCTCATCAGAAACTTGGAGGCAGGAAGGCAGTGGGCTGATATACACAAAATTCAAAAGAAAAAAAAGAAAGGTGAATGAAAGAAAGAGAAAAGAAAAGAAAAGAGACCTGTCATTCAAAATCACAACATCCAGCAAAACTGTACTTTAATGATGAGGGAGAAATGAAAACATTCCAAGGTAAATACAAGTTGAAATTGTTTATTAGCATATGCATTCCCTGAAAACAATGCTAAGGAGACTAGCAGGTTGACATGAAAGGAAACTAGATAGCAACTGGAAGCTTTATGAAGAAATAAAGATCTTAGTAAAGGTAAATACCAGGGCAATTATAAAACTAATATTATTGTAATAATGATATGTAACTCCACTTTTTGTTTTCAACATGATGTAAGAGACTAAGGCATTTAAATATTATTAGTTCATGTTGTAATACCAAATGGTAACCACAAAGCAAATAGTTGAAAAATATACACAAAGGAAATGAGAAAATAATTTAAATGTTTTACTACAAAAAAATCAACTAAACATAAAATAAGACAGTAATGTAGGAAATGAGAGACAAACTATAGGGCAATAGGGCATACAGAGAACAAATATTAAAATTACAACAGTAAGTCCCTCCTTATTAGTAATTGCTTTAAATGTAAATCAGTCAGATGTCGTGGCACATGCCTGTAATTCCAGCACTTTGGGAGATCAAGGTGGGAGGCTTGCTTGAGCCCAGTAATTTGAGACTAGCCTGGACAACATAGTGAGACTTCATATCTACAAAAGATTAAATTAGCCAGATGTTGTGTTGCACACCTGTGGTCCCAACTACTCAGGAGGTTGAGGTGGGAGAGTCACATGCACTCAGGAGGTCAAAGCTGCAGTGACTCAAGATTGTGCCACCACACTCCAGCTTAAGTGACAGAGTGAAACCATGTCTCCAAATAAACAAATAGATACATAAGTAAATGTAAATCAGTTAAATTATCCAATTTAAAGATAAATATGGCAGAATGGATAAATACAATATGATCTAACTACGACTTTTACACAAGACTCAATGTAGATCAAAAGACACAAATAGGTATTAATAAAGGAATGAAAATGGATATTCCATACAAATAATAGCCAAAAAAAAGGAGCAGGAGTGCCTCTGTACTAAAACTAGACAAAAAAGACTTTAAGTCAAAAAATGTTACAAGAGACAAAGAGGATTATTATATATTAATCAAATATTTTACACAATATATAACAATTGTAAACATTTACACACCCAATGACAGACCATCAAAATACATGAATCAACAATTGATGGCATTGAAGGGAGAAATAGCTTTACCTTAATAGTTGGAAACTTTAAGACCCCACCCTCCATAATAGAATAACCATAAAGAAGGTACATAAGGGAGTAAAGGACATTATTAACACAATAATCCAACAAGATCTAACCAACATCTACCAAACACAATATCAACAAACAACAGAAAACACAACCTTCTCAAGTGCAGATGGGACATTCTCCAAGGTAAACCATATGTTAGGCCACACATTAAATCTCAAAAAGACAGACATCATACAAAGTATCATCTCCAACTAAAACAGGATGCAGATATAATTCAACAACACTAGTAAAACTGGAAAATTCTCAAATTTGTGGAAATTAAATAATATGCTCTGAAACATCGAATTAAATTAAAAGGGAAATTATAAAATAATAAAAAATTAATGAAAACACAACATACCAAAACTTTGGGGATTTTAAAAAGCAATGCTAAGAGGAAATTTTAAAGATATAAACACATATTTAAAAACAACAAGAAGAAAGAACTCAAGTCAACAACCTAGCCTTACAACTTAAATAATTAGAAATAAAAAGAACAAATAAAAACCAAATCTAGCAAGAGGAAGGAAATAATAATGATTAGAGAAGAGGTAATGAAATATAGAATAGAAAACAATAGAGAAAATTTACGAAAGCCAAGAGTTGGTTCTTTAAAAAGATTAGCAAAATTGGCAAAGCTTTAGGTGGATGGAAAAAATGTGAAAAACAGATAAGATTCAGCTTTCTGAAATCAGAAGTGAAGTTGGGAACATTGATACCAATTCTACAAGAGTTCTATGAGCAATTTTATGCCAACAAATTTGATAACGTAGAGGAAATAACTACATTTCTAGGAACATAAAACCTACTAAGGCTATAAACTATGAAGAAACAGAAAGCATGAATATACCTGTAACTAGCAAAGAGAGTGAATTCATAATTAGTAATCACTAATCTTCCAAAAAAGAAAAGCCCTGAACCTGATGGTATCACCAATGAGTTCTACCAAGCCTTAAAAAGAAAGCAAATTCTTACATAGCCCATAACATGAATGGACCTTGAGAACATTATGATGAATGAAATAAGCCTATCACAAAAATATAAATGCTGCATGATTCTAGTTATAAGAGGCACTTAAGGTAGTCAAAATCATAGAGACAGAAAGTAAAATGGAGATTGCTGGGGGCTGGGAAGTGGGGAACTGAGGAGTCATTGTCGAGTGAGCACATTGTTTAGAGTTTCCATTTTTGCAACTCTTTTCAAGAGTTCTGGAAGTGGATGATGTAAAGGCTTTTGTAATTATTTAAAGGCTTTTTGATGATGTAAAATTACTACCTTAACTATTTTAAGCCCAGTGGCATTAAGTACATTCACATTGTTGAATTCACATTGCTGAACAATGTGAATGTACTTACACTTAATGACATTGGACTTAAAATAGTTAAGGTAGTAATTTTATGTTAAGTGTATTTTTCCAAAGCTTTAATAAATGAAATAAAAAGAATATTTGAAATTTATTCTGTCAAAGAGCTTTTTTATTATGCAGTAATTAGTCAACACTTATTTTGAGTCTACAAATCACTAGGTCTTTTGTTAGGCCCTGTGGCTTTGTTGATATACAAGTCAGAATTTTAGCCAATGCCCTCAAACTTCTTACAACTCATGTCAGGTAACTGGCAAATAATTAGAGTCCATGTTACAAAAGAAAAATTACTGAAAGCATTCAAGTAAGGAACAGCCATGCTATTCTGGTGCCTGGTTGGCCTGGAGTCCGCGGTCTGACATTAGTGCTAAAGCTTAAGGAAAATATGAGGATCCAAAACAACACTGAATGAAAAATGAGGACACATATTCCTTTATAAGGGCATGGTTGTCTGTGTGGTTCCACACAAATAATGTCACCACACTGAGTGAGTTTCTGGAATACTTAATTAAGTCTATAATAAATTATATTCAAATAAAGAACATTTGATGAATATTGAGCAACAATACAATTTAATCTAGTATCTACAGTGCTTGGAGTTGAAGCCTATGAACAAACAGCCTGCTTCGTACATCGCAGGAGATCATACCAGGAACCATCAAGTTTTACCTTGCCAGGCTTTTGAGCTTACCCTTGTTAGCCACTCTCACCTCTCTGGCCATATAGATGAAGTAACAGTCTTGCTTAAAAAGAGACTTTGAACAAACTTTTAGTTTAGTTTTTTTTTTTTTTTTAAATAATCTTCCAGCATTCTAAACTCTGAAATATGGATAACTTAAGAAATATTGATTACATTGATCTTGATACTGCTTTAAGAGATAATGGAAATCACCACATAAATGATGTGCACTATATGATTTAGATAACAAAATTAATTTTTTGTAATATTATCTGGATCTATTATCTTTTATTTGACTAATATTTTGCCAAATATTAGTCACATAAAATCATAGCTTCATAGATTTTTAATATAATTTTTTAAAATAATGGTCTGTTTACCCACTTAAGATTCTAGAAATGTTTTAACTGTCTGTTAGCTTGATTTACACCATTTAAATATGAAGACCGTTAAATAAAATACTTTAGACAAATTAAATATAGCAGAGATTATTTGAGCAAAGATGATTCATGAACTGGGCAGCCCTTAGAACCAGGAGTGGTTCAGAGAGCTTCACCCAGCAACATGGGTAGACAGTTTTTATAGACAGACAAAGTCATCTATAGAAAGCACTTGATTGGTTGCAGCCTGACATTTGTCTTATTTTCCATGGTATGAAGAGACATTTGCTTTGTTTGGATACATGCTGATCATTTGGCATCCTGTGATTGGCTGAAGCTTGGCTGATACGATCGGCTGAATCTCAGCTACTTGTTGCAGGAATATGCTCTTAGGCTGTAATTTGTTTACATACTAAGTTAGCTGCAGTACAATACTAGGAATTTCAAGTATGGAAGCAACCTAAGGCCAGATTTAGTTTAAAAAGACATATGGAAAATGCACATCCATATACAGTCCTCGCCTGAGCTATGTGAATGCCAGTGGCCATATTTGAGAATGTTGATTTCAATCTCCATACAAATGAGAACTGCAGATTGCCAGAGACGGGTGGAGTGGTGGGGTAGCAACTGGTGAAGAGGAGAAAGAGAGGAAAAATTTGAATTAATTTCTAGACTTTTAATTTGTAGGCTCTAGGTGGTCATGAAAAACTTTCCAAGAAGCTGGATATGGGGATACCAGCAGACAAAGCTTCAAAACATCCGTAGAGTTCATATCTCCTGAGATGTGGAAGTCTAATTTGAGATGAACTGGATACATCAGGGACACTCAGCATCTCTCCAAAAAAGGATGCTCCCTTTTTGACAGACAGGAATCAGCACAAGGAAACTACACAGTTTTGACAGAAGTGAATAATATGACTCTAATAAGCAAAGCTTCACAATAAATAAGGTTAGTAAAATTATTTGGGATATAAGTATAAAACTAAACAAATAATGTAAGTCATGAATTTAATAGATTTTTCAATACCAGTGAAGTGATAACCTAAAGCAGGATACAGCTGATGTTGGGTATCTATATGTGAATTTCATAATTTCATAACATCTTTTCTCATAAAGAATTTTTTTTAGCTAGATGCGTCATACTTATAATAAAATTCCAGAACATGGAGCATTGATTGGTTAACTCAATATTTTGACACACATTGAAAATAAGACAGACCTCAGTTTTTACATCTTAATTAGTCCTAGATTTAAAGTCATTTGCAAACAAATAATTTCCTGTTTCTCTAGAACATATGCATAGTAATTAGAATGCTAATGTAAATGTTTTTGGAAACTATTATTGATGAATGCAGTTCAGTTCAGCCTTGAGTATCATCCCAAGTTTTTTTCTCAATACACAGGGTTGATGCTTTTACGTTGTAACCTAGTGGAGCACTCAAACGAGGCACAATTCAGCTTCCTTTTCCCAACAGGCTGGAGTGCAGGGTCTCAGTGTTAAGTATCAGCTCTTAATTCTTTTGTCAAGACTTGTCATCTGCTAAACATCCTTTTTTTTTTTTCCTCAGCCCTCGATTTACACTTTTTCTATTTTAATTAACAAATTAATTTTGCTCCCTTAACAATTGTCCTCATCATTTTTGGAAAAAATCTCCCCTTGGAGAAGCAGTTTGTGCAACCCACAAACTATGAAATCAGAAACTCGTGGATCTTTTTTGGCCATAGTCACTTAATCTATGAAAGTTACAGTTTTTTATTTGTGAATGGTGATTACAACTGCATGCAAGACATGTAGGTAAATATAGTATCTGCTTTATAAGTTTCTATAAAAATCATAAATTAGTTAACATGCATAAAGCGCTCAGCATAGTGCTTGGTTCACTATAGGTATGATGATCTATTATCAGTATTATTAAATAATATGTGTAAACGCGTGGCTCCTAGCAACTGTTCCACCAGTAACAGCTCCTATTATGGCTCTCATTTGACTTTCTCTTTAGTTATGTTTGTTTTGTAGCTGAATTTAATTGCCATGACAAGGAAAGGAAGGAAGAAACTCATATGTAGCCTTTATAATTCATTCATTAATTTATTTATTCATTCCCAGAATCATTTATTTAATAAATATTTATTGACTACTTATTATATTCCAGACTCTGTGCTGGATTCTAATAAACATATATTACCTTATATAATTCTCAAGATAACTGGCTATATAAGGCATTATAGTATGTATTTTATTGATGAAAACAAATGAGAAGTCAAAAAACTTGTTGAGGTTCATTTGGAGCTCAGAATATCTGACTCTAAATCTGGATTCTTCTCACCTCCCCACATTACCTTTGGCTGAGTTTCTGCCTGCTATGCTGTCCAAAGCATGCACAGAACCCAATTACATTTTATAAATAAGAATGTAAAATCTGAGAAAGATGATTAGTCTCTGGAACTTCTATATACATGAAAACTTTATTATTTCCCCACGTTACATTTCCATGCTCCTAAGAATCCAGTCTCTGAAAGTTATGTTACTGTAGACTGACTCAGCAGTCACAGGCAGCCTCTGAAGTGACGGTTTTTCGTTTGGAATGTTGTTTCCAGCTGTATTAATGGGCACTTTCTGCACTATTGATCAGTTTAGCTGGGTGGTTGGTTTAATCTGGTCATCAACACAGCCATAGAAACCAGGTGCATCACTTTTTTTTAGTTTACTGTTGTTGAACAAGCAAAGCCATAAGCTTACATAGGGTGTTACCAACCCCTGGATTAGCTGCACACAGATGTGGATTATTGAGAAGCTCACTCCTTCATTGAATTACCTGCAGTGGGTGGATACTGATAGGGAGATGGGGCTGGTCATTGTATGTGATAGTTTTATCAAGCTGTTCAACCTACACATATTTTGTTTGTGTCTTGGCAATGTTTTAGTTCTCCCTATGAAGAGGGAGTAAGAAATTTTTTCCTAACTTTCAATCAAAACTTGAAAATGCTTAGAATTCAATTTCTTTTAAACCATGGACCAGATTCTTTTTGTTGAAGTGTGAAAGCAGAGACTTGTGCCTGAATGAAACATTGCTAGTGTAAGGTTTTTCGGCAACATCTATTACCTCTTTTTCTTTTCTACAAAGACAGCTGTTATTTAGGTGGGACTTTAATTTTTGCTTCTTGGTTCCGTAATAAATTTAATTGGCTACCAAAAACTTACGTAAGGGGAATTTTGTCATTTGAGTTTTTTGTTAAGTTTACTTTTATACAAATTACTGTGTTTTCTAAATAAAATTCATGCATGCATTATGATCAAGATTTTTAATTCATTTAGACATATTCAGACATGCGCAGTTACTAATTTTTGGCTTTTGAATATAAGCTATCCAGACACTTCTCTTAAGTCATTGTATTCACTATATTTGTATTCTTCAAAATAATTAAAGCATGGGATAAAAAAACCCAAGAACAATAAATGAGCCATTAATGAATAATTTTTTTCATTTTCAGATATAAATATTATCACTATCATTATTATATGGAAACTGTCATAACAGTAACATTCAAAACATAGCATATTCCATTTTTTCCTCAACATACCCTCCAACAGATATGGACCATTTCAACAATATAACTTGGTTTCAGCATTGCTCAGGATTTCCCATGCCCCTTAATGCCTCACACTCATAAGTACTTGATGTGTCCTGTATCTCAATTAACTTGACTCAAGCTCAGGCCTTCATGATTTTCATTGCATGTATGAGCTAAATTTTGCTTGAGGTCACGGCTCCTGAACTTGTGAAATAGCTTTATGAATAAAACAGTGTTGAATATACCCAAGGCATATTTCAGGTTGCTATTTTGCTAGTGCACCACATAAAGATGCCTCCTGCATTCTTTTTGATTATTATTCATTGTTTCCCTTTAAACAAATATTCTCAGGAACATTTTGTGCCTTAAAGTTTCCATAATGGTCACTCTGCCACCACAGAACAATAAGCACAATTGCCCATAGGTTTAACCTCATCATCTCTTTGTTTGAAATCACACCGTAATAAGAAATATTCTTGTGAGAGATCAGCTCACTGCCAGGCTTTCTTTTCTCAAGTTTGCTGCTTACTACTTAGAGAAGTTTTAGCTAGATGTCTGTAGATATGTGGAGAGATATACTCCACTTTCATTTCTGTACATCATTCTTTCTCTTCTGCAATTTACTTACTTTTCTACTCTCTTGAAGCTTCTGTTTCCCCAAATTTTGAGGTAAGTAGGATCAAATTTAAGTGTATAGCTTTGATTTTGTGTCTATAAATTCCATGCCACTCACTTTCTCTCATCTCTCACCTTTGTTTTATTTTGTTACAAAACCTATACATTTTTCCTGGGAAACCTTAGCCATTTAATATCATGTTCAAAATCAGAATACCATAACTTCTCCCAAAAGCAACATGACAAAATGTATCAAAACTTTTAGTATTGTTTATGACTTTTCATCTAGTACTTTAAAAATAAATGATAGTACATATACACGATGCAATGTTATTCATTTATTTGTTTTTCAAAAAATGTTGAATAATTTGTAAATTTATCACAAAATAGTTATTCAACAAATATTGAACTCTACTGCATGACAGTCACTGTTTCAGTGGTAAGTGAAAACTTAATGAGAAACTGTATGACGATAGTACAATGATTATTTGTGACTAAATATGAAGGGCATGTATCAAAGTAGAGAGGCTTGGAGAATCTATAAGTATGCTTTCCATTCTTAATATGTTTTTATATTCTTCATGTTTTACAATGAGTATGTACTATTTTTATAATAATGAGAAGTCCACCTACTTGTTTTAAAAAGCAGAAAACTTAGCAGGTAATACCACTTGCTCCATGTGCTTGATCAGGAGGTAGAGTAAGGGAGATGATTACTCACAAAATATTACAAATATGGAGCTGACGTCAGGCATAGGTGCTTTTAAACTAATACAAGCTTGCAGCTATTCTGACACCTAAAGACTGAGTTCCTGCATCAAAATCAGAAGGGTGCTTACATTAAATATATATTCTAAGTTCCACCTCAAACCCTATGTAGTCAGACACTTGATGTGGGAGCTTGAATTACTCAATGTATGCTGTATAACAGATTATACCAAAACTTAGCTATTTATAACAAAACATGATTATTATCTTACACAGCTTCTAAGGGTCAGGAATTAGCAGTTGTCAGTGGGTGGTTCTTACTCCTGGCCTCTCATGAGGCTCCAGACATCTGAAGGTGGGGTTCTGGAGGACCAGTTTCCAAGATGGTTCCCCAACATGGTTGTTGGCTGAAGGCCTCACTTTCTTCCTGGCTGTTAAAGGAAGCCACAGTTCACCGGCACACAGTCCTCTTGGTAGATTGCTTGATGGCTGGCTACTTCAGAAGGAGTAATTCCTGAGAGAAAGCAAGAGCAAACCACAATGCTTGGTACCCAAGTCACACAGCATCACCTTGAATGAATTTTATTCTTTAGAAGTTGTGTTAGTTAGGGTTCTCCAGAGGGATAGAACTACTAGGGTATATGTATATGTGAAAGGGAGTTTATTAGAGAGAATTGGCTCATGCAATTACAAGGTGAAGTCCCACAATAGGCAGTCTGAAAACTGGGGAAGAAACAAGCCAGTAGTGGCTTAGTCTGAGTCTAAAGGCCTCAAAAGCAGGGAAGTCAACAGTGCAGTCTTCAGTCTGTGGCCAAAGGCCCAAGAGCCCCTTGCAAATCAGTGGTGTAAGTCCAAGAGTCCAAAGGCAGAAGAACCTGGAGTCTGATGCCCAAGTGCAGGAGGAGTGGAAGGAAGCACCCAGCACAGGAGAAATATGAAAGCCAGAAAACTCAGCAAGCCAGCTTATCCCACCTTCTTCTGCCTGCTTTTTCTAGACTTACTGATAGCCTTTTGGACAGCACGCACCCACCCACACTGAGGGTAGGACTTCCTTTCCCAGTCCACTGACTGGAATGTCAATATCCTCTGGCAACAGCCTCACAGACACAACCAGAAACAATACCATTACCTAGACATCCTTTAATCCAACCAAGTTGACACCTAATGTTAACCATCACAAGTCCACCCCTTGTCAACTTGGCACCCATACAAATCTCCTGAAATCATACACAATCTCCAAATAATGACAACAATATGATCATAATTACACCCAACATAATACATCTATCCTTTGTACAACCAGATGTGTAATAATCCTTAACCTAAATGCTATTACATAAAGTTAACAACACTTGAATGCTGATATGAAGTCAGTAAATGAAGCCAATTACTCAATGTAGTCCACATTCAAGAAGAGGGAAATTAAGCTCCAACTCTTGAAGGAGTCTTAAATAACTTCTGGATTTAAAACCACCACCCCACTACCTCAGAATCTGTTGCTGCAATACAAACTCTTTCTCTCCTAACTCTAATGCACAAGTAGGTTAGAGACAACCGTCACGTCTCTCTTCCAGTGCAGTGCACATCTCTATTTCATTTCTCCATCCTTACTATATAAAGGGTGCCTGGGCACTTACCCATTCCTATTTTAAGACTTCACATTGTTAGGAGGAGAGCCTCATCTCACCAGATGTCCAATTATCTCTTTGAACAGATTCGATTTACAAGGTTTTCTTCTCCCCTTCATATTGAGCCAATGGTTATATTATGTAATCTCCTTATATCACTTCAAATTTTCTATATCTAGACTACATTATAAAACACACACAATGGCATGTCCTCAGTGGTTTTATTCTTGTAAGATGGAGGGTGCAGTTTTAAAATCTGCCTAGGTGAATATCATAAAACCCAAGTCTTGATAAATGTGGGATTAGCTGGCAAATGTCTCAGAGTAAGATGGAATAGATAAAGATCCAGAAAAAATAAAGCCTGAAATTTAGATGGAATGTTGAGAGAAGAGAGCCATGCCTTAAATGTTTTTTTAAAAATAAAGAAGATTCAAAACACATCCTCAATTTAATTTTTATATGTATGAAACATGGTGATAGAAAGTACTGTCAACAGTTCATAACTGAAGAAAAACACCACATTTCTTCTGCAAGTTTTGCCAAGTGGAGTCATTTACAGAAAAAAAAGGCATGTATTAGTCCATTCTCATGTTGCTATGAAAAAATACCCAAGACTGTTTAACTTATAAAGGAAAGAGGTTTGTTTAATTGACTCACAGTTCTGCATTGTTGGGGAGGCCTCAAGAAACTTACAATAATGGCTGAAGGCAAAGGAGAAGCGGGCCCCTTCTTTATAGGGTGGCAGGACAGAGTGGGTGAAAGCAGGGAAAATGCCAGACACTTATAAAACCATCAGATCCTGTAAGACTCACTCACTATCATGAGAACAGCATGGGGGAAACCACCCCCCATGATCTAATTACCTCCACCTGGTCCTGCTCTTGACATGTGGAGATTATAATTCAAGATGAGATTTTGGGTGGGGACACAGCCAAACCATATCAAGGCATGACAGCCAGTATCCCATTGTCCATATAAAAAGGTTTGAGAGAAAAAGAAAGTATTTGAGGGCATAGCAGAAACTTTGAGTAGTAAGCAATGTTTTCTTCTCCTTGATGGGTGTGGGAAAAACAGAGGCACCATCCATTTGTTTTCCTCAAAGTTGGGGTCTGACAACCAGCATATCTGCAAGAAGGAGACAATTGCATTTCAACCTCTGAACGAAGGTAGGCTGAACTTCAGTCCATGTGCCTCCTCTTCTCTCCTCGTAGAGAATGGGGAGAGGGACTTGGAGGGAGACACAGCAATTAAGCATAGGGATAATAATCTTTTTCTTGGTAAGTGTGGTGTGACAGATGTGGAAGGAATTCCTTGGGATCCTGCAAATCCAGGCTAAATAGTGGAAGAAGCTGCGGGTAGCTGTTGGTTACTCCCGATCATCCCAAAATACTTCCTGGCTAGTGGCACTACCATGTAGGATGGACATCTACCATTAGAGAGAGGCAGTGGAGAGGGATGGCAGCTGTGCTCTCAGAACTGACTCATGTCCCATGTCCATGAAGGAGCCCATCTAGTTGAAGACAACAGCACTTGGAGAGAGCAGTAAATGTACTGTGCCTCAGTTGCATAACTTCCCTTACAAACAATGGATTATCATTCACATTGACAAAAGTGTTTTCTTTCTCCTCACCTTGTGCCCACCACTTCTCAGAGGGAGGTTGTAGATTTCTCCTGGTCCATCTTACCCATTCTAGGATCACCACAGCTAGGGAGCACTCTATCTGATCTCTTAGAGGAAAATGCTAAGGAGGAAGTGACTGAAACTTTTACAACTATAAAATGAATGCCAAAAGAACTGACTGTGGGGGAAATAAATCACCCATAGGTACTAAGCTGCCACTTACTAGCAATTTTATTTTTTCTCTGCCCTCCTTCTTTCACAAAGTATATTTTGTGCCTTGTGGGTTATTATACTGAGAGCTCTGAATTAGGTAATTTAAAAAAAATTACACAAAATTAAACTTTTCCGTCTACTGGTAAGTTTAGACTGCTAATTTAAAGCTATTAGATCTGAGGGTGAACCTGTGTGATGCTCATAACAAATTGCTGCTTCTTTGACACCACATATGATTTCCAAAATAATTACTGATAATGTTTACTGATTGCTTAAAATGTACCACCACTGTGCTAAGTACTTTGCAAATATTATTTTATCTGAGCTTAATAATTCTATGAGATGATACAGATATCATCCTTCATTTAAAATCATTGGAAACAAAGATAGAAAGTGGGGTGCAGGAGGGGTCAAAGCCAGATAGGTAGGCAGTGTCCAAGATCCCAGAAGAAGGAGAGGTACAGTAAGGATTTGAACCCAGGCAGTCTTAGTCCACAGCAGAGCTTTAGTCTTTCCTTACTTCCTCTTCTTTCACTGGAACTGTAGAATGAAATCAACACAGTTGCCTCTTCTTCAAATAGGTACTGCCAGTTAAATCACATGTTCTGTTTATTTTTGGAAAAGTAAGTTTTGCTTTCAGCCCTCTAGAAGGAATCGCCACATAAACATGAAAGTTGAACCACTGATTAAAAGAAGTGAATGTACTGCTAATTATTTTCTTTCTGAAACAGAAGTGATGGATGCTATATGCTTGGAATTGAATATGGCTCTTAAGACATTGACAGCTTGCATTCATTTTCTTTGCTTAACTTACATAATACATTTCATAATTAAAATATAATGGTGCTTTGCTACTGCACCCCTCAAATCTCATTGCATGCACTCATTCATTCAATCAATCACTTATTATTAAATATTTATAGCCTCAAGAAGTATCTATTGTGAACAAAACACTATGCAAGATGCCAAGAAGACCAAAAGAACAGATAATAGATTTGATTTTGAATTCATTGACCAATTGATTCTTAAGCTTCTTAAAAACTTAACAAGAACAAGCTGAAGAAGAATTGGTAAGAGTCTTCCAGTTAAAGAGAAGCTAAAGAGGAAGAGAAGTATCTCAGGGCATAGTATACTGTTATTTAAATTATTTCAGTAAGACTCAGAAACAAAGTTCAATACGAAGATGTTGGGACAGTGGATACAGTCTGAACACTGACGTGCAGAATTTGAATTCCATTTGGAAAGAAATGGCAGTCATTTAAATGTTTTAATTTTATATGTGATGTGATAGATTTGATCTTAAAAATGTGACTTTCATGTACAGTGGTTTACAATAGATTGTTATAGAGGGCAAGAAATCAGTCAGAAGGACATGGCAAATTTAGATAAAAAATGATGAAGAGGACTCTAGTGTGATCCAAGATGTAGTAAGAAACAAATTTACCCTCATCACTGAAACAACTAATAAGTGAACAAGATATATAAATCCACCTTTTTGAGGATAATGGGTATAAGATAATGAAGGACAGTGATCACTGTGAGGAGAGAAATTAAGTAAACTGTGTGATTGTGCCATCTTCATGCATTGAGACTTTTTGGGCCATGGTGCAGGCAGGGGTAGCCCAGCCAGAGCTCAGCCCCCTCAGTTGAGAATATGGAATTGCAACTTTGAATAGAGCAAGGCAGTTAGGTTTCCAGGAAAGAATACTTGAGAAGAGAAAGTTTTTCAAAGAGAAACCTCCAGAGATGTACAAAGAGTCTCATTCACCACATATTTAGCTAAGTAATGCTTAGTACCTGCATTTAAGACTACCTAAGACAAGAACAAGATCTACCTGGATGGATTACAGTAAAGAGTATCCCATGTGACACAGTGTCACAAATAGTGCCAGTTTCTACAAGCTAGACTATGAAACCTCATGACTCACAGGGCACTGGGTAGAGCACACAGAAGGGTATTGCCTTAGTCATGAGAAATAAATACTCCAGGCCTGAGAATTGCTCCAGTATCACCTAACAAATTAAATAAGCAAGGCCTGAGAGACCCAGATTTTTCTAGGTAAATTGAATGTATCCCAGAACAAAGCTCAAGATTAAAAAGAACACAAAAATATCTGTCATTCAACATGGTAAAAGTAAGAATGCCTGGCATACAATCAAAGATTATCAGGCAGGAAAAGAAGCAAGAAAATATAACCAATAGTAACGATTAAAAAAACAATTGAAACTAACAGAACAGATACAGATTTTAAATTTAGCAAAAAAAGTTTTACAATTTATTAAAATTATATTCAATATATGCATAAAACTAAGTGGCTCCAAAAAATTTAGAAACATGAAGAAAATCACACCAAAATCAAATTATTTAAAACCAGTTATCAAGAGAAAAAATATTAAACCAATCAGCAAAAAAGGGCATATTATGTACAAAAGAATGAAGATAAGGGTAACAGCAGATTTTTTGTCAGAAACAATGCAACCCAGAAGATAGTGGAGCACTATCTTTTAAGAACTAAAATAAATGACTATCAACCTAGAATTCTATACTCAGTGAAAATATATTTTAAAAATGAGGAGGAACTAATGCCTTTTTGAGACATATAAAAGCTTCAAGAATTCATTACAAACAGACTCTAACTCCACACAAAAAGTTAAACATTCTTTAGGCAGTTGAAAAATGAACCAACTGAAAATCTAAATTTACACACAAAAATGAAGAGCACCAGAGATAGTGACTACATGTGTCCATGTGTCATAAAAAACATTGCAGTTTCTGTCTTGCTCTCATGGATTGTTTGTACCAGAAAATACAGTTGATAATAGTGAATCAGTTCACTTGGTATATGATCATGGGAGGAACTGTGACCTCGTATCTATAACCATATGAGCAAATTGTCCTGGAAGCTGATCATCCAGTCCCAGCCAAGCCAGCAAATGACTATAGCTCTGGCTGATATCTTGACAGCAACCTCATGTGAGTTCCTGAACTAGAGACATTGCAAAATTCTTGACTTTCAGAAAATGAGATAGTAAATGTTTGTTGCTTTAAGAATTACAAAAAACAAAATATAAAAAGACTTAATAAAACTTTAAATTATCATTTCAGCTTTAACTGATATAATTTACAGATATGTTAGCCCTTGTTTACAAATACATACAATAGCATTGTCTGTAAGAACAGAAGTCTGGAAATAACTGAAATGTCTAAAAATAGGAATTGGTTAAGTAAATTATGGTAAATCCTTAAAATGATAAAACCATCAACCACAAAATTAGCAAGCAAAATGGAAGCAGAAAGACTTTGGAAGATCTGGCACATATTATGGTGATATAATCAAATATTAAATGTTCAGGGTGAGGAAAGTGTAGCAGCTAAGGATAACAGCCTTTTCTGCATTTCCCAGTTTCTGTACCATTGTTTCCTACTTAAATTATTGCAACAGCCAGCTATCCTGTCTCTCTGCTCTTAATCTTTCTCTGAAAGTCAATCTCAACCCATTATCAAGAGGGAAAGCCTTTTAAAAGTACAAGACACAGCACTTTGGGAGGCTGAGTCGGGTGGATCCACAAGGTCAGGAGATCGAGACCATCCTGGCTAACACGGTGAAACCCCGTCTTTATTAAAAATACCAAAAAATTAGCCAGGCGTGGTGGCGGGTGCCTGTAGTCCCAGCTACTTGGGAGGCTGAGGCAGGAGAATGGTGTGAACCCAGGGGGCAGAGCTTGCAGTGAGCCGAGATCGCACCACTGCACTCCAGCCTGGGCAACAGAGCCAGACTCAGTCTCAGAAAAAAAAAAAAAAAAAAAATTATAAGTTGAGTTTAATCATTCCTCTGTTCAAACCCTCTAAAGACTCACATTTTCACCTGTGTCTTGTTATTTTTCTTGCCTTCTTTACAACTTCTTTTCACTTGCCCCTGCCTTGGTTCATTCTGTTCTTGCTATAAGATGCTGCTCTCCTTACTGGTCCTCAAGCATACTAGGAACACTCCTATCTTTGTGAGTTTGTCTGAGCTATATCTCTGCTTGCAATGCTCTTTCCTCAGAATCACAAAGCTGACTTCCCCACCTGGAAACATCTGTTTGATATCATATTCTAAGAATGACAACCTTAGCTACCTTATTTAATATGGTGACCTGCCTTCCAGTATAATTCAAATTTCCAATCCCATTACCCTTCGCTACTTTTAAATTTTTTGTTGCTTATCATCACTAAAAAATGTAAAGTATCCTTTTTTTGTATTTATTGTGTATTACTTATTCCTCTCCTAGAACATAAGATCTACAAAGAAGAAATTTTGCCTTATTTATGTATGTATGTGTTTATTTATTTTCATTGCTGTATCTGATTTTAAAAACCGGGTAAAAATTATGTACTTAATGCATATTTTTGTATGAATAACATGTTTTACTTCCAGTCTAATTGCTTAGTGACACTCTATCAACTCTCATCCTAGATGTCAAACTTCTATTAATTCAGTTAATATTTATGTTGACTTTTGTGGTGGTGACATAACTGTGCTTACTCATTCTGAAATTATTTTTCATTTAGAACGTTATGAAGAAATGATTGGGAATCATTGACAAAGATATTAAAGTTGTGCAACAAGTTGAAGTAAAAATTACTCTTGTAATGCAATATTTCAAAATAGAGTGAAAGCATGGTGAGCAGTTGCACATACAGCACAGAGTTTTTAAACATTAAAGTGTATTTGATTATTCAATGGTGATATCTTAACTTCAGAAGTAGCTTTAGATTTCGGACCAAGTGACTGGGACAAAGTAGCCCCACATAGGTTGATGGCCCTTAAATAAAAAGGTAATTTCACAAAACCAGTGATGTTTCATAGACCCTTTCAGAGTTTCCAGATATTATTTATTGTATTCATTATTCTTTTGGTATTATGTTTATTGTGCTAATTAAAATGTAACAACAATCATATTAAAACATAAAATATGAGGTTCCCCAAAACAGTGAAAATGTATTGAAATTTGAATCTACAAACATAAAATTGTGAAGTGGTGGTATTTTACGGAAGACAGCATTAGGAGCAGCTAAGAGCTGCATCGGGGCCCACATAAACTTGAGAGAGCTCTGGAATGAAATGTTATCTTAAAGTGAGAACCTGTGAGGCAATTCCCAAAGGGTGCTACCCCTACAAAGCAAAGTGAGGAAATGCCTAATTGAGCCTAGAGCCTTATCATTGCTGTTGGTGGTATTCATGAGATTGTTGGCGTTTTTAATTTCTATATTGAAAAAGATTTTGCAGTTTTTATTCTGACACAAAAAGTAAAGTCTTAGTGTGATGTTTTATAACTAGTTTGGGGGATTTTATATATACTTCCATTCTATTGTGCATTTGAGGATTACTGGGCTTCCCTTCTTTGGAGGCTTTTGGAAATTAAATCTTACTCTGAAGAGGCAGATTGTCTTGTGGAATAGCCATGCTTTTGTTCACTCTACTTCAACCACCACTCCTGCTTACCACCACTCCTACTCATTGGCCATCTTCTCTCTGCTATGGGGCAGAGAATTTGAAATCTGTAATCTACTGGGACACTAATTCACTGAGTCCACTTCCTTATGGGAATTTATGAGGTGTCTATTTTTCTAGAAGACCAAAACAGAGGGCACTACCGTTCCTAAGTTGACTCATGGCCATTGGTGTTTGCCATAACAAAAATATTTAAGTACAAATACTTATTGAATACATTTATTTATGCAACATTTTATACAATTGACATTCAGACTAAATATCTCTCTTCATTCGAGTTTATAACCAAGCTTTACCTTATAGCTTAAAATGGGAAGTCTACAAAATTCAGGAGTTTAAATTCAAAAAATGAATTTGTAAGCATTCTCTAGTAAAATTTCAAAACTTCATACTTATTTAATTCATCGATATTTCTTTTAAATTTTATAGCTTATTATGTATCTTTTGTTTCTTTTTCATATAACATGATGACCCTTCCCCTAATGGGAGTTACTTAGTTACAAACATGGAATTCAGAGTTTCAATATTTGTTTCTATAGTCAAATGAGTTATATGTAATTTTGTTCAGTATCTCAAAACTGATTTCCTTCATGTTTTAGTAAATATGAAATGCTATGAGAATATGAAATAATGAAGCTTATAACTAGACATGCTATTAAACAAAGCTTTCTTTTTTGCTTAAAATAATAAGTTATAATTAAGAAATATAACCTTTTATGTGAGAAGTATATGAATTCAAAATGTCCTAACTTCTTTCCAATACAATACATATGCCACAAATTTTGTCAAGTTTAACATATGAAAATAAATTATTATTATTTTTACATTTTATTTTATTTTATTTTATTTTTTCTTTTTTTATTATACTTTAAGTTTTAGGGTACATGTGTACATTGT
Organism: Homo sapiens; assembly: GCF_000001405.40. Taxonomy (NCBI): domain Eukaryota; kingdom Metazoa; phylum Chordata; class Mammalia; order Primates; family Hominidae; genus Homo; species Homo sapiens. The sequence goes on along the minus strand of NC_000002.12, from coordinate 125,897,565 downwards.
GCAGGTTAGTTACATATGTATACATGTGCCATGCTGGTGCGCTGCACCCACTAACTCATCATCTAGCATTAGGTATATCTCCCAATGCTATCCCTCCCCCCTCCCCCCACCCTTATTTTAGCATATTTTAAAGTGTGTAGTGCAATAGGTTGCATGTAATAATAGATCATAAATTTATTTGTAAAATATATGTATTGAGCACTTGTTACACGTGTTCAATGCTTTCAAAGGTAATACATGATCCCTGAGTCCATAAGCTAATGTGGAATGTGAACTGCATGTTGGAAGGCAGGTGAAATTTGGAGAAAAAAAAGAAAGAATAGTTTTAGTAGAAGGCAAAACTTAAGTAAATGCACAAAGGTTGAGAAACAAAGGGCATGTCAAAAATAACAGAACATGCCCCTAATATAAAGTGTATATTATGGAGGAGTTAGAGATAAAATCTTTTTTTCACTTCTATTGGTTATTCATTTTGCTCTAACCACACATAGTGAGGAAACATTATGCATTGACTGAACATAGTGAGAAAACTGGATTAAATCTAAGTTATATTTGGTGTATGTTTAAGGAATGTCTGGTAGAATGGAGAGTCATGAAGAGGAGGTGGTGTAGCAGTGAACCAAAAGTCTATCTACTGACGGGTGCCCATACGGAGATTCTATCTTGAGAAAGATGGAATCTGACCTATGAAAAGTCTCAACCGTCAAGTAAGAATCAAGGCGTTGAGCAGAGCACGTTTTCTTTTACATTGTGTGCTTCCAACCCAACCCGATGATATGCATGAGTGAATCCTATAAAACATGATGTGGCACAAAGTAAAAAATAAAAAAAGCTATTTGGCCAACATCAATATTACTTACAGAGAAAGAAGACATGTGTATCAAGGTGTCTAACAAAGCATAATACACACACACACACACACACACACACACACACAGTGTTATTTCATATTTTTTTAACCACATAACACAATACTACACCAGTGCGTGGTGACAGTGCCCAGGAGAATGATGAAAGAACCCTGCAGACATAGTGGCATCCAAAGGAGGAGACGGTGGCAGCAAATACATTTTGTGATACCCAGTGGATGAAGTAAGGTGAGTCTGATAAGGCACTTCTGTGCCGCATAAAGTAGTGGGAGGTCCTGTTGAGGATATGGTGCTTAGCAGATGTGCAATACCCAGCTTATATCCAGAAGAAGACAGCAAATAGAAAATGTAGCAATCATCAGTGAACCCAGCCAAGAAGCAGTGATGGCTTGAGAGAAAGAAGCTTTGTTTCACCTATTTGTTAAGCTAGGATATTTGTTAGTAATACATATTCTGGTACTTCCAAATTAATCAATATATAAGCAAAGAACAATAAGTGAGGTTAAGATAAAAATTAAAACTATATATATATATACACACACACACACACACGCAGTTTACTGAGGCATGACTGCAACAATATTATGCAAACAATGTATTCACTGAATAAAAAAGGAGAACATTTAGATAAAGGCATTACTTATAATCTTACTACCTAGATATATTAATTCATATAGATTCTTCTAAAGTTGTTCAAAGTATATAAAGAGTAAGAGAGGAGAAAAAGTAGGAAAAAAGTAAACTCATATTTGAACCTGATTTTGTAACTTATAAGTAGGATACTAAAGCACAATATCCTATGTTAGGAAATAGAGACCCTCTCATTTATTTATTATAAATACGTTGTATTCTATTTGCTCTCTAGCTAGCTAGTTAGTTAGCTATTTATTATTTCTGTGTGTGGTGGTTTATACTGAGTGTCAACTTGATTAGATTGAAGGATACGAAGTACTGATCCTGGTTGTGTCTTTGAGGGTGTTACCAAAAGAGATTAACATTTGAGTCAGGGGGCTGGGGAAGGCAGACCCACCCTTAATCTGGTGGGCACAATCTCATCAACTGCCAATGAATATAAAGCAGGCAGAAAAAGATGAAAAGGAGAGACTGCCCGAGCCTCCAAGCCTTCATCTTTCACCCATGCTGGATGCTTCCAGCCCTGGAACATCAGACCCCAAGTTCTTCAGTTTTCGGACTTAGACTTGCTCTCCTTGCTCCTCAGCTTGCAGACAGCATATTGTGGGGACCTGTGATTATGTAAGTTAATACTTAATAAACTCCCCTATATATATATATATATATATATATATATATATATATAGGAATATATATATATATGGGAATATATATATATATGGGAATATATATATATGTGGGAATATATATATATATGGGAATATATATATGGGAATATATATATATGGGAATCTATATATATATGGGAATCTATATATATGGGAATATATATATATGGGAATATATATATGGGAATAGATATATATGGGAATAGATATATATGGGAATATATATGTGGGAATATATATATGGGTATATATATGGGAATATATATATGGGTATATATATGGGAATATATATATGGGAATATATATATGTGAATATATATATGGGAATATATATATATGGGAATATATATGGGAATATATATATGGGAATATATATATGGGAATATATATATGGGAATATATATGGGAATATATATATATGGGAATATATATATGGGAATATATATATGGGAATATATATATGGGAATATATATATATGGGAATATATATGGGAATATATATATGGGAATATATATATGGGAATATATATATAGGGGAATATATATATAGGGGAATATATATAAAATAATCCCCTATATATGAGAAAAATATATATAATATATATGATATATATTATATAGATTAATAATTATCCCATATTATGTATAATGTAGTATATATATTATGTATAATATATATACACATAATATATGTAATATATATACATTATATATACACAATATATATACACTTTATATATTATATATACATTATATATACATAATATATATACATAATATAATATATTATATATAATATATGTAATATATAATATATTATATATTATGTATATATACATAATATATTATATATTATGTATATATACATAATATGTAATATATTATGTATATATACATAATATATATATCTATATAAATAATATATATTATATAGATACATAATATATACATAATATATATTGTATATCTATATACATTATATATAAAATAGATACATAATATATATACATAATATATAATATATCTATATACATTATATATATTATATAGATACATAATATACATATAATATATATATTATATAGATACATAATATATATACATAATATATATATTATATAGATACATAATATATATACATAATATATATTATATAGATACCTAATATATACATAATATATATTATATAGATACATAATGTATATAAATAATATATATTATATATAATATACATATTATATATACATAATATACATACCTTATATATTATATATACATTATATAAACACCTTATATATATTATATATACATAATATATATACCTTATATATTATATATACATAATATATATACACCTTATATATATTATATATACATAATATACTACATAACATGTATATTATATATACATAATATACTACATAACATGTATATTATATATACATAATATACTACATAACATGTATATTATATATACATAATATACTATATAATATGTATATTATATATACATAATATACTATATAATATGTATATTATATATACATAATATACTATATAATATGTATATTATATATACATAATATACTATATAATATGTATATTATATATACATAATATACTATATAATATGTATATTATATATACATAATATACTATATAATATGTATATTATATATACATAATATACTATATAATATGTATATTATATATACATAATATACTATATAATATGTATATTATATATACATAATATACTATATAATATGTATATTATATATACATAATATACTATATAATATGTATATTATATATACATAATATACTATATAATATGTATATTATATATACATAATATACTATATATTATGTTATACATAATATACTATATATTATGTTATACATAATATACTATATATTATGTTATACATAATATACTATATATTATGTTATACATAATATACTATATATTATGTTATACATAATATACTATATATTATGTTATACATAATATACTATATATTATGTTATACATAATATACTATATATTATGTTATACATAATATACTATATATTATGTTATACATAATATACTATATATTATGTTATACATAATATACTATATATTATGTTATACATAATATACTATATATGTATATTATACTATGTACAATATATATTATATCGTATATACAATGTATTATATTATATCATATATATTATATATTATGTATAATATATATAATATAATAGAGTGTATAATATATAATATATATGTTATATTATATATTATATATATTATCTATGTTAGATAATTATATATGTGTTATATATGTTATATATGTAATATATGTTATATATGTTATATGTGTGTGTTATATATGTTATATATGTTATATATAACATATATAACATATATAATATATAATACATATAACATATATAATATATAATTTTATATGTCATATATAATTTCATATATAATTAGATAAATATATATATAATTATATATGTTATATATGTAATTATATCTTATATATGTTACAGATATAATTATATGTTATCTAATATATGTTATATATTAATTATATATTATAAATAATGTATAATGTGTAATATATAGTATATCATATATACAATATAATATATAATATATATTATATATGTTATTATATTTATGTATGTTATATCATATAATATATATTATTATATTTATATATGTTATATTATATAATATATATTATTATATTACATATATTATATATTATATTATATTACATATATTATATATAATATGTATTATATTACATATATTATATATTATATATATTATATATAATATATCATATATCATATATGTATATAATATATATTATATATATTATATATAATATATACTATATACTATATAATATCTATTATCTATAGTATATACTATATATCTATTATGTTTAATATATACTACATAATATACTATATATAGTATATATTATACATAATATATAATATAGTGTATATAATATATACTGTATAATATATACTGTATACTACTATATATAGTATATATAATATATACTGTATACTACTATATATAGTATATATAATATATACTGTATAATATACTATAATATACTATATGTATATATACATATAGTATATATAATATACTATATGTAATATATTTTAATATATGCTATATGTGATATATTATAATATATCCTATATATAAGATAAAATTTATTATATCATATGTAATATGTTATAATATATCCTATATATAATATATATTATATTATAACATATATAATATATTATATTATATCATATATAATATATTATATTATATCATATATTATATATTATGTATTATATATGATATAATATAATATACATTATATGTTATATATTATATAATATGTTGCATAATATATATTATGTATTATATATTTTATGTAATTATATATATGTTATATATGTTATATATGTTATATATTTGTTATATTTATAACATATATTTAATTATTTATATATTATGTATAAGTATATATAATATATATAATACATATACAATTATATATGTTATATAATATATAGTATATGTTATATATGTTATATAATATATATTATATAATAATATGTAATATATATTATATATATTTTATTATATATTAATAGGTAATATATATTATATATATTATATTATATATTAATAGGTAATATATATTATATATATTATATTATATATTAATAGGTAATATATATTATATATTAATATGTAATATAGATAATATATATTATATTATATTTATAGTTATATATAATTGTATAATAATAATATAGATATATTATTATTTTATATATATATATATAGGGGAGTTTATTAAGTATTAACTCACATAATCACAGGGCCCCACAATATGCTGTCTGCAAGCTGAGGAGCAAGGAGAGCAAGTCTAATTTAGACTTAGACTATATATATAGGTAGACTATATATATTTATTATTCCTATATATATATATATATATATATATATATATATATACATATAATCTGCCCCCTGGGAAGATTTCCCTTCACCACTGTCCTTCAAGGTTGTCCTAAAATGGAGCTATAGTGCTGGTGCTGTCCACTTTTGTTTTGACATATTGTGCAAAGCCATCTCTGAACCAGGTCTTTGTCTCCTTTTTTTCTGTCAACTGAATATAGGAAACTCCCCATGAGGCCACTGATGTAGGCTGGAAAAGAGAAGGCTTCTAATATATATATATATATATACACACACACACACACACACACACACACACATATATATACACACACACATATATATGTGTGTGTGTTTCTGTATGTGTGTGTGTGTATATATATATGTTATGTATCCTATTAATTCTGTCCCTCTAGAGAACCCTGAATAATACAGATTGTGGTAAGAGGAGTGGTTTTAGAGGAACAGAATATTAAGGATGGAATTCTTTCATTTGGTTTTGGGATTCCTGGAGTTGGCTGCTTAATATGATTAGATCCCAAAATGCTAAGGACTCTACTTCTAATAGCATGGAGACCTATTAGATAGTCCTTTGATACTCCTAGTCCTTGGTGTCAACTGTTTAGAGAGTTATGCAAAATAAATGCATTTGACATTCCTGATTCACTGCTCATGAGAGGTCAGTAGTTTAGTGACTCTATACATAATACCTTTGACCATATGTGGAGAACCAAGCAACATATTAAAGCTGGTTGGTTGCTCCTAAGTTCAGTGGACAAAGTGATGAAAGAAAAGGATGAACTCAGAGATTCTGTCTCCAGGCTTCAGAAGCAGATACTTAGCCTCAAATCTGCTAATATTACCCTAACTGAGAGTCTTATCTCCTGCAGAGAAGTAGCTGAAATTGTGGAAAAACAGACAGAGGCTCTTATCATGCTTATGGGTGGCCTGCAACAAAAGATGCATGCACGGGCTTGCCAGGTGTCAACTGTTAAAGTGAGTGCATTAATTGGAAAAGAATGGGACCTGGCAACTAGGAATGGGGATGTGTGGGAGGACCCTGATGAAGCTGGGGGCACTGAGTTTATAAACTCCGGTGAAACTTTTTGCCAGAAGGAACATCTTCCCCATCCCCAGTAGTGGCAACATTCCCTCCTTGACCCATGCTGCCATCAGCCTTTCCACCTTTGTCTGAGGAGATAAACCCTGCACTGCCTGAGGCAACAGTGATGGCCTCCCCAGAGGCTCAACACTCCTGTTTGCTTCTAGACCTATAACTAGACTAAAGTCCCAGTGGGCCCCTGGAGGTGAGGTTGAGAATGTGACCCATACGAGCTGCACTACACTCGAAAAGAACTGTTTGAGTTCTCTAATTTATATAAACAGAAATCTGGAAAACAGGCATGGGAATGAATATTAAGGGTATGGGATAATGATGGAAGAAACACGAGTTGGATCAGGCTGAATTTATTGATTTGGCCCCACTAAGTAGGGACTCTGTGTTTAATGTTGCAGCTCAGGGAGTTAAAAAAGTTTCTAATAGTTTATTTGCTTGGTTCGCTGAAATATGGATTAAAAGATGGCCCAATTTAAGTGAGCTGATCTCCTTGGTTTAATGTAGAGGAAGGGATCCAAAGGCTTAGGAAGATTGGGATGGTGGAGTGGATTAGTCACTTTAGACCTACTCATCCCAGCTGGGAGGGTCCAGAAGATATATCCTTGACCAATGCCATGCAAAATAGGTTTGTGAGGGCAACACCTGCATCTTTGAAGAGTCCTGTAATTGCTCTTCTTTGTATGTCAGATCTCATGATGGGAACCACAGTCACTCAACTACAAAGCCTAAATACAGTGGGAGTAATTGGATCCCGAGGTAGTGGGGCCAAGTGGTGGCAATAAACCGTCAAAGGCAAGGTGGGCATAGCTACCATAATGGACAGCAGAGGCAACAAGGCAATAAGAATAGCCTGACTCATGTAGAGCTCTGGCATTGGCTGATTAATCATGGTGTTCCTAGAAGTGAAACTGATTGGAAGCCTACTACATTTCTACTTAATTTATGCAAGCAGAAAACTTCTAGGTCAAATGGAGAAATACTAATCTGAATTATGAAAACAGAGAGTCACAGCCCCTCAATCAATTTCCAGACTTGAGCCAGTTTATAGACTCAGAACTTCTTGAATAAAGGGGAGGCCAGTTCCCCTTGAGAAAGGACCCCACTACATTACTGACAATTTATGCAGTGAATCTTTCTCCCATTCTTCTCCAAGAAGACCCCTAGCCTTTTACCAGGGCAACTGTGCACTGGGGAAAGGGAAATCTTCAGACATTTCAGGGACTACCAGACACTAGCTCTGAGCTGACATTGATTCCATGGAACCCAAGACATCATTGTGGTACTCCAATTAAAGAAGGGGCTTATGGAGATCAGGTAATTAATGGAGTTTTAGCTCAGGTCTGATTTATAGTGGGTCCAGTGGGTCCCCAGACTCATCCTGTGGTCATTTCCCCAGTGCCAGAATGCATAATTGGCATATACATACTTAGCAAGTGACAGAAACCCCACATTGGCTACCTGACTGGTAGGATGAAGACTATTATGGTGGGAAAGGCCAAATGGAGGCCATTAGAGCTGTCTCTACCTAGAAAAATAGTAAATCAAAAACAATATTGCATCCCTGGAGGGACTGCAGAGATTAGTGCCACCATCAAGGACTTGAAAGACACAGGAGGGGTGATTCCCACCACATCCCCGTTCAACTCTGCCATTTGGCTCATGCAGAAGACAGACGGATCTTTGAGAATGACAGTGGATTATTGTAACAACCAAGTGGTGACTCCAATTGCAGCTGATGCACCAGGTATGGTTTCATTGCTTGAGCAAATTAACACATCTCATGGTACCTGGTGTGCAGCCATTGACTTGGCAAATGCCTTTTTCTCCATTCCTATCCATAAGGCCCACCAGAAGCAATTTGCCTTCAGCTGGCAAGGCCAGCAATGTAGCTTCACTGTCCTACCTCAGGGATATATCAACTCTCTGGCTTTGTTTCATAATCATATTTGGATAGACCTTAATCACTTTTCACTTCTGCAAGACATCACACTGGTCCATTACATTGATGACATTATGCTGATTGGATCCAGTGAGCAAGAATTAGTAAACACACTGGATTTATTGGTGAGACATCTGCATGCCAGGGTTTGAGAAATAAATTTGACTAAAATTCAGGGAACTTCTACCTCAGGTGCCCAATGGTTGGGGTCTGTCAAGATATTCCTTCTAAGGTGAAGGATAAGTTGCTGCATTTGGCCCTTGCTACAACCAAAAAAGAGGCACAACGCCAAGAGGGCCTATTTGGATTTTGGAGCATTCCTTATTTGGGTGTGATGCTCTGGCTCATTTATCAAGTGACCCGAAAGACTGCCACTTGTGAATGGAGTCCAGAACAGGAGAAGGCTCTGCAACAGGTCCGGGCTTCTGTGCAAGGTTTTCTGTTACTTGGGCTGTATGACCCAGCAGATCCAATGGTGCTTGAGGTGTCAGTGGCAGATAGGGATGCTGTTTAGAGCCTTTGGCAGGATCCATAGGTGAATCACAGTGGAGGCCTCTAGGATTTTAGAGCGAGGTCCTGCCATCCTCTGCAGATAACTACTCTCCTTTTGAGAGACAGCTCTTGGCCTGTTACTGGGCTTTGGTTGAAACTGAACATTTGACTATGGGTCCTTAAGTCACCATGTGACCTCAACTGCCTATCATGAACTGGGTGCTTTCTGATCCATCTGGCCATAAAGTGGGGCATGCACAGCAGCATTCCATCATCAAATGGAAGTGATACATATGTGATCGGGCTCTAGTAGGTCCTGAAGGCATAAGAAAGTTACGTGAGGAAGTGGCTCAATTGCCCATGGTATCTACTCTTGCCACCCTGCCTTCTCTTCCCCAATCTGCACCGATGGCCTCATGGAGTTTCCTATAATCAGTTTCCTATGATCAGAGGAAGAGAACCCTAGGGCCTGATTCACAGATGGCTCTGCACAATATGTCCACCTGAAAGTGGGCAGTTGCAGCACTACAGCCCCTTTTTAGGACATGCCTGAAGGACAGAGGTGAAGAGAAATCTTCCCAATGGGCAGAACTTCGATCAGTGCACCTGGTTGTGCACTTTGCATGGAAGGGGAAATGGCCAGATGTGCAATTATATATGGATTCATAGGCTGTAGCCAATGGTTTGGCTCGATGGTCAGGGATTTAGAGGAAGCATGATTGGAAAATGGGTGAGAAATAAATTTGGGGAAGAGGTATGTGGATGGACCTCTCTAAATGGTAAAACACTGTGAAGATATTTGTATCCCATGTGAGTGCTCCCCAGCGGGTGACCTCAGGAAAGGAGGATTTTAATAATCAAGCGGATAGGATGACCCGTTCTGTGGACACCACTCAGCTCTTTCCCCAGCCACCCTGTCATCGCCCAATGGGCCCATGAACAAAGTGGCCATGGTAGCAGAGATGGAGGCTATGCATGGGCTCAGCAACATGGACTTCCACTCACCAAGGCTGACCTTGCAACAGTCACTGCTGAGTACCGAATTTGCCAGCAGCAGAGACCAACACTAAATCCTCGATATGACACCATACCTCAGGGTGATCAGCCAGCTACCTGGCAGCAGGTTGATTATATTGGACATCTTCCATCATGGAAAGAGCAGAGATTTGTCCTCACTGGAATAGACACTTACTCCGGATATGGGTTTTCCTATCCCGCACACGATGCTTCTGCCAAGACTACCATCCGTGGACTCATGGAATGCCTTATCCACTGTCATGGCATTCCACACAGCATTGCCTCTGACCAAGGCACTCACTTTACTGCTAAAGAAGTGCAGCAGTGGGCTCATCCTCATGGAATTCACTGGTCTTACCATGTTCCCTATCATCTTGAGGCAGCTGGATTGATAGAACTTTGCAACGGCCTTTTGAAGTCACTATTACAACACCAACTAGGTGACAATACTTTGCAGGGCTGGGGCAAAGTTCTCCAGAAGACCATGTATGTGCTGAATCAGCATCCAATATATGGTACTGCTTCTCTCATAGCCAGGATTCGCCAGTCCAGGAATCAAGGCGTGGAAGTGGAAGTGGCACCACTCACCATTACCCCTAGTGACCCACTAGCAAAATTTTGGCTTCCTGTTCCTGCGACTATATGTTCTGCTGGCCTAGAGGTCTTAGTTTCATAGGGAGGTATTCTGCCACCAGCAGACACAACAACTCCATTGAACTGGAAGTTAAGATCGCCACCTGGACACTTTGAGCTCCTTCTACCTTTAAGTCAACGAGTTAAGAAGGGAGTTACAGTGTTGGCTGTGGTGACTGACCTGGACTATCATGATGAAATCAGTCTACTACTCCACAATGGAGGTAAGGAAGAGTATGCATGGAATACAGGACATCCATTAAGGTGTCTTAGTATTACCATGCTCTGTCATTAAGGTCAATTGGAAACTACAACAGCCCAATCCCTGCAGGATTACAAATGGCCCAGACCCCTCAGGAATGAAGGTTTGGGTCATTCCACTAGGAAAAATACCACGGCCTGCTGAAGTACTTGCTGAAGGCAAAGGGAATACAGAATGAGTAGTGGAAGAAGGTAGTCATCAATACAACCATGTGACCAGCTGCAGAAATGAGAACTATAATTGCCATGAGTATTTCCTCCTTCTTTTGCTAAAAACATGTTTGTGCATATATACACTTGTACTAAGAAAATTATTTTATTTCCTTTTCCTTTATCATGTGACTTAAGGTTTATTGACTTCATATCAGCATTCAAATATTGTTAGCTTTATGTAATGGTATATGAGTTGGGGATTCGTGCTTTTCCGGTTGTACAAAGAACAGTTGTATTATGTTAGGCGTAGTTATGACTTTATTATTGTCTTTATTTGAAGATTAGGTATGACCTCAAGATATGTGTATGGGTTCAAGTTGACAAGGAGTGGACTTGTGATGGTTAATACTGAGTGTCAACTTGACTGATTGAAGCATACAAAGTATTAATCCTGGGTATGTCTGTGAGAGTGTTGCCAAAAGATATTAACATTTGAATCAGTGGGCTGGGGAAGGTAGATCCACCCTTAATCTGGTGGGCACAATCTAAGTAGCTTCCAGTAAATATAAAGCAGTCAGAAAAACGTGAAAAGGAGAGATTGGCCTAGCCTCCCAGCCTACCTCTCTCCCGTGCTGGATACTTCCTGCCCTCAAACTTCGGATTCCAAGTTCTTCAGTTTTGGGACTCCGGCTGGCTCTCCTTGATCCTCAGCTTGCAGACAGCCTATTGTGGGACCTTGTGATTATGTAAGTTAATAATAAACTCATATATATATTCTATTAGTTTTGTCCCTCTAGAGAACCCTGAATAATACAATGTGTGACTATATGTGTGTGTATATACACATATATTGGTGGCTTCATAGACTGTGCTATTTTTTTATTTGCAGCCTTTGAATGCCATGCTGGAATTCCTAAGTATTTGTTTGATGATTTGTCTCTTATAACAGACATTTATTTCAGGGGAGCTTTTGGCCAAAGTTCAGGAAAATTTCCTTTTCCTTTCCAGAGCAAAATCAATTAATACGTTTCACATAATACAGTAAGTGGATCTTTCTGATATGCCTATTTATTGTATTAAGACAGTATTGAAATATAATCATCTATTACTCATATGTTTCTCAGACTTCCGGTCAAAGCTCACAGGAGCAGTTGACTGAAAGAAATGCATTTGATCCCATGGACATGATCTGGCTGATGCCTCTACAGAGATGATTGGCGGTGGTCACTGGTAATGTAAGTTTGTTTTACTACAAAGTATCAATTCTTGGAAAATTCTCATTACAAAGAGCAAGGCGTAAAAAATCAAATAACAATTTATGCATCTTACTATAAATTATTTAAATTATTCTATGAAAAAGCAACCGCCTAAATTGTGCTCTTCTAGTGACACATGAAGAAAGATTGTCACACAGCAAAAAGCAAAACCCTTGACCGACTGAAACAAGATCATTCAAGAACCCCCTAGCGAAAGAAAACAGGTCACTACACTCAACATGCATGTCCCTTTTGGTTTTCTTAAAAAATTTAGATGTGTTTTTTTCTATTATTCATTCTCACAATCCATGTGGTTCAACAATAATTGAAAAACTAGACTCTATTTTTAGCTTCAAGGAGTCAGAATCAAAAAAAAAAAAAAAGAAAAAAGTATTACAACTTATCTTGCTAGTTCTTCGTTTAGATAAATTAGGCCTGTGGTTGTATTTTGAACCACAACCTCAAGGAAAGAGTGTTAATAGTTTCTTGAAAAGTACTTTAGGTATAGGAGAGAGATGGGAGAATTCTAAGCAAATGGTGGCAGCAAAGTAGTTTTGGAATCTCCCTGAATCCTATCTTCCCCAAATTAATGAAGAAACCAGAAAATTAGAACTAAAATTTGCAGATGGCATCACAAAACAAACAAACCAACAAAACACTGTATAAAAAAGTATGCCCCATGAACCCCAAAATAAGAGCAGATGATGGCTAACCATAGCTGCACAATCTTCATGGCATAGAAATTGTGTGGGAGGGAGTGTAGGAAAGTCTAACAGATATGCTACAGCCCTCAGAGCTCCTAAACCCCCTAACTAGCAGTCTGGGTACAAACTAACCATAAAATAAATGCTAGAACTGCTGGCTCACGCCTTTAATCCCAGCACTTTGGGAGGCCAAGGTGGGAGGATCACCTGAGGTCAGTAGTTCAAGACAAGCCTGGGCCTGGCCAACATGGTGAAATCCTGTCTCTACAAAAAATACAAAAATTAGCCAGGCATGATGGCGGGTGCCTGTAGTCCCAGCTACTCAGGAGGCTGAGGCAGGAGGATTGCTTGAACCTGGGGGGCAAAAGTTGCAGTGAGTTGAGATTGCACCATTGCACTCCAGCCTGGGTGACAAAGTGAGACTCTGTCTCAAAAAAAAAAAAAAAAAAAAAGGGAACACTACATGCAAAGGAAAGAGAAGATCCTCCTAAAAGTGAAGGAGAAGAGAGAGAAAATGAGAATAATATTTTTATCACTTCATGAAAACAACAGAAGAGGGAAATTTAAAGATGTTAAACTAGAAGTTACCTTGGCCCAATTCTTCCTAAATGTGCAAGAAAACTTATTTAACTTAAAATGAATTTCAGACAATATTCTCTTCTTTGACTTTCACTCCAAGTTATCATAAGAAAAAAAGGCAGAGTAATTCTCCCACTGATAATAAAAGCAATCTAAAATGATAGATGAAAATTTTAATCTAATATTTCAAATCTAGCTAAATAAGATGAAGGAAATGACAGAAGCTACAGAAAGACAAAACAAATCAGAATTAGAAAAAAAATTCTCAAAAAAGTGAAAGGAGAAAGGGAAGATTAAAAAGAAAGCTAAAAAAGCCAAAAAATAATAATTAATTTTATTAAGAAATGAAGACTAAAATACAAGTATCATTTCAACACAGAAGATGCTTCAGAAGAAATTGAAAAAGCAAAGGAGGAGGCTTTTATAAAAATAAAAAAATGAAAAAAGATATAAAGCAATAAATTTAGAAAATGTACAAATATATTTTAAGGCTATAATTAAGAAAACTTTCTGGCAATTTAGTGGAAAAATTTACACTAAAATGTTATACCACATTTCTTAGAATTTCAACCCAAAAAAAACAAAGTCATGATATGTTTTTGTGAAATTATTTAAGCTTGAGGAGAGGAAATAACTGTCTTCAGACATTTCTACAGCAATGCTTTGTGCTAGAAGACAGTACATTATACAATTTAACGTACTCAACGACCAGAAATGTGAGTCAAAGATTTTACATCTCACAAATGGATCTTCACATATAAAGGAAACAGAAAAAAGTTGTTGAACACACAAAAGCTTAGAAAATGTGTTTGTTGTAATATTGTCAAAGAATCTACTAAAAAACAAACTGGGGCAACAAAGATGACAGTGGTCATATTGGCATAAGGACTTGCACCAAGCATTAAATGGGTACCACTCTACAGTAATAAAATTAAATTGTAATTGTAATGGATTCAGGACATTTAATGACTATATGTTTTTACAATGTAAACGTAATAAGGGAACGGGTATTGGGAAGAGTATATGAAAACATGAATAAGCACCAGATCACTTTACAGAAAATAACTGGGAATAATAAGATATTACTTGAAATTAGCTATTGAGGAAGAGGGATGGGGAAGAGAGGTTATTAACTAATAAGAAAGAGTATCAGCTAATCTTATTCACAGTAGAAAACCCAAGGAATATAGCACCCTCCCCCACAAAAGAGAGAACCACAGTTATTATTCAATAGTATTGAACACAACAGTAATCATGAGCATAAAATAAAAACAAAAAGACTTTTCAATATCAACAGTTAAACCAAAAATGAACATTAGGAGGTAGACCACAGAGTGGAGGGCTGTATAAATAAAACACACTCACATAAATGCACACACCCTACATCACATTATATGCCACAATTTGAGAGAAATAAACCTAAATTGTGTAAATAGGCTTATTTTAAAATATTTTCTCTTTTTAAAGAGAAAGTGTAAACATTTTCATGTTGACTAACAAAGCAAAATTCAACATGGGAATAAAAACAGAAATTCATAAACATTTAAAAAATAAGCAAGCCATAACAGGCAAATACAAATAAAAACAAAACAAAAATCACAATATTGGTATCTGTCAACGTTGTATAATTAAGACTAGAAAACATTAAAAAAAGATATAAAAGTGATGTAATAAGGCTAAAGTCTAAAGTTTACCATGAATACCAGTTATTCATACTTGTGAATACAGTTAAAACAGTGATAGCTCTCATAAGAAAAACATGTATGGAGAACAAGAAATCAAAACTTAATGGGAAACTTTAAAACACATTTTTCTGTCTCAGGCAGATGCAATGTTAAAAAAATTAGAAAGATCATAGAAAACCTAAATTATATAATCAATAAGATTTCATAAATGTTAAAAGTCTGGTAACATCAAATAAACTGGAATCCAATGATAATTTTTTTAAAAAAACTTCCAAACTTTTAGGCTAGAAATTCAAAGATAAGCGCCATTATATAACTTTTGAATCAATCTTAATTATAGGCTAAAAATGATAAGTTACAATAGATACAAATCCATGTATGTGGAATACAACCAAATCAGATGTGTGTGAATAATTACATAAGCATATCAATAAATCAAACTTCCACTCAATAAGCTAAAAAAAACCAAAAATTAAAAAATTAGCAGATATACAATTATTAAAGACAAAAGCAAGGAGTAATCAGAAAGCTGAAGAAAATAGTGTAATTAATACATAAGTCCAAAAGATGGTTTTTAAAATAAATTGAAAAAACAGCAAAAAAACCCACTATTTAAACTAATCAAGAAAAAGCTCACATACAAAAATATGACATGCCCATAAAGAATAACCATCAAAACATAAGAAAATTTAAAACTCATAAGAGCGTAGGTGGCACAACTGTATTCAAATAAGTATAAAAATCGAAATCAAGTAAATTTAAAAAGAATAACACTTTCAAAATCTGATTCTATAATGACAGAAAGTTACTATTTATGAAGTCACACCATCGTAACCCTAGGCCCAAATAATTTCACAGGCAAATGCTACAAACCTTTGATAATCAGAGAACTCCAGTGAAACCATTAGAATTATCTACCACTATTTGTTCTTTAAAAAAATAAGAAAAAAAGGAAAAAGCATCCAAAATCATTCTATCAGGTGAGCACTAATATACTTTCAAATCTGAAAAAAAAAGCACCAGAAAAAAGATGGTTAAAATTTAATCTTGCTTATGGACAATTTCAAAAATTCTTAACAAATGCAATAAAAAATCCAATAGCAAATTAAATATTTTATCCATCATAACAAAAGATTCATTCCAGAATTTCAAGAATGGTTCAATATTAGAAAATTGATTATTAATAGATTAAAGAAACACAATTCTGTTTAAATTTCACAGATGCAGAAAATGCTTTTTTAAAAATGTTAATACATATTTATGTTAAAATCTCTCAGTATACTAAGATTCAGATATAATGGCTTACCATTTTATAGATCAAGAAATTGAGTGGGATAAGTAAGCTGTTGTAAAGTCATACTTAAAGGATCTTGGTGACACAGTATTTTGATGCCAAGGAGGTGGGAAGAACTGAAGATGATTCCCTATTGTCCAGCCTGGATGTTTCTACTCCAACAGAAGGAAATATGGGGGAATCTACAGGATACATGGTTTTGCAGGAACAAATTATAAGTTTTGTTTTGATGTTCTTGAGTTGAAGAACCAAGGCAATGTTGAAGTGTTAATGTCCTAGAATCAGCGAGAATTGGGATCTGGCCTATGGAAAGACATGGCCCGGGAGACATTCATTCTAGCATCATCAGTTTAGAGTTGAAATGTGATTTTAATTTATATTTTGTAGAATTATTATAATACATATATGAAAGAAGTATATGGGAGCCTTTTCTGGACGTGACAAAATTCCATACATCCTTTTGTGTCTTATAGACATTTACTTTCCTTCTGTTTAATGTAAATGCTATTCAAAACTATAAAATGTTACTACTGTTCTTATTACATAGCTTTTAGATTGCTGTTTATATTTAAAGGTATTTTGCATGCTTTAATTGAAATAATATTAGATACTGAGAAACTCTTACCCTTTGTAAAAGGTAGGTAGTCACCCAGAGATGTGTTAAAAAGAATAGTCTGATGCTTATAACTGGGAAGTTCTATTTTAATTTATACCTGCTGTCTCTACTGAAGAAAGGAGGGATGTCTATTTTTTTAAGTGACTCCTTTGTGCCAGGCACTTAGCATTTCTATTTATGTTTGAGAAAGTCCAGGGTTTGAGCCCAAATCAATTTGACTCTCATTCCGTGACTCAACAGTAAGGTATTTTCTTTGAATTAATTTACTCTTTTTGTTGTTGTTGTTTTTGTTTTTATGAGATGGAGTTCTGCTCTTATTGCCCAGGCTGGAGTGCAATGGTGCGATCTCGGCTCACTGCAAGCTCCGCCTCCTGGGATTAAGTGATTCTCCTGCCTCAGACTCCCAGGTAGCTGGGATTACAGGTGCCTGCCACCACACCCAGCTAATTTTTGTATTTTTAGTAGAGACGGAGTTTCACCATGTTGGCCAGGCTTGTCTCCAACTCCTGACTTCAGGTGATCCACCAGCCTCGGCTTCTCAGAGTGCTGGGATTACAGTCATGAACCACCACACCCAGCCCTGAATTATTTTACTCTTAACCCAAATTCAAATCGCTAGATCACGTAGTAGAACTAATTTGTTTGACATTATGGCTGGTATGAGAGATTATATTAATAAGCATAGCTACCAATTATTTAAGGCCTTCTATTGTTAGGAACTATAAGAACCCTATTATTTTCTGCAAGAGATGCTTAGGAGAAACCCAATGAGAGATTGATATAGAATCATTTTACTGGAAGGAATCAGAATAAAAATTATTAAGTAATGTGCAACAATACTTTTTTAAATCTGACACCTAATTGGTTTTGGATAACGAATACATTTTGAATGCAAAATGTGTGCTCCTCCTTTTGCTTGACAGTCTGGTAGGTTTCCAGATTTAGCTCTATTTGTCATCTGCTCACCTTTGATCACCATGCCCCTGCTTCCCCTGCTTGGTGCATTGCAGTTGTATTTTCCAAGGACGGAAGTCACATTTCCTTCCATCCCGCATTCTCTTCTAGAAACCTACCACTTCCCTATCAAAGAGTATAGTCTAATTTCCATTCCTTTGATTGTGAGTGGCCTTTATGTTGAGTAGAACACAGTAGAAGTGTTGCTATGTGAGTTTCTTTAGCATATTCTTTGCCAACTGGAACACCCACAAGAGCCTTAGTTACCCTTTAAGCAGTACAGCACCACCAGTGCCACCATGGTAGGAGGAAACCTGATCTAGCTTATGTGCACAGGCAGCCTCTAACTGCAACACCTCCAGCCACTGCAAGTGCAGAAGAAACTCTAAGCCAGAATTCTCCCCTAGCCTCCTCCCCATTTTCTTACCCACCAAAACTGAGAAACATTGTTGATATAAATCATAAAGTTTTGACTTGATTTCTTGTGAAACAATAGTTTTAGAAATGGGTACTTATGACAAGGGTTGATGAACCACAGTAGGCAGGCAAAATCTGGCCCAACACCTCTTTTTGTAAATCAAGTTTTATTAGAACATAGATACACTCTCTGTTTTGGTACCAGTACCATGCTGTTTTGGTTACTGTAGCCTTGTAGTATAGTTTGAAGTCAGGTAGTGTGATGCCTCCAGCTTTGTTCTTTTGGCTTAGGATTGACTTAGCAATGTGGGCTCTTTTTTGGTTCCATATGAACTTTAAAGTAGTTTTTTTCCAGTTCTGTGAAGAAAGTCATTGGTAGCTTGATGAGGATGGCATTGAATCTATAAATTACATTGGGCAGTGTGGCCATTTTGGAACAGAGCAGAGCCGTCAGAAATAATACCACACATCTACAACCATCTGATCTTTGACAAACCTGACAAAAACAAGAAATGGGGAAATGATTCCCTATTTAGTAAATGGTGCTGGGAAAACTGGCTAGCCATATGTAGAAAGCTGAAACTGGATCCCTTCATTACACTTTATAAAAAAATTAATTCAAGATGGATCAAAGACTTAAATGTCAGACCTAAAACCATAAAAAACCCTAGAAGAAAACCTAGACAATACCATTCAGGACATAGGCATGGGCAAGGACTTCATGTCTAAAACACCAAAAGCAATGGCAACAAAAGCCAAAATTGACAAATGGGATCTAATTAAACTAAAGAGCTTCTGCACAGCAAAAGAAACTATCATCAGAGTGAACAGGCAACCTACAGAATGGGAGAAAACTTTTGTGATCTACTCATCTGACAAAGGGCTAATATCCAGAATCTACAAAGAACTCAAACAAATTTACAAGAAAAAAACAAACAACCCCATCAAAAAGTGGGCAAACGATATGAACAGACACTTCTCAAAAGAAGACATTTATGCAGCCAACAGACACATGAAAAAATGCTCATCATCACTGGCCATCAGAGAAATGCAAATCAAAACCACAATGAGATACTATCTCACACCAGTTAGAATGGTGATCATTAAAAAGTCAGGAAACAACAGGTGCTGGAGAGGATGTGGAGAAATAGGAACCCATTTACACTGTTGGTGGGACTGTAAACTAGCTCAACCATTGTGGAAGACTGTGTGGCAATTCCTCAGGAGTCTAGAACTAGAAATACCATTTGACCCAGCCACCCCATTACTGGGTATATACCGAAAGGATTATAAATCATGTTGCTATAAAGACACACGCACACCTATGTTCATTGCGGCACTATTCACAATAGCAAAGACTTGGAACCAACCCAAATGTCCATCAATGATAGACTGGATTAAGAAAATGTGGCACATATACACCATGGAATACTATGCAGCCATAAAAAATGATGAGTTCATGTCCTTTGTAGGGACATGGATGAAGCTGGAAACCATCATTCTCAGCAAACTAACACAGGAACAGAAAACCAAACACGGCATGCCCTCAATCATAAGTTGAAGTTGAACAATGAGAACACATGGACACAGGGAGGGGAACATCACACACTGGGGCCTCTCGGGGGTGGGGGGCTAGGGGAGGGATAGCATTAGGAGATATACCTAATATAAATGACTCGTTAATGGGTGTAGCACACCAACATGGCACAGGTATACATATGTAACAAACCTGACGTTTTGCACATGTACCCTAGAACTTAAAGTATAAAAAAAAAGAAAAAAAAAAAGAACATAGCTACACTCATTTGTTTACATATTATCTGACTGCTTTAAGCAGTTTAGTAATTTCAACAGAAATATCTTTTAGTATTTTCTTTGATTATTGAATCTACCTTCTCCAAAAACAGTAGTGCCTATATGTTCCCTAGCAAAATACTATGGACTATTTTTGAGCTTAGCTATAGTGCCCTCCACAAATTCCAATTTCCCTTATTTATTTCTTTTTATTTTTTGTAACTTCTTTTAATTTTATAAGTTGACAGATTATAATTGTATGTGTCAATATAACGGCATCTTTATTTCCTTCCTTGTATCCATGCTTTTCTGAAGGTTCTTCTCACACTGATCCTGAGAGTGTTCATATTGTCAGTGTGAGTTTCTTTGGCCAGTGGGACATTAGCAAATACAGTGTAAACAGAAATCTGAAAAATCATTACATACTGTTGCTTGCACTCTTGCTACTGAATGCCCTGTGGCACCACCAAATCAAACCTGAACTCACCCCCTGAGATGCCCCGTATCTCCATCTGGGGTCTCAGAAACATCAGTGAGGCCATCCTAGGTCAGCCAGACCCAGCCAATCCAGCCCAGGATCATAAAACATGTTCATATTGGCTGTTTTCAGCCATTGAGTTTTGGGATGGTTTGAAACACAGCAAAGGCTAATTGGTACATCCACAAAGTCAGCTTTAATGTTCTCTGCCTCTACTCCTTTATGCAACTGGGAATAAATTTGCTAAAATCATAAGGCTCAAGAATTAATATAGGTTAAAAGTAAATATGAGTCAAAGGAAAATTCTTCAAACTCTGTAGTAATATATTCTTAATTCTTTAATAAGAGAAGCTAGGAATTTGGAGTTTGAGGTAGAGAAGGATGATGTTTTACATGCCTAATTTTTGAGTTTAATTACAAAGTCTTGGTAATTAAATCTTTTGGTTCTGAACCAGGGAGGCCTAATTTAGGGTTTCATGGGTTTCAAGAGACATAACCATCACGTGGAGAAGAATCAGGAAGATACAAAGATTTTCAGGTTAAATCAATGGGTAAAGAAACTTTTAGAATGAAATCTTAAAAAGCAGATGATTTTAAAACTTTAAGAAGATGAATTCAGTTGGTTATTAATAAATGAGTTAACACCAGAATCCAGGGCAAACAAATCTGGTGGCCTAGTGAAAAGTCCCTTCTCCTCACTGCCTGCGTTATTTTCTTTTCCTTAAGAGAAAGATATTTATATAGGTACCATTACTAAAATCTTGAATAAAATGATCTTTCAGCAAATTATATTTCTAGCATTTCATTTCCCAGTGGTAATGCCAAATAAAATGCAGATAAAAACATTAAATGTAGCTACCTGCTGCTGTAGCACTGGGCAAGATTCCATCCGTAGGCATTCTAATAGGCTCACAATAAGTGCTTTTTGTATTGCTGAACTGTACTGTACAATCACAGGATAATTTAGAACAAAAAGTAAAGGTCAGACATTTAATGCTTTAATGAGTGACCTTTTCACTCCCAACCCTTTTGTACAAGCATCTGTATTAGCAAGTTTAGATGCGTCTTTTAAGGAAGTTGCACGATTCCCTCCAGGAGCTATGTTTCTGCTTTGAAAGGGCCTATATGGGGAATGGAGTTTCGCTGAAACATTCACAGTGAACCAAAGTCCTCATTGTCCCCCTGAGAGATTCGATAAGAAAAGCTAAGTACAGTATGAGAGTTGGCAGTTTCCATGGTAAATATTAATGTTCAGCATTCAGATGCTTACTTGGATCCGAGGAGTTCAGCAAGAGTCTCTCCTTCTTCCTCCTCAGGAAGAATGTGGGGTCTGCCAAAGGTCAGCTGTATCATGAGCTTTGAGTTCATAATGTACTTAAGTGGCCATTATGCCTCTGTTATTAGATGACCTTCTGCTACAGAACGAAACTTCCTCTTTAACCCAAATTCCTAGGGTCACATGAAATAAAAATAGCATGCTGTAATAGTGGCTGGAATAAGTGCTTTCCACATAATGAATGTTCAATAAATGTTATTCAAATTAAATAAATCGCTTATTTTATTTCAGGTAAGAACGTGGGCACTAATACTTTGAAGAAAATAATGGGAGAAACTGCACTTTCCCTCAGTTCAAGATTCAGCAAATATTACTGAACACTCCGTCTGCCTCCTCCCAGCTCTGTGCAAGCCACGGTGATGCTAAAAAGGCTCAGAACAGAGCCTCCTCCCTGCACTCCTCACAGCCAGACTTCTATGCACATGGTTCTTCCTCGCTTTCCAGCTTATCAAGCACACAGGAAGTTTACTACTGTTCCTTGTTTAGAATTTTTGTTTATTTTCATTTTTTTTTGTTGTTAAGATACATCAGTGACCTCTGCATTTTCATATACAAAAGACACAATTGTGTTCTCAATTTAGTCTATTCGTCAGTAGCAATTGATATTACTGACATTTTAGATCTTAAAACACCCACATCCTCTTTTAGTAGCCCTTTCCTCTTAGTCTCCTTGGTGTTTAAGGACAGGTCAGCTTCCCTCTCCATTAGTACCTTTCCCTAGGTGATTCCATGGGCTTTCATGGCTTATTACTGCAGAGTTTATGTTTCCAGCCCAGAAGTCACTTCTCGGTACATCTTTGTCCATCCATTCTTTCATCCATCCATCCATCCATCCATCCACCCATCCATCCAACCATCCATCCAGAAAATAGGATGGAAGCAGTATATATTTCAAAGTATGTTAAATAAAAAATTCAAGGTGCCTTCTGGAGTTGTCTTGAGAGCTGCCAGAAAGAGCTGAAACCAGAAAGAGTTGAAGGAAGGTGACTCTGGGAATCATTACCAGGATTTAGGAAAGATGAGGCATATATCTTTCTCTTCATTATAGTTTTCTCCATTCCTGATGACTCTGAAAAGGCTACTCATGGACCATCTCATCAGAGTCAATATTGCTGGTTGTTAAAGAGATACATTCCCAAGACCCTAAACCAGACCTGCAAAATCAAAACAGCTGGGGGTGGCTGGGCACAGTGGCTCACACCTGTAATCCCAGCACTTTGGGAGGCCAAGGCGGGTGGATCACAAGGTCAGGAGATGGAGACAATCCTGGATAACATGGTGAAACCCTGTCTTTACTACACAAAAAATTAGCCAGGTGTGGTGGCGGCCGCCTGTAGTCCCAGCTACTCAGGAGGCTCAGGCAGGAGAATGGCATGAACCCAGGAAGCAGAGTTTGCAGTGAGCTGAGATCACCCCACTGCACTCCAGCCTGGGCTACACAGCAAGACTCCGTCTCAAAAAACAAAAACAAAAAAACAGCTGGGGTTTATTGTCAAGCATGATAGAGTTTAGGCAGTATTGTTTTAAGGCTGTGAATCTGCTTTTAAATATCATTTTTCCCTCATTCATCTGTGTTGTGTGTTTTATTGTGTTTGTTTTTATATCTAGTCTTTAATTTGAACCTTGATTTTGTCATTTAGACAGGAGATACTTGTTTTGTTGTGGGCTAAATATTATTTGGTACTTTTGTTTCATGTTTAGATTCTTGTATTGAACTATGTCAAGAATCTGAGACATTTCTATATTTCTATTTTAGCACTTTTAAAATAGACTGTTTTTGAGAGCAGTTTTAGGTTCACAAAAAAATTGAGCAGAAGGTCCAGAGATTTCACACATACTCCCTCCCTTCACAAATACACAGCCTCTCCCATTTTAAAAATTTTAAATATTTAACATTTTAAACTACAGTCTGTATTCTTGAAATGATGCTGATTTTCTATTTGGCATATATTTTATATTATATGATGCATATTGTATTTAAAAAATCTCTATTCCTTTATCATTTTAAGTAGTTTTTTCTTCTATTACTCTACTACTCTTTAATATACCAAGGTATTAAAAGCATAGGAAAGTATATTAAAATTCTTCATTACAATAAGTATGATTTTTTTCAATTTTGCCTTACAATTCTAGCCGGTTTTACTTTACATATTTCACTATTATATTTTGGAGTGCAAAAAGGCTCATGACTGTTATATCTTTTTTAGAAATTTTACCTTTCGTGATTATAAAATATCCTTTTTGTCCTTTGTAATGATTTTCACCTCAAAAGCTACTTTCTATGTTATAAATATAATCACACCTGCTTTCTTTTCTGTCAAGTTTTTATTAGACTGAAAATCTTTATTTAATTGTCTGTTTGGTTCAACCTTTATGTGCCATTTTGCTTCTAATGATTATTATAATAAGTGCAAAGATACATATTAATTCACAGAATATGAGAGTCTAAGTTATGTAAGGTACAGTTGTTTTTCTTTAATGACTGATTTGTCATATTTTCAGTCAACATCTGTTTTTCTTTTCAATTGATTAATGTTTATTAATGTTTATTGGTGGCTTTTATGTTTCTACTTTGATAATTATTGGATTTAATATGTTTATTCATTCTTTTTGTCTCCTGCATTTATTTACAATTTTTATAATTCATTATCAAACAATGAATTAAACAATAACTTTTCGCCCCCTTTTTCTCCTATAACGTATATAAAAGATGTATGTGGGATATTTGTGGTTAGTATTCAACATTACCTCTCATCCACTGAATGAGTTCTGGGATATATCTTTTGTAGTTACATTTTGTTTTAATTTTGGTCATCTTTATTGATGCTTTTCATAATGCTCTTTTTACATAAAAGCCTACTTTTATTTGGACAATGTAGTAGCTCCAGTAATTTATCTGAATGTACACATTAGAATATTTGTTTGCATTTTTCTAAATTCTACTTATTCATCAAGCCTGTATAGTAGCGCTACTTGGTACAGTTGCTAGCATAGTCCCTCTCCTTGAACTGTGGTTTCTTCTTCAGTATTCAGTGATGTTTTCTCATCTGATACAATCAGTAAGCTAAAGAGGCAAGAATATACACGAAGGCAGTATAACAAGGTGGTTCAGAGCTCAGATTCAAGGGCTAGAACATCTGAGTTAGTATATATAAAGTGCTCAAAATGGTACATACCAATGCTTAAATAGATATTAACTACTATTATGTACTTTTGTTTGCAACAGCTTTATTGATATAAAATCAATATACTGTACAATTAATTGCTGGGTGGAATAGTAACTCTATGTTTAAGTTTTTGAGGAACTGACAAACTATTTTCCAAAGTGGTTGCACCATTTTATATTTGCACCAGCATTGTATGAGGGTTCTAATTTTTCTACATTCTTGCCAACTCTTCTTACTGACTTTTTAACTATAGCAATTCCAGTGGGTTTGAATTTTAAAACTTAGGTTTTATTATTTGTTAGAGATGGTGAAGCCAACGGATCAGGAGACAACTGTCACATTTAAACAATGGTTTATTACTTACAGTTCCCAAGAGGAGGCATGCAGGCCACACCAGGTCACATGGTGAAACACCAGAAGTGGTCAGAATACAGAAGGGGCAACAGAAAAGCTTGAAAAGTAGACATTATTGTGATTTCCACGGGAAAGGCAAGGCAAGCCAAGGTAAGCAGGCTTAGCATTGGCTAGTTTGAATAATTGTGGATGCCTCTTTCTGGAGTGTAGAGATTGTATCTAGTTGTCTGGTATCTGGTTCTGAGATAATTACCTTCTGCAGTGTAATGGCCAGAATATCCCAGAACCAGAATGCCTCCTCCTATGAACCAGGAAGCAGGCCCTCTACCAGAAACCATATCTACCAGTGCCTTGATCTTGAGTGTCCAGCCTCCAGAACACTTATTGATAAGCTACCTAGTTTATGACATTTGTTTTGACAGCCTGAAAAAACTAAAATACTGCTATATCATTTGTGTTGAGAATCATGCCTGACATAAAGAAAGTATTCACCAAGTTTTTATGAAAAAAATGTGTCTATCAGGGACAAGCAAATAAATATCATAACAAGTTGCTACTTAACACAATATTGACTACGTTTTCTTACTTTCTTACTTTCTGTATTCTTGATGCTCTGGCATCTGAGCTCTTGCTAATCCATGAGAGAGTGCTTTTCCAGGGTGAGCGAATTCCTAGACACAGCAAACCACACCCCCCCAGAAGCATTCTTTTCATCTGCAAATGTGGGCTCTGGACTGGTACATTAGCAGCTTCCTGGTTCATAGGTAGTGCCTCCTTACTGGGTCCTCCCAGGATAAAAGGAGAGAATGAACTCCCTTAGGCCTATTTTTAAAGGCCTTAATCCCATTCATGAGAGTTCTTCCCAAAAGCCTCATTTTCAAATACCACAACCTTGGGGATTATGATTTCAGCATATAAATTTTGATGGGATGCAAACATTCAGACTATAGCAAGCAGTGACCAACAATAGGTCCCTGCTCCTGTGCTGCTTAACCACCTGGTAGATGGCATAGACAGTCATGTGAAAAAAAAATTAAAGTGAAATTCTGTAATGGAAATAAAGCAGAGTCATGTGAGTAGACCAGATTGGTATTTTAGCTAGGAGAGGAGAATGACTAAAGCTTCCATAAGGAGATGACCCTTAGCGGAGACCTGGATTAAAAGTGAAGACAGCCACGTAAAGATCTGAGGAAAGAGTATTCCAGGCACAGGGGGCAGCTAGCATGGTGACAATCTTGAAATGTTGGAATCTTGGAATGTTCCATCTTGGAATGTTCAGGGAGCTGAAGGTAGGCGGGCGTGGCAGGAGCACAGTGAGGAAGGAAGAGAACGGTGCAGGATGAGTTCAGAGATGAAGCACGAGCCAGGCCCTGTAGAACTCTGTGCAGGGTGTGTGTTAGCTTCCTAGGGATGCTGTAACGAAGTGCTACAAGCTGGGTGGCTTAAAACAACTGAAGTTGATAGTCTCATAGTCCTAAAGAATAGAAGCCCAAAAGCAAGGTGTCATGAGGCCATGCTCCTTCTGAAACAAAGGGAAATGCATCTTTGCTTCTTCCTAGTGTTTGATGGTTTGCCGGCAGCATTTGGTGTTCCTTGGCTGGCAGGTGCAGCACTCCAATACTCCATCTTCACATGGCCTTCTCCCTGTGTTTCTCTGTCATCACATGGTGGTCTTCTTATAAAGACATGGGCATACTGGATTAAGGATGCACCCTACTCCAATATGACTTCATCGTATCGTAACTAATTATATAGTCAATGTCTTGATTTCCAAATAAGTTCACATTTTCAAGTACTGGGAATTAGAACTTCAACATATCTTTTAAGAGAAGGACATAATTCAACCCCCAAAAGAGGTGATTGCTAAACTATTGGACAGTTCCTACAGTGTGAAACTTACAGAATTTGCTGATAAAAAATGATGTGGGAGTATAAAGGGGGAAAAAGGCATTAGAAAGAATTACTAGTTTTCAGTACCTAATACCTGGATCATTAGTGTGTCTGTTTAGCAAGATAGATAAGACAAAGGCAGGAATATGTTTGATGGTATATAGAAGTCAAGAGTTCCATATTACACATAATAAGTTTAAATGCCTGCTGTACGCTAAGTGAATACAGCTGTTGGAATCCCACATCAGTTTCTCCAGTAAGTGTTTTAGGTTGGAGATTATACTTGGGCTTCCCTGGCATTTCTGACAACATTGAAAGCCTTGGGGCATCACTAGCAGGGTAATGAAGGTGGAGAAGAGAACAGGCCGCTGGATTCAATCTCCAGCTCACCAATATTTAGAGGAGAAATAAGCCATGAAGGAGACTGAGAAGAAACATTAACTGGTTCAAAACAATCAGAGACTGTGGTATCATCAATACAAAGAAAAAGATGTGTTCAAAGCTAGTCCCCGGTCAAGTATATGAAATGGGATTTCGAAACCAAGTAAGGCAATAATGGAAATTTTTGGCTAATCTAAACTGTCCTGGGTCAAATGGGATTGCAAGTGCATAATGCAGAAATACACTTTCACATATTCAATACAAGTTATTAAATTATGCACACAGAATAAATTTTGAGTACTTGTATTTGTTTTGCTTTTGTTTTAGACTGAGAATGTTTTTTCTGTTGATCAATCATGTTGAGCACACTTTCATATACCTGTTTGCCATTTGTGTATCTTGTTTTGAGAAATTTCTATTAAGATATTTTGCCTATTTTAAATCAGATTATTAGATTTTTTTTAACAGAGTTGTTTAAGATCCTTATATATTAAATTCAATAGAAGGAAAATGAAAGTAATGACACTGACTTATGTGCTGTAAGGGTTCCTCAGTGGTATAATGATGTTTGGGCAGTAATTAGTTCGATAAAAAGGATCCGGGACTTGTCAGAAAAGAAATTAGACATAAAATTGCACAGAGTAAGAATGTCCAAGGAACTGTGATTCCACATCCCTATTCACACTCAATTCACTTGTTCTTTGTATACTGCTGTCTACTCCACCCCCAAGTTTTCCCCACAACCTTTAACCTTGTGTCATTTCCAATGCCATGGACTCTGGCACCAATGTCAGGTTAAATATATCCAGGAGTTATGGTTGAAGAGTTTTGTTGAATTATTTCAATTGATCTGCATTACGAAATGCTCTGTGTGCGTGAATCTTTGGCCTTTGAGATACTGATCCTGTTCCTAATTTTCATAGTTTGACTCCGACACCTACTCTTGACTTCTGGCAGGCCCCAGCCCTGAAGGGAGAGATAGTTTTGGAAATCTCTCTCCTTCTCTTGTCTTAAATATCCTAAGCATGGCAAAAACATGCTAAGATACACATAAATGCTTTGTAGAAATTGAGAAATGTTAAAATTTCATGTTGGCAAGAACAAAAATCATTTTCAAGCAGTTAATTTTGTTTATATTTTTGTTAATATAATATTAATAAGGTGTCATTATTAATATTATTATCAAATATTACTAACAAATTCTTCCAAACTTTATAAGAATAAATAATACAGGCCAGGAGCAGTGGCTCATGCCTGTAATCCCAGCACTTTGGGAGGCCAAGGCCGGCGGATCACCTTAGGTCAAGAGTTCGAGACCAGCCTGCTCAACATGGTGAAACCCTGTCTCTACTAAAAATCCAAAAAATTAGCCGGGCGTGGTGGTGGGTGCCTGTAATCCCAGCTACTTGGGAAGCTGAGGCAGGGGAATTGCTTGAACCCGAGAGGAAGAGATTACAGTAAGCTGAGATGATGCCACTGCACTCCATCCTGGGCGACAAGAGTGAAACTCCATCAAAAAAAAAAAAAAAAAAGAAGAAGAAATAACAAAAAATAAAATAGTTTGGAATATAAACATGCAGAGTTTCTAAATTTATTTTAATGTGTTGTTGTAACCTCCATAACAAATCTAACGAGGAAATCTTTTACCACAAATATAAACCAATCCAATTTTTGGATAGGATAAAATACAATAGGTTGAATTCAATACTAAGTCATCATGACCAAGTACTCTTCAAGCCAACATTGTAAATTGAGATCAATACTAGGAAAGCTGACATTTTATCACGAGTATGCCAAATAGTTACTAATAATAGCAATTGCTACTTGTACTTTCCATGGGACATTCTTCTCACATTGAATTGCATAATTATCCGAGTTTATCTTTGCTATCACTCTTAACAGCGGAGAGAAGTTAAGTAATTCGTAAATCACAGAAAATGCTGTTCGTGGAGAAATAATCCAGGTAGTTTGAGTCTGCACTAGTAATGCCTCTCATAGTGAAATCACTTGTAATCTCCTTTACAACTTTTAACAATATAACTATGTGTATAAAATTCTTATTAATGTACCTATCAACCCATCATCTAGGTTTTGAGCCCCACATGCATCAGGTATTCTTCTGTATACCTTTGTAACAAACCTGCGCGTTCTGCACGTGTATCCCAGAACTTAAAGTAAAATTTAAAAAAAAAATAGAACAAATATCCATATCCCATTAAATATTTAGTTTCATGATATTCTCTTGTCATTATAAAAAAATTCTTACTAATGGAATAGCACATATGATAAACAAAATTTAATACTACCACCAATGGAATTAAAATAAGGAACATAACTATGTGAAGTCCTACATATCTTGAGTCTTAAACGTCGGCCTGGAAATTCCAGCCAATTAAGTGAAACACAAAAATGTAATTTAAAAAAAGATCTATTATATATTTAGCTTAAACTAAGGATTAAAATAAATTTTAGATGCATTAATGAATAAAAGTGGAAAACAAAGAGAAACACCTATTTGATACAAGAGGGAAAGGATTTACTAAACATAAAAGAATGGAAATAATATGAACATAATTAATTATATATTTTAATGTAGTCTTTTAAATGACATCAAAAACAAAATCAAATATTAAATAACGAAATCAAATATTAAGTAACAAAATCAAATATTAAATAAATCAACTTACATAAATTGACAAAATAAAGAGGGATACTGTAAATTCCTAAACAGCTTGTACAAATTGATAAATAAATAACACCTTCATTATTAGAGATGAACAAAACAATAAATACACATTTTTCAAAAAAGGAAATAGTAGGGTTTTATGTACAAAAATGTTTAGCTTTATCATCAACTAAAAAAAAAGTTTTGCAGAATGTCCCCACTTTTTAGCTGTCAACTTTGTCCCCACCATCAACTGAAAAAAAAAAGTTTTGCAGATTGATACCATTTTTTAGCTGTCAATTTTGTCCCCTCATCCCAAAATAAATCTAGTTTTCACAAAATTATATGGCAATAATTACTTTCATAAATAATTGGTCGGGGACTAAAAAACTAAACTTTCTGAAAGGCAATTTACCAATAATAATTAAACATTGTTTCTTTTTTTACTTCTTTGACTCAGCAATTCAACTTCTAGAATACAAATATCACTGGGCTCAGTGGCTCATGCCTGTAATCCCAACACTTTGGGAGGTCAAGGAAGGAGGATTGCTTGGGACCAGGAGTTTGAGACCAACCTGGATAACATAATGAGATTCTGTCTCTAATTAAGAAAAAAAAATTAACAGGATATGGAACAATGTGCCTGTCCCAACTACTCCGGAGGCTGAGGTGGGAGGATCCCTTGAGCCCAGGAGGTCAAGGCTGCAGTGAGCCATGGTCACCCCACTGCACTCCAACCTGAGAGACAGAGCAAGACCGTAGATATAATCCAGAAAATATAATACTAGGCATTTGACATAATACTTAAAATACCTAACACTGCTGCTATTCAAGGTGCCTCATAGGAAAGCTTAGTCTAATAAATTATTCCACAATGGCTGGTGTAGCACGTGTCATATTTATCCATTTTTAAATATTTGGTCTATTTGCATTTTCTAATATTTATAACATAAAGTAAATTAACTTAAAAAAATCAAGAATCCCTTCATATGTGCATCTACATAGCGTACATTTAGTATATGTAATAAATAAATAAAAACAAAATGAAATGGAACTGAAATTGCTAACAATGCTTATTTATGATGCTGTTTAAATCTTTTTTATAGGGAATATAATTAAAAGAAATGCAAACACCAATGAACACATTAAAACCATTTATTCTTACTACCAAAAGAAAGAAAAATTAAGACAACCATGACAAAGCTTTTTGAAACAAGCCCAATCGTCCCATAGAACTGATATTCATGGTCTCTTTTGAATAAACATAGAAATTTACCCTCCTGGTCTTGAAACTTGAGAAAGTTGCATTTGTCTTATCAAAATTCCTTTCTCAGGAAACCAGTCATCAGGCTTCCCAGATGACATCAAGGAGCTGACACTTAGCAGGTCACCACATCTGGACAATGAGACGCCAGACCCCTTCACCTGTCTTGATTGTCTAACTGATCACCGGCTGCCTGTGGACCAACTCCTTTTCCTTACCCCTCCCTCATTCCTGTTTTCCCACACATAGTAACGTTTCTTCTCTGATATACAATTCCCTTATTTTAGTTGCTGAGGGATATGGATTTGAGACTGATCTCCCATCTGCTCTACTGCAGCACCTGATTAAACCCTTCGTCCCTGGAAATACTCATTGT
This sequence comes from Homo sapiens, assembly GCF_000001405.40. Classification (NCBI taxonomy): domain Eukaryota; kingdom Metazoa; phylum Chordata; class Mammalia; order Primates; family Hominidae; genus Homo; species Homo sapiens. Next base: position 125,864,588 of record NC_000002.12, on the reverse strand, counting down.
CTTGGTGATTGGCTTTCTGTGCGGTGAGCACCAGGACTGAAACCAAACCTCTGGCATTTCGGTAACATTTTCACCAACATTATTAGCATTTTAGGGATGTATATATATATATATACATATATATATACACACACACGCACATATATATACACACATACGTATATATGTATATGTGTGTACACATACACACAATTTATATTATATAAATTATACATTTTGTGATAGTCTCCTGAACTATATACTACATATAAATATGTAATTTATAATAGAAAATATTAGTTTTGTATGTACATATAGACATGCACACATATATATGTAAATTTATACACACACACTAAAAAATCTGTATTATTCATTACATAATATGATATACAATAATTAACGTGTGGGCATATATACATATACAACAAGGCAAGGATGCTTTGGATGACATTTTAGCAATGCTTCCACAGAACTCTGACAAAATGTAATGTCGCTGACCCAATAATATTATTTACAAAGATCTTTTTCCCCTAACTTATGATGTAAACTAAGACTTACGTAAAGGTTGATCATAGATGAAAGATGGAAAAAACATGAAGTTGCCACTTATTTTACCCAGGTTTTAATCATGGCTCAACATTTTGTTAGTTCTGTTGTGCACACCACTTCACATGGGTCCTCAGATTCCACATAATTAAAATGGGAAAGCAAATAGTGCTGAGGCTGAGGAAAAATGCCTATCATAGGGTTTCCGTAGCCATCAGCATGGAGCCCATGCAGGTTTTGTGGTGGCTACTCCTGTGCTTACTACTGTTGCTGAGGAAGCATTATAAACAACCTAATTGCTTAATAATATGAAACAGTTAAATAAATTTATGTAAAATATTTATGTGAGAAAACCCTCATGATATGTCAGTGTTTTATATATATATAAATACATATATATACACATATACAGATATATATACACATATACAGATATATATATACATATACAGATATATATACACACACATATACAGATATATGTGTATATATATATATACACACACACACACACACATAAAAAACAAAATACTAAATAGTGATTATTTGGAAGTGATGAGATTATTGGTGATTATTGTATGTTTCTTTAAACTTCCCTGTATGCTCTACAATGAGTAATATTAAATGAATTGTAGGAAAAGAACAAGCCTTGTTATTTCTTAATGCTTACTTTTACCCTTCCAACTCTAATATAATTGCTTTCATTTTTATGTGTTGCCTTACAATATTTAATCTATGTTACCACACGTTTTATGTAGATACAGTTAAAATATACATACACTTTTGTGTTCTTTTTTAAAATTTTATGCATTTAAATTTTTCCATGTTACCTTTCAATCTTTATTTTTATTTTTATTTATTTTTTTTGGTTCAAATTTTTTTTTTTTTTAACAAAAGAAGAGGTTTATTGGACTTACAAATTCTATGTGGCTGGGAAGGCCTCACAATCATGGTGGAAGGTGAAAGGAATGTCTCACATGGTGGCATACAAGAAGAGAGAGCTTGTGGAGGAAGACTCCCGTTTTTACAACCATCAGATCTCATGACATGTATTCACTATCACAAGAACAGCATGGGAAAGACCTGCCCCCATGATTCAGTTACCTCCCGCAACATGTGGGAATTCATATATATTTTATTATACTTTAAGTTCTAGGGTACATACTACCATCAATCTTTATATTCATCATTTTAATGACTACACAATGCAACCTTGAGTTAATACGGAATATTTATTTAACTTACGTGATGCTATAGGTTCACCTGTTTTCCCCATTATGTTTCTGCCTTAAAAATTAAACTGCTAGGAAAATGTATGTTTTAAAAATTTATTTTACTTTGTCCAGATTCTTTCCTTACAATACGTGTCCAGCAGTAGGTGAGTGATGTTAAATGTGAAGAACATTTTCTTCTGACTTCCATTACCTATCATAATACTCTCATATCTAAGAAAATTGCTCTGATGCACCACACTCCTGGCAATGCAAAACTGTATTCAGCTCTCTAAAGCCTTACCAAGGCTAGGTACCATAGACTTTTTTTAAAAAACAAACATTAATATATGCTGCATTGACAACATAAGAATTGCCTTAATAACATAAATATTACCCTAATATTGCTTTAATTGTGTTGAATATTTGACCACACTTCTCACTCTAATATACTCTTATTGGAATTTTTTTAAAACTATTTGTTAATTTTTCATTTTAAAGTCATCTATAATTTGGATCCTGATTTAAAAAATGATAAAAATAATTTTTAAAACATTTTATTATAGACTAATATAAAATGATATTAGAAAATGATATTTAATTATGTCAGGCAAAATAATGTCGCTATGATTTCCTAAGAAAGAGTCCATGCTTTTAAAGGATTTTTATAGAAATATCTAGGAGTGAGTGAGGCTTTTGGTCTGTGCTTTAAATGTTTCCACAATTAAAAATTGCAGAAAAGAAGAAGAAAAGCAACACAAGAAATAAAGCAAAATTGCCAAAATCATGACACTTATTTTATATCTAGTTGGTGAGTTTATGGGGATTTATTATATCACTTTCTTTACTCCTGTATATTTGCCAATATTTACATATATTTTTAAATACACTAAAAATGTATAAATATTTGAGTACACTTTTAAAACATATTTTATATAGGTGTAAACCCTTTGTCATATTTTTTGGATAAAGACATGGACATATATTCTTTCTTTCAGATTTGGAGACTTGATATGTTAAATACCATTTTTAATTTTTTCACGAAAAAATTGATAGTAAGGTTTATGGTCCTTGAGTAATATCTTTCTTTACTTTTTCTAAGAGGGTAGGCAGGCATCTCAGCAGTAACCTTTCCACAATAAACATGTTTGCCTTTCTGTCATTAACATTCACTTTCTCTGTTTGTGATTCTGACAGCTCAGAGGATTAAATTCTCCATGTATTGATTTTGATGTGCTCCTTGTCATGTTTTGATCAAAAGAAACATCATTTTCCTTCTGCAGTGATAAGGTACAGTAGGTAGACTTCATAATCTTTCACAAAAGCCATTTCCAAAATGTTTCCCCTTTCCTGACAGCCACATATGTGTTATTTCTCCTTTTGAATTATAAATTAAGGTGCTGCCATTTATTAGAGATGAAGATGATAATTTTTTTTTCTTTGGGTAGAAAAGGCCAAATAGATTCCTGAACCCCAAACTCAAAGACAGTTCCATGGGAAACAGTTTAAGCATAGCTATGCAGAACCAAATTTTAATTGACTGTTTTTTAAAGAGCCATCTATGGACTCAGTTAATAGGTAGAGGATCAAAGACACTATTTTGGTTTTTAAATAAATGTGCAATTGAACTGCCTTCAGTGGAGAAGGAAAAAAACTGGTATTTGAGGCCTATGCCCTAAGTCACAAGCATTAGCTCTGTAACTTGGAATTGAGCATTAGGTAATGAAGAAAGAACCAAGAGATCATCCAGTGTTGCACGGCTGAGTGACGGATCTGTGTTCTGAAGCTCTCTCCTGTCTCACTCCAGACTCCACTGAGCAATTTTTCTTTGTAATGAGGAGGATCTGGGTGGTGATCCACAAACTCATTCCTGGTGGGAAAGGCAAAATTTTACTTTTCTACCCACTAAGAATTTTCAGCTGGGCTTGAGAATTAAACTGATATAAAAGAGATTAACAGGAAAAAAAGCATACAGGTTGTTTTACATGACATGGAAGCCCTTTTAAGGAAATGAAGACCCAAACAAGTGGCAAAACCTAAATGCTTTAATATTAAGTTGAATAAGGAGCAACAACTGTGTGAAAATAACTAAACTATGTGGGGAGGCTGAGGGAAGGTAATTCTTTTAACAAGATTCGTTTGTACAGAATTCTTTCCGTTTCAACTTCCCATTGCTGATGATAAGAACATTAGTCTCTCTTTATGGGTGCATAGCATTCCATGGTGTATATGTACCATATTTTCTTTATCCAACCTGTCTTTGATGGGCACTTAAGTTGATTCTGTGTCTTTGCTATTGTTAGTAATGCTACAATGAACAAGAATGAGATTATGTCTTTTTCAGGAACGTGAATGGAGCTAGAGGGCATTATCCTTAGCAAACTAACAGAGGAACAGTAAGTCAAATACCACATGTTCTCACTTTAAAGTGGGAGCTAAATGATGAAAACACATGGACACAAAGAAGGTAGCAGCAGACACTGGTGAGGTCTACTTGGGGGCAGAGAGTGGGAGGAAAGAGAGGGGGAACAGAAAAGAAACTATTGGCTACTAGGCTTATCTCCTGGGTCATGAAATATCTGTACAGCAAACCCTCATGACACTTGTTTACCTATATAACTAACCTTCACATGTACCCCCAAACCTAAAATGGTTTTTTTTTAAGAGAATTACTCTGTTTCTGGTATTGGGATGATGTCTTTCATATGGGAGTTTTATCTCTTGCTTTCAGGAAGAAAAAGCAAAAGGTCAGATCACCTTTCTTGCACCTGCTATATTTTTAAGTGCCTTTAGTTCAAAATAATCCTTGAGCAAAAGTAGTATATGTGGGATAGCATATTCTGCCACCCTTCACTCTCTTTGGAATCTATGGCCCAAGTAAATGACTGCATTTAAAGGTCTTAAATATGAATGCGAATGCACCTAGAAGGGAAGTAGATCCGTTCTAACTTGTTAAATGTAAGCAGAAGAAATGACATGACAATATCCTAGTTTCCACACAGCAAGCCCTAAATAAGAAAGACAATGCTCAAGTGGATTCCTCACTCTTTTGTTTCATTTCAAAGGTGAAAAGAGGACTTTGGAACCTTTGTATGAAGATTCTCACCATATCTTCACAGTAATAAATATTCCTGTTTCCTCACCTTTAAAATGGTATAGATACTTCTATGGTACCATTTTAGGGAGACAGATGGTATCCCTAAAATGTATATTTTGTAATTCTATCCCATAATGTTTTGATATTAGTAGGTAGGGACTTTGAGACATAATTAAATAATGATGGCAGAGCCCTTATAAAAAGTATTAATGTCCTTATTAGAAGAGGCACCAGAGCGTTGACTTGCCCCTTCTACCATGTGAGGACACAGAGAAGGTGCCATCTAGGAGCCAGGAAACAGCCAATCACCAGACACCAAATCTGCTGGTACCCGAACCTTGACTTCTCAGCCTCCTGAACTGTGGGAAATAAATTTCTGTTATTTATAAGTTATCCACTGCATGACATTTTGTTATAGCATCATGAACAGACTAAGAGGGATATCTTCCCTGCCGAACTTCCAGTATTGTTAGAAGACTCAAAATAAAACAGGAAATTAGGTGTTAAAATCTGTGCAAAATATTAGGCCACTTAGAAGTAGATTATACTTCTGTGTTTAATGCTGAATTTTGGCCCAATTAATTTTTGACAATTGCACTGTTTCAATCCTCATAATATTTCTGGTTCCAATATTGTCTTAGATGATATTTGTTACATATTCAGTGAATTTTGGGAGTAAGAGATAGAGAATCCTCCTTAGTTGGGATTGAGATATTCCTAATTATGCCCTAAGCCTTATACCCCTATGAAAAGATTAGTGTGTGGGAAGACAGAGGGTCCTATCTTAAGTGGACAAGCCAACAAATGATCCTTTGACAAGTTGCCACTCATGTGATTGAATGTGGATTTCATTAGCCAGACCTATTGTGCCAAAAATAATGTAATTCTTTTCTGGACCCTAAAGTGCTTCTCATTTTCAGGGGATTCTTGCATTTTTTGAACTGTCTCTGAAAGCTCATTAATTTTGGTGTGAGGTAAATGTCAGCTTAAAACTAAAGGTGACCTTAACGCCAAGGCACCCTAAGACTATTAAAATAAAGAGTGCTCATGAATTAATGAGCCTAATGGACACTCATTCTGTATGCAGAACCTGAGGCTGCAGCTCCCTTTTCCCTCATTCACAGGCTCAGGAAGCCCAGGCATTCCTTAGCCACCAGGTCACAGGGTGTAAGAGAGAGCTATTTGGTTATGAGTTACAAAACGAGTTGGCATTATTATTTTAAATGTTAATCATGCACATCAAAAGCACTTGGGCCACTTCCCAAAATAATGTAATTCTGGCACAAGGGGAGGCAGTGGCTGTGGTGGGAAGAAAGCAGAAATGGCCACGGGAGTACTGAGCCGCCTGTATCACCTTGGTTACTAACCTCTGCTTAGAAAATACAACTGGATCCTCCAGCATTTTCTCAACCCTTTGCCTCCCCTTACAAAAACAAATAAGTACATAAATGAAATGAAGTATTTAAAAAGAAATTGAAGAATCTTTTGTCTCAAACCCTCATGCGTTCATTGCCCTCAAGATATCTCAATGAAAACTATACATCACCCTCAGAATAACGCCTAAAGACAGCTAGCTTTGTTTTCGCATTGAGTTTAGATTTCTTTGGTAGTTATCTACATATGCATAAACATGCACCAGTCTTTTTATTTGCAAATTAATGGTCAGCAATAATGGTGCAGTGAGAGCGCCAAAGGTCTACAATTTAGCTCATGTACACAGCAATGCTCTCTTCACTCTGCTCTGGAATTTTGAAAGTTACTTAGCTATTTTTAGTTCTACTTTAATAAAATATGTAACTTTGAATAACATACTGTAGCTTCAATTTTCTATATCCTAGCAATATTTATTCCTTGTTTTTAGAGTCAGCATTGAGACTGTCAGTTTTCTGTAGGTCCCTTTCCTGCCTGCCCTGGCTCCTAATGTTTCTCGGTTGTGCCGTAACTTACATATCATCAAGATGCATGAAAGAAGAGGCCAAAAGTTCATATTCTGCTCTATAATCGTAAGTAAGTCACCCATAGTTTTACCTACATGTTTATTCTAAAATTTATAATCTGATAAGGAATATTTATATTCATATAATTTTGACCACAGATATTCTTCACTGGAATGCTACAAAGTTAATACTTCCTCTGCCTAATGACCTAATCTGATTACAATGACACCACTCATACAATATGGTGTCCAGGAGAAGTCTCCTGTGTGTATTTCTCACTTCTCAAATTTCTGCCACCTTTTAGTTTGTTTCACGTTTTGAACCTGAATTTCCCTGGAAAACCTGATTTTCTTGCCTTTTTCTTGATGGGAGGGGAAATAAATGCTGGTTTCATCACCTACCTAGTTTTTTCTTCTCATCCATCTTCCCTGTTGCTGGCATCTTCCCTTTCTATTCTGAAAGATGTCCTCTCCTTGAGTGCCATTGGCTCCCTGTGCTTCTTTCAACCACCTTGAATTTTTAGCCTATTGCATTGCTGTTTTCCTGACGTCAGTTTCATTATTCTCCTAGGTTAGCTCTATTCTATCTAATGCTCCGTAATTTTCTGTCTCCTGGTGTTTTCTGTTTGATTTTTTTCCTCAATTAACATTGTCAGAAAGCAACCTATATTTTACACTACTTTCATATTTGACTTTTTTCTCACACATACGATTGCTTCTTAATTCGTTGCAGGTTGCCAGGGAGACCCCCTTGGCTCTTTGAAATCTTCTATCTTCTCTGCATCACTCTGGCCAAAGAGAAATTTAATGCCAATCTCATTTGTGTTGCTTTGGAGGAAACTGGTTATATTTTCTTATCTCTCAAAGCTTTCAGAATCCTGTCTTTATCATTGGTGTTCTTAAATTTGAAGAAGATAATGAGTAGGTGCTTGACTTTTAAAAATTCTTTGTGTTAAAAGTTTGCTAGGTCAATTCACATTTAAGCTTCACGGTCTTTTTGATCTTGGAGACTTCCTTTTTTTAAATTTCATTGATAATTTCATTCTCCATCTCTAGATATTTTTAAACTTTTCTCTTTTTTTCTGGAACTCCTCTTAGTTATAGAAGCATATAACTAAGCTTCCTAAAATTGATCCTCCATACCACACATCCTTTAGCTCATGTTTTCCAGTCTCTTCACTGGGGTTTTTCTATATGAAAGATTTCTTAATCTTTATGTTTTATTTCATCTACTTAAATTGTAATTTCCCAGCCTGGGCAACATGGCAAGACATTTAATTTCTACAAAATTAAAAAATCATCTGGGTCTGGTAGTGCATACCTGTGGTCCCAGCTACTCCCGAGGCTGAAGTGGGAGGACTGCTTGAGCCCAGGAGGTACAGGTTGCAGTGAGCTGTGATCACACCACTGCACTCCAGCTTCAGCAACAGAGCAAGATTCCATCTCAAAAAAAGTTTTACAAAAGGTTAATTTCTGTTGCCATCAATTTGCAGTCTTATTTCATGAGAGTTCTTTTTGTATAATATCTTGTGTTTGTTTTATGCATTATCTAACTGAACCTTTTTGAACACAAAAAGTTATAACTAGCCCGTGTGTCCTGGCTCATGCCTATAATCCCAGCACTTTCAGAGGCTGAGGCAGGAGGATCACTTGAGGTTAGGAGTTCAAGACCAGCCTGGCCAACACGGTGAAACCCCCATCTCTACTAAAAATACAAAAAAATTAGCTGGGAGTGGTGGTACATACCGATAGTCCCAGTCCCAGCTACTTGAGAGGCTGAGGCAGGAGAATTGCTTGAAACCAGGAGATGGAGGTTGCAGTGAGCCGAGACCATGCCACTGTACTCCAGCCTGGGTGACACAGTGAGACTCCATCTCAAAAAAAAAATGCAAACATTTTATCATACGTTTTTCTATTTATTGATTGTGATTGTGATGATTTTCTTTGATACACTAGATGTGAGGTGGCTCTCAATTTTTCTAATGTAGGTGTTAATAAGGCATCAAATGATTGTGGATGAGCTCTGTTATTTTGGTCTTATCACTCTACCGACAAGCTTCACTTCAAGCGATGGAAAAGAGACCTTGATTGTAGCTTAGATTGGTTCCTGTAGTACATGTTTTAGTTGCATTCAGAGAGTTCATTTACATGCATGGAAAATACTAGAGCCTCAGTTTCTGTTTTTGTTTTTTTCCTGGGAGTGAATGTCTATCTTTGTTTACACAGAAGAATAGTATGATTTCATTTTTTGATATTAAGATCTTCAAAGTACCCCACCTTAACAAATCTTAATTGGTCACTATTATTTCTCTAAGGCCTATGTTTGCCAAAACTAGAATCTCCCTTCCAGATTCTGTTTAAAGTTTCACTCATTTCTGCTTTAATTACCATTAAAATATTCGATTAGGTTGGTGCAAAAGTAATTGCGGTTTTTATCACTGAAATGAATGGCAAAACCACAACTACTTTTGCACCAACCTAAGAGAATGCAATCCCATCCAGTTTTTCATGCACCTTTTGTTTTCCAGAGAGTTCTAGACATCACTTGTCTGCTGATGGTCCAGGTTTATTTTCCTTGCTTTTATGGTTATACCACGTTTTGTCTTTTTATCATGATTGCATTAAGATAATAGCAGAAACGTTAGGCAGATATGGGAACTCTTTGACTTCTTGTTCCAGGAAGTCTTCACTCATATCTGAGCAATTCTTCTGGCTATAGTGTGAATATGAAAAAGAATGAGCAAAAGAGGAGCCGTGGGAACAGGGATTATCTAGAAGTAAAATATAGCAGCTGTGGCAGTGGACATGGAAAGTGGGGAGATGGAAGAGCTTTCTGTGAGGTGTTGCCACAAGGCTCAGCAGCTACTACCCACCCCGCATTTTCTGTCTATGAATTGAGGTTACTGTTCTGATGTTATATCTTTTCTAGACCCGTCTTTTTGTGTCTCTGACTTACTCTCTCACACATGTATTTCCCCCACATTTCAACCTGTGGCTCCATCACCCATTTAAATCATACCCCTGTGTCTTGGGGCTTGACTCACCACCCAGGGCTTGAACAGTGATGCCACATTCTTTGGAGTGTGGGAAATAGCTTATCTCCCTAATAGAGACTTGTATTTTGGTTTCTTTCCCGAAATCCAACTTACACCTTCATTGCCCAGAGATAAGAATTCTGACATAGAACAGGCTGCTATGAATTGCTAGAGTCTTCCTACTCATTTCTGAAAGGGCAGCTGGAACATCGCAGCCCTTAGGAATTTGTATTTTGAGTCCTGTGTCCTCCAGGACCTGTCTTCCCCTTACATGATGGATTCACCACACTCTGCCTGCCACTTTATCTAATCTGCTCTTTGTTGCCCAACCTTGTGCCGTTTCTCTATTTCACCTATTGTCTTGTTTTTAATCTTCATCTGTCTTCATGGATCTAAGTTTATCTCTCTTTCCTTGGCTTTCTCTCAGCAACAACCTCTATGGCAGATTTCAATCTCTTTTCAATTTCTGTTACTACAAGGGCTTGTTCCGGTGGTGACTATATCAGTGCATTAACATCTCTTGAGCCTCACCCCATACTGGGGGAATGAAGGGCAGGATAGAGGGCAAAGAAGGAGCTGGCTTTCAAACAGTCCCAGGCAGTTATTTGAGAACTGAGAGCTCAACCAGTAAATGAGCTTAGACTCCTTCATCTATTTTTTTTTTTATGGACTGTTGAAATGATCTTAACTTGTCTGCCTGGCTCCAGTTGCATCCTTATGCCAAACTTGCACCAGAATTATTGTCGTCACACAACAGACCAATTAGGTTTTGCCTACATTCTTATTACAAAGTCATCAAAAATTGTAGCTGCTGCTTAAGAGATTCTTTTGCATGAAGAGATAAGTCTTTCCCCACAGATTTTGAGGGAACTAAAGAAAGTAGGCAGGTTTATCTGTCAGAGAGTGGAAATGGTGGGAGTGGATGCCAAGGAGTGTCAGAGCAGCATCAGGCAACCAGGCGATGCGGTGGAGTAGTGTGGAGGGCCATGTGCTCCCTCCCCTCCACAAGGTCTTCAATGAGGTTAATTAACAGAGCGCGTTCTGAATAGGACTTGATGTGCTCTAGGAAACAGAGGATGAGAGATCTTAGTGTTTGGCTCTGCTGTGATTCAGAAGCAAGAATGCTGCATAGATTCAGGAGCAGAAACTAGGAAGTCAGAGGGATATAAGGTGTAAATGTAAAACTGGTGGGAAAGGCTCTGAGCTTATTGAAGAATTGAAGTTGAAGGTTAGAACAATCAGACCCTACATTACTAAAGAACAGGAGTTCCTGTATCACTCATGTATTGCCTACTCTCGCCTCTGCCTCCTTTAGGGATCCTGTCCATAGCATCCGTGTGCAATGGGGTAAAATGGACATTGAAGTCCAAAGAAGCTAACCTCAAATACACTTCCCCTTATATGCTGTGAGACTTTAAGCAAATACTTTTACTTCTCTGTGCTCCAGTATATTCATCCATAAAATAAAGATCATATTATCTATCATGCAGTGTGACTAAGGAAATTACTTGAGATAAATTGAAAACTCCTGATATCACTATACCTGATTAGAGTTATGTTGCTTTTATCAATTTTGCTCAACTTGTATCTTTCTAATTATTAAGATTCTCCTTATTTCCTGAGGAGCTACTTTCAATGATAGGCAGTTTTGTTCACCAGCGAGTTTTTCTTACGCCAAGCCGATATCAGTACCCCTGCAACTTTTGCTCAGTAGTTCTACAGTAGCTTCCAGAACAATTGAAAGGGGAATGAGTCATCAAAAGTCAGTTGCTTGAACTAGGTCAACATTTATGTGGTCCAGAGGAGACATTAAACTTGAATAACCCACAGATTTCTATTCTCATAGACAGCATTTCCCTCTGAGAATTCATACTAGGTGGGTAGAAATCTTTTTCTCTGGCAGCCAATAAAAATGAGGACAGCAATAAGTATGTAGCTAGATAACCATATCCTACTGTTATAGGGAATTATTTTAATTGTTCTTCATGATAAGAGACAGACCATACCCACAATGGGCTACACAAACAATTTCATATCCTCTTTGAAGTAATTAGAACAGATCATCCTGGTCTCCTGCAACCTTTTGGGAAGCTATCTAAGGCTTTCTCCAAACCTTGAAGACAACTGGGTCAATGTTGTCTTTAATCTAAAGAGTGTTCCGCTTCTCTCTGTGTGTGCAGGTGGCAGCAGGATTCTCTTTGTTAAGCCTCATTGTGAGGCAGCCATATTTGACAGTTGGTGTCTCAAGATGGATGTGTTTTAGCAAGTGCCTTAAGCTTTATGCCTTCAAGATCACTCAGTGAATTTAAGGGAAAACATGCATTACAGAGGTAATTTTACACTTGCCATGCTTAATAATCTTTAATGGTGTACAATCACATTTGTTCTCACTTTCATATCAGCAGACAAACTATGGGGAATACTAAGTAGTTAGACTTACCATTATTATTGCAATCCATCTGATTCTTTTCCTTGTAAATGAATCTTTAATTAGTTAACACTGTGCTCATGCTTGCACACTGCAGCTCTTTAATACAAAGTTCCTGAAATTTAAAATAAACACTCATCTCTAGCATTCTCTTGCCTCTCTGTAGTATAATAGAGGTGTGCCTTACTTGCTGCAAAGATTACTTTTGGTCATGATGATCAACAAGAGTCAAGCATTTAACTTTTTCAGTATCAGACCCTTGAATACCACGAAAGGCATGTGAATAAGCTATTATGGAGCACACTGACTTTAGCAGAGGCAACTCTGATGGTATCTTTGTGATTTGTCCTTCTACCTGCCACATTATCATCAGGTCTCTACAAATAGGATGCCTATAAGTAGCTAGAAAGGGACTCAGCATGTGCACACTGGCCATAAGGTAATGCATATTTACATGGCACCATGTGGAGTTAGAATTCCAAAGCAAGGCATTAATTCACCCATTATTGCAAAATATTTTTTCCCTTTAATATAGTAAGATGAAGAAGAAAAGGACATGACCAAGTAATCTGTTGGTTTGTCTGAGAAGGCAGATACACCAGATGGCTGGAATTCATGGCAGTGGGAAAGAGGAGTGAGGACGTGGCACAGCAGAAATAACACAAGATTTGTGAGGTTTACACATAGGCCTCAGTGTCTTTCTTTCTGTCTTAGCTAAGAGAGAAAAAAGGATGAAGATTATGATGATAGTGGTGAAAATAAAATAGTAGTAGCAAGAATAATATCTAATGGAATGAGACTTAGAGATAAATAATTAAATTCCCTAAGATACAATTCAGTTAGAGGAGGATCTTTATATTAAAATCCAGTCAGTCTGACTTCTGTCTTCAGAAATGAGCATTTCATAAAGACCTAACCGCTATGTCAGGGCACAGGGTTAGAATCTCAGAGATTTCAAGGCCAAGGAGGATGACATAGCACGTTTCATGTCAAGCTTTTCAAAAAAACACATATTTATGTGGCAGGTACTAAACTGAGCAAAGTGGAAGATGTAAAAAACTGGTCCCTGATCGAGAACACCAGCAAGTGATAGAAGGTTGGGTATGTGCATACGTAGGTGACAATCATGAAACATTAATTATAAGAGCTCAAATTCTAAGATTTACCTGTCATATTATAAATAACTTTTGAGTAGCTGAGGATGAGTTTTAAAGTTTGGCAGAAGGAATAAACAATCATGATATATTTGTGGGGACCTGTGCTCTTCTGATTTTCTCCTAAAGGCATAGATATAAGTGTGTGTGTGTGTGTGTGTATGTGTAAATGTGCATATACATGTTTTTTTTTTTCCCAGAATCATTATCATTGTCTGTCTCTAGGTTTTCCCTACTTGAGTTGAATAAAACTTTCCTTAAGCAAACTTTTAATGAGAAATAGTAAATTAAATACTGACTAAATAAATACATATCCACAATACAAAGAGTGAGTTAAATATCTGACTTGTGCTCACATTTTAAATGATTTAAATGTAAAAACAGGAAGGAGTTATGTATTCATTCATTCAAGATATATAGCTAGAGTGCCAACTCTACCATGTGCTATTCTGACAAGCAAGCAAGGCATTGCCAGTTGAGGGTAGAGGGCTGAGGGAGTGGGGCTTCCACATGGCTTGTATTGTGGAGGCCAGAGGAGGGCCCACCCATGCTGATTCATAATCTTGCCAGTCACACAAGGCCTGGCCCTTAGCAAAATAGTCCTCTCTACATATTGCAAAGAGTGTCCACACAAAAGACAAGTTTTCTTGTGTGCATCACATATGATTTTGGTGTGATTTGTCTTTGTGTCAAATAGATAGACAAATAAGATAGCAAAACTTCTTCTAGCTTTGATTTCTATTAGTGAATTTCTAATACTGTACCATTAGGAAGTGAAGGGCTCTAACAGTACAACTCTTCTTGCTGGCATGAAAAAAGCTAGGCCTTACCTGAATGCTAACATTTGAATGGGAATACAGTAGGAAGGAGGAAACAAGCAAACCACCAAATAAAATCCCCAATATGGGGCCACCATGGAGAACATAGTTGACAAGAAATGTGCCAAAAGCAATTTACAGATTCAATGCTATTCCTATCAAACTACCAAGATCATTCTTCACAAAATTGGGGAAAAAATTCTAAAATTCATGTGGTACCAAAAAAAAAGCCGAAATCACCAAGGCGACCTAAGCATAAACTATCCAACTTAAAAGTATACTACAAGGCTATAGCAACCAAAATAGCTTGGTACTGGTACAAAACCAGGCACATAGACTAAGGGAACAGAATAGAAACCTCAGGAATAAAGCCACACACCTACAGCCATCTGATCTTCAGCAAGGCCAACAAAAACAGGCAATGGGTAAAGGACTCCCTGTTCAATAAATGGTGCTGAGATAACAGGCTACTCATATGCAGAAAAATGAAACTAGACATTTACCCTTCACCATGTATAAAAAGTAACACAAGATGAATTAAAGATTTAAATGTAAGACCTTAAAATATAAAAGCCCTAGAAGAAAAGCTAGGAAATACCTTTCTCTACATCAGCCTTGGCAAAGAATTTAAGGCTAAGTCTCCAAAAGCAATTGCAATAAAAACAAAAATTGACAAGTGGACCCTAACTAAAGAGATTCTGAACAGTAAAAGAAACCAGAAACAGAGTAAACAGACAACCTACAGAATGGGAGAAAATATTCACAAACTATGCATCTGAAAAAGGTCTAAGATCCAGAATCTACAAGGAACTTAAACAAATCAGCAAGCGCAAAAACAACACCAATAAAAAGTGGGTAAATCTATGAACAGACCCTTCTCAAAGAAGACATACAAGCAGCCAACAAACATTGACAAAAATGCTCATCATCACTAATGAAATGCAAATAAAAACCACAATGAAACACCATCTCACAGCAGTCAGAATGGCTATTTTTAAAAAGTCAAAAAACAACAGATGCTGGCAAGACTGTGGAAAAAGTGGAACACTTATACACTGTTGGTGGAAATGTAAATTAGTTCAGCTACTATGGAAAGCAGTTTGGAGATTTTTCAAAGAACTCAAAATAAAACTACCATTTGACCTAGCAATCCTATTACTGTGCATATACCCAAAGCAGTATAGATAATTATACCAAAAAGACACGTGCACTCATATTTTCATCACTTCACTATCCATAATAGCAAAGACATGGAATCAATGCAGTTGCCCATCCAGGATGGACTGAATAACAAAAAATGTGAGATATAAATACCATGGAATTGGCTGGATCATCATGGAAGACGGGAGGCAGGACTAGATTGCAGCTCCGATTTGGACGGACAGAGCAGCGTTCAGAGGCTCACACTGTGAATTTTAGCTCCAGATCAACTGCAAGAACAAACCAGCAATCCCGAGAGGACCCACAGATCCTCTGAAAGAAGCGGACTGCTCTTGCAGGACTTGGGAGATGCCCCAGATACTCAGCTGCAGCAAGACTTGGCCAAGGAGAGTCTAAGCTCAGACACACCTAGCTCTGTTCCTGCCCGATGGTCCTTCCCTATCCACCCTGTTAGCTGAACACAAAGGTCATATAATCTTGGTAGTGCTAGGGCCCCGCTCACCACCAGTTTCTCTCCAAACTACCATAGCTGATGCTTTATGGAAAGCACCACCTCCCAGCAGAAGGCCAACCAGCACAAAAATACAGCATTAAACCACCAAAGGTAAGAAACCTCACGGAGTCCATTGCACCCCCCTGCCACATCCATTGGAACAGGCACTGCTATCCACAGCTGATAGACCCATAGATAGTTCACATCACTGGACTCTATGCAGACAACCCCCAGTACCAGCCTGGGGCCAGGTAGACTTGCTGGGTGGCTAGACCCAGAAGAGAGACAACAATCACTGCAGTTCAGCTCGAAGGAAGCCACATCCATAGGAAAAGGGGGAGAGTATACATCAAGGGAACACCCCATGGGACAAAAGAATCTGAACAACAGCCTCCAGCCCTAGACCTTCCCTCTGACAGAGTCCACCCTAATAAGAAGGAACCAGAAAACCAACTCTGGTAATATGAAAAAACAAGGTTCTTTAACACCCCACGAAAATCACACTAGTTCGACAGCAATGGATCCAAACCAAGAAGAAATCCCTAATCTACCCAAAAAATAATTCAGGAGGTTAGTTATTAAGCTAATCAGGGAGGCACCAGAGAAAGGCGAAGCCCAATGCAAGGAAATCCAAAAAACGATATAAGAAGTGAAGGGAGAAATATTCAAGGAAATAGATAGCTTAAAGAAAAAACAATAAAAAATTCAGGAAACACTGGACACACTTACAGAAATGCAAAATGCTCTGGAAAGTCTCAGCAATGGAATTGAAAAAGTAAAAGAAAGAAATTCAGAGCTTGAAGACAAGGTCTTTGAATTAACCCACTCTATCAAAAACAAAGAGAAAAGAATAAGAAAATATGAACAAAGCCTCCAAGAAGTCTGGGATTACATTAAACAACCAACCCTAAGAATAATTGGTGTTCCTGAGGAATAAGAGAATTCTAAAAGCTTAGAAAACATATTTGGGAGAATAATCAAAGAAAACTTCCCTGGCCTTGCTAGAGACCTAGGCAACCAAACTTAAGAAGCACAAAGAACACCTGGGAAATTCATTGCAATAAGATCATCTCCTAGGCACATTGTCATCAGATTATTCAAAGTTAAGACAAGGGAAAAAATCTTAAAAGCAGTGAGACAGAAGCACCAGGCAACCTGTAAAGGAAAAGCTATCAGATCAGCAGCAGATTTCTCAGCAGAAACCTTACAAGCTAGGAGGGATTGGGGCCCTATTTTCAGCCTCCTTAAACAAAACAAATTATCAGGCAAGAATTTTGTATCCAGCAAAACTAAGCATCATATATGAAGGAAAGATACAGTCTTCTTAGACAAACAAATGCTGAGAGAGTTTACCACTACCAAGTCACCACTATAAGAACTGCTAAAAGGAGCTCTAAATCTTGAAACAAATCCTGGAAACACATCAAAACAGAACATCTTTAAAGCATAAATCAAACAGGACCTATGAAACAAAAATACAAGATAAAAAACAACAAAAAAACAAAGTACACAGACAATAAATAGCACAATGAATGCAATGGTATCTCACATCTCAATACTAACATTGAATGTAAATGGCCTAAATGCTCCACTCAAAAGATACAGAACCGCAGAATGGATAAGAGTTCACCAACCAACCATCTGCTGTCTTTAGGGGACTCACCTAACACATAAGGACTCACATAAACTTAAAGTAAAGTGGTGGAAAAAGACATTTCATGCAAATGGACACCAAAAGTGAGCAGGGGTAGGTATTCTTATATCAGACAAAACAGGCTTTAAAACAATAGCAGTGAAAAGAGACAAAGAAGGACATTATAATGGTAAAAGGCCTGGTCCAACGGGAAAATATCACAATCCTAAACACATGCTTCTAACACTGGTGCCCCCAAATTTATAAAACAATTACTAATAGACCTAAGAAATGAGATAATGGGGGACTTCAATACTCCACTGACAGCACTAGACAGGTCATCAAGAGAGAAAGTCAACAAAGAAACAATGGATTTAAACTATACCTTGGAACAAATGGGCTTAACAGATATATACAGAACATTTCATCCAAAAACCACAGAATACACATTCTATTCAACACCACATGGAACTTTCTCCAAGACAGACCATATGATAGGCTATAAAACTAGCCTCAATAAATTTTAAAAAATTGAAATTATATCAAGCACTCTCTCACACCACAGTGGAATAAAACTGGAAACCAAATCCAAAAGGAACCTTCACAATCATGCAAATACATGGAAATTAAGTAACCTGCTCCTGAATGAGCATTGAGTCAAAAACAAAGTCAAGATGGAAATTAAAAAATATTTTGAACTGAATGACAGTAATGACACAACTTATCAAACCCTCTGGGATACAGCAAAGGCAGTGCTAAAAGGAAAGTTCATAGCCCTAAACACCTACAGCAAAAATACCGAAAGGGAACAAACTGACATTCTAAGGTCATACCTCAAGGAACTAGAGAAACAAGAACAAACCAAGCCCAATCCCAGCAGAAGAAAGGAAATAACCAAGATCAGAGCAGAACTAAATGAAATTGAAACCAGAAAAGAATACAAAAGATAAATGAAACAAAAAGCTGGTTCTTTGAAAAGATAAATAAAATTGATAGAGCATTAGCAAGGTTAACCAAGAAAAGAAGAGAGAAAATCCAAATAACCTCATCGAGAAATGAAAAAGGAGATATTACAACAGACACCACTGAAATACCAAAGATCATTCAAGGCTACTATCAACACCTTTACACACGTAAACTAGAAAACCTGGAAGAGATGGAGAAATGCCTGGAAAAATACAACCCTCCTAGCTTAATCAGGAAGAATTAGATACCCCAAATGGACCAAAAGCAAGTAGCAAGATTGAAATGGTAATTAAAAAATTACCACCATAAAAGTCCAGGACCAGATGGATTCACAGCAGAATTCTACCAGACATTCAAAGAAGAATTGGTACCAATCCTATTGACACTATTCCACAGGATAGAGAAAGAAGGAACCCTCCCTAATTCATACTATGAAGCCAGCATCACCCTAATACCAAATCCAGATTTTAAAAAAGGACATTTTAATAGCAGTTCCAAAAAAGGGAAAATCCAAATAAGTAACAAGGACATGGAGTGTTTTTTAAAAAATCAACTAAGAATGAGAGAAAAGTTCGCTAATATGATGAGATGCCACATTATTGCAATAAGATTAGTAAGAATTATAAAGACCAGTGTTGCTAGAGTCTGTGAGGATAGGGAGAACCGAGAACATCTGTGCAAAGCTGATGGAAGAGAAATTTGATACTGCCATTCGAGAGCACATTTTGTCAATTGCTCATAACCTATGGCCCAACAATTCCACTTCTGAAAATAAATCACAATTATGCACTGGAAGTTTATAATGCAACCTGAACAAAAGTATTTATTAAAGCATTATGTTTACGGAGAGCTGAAGGCAATGTAGAGACTGGATATAAGGTCGTTACAAGGAATACTGTGGATGATCATGTAGCATTTAGAAGCAAAAATCTAAACTTACATAACGTGACATTTATTTTCCTCAAACAGAATGATGGATGAAAAATTGACAAATAGAAGATGTCCTTCAATATCATTGAGATAAGTTAATAATAAATGCAAAAAACAACATTATTTATTTTACAAGTGATGGATATGTCTACAGGCTTATGCTCAACACATTAAGTGCCAGTGAAATAGCGGAGGAATAGGGATGGAGATCAAGGTAAAGGAGAGAAAATTCAAGAAAGTCATGTGATATGGACATAAGGTGATTGTGTACCATGAACTGAGAAATATGATGCAGCCTGAGAGGATGAAGAGAAAGAGCTGGTGTTAAACTCATAAATATCATAAGGTAAATAAGCACACCACCATGAACATTAGGGACTTTTAACATTTATTACAAGACACACAGGAACACAAAGCACTTCATCTGTATTGCACATAGCTTCAGCCACCACCCAGCCAGGGGTAATTAAAGCTAAGTCCACAGCAGCCACAGTTCCAGTTCCCGTATTATTGCTCCATCCACACAGCAGTGGGACTGCTTTGCTCCTGCTCTCATGCTGAGTCTTGTGCTGACCCAGTTACTCTCTGCCTCTGTGTCTGCTACACCTGCTGCTAACGACTCTCTGGTGAGTGCCTCCGATTCAAACTCCCTAAGAGACAATCTAACTGGTGTGACCCATCACCCTGAACTATCTAAGCCTACATGGAGCACTTTTCTTTTAACTAGTGACTACATAAACTGCTGAGCACGCTCCAGGTGGCACCTTTCAGGTAAGTCCTGCTTTCCCGGACAAATTTCGTATGACTAGCATCATCTCTTCTGGCTGTCCTATGCCTTGAACTCTTTGGGCACATCCAAGGGGTCATCATTACTTCACTGCTGCAATGTGACTACACTTGCGTGATGCTTGTTCATTGCTGCATTATCTGCAGTCAACATGGCCAGTTTGTGCCCGTGGCAGAGTAAACATCTTATGTCTTGAAGTTGCCTATCAGATATGGATGGCAGTGCTCTTGTGCTTGCTAAAAGCCCTTTTTACAGCCGTAAAAGGTGGTTATGCTTGTAATTCAGAGTAAAGTGGTCACATATTTTAAAAAGGCTTGACAAATCCTTAGTTGTGTTTCCCTGTGAACTGGCTGGACCTCACTCTCGGTAGGGAGAATTAACATTACCACCAACCCCCTCTCCCATGAGGAACTGAATAGACTCAGGAAACCTTGCTCACTTAACATCTTCCAGCCTGCTATAAGTTGATACGATTTTCCAAGAATGCAGTCTTTGTATTATTTTAGTAAGCAACGACTTATTCCAAATATTTATGTCTGAGTAATAATTTTATCAAATCTCCCATCCAGTCCTTGGGGGGCTACCCCAGCATATGGAACATATATTCATCTTAGCTGAGAGAAGGGCTCTATGCATGGCAGACACTCAGAGTGGCCACAGATCCCCTCCATAAAAAAAAAAAAAAAAAAACCTCGACAATTCTACTATCTAAAATAATATGTAGAATTATATAAACATAGATGCATACTTTAGACATTATTTGTAATATATTTCTAGCTGAGGTGGAGTAGCAAGGACCACATTTGCCCTCCCATCTTAACAACAACAGATAATGGAGGAAATATATGAAACTAGGTTTTGAAGACATTGGATACCAGGCAATGGAAGATAATGATCACTAAGAGATAAGAAGCAAATCATGAAAACATTCTGATTGCCCTTTCTTAGTGCCTTTGGAGGGTCCCTATACTGTGGCAGAGGGAGGGGTGACCCAGGCAGACCTCAGAGTTCACCCTGATTGAGGAGACAGAGCAGGTTTAGGAGATGAAATTGGCTATAGTGTGTAGGACAGAGAGGAAAGAGATGTACAGAATAAGAACTCTGAACAGCTGCAGAGGGGCTGCATTGAGTATTCTGCAGAGAACTGATGGATGCACATGTGTGAGGAAACCGCTTAGAGTGGGAAAGAACCAGCTGAGGGAATCACAGGGAGTAGAGCCTGGTGCTCACACAGGCATGGGAATAGTACCTGTTCCCATCAGGCTGAGGGAATATGGTACAATTCATACTCAGGGTACTACAAAGCAGGATGGGAATCGGGAGACAGACGCAAGGCAGCCTGGGAGCAAAGTTAAGGAGACACTCACTTTTGAGTTCATATAAGTGAGGACTGGCACATCAGAGCAAGTGCCTCCTTAAATACAGCAGCCTACTGCCCCCATCTCAAGTAGGCATTTCTGCCCAGGCAGGACTTACAGGAGCCCAAGCAGGAGCACCTTGCATCTGCACCCTAGATGCCTCACTTGTCTTACCCTAGTCCTAGCTCCACTTAGAAGATAGGAATAACTTGTCACAGGGTAACCACAGCTATGATGCCTTTATAAAAAGAAACCTTAAAAGAGGATCCAGAAAAATCAACCTGTTTTCAAATAATTTAACTGTATCCCAATTCAAAACTAAATAATATTTATAGAAATGCAAAAATAGCCAGTACCTACCCAAAAATATGAAGTTCTCTATGTCTGGCAATGCAAAGAAGTAGGAAAAATATAACCCATATTAAGGAGCAAAACCAACCCAGAATTGACACAGATGTTAAAATACTACAGAAAGACATTAAAGCAAGTATTATAATTGCATTCCATACGTACAAAAGTTAACTGGAAGCACGGAAGTTGAAAAAAAACAACCCAGGGCAATAATATAAACTACAAAAAAGGAAGCACAGGGAGAAAAAAAATGAATGAAAAGAAACTCATTGAGCTGTGGAACAAACTATGGGGGGAAAAGTGACAGAAAAAAATGAAGAAATGATAGCTGAAAAATTCCCAGATTTGATGAAAACTGTAAGCCTAAGACTCAATAAGCTAAATGAACTCCAATTACAAGAAATATGAGCAAAACCATACGAAGACACATTATAATCAGACTGCTCAGAAAACATGACAAGGGGAAAATTGTAAAAGAGGTGGGAAGAGACACATGACATATGGAAGGAAAAGTGGAAATGAAAGGGGCTTTTTAGTCAGAAACCATGGCAGTAAGAAGACATTTGGGCAGTATCTTTTAACTACTTAATAAAATAGTAAACTAGAGTTGTATACAAGAAGGATTTTCAAAAATAGATGTGAAATAAACTGTTTCAGATGCACAAAATCTCAAAGAATTCGTTATCACAAACTTGTACTAAAATAAGTATCTTAAAAAGTCATTTTTATGGCAAATAAGTTCTGTATGTGCAAAGATGTTCAACAGTGTTAGTCATCAGGGAAATGCGGATTACAACCCCAGTGAGATACTACTACAGACCTACTGGAATGGTTAAAATTAGAAAGTTTGATCACATCAAGTTTGTCAAGCATGTAGTACAACTGGAGCACTCATACACTGCTGGTAGAAAAATGGTAGTCACTTTGGGACACAAGTTGTCTCTAAAAGATTAAACATACACCTACCATATGATCTGGCCATTCTACACCTAGATATTTACCTAAGAGAAAAGAGATGAAACATACATCCATACAAACACTTGTGCACAGAGAGTCGCAGCAACTGTATATTTAATAGGCCCAAACTGGAAAATAACCAATGTACTTCAACAAGGGAAGGCAAAAAGAAAATGTAGCATGTACACATAAAGGGATACTATCCAGCAGTAAAAATAAGTGAACAACTGCTACACTCAATCACATGGATGAATATCAAAATACTCACCCCGGTGAAAGAAGCCAGGTAATAGCAAGGACATACTGTACTATTCTGTCTCTATAATACTTTACAAGATTAAAACTATTCTTGATTGACAGAAAGGAGATCAGTGGCTGTTGAGGGAGGGGTGATCAGAGAAGGGCAGGAGAAATTAACAAGACTCATGAGGAAACATCTAAGGGTAAGGTATATGTTTATTATGTTGAGTGTAGTAGCACCTTCACGTGTAGGTACATATATCTAAATTTACCATCTTGTATGCTTTATACATGTGCGGCTTATCGTATGTTAATTATATTTCAATAAAGGTGCTGAAATATCATTATAATTATGAAATTCCAGTAACAATTTTAATGTGAAGCAACAGCAGAGTGGTTATATTTAGCATGGTATCATTTGTATACTGCAATATTATGCAATAGTTAAAAGCAATGTTTTGGAATTAAATTTGTTGATGTTGAATAATGTTTATAATATATGAAGTTAAAAAGCAAGTTGACTAATTTAATATCATTTGGTCACATTATAATATCATGTATCCATTGAAACAAATTAAAATAAATGCTAAAAACAGTTGTTTTTGAATTCAAGTATTCTGAGTATCTTTTTAAAATAATTTTCTGCATTTTATCATTCTGTTAAAATGAATACTTGTATGATAAAATATTTTCACAAAATATTACTGGTAAGAAAAAGTATTCAGGTATGTATCGTAAGATATAAAAAAATCAAAAGTTTCATTCGTGGACTCCCCTAGTACAGAGTTCTCCTCTTAATAAGCACACAGTAACTCTCCCACTTTACAGAGATGAAAGTTAAACCCAATGGAGACAAATCACTTGCTTAGTGCCACACTATTTTTAAGTGTCGCCAACATGGGCAGGTTGACAGAACTCGGTCCCATCTATCTGTAGTGTAATGCATCTTCTATGATAACAAGTCCAATGCAAGCTAAACTTTCTTTTCATCCATCAATCTTTAGGCCTTCCTTAGAAAGCCACCTTCTATCTGAAAAACTTCTTCAGAGAGACAATCAAAGGAGTTATTTAGGAGCCCCTTCAATCTAGTCTAAATAATACAAACCAGCATAAACAATTACCCCATTTGACTAAGAATATTGGTTCCTTTCATTCAATGTCATTTTTCATTCAATATTTTTTTTTTTCTTTGCCATTTGTACCAAGCAATGAAATACTTTCAGAGGGTATAGTGAGGGAGAAAGAGATGCTAACCACCTTTGAGGATAGTTCAGTTCTCTTGCTCTGCACTCCACCCATGTCCTTTGGAAGAAGCAATTTCATAGTGTTGACCCTTGTGTGACATCCATGTACTGTTCTCTGATCAGGAGTAAAGTGGCTTAAAAGATTGAAATGAACTGATGGTCATTATGTCCATCAATACTGACAAGTGTGGGATCACTGCATGACAGATAGGTGCATTTACTAGATGAAATGTTTAATGGCTATTATTTTATTGTTTTTCTGGCTCAGAGCCAGAGATAAACTTAACATACTGGTCATGCTGTCCTTCACAATGTCCTGTCAAGTTTTCACTCCATATATGCTGCATAACAGGAGACTATGTACCAATTAAACCCTTTGCAATGATTTCCTGAGGAAACAAAGGGTTTTTAATATCATTCTATATGTGGAAAATATCGTCGTCATACATAAGTCTTATAATACAGACTCACATAATATTTTAAAATTGTTTACATCGTTTCTCTTACAAAGGATGAAATCAAGATGCTTGTTCAACATCACACAAAAAGCTATTGTCAGAAGCAAGGGCAGAACTTAGGTCTTTTGTGTTCTGATTCTCCAAAGTGTCTCTGAAACAATTTTATCTGACGCTAACAATAAATGTGTGCATAAAAGATTTACCAGTTATTTTTCAGACAAAATGAAGAGTTGACTTTACCTCATGTTGAATATAAATAAACTAGCTTATACTTTCTGTAGTTTTCAGAATGTTTGATTTTGTTTAAGACATAACAAGCTCAATAAATTAACATTGATCTGTATTTTAGGGAAAGGTACACTTTTACATACAGATTAAAGACATATTATTAACACACGTTAATAAAATTATTTTTAATACATACTATTAATAGCAATAATAAAAAGTGACTATTACATTATTTTTCATAGTCAAGTCAAAAGCTATTATTATTCATCCATCTGGCAACATTCCTCTCATTATGTCATGAAATGTCATGATTCATAGATGTCCTCCAATTGATATCATGTGCTGTATATATACTAGCATTAACTTAATTGAATTACATTATTGGCTTACCTTGAGAATTATTATATGAACTGGCCTCTATTATTTTATTTACTTTTAGAGGCTTTATTGATGATAATATTTAAAATGTTAGTCTTCTTTTCAAAGAAGACATGATGTAAATATCTCTTAGGTATCATGAATAGAAAGAGTTATGTTGCTAGCCATTAGTTTGTCTTTATTTTTTATTCATGTTTTGATCTTCTTTCACTCTTTATAGTGGGTTCAGGAAAGTTCAGTGTTACCTTTAACTGGCATATATATGCATTTCACATATTATCCTTAGCTTTGGATTCTCTACTTATTTTATCCTTGCCCATATTTCCTCAATTATATTCAGTCAATAACATCATATATTTTTTATTTCATCTAAGGTCTAAAACATAATTTTTAGAACGTAATCCCTTATGTAAGTTAAGTTTAAAAGCACATTTATTTATATTCTGATATAAATAAACATTGATAGAGAATTTTTGATTAAATGCAGTGAACTGAATACATACATTGATCTCCACTTTCTTCAGAAAACTCACTAAAATTGTAGCAAAAGAGCAAAAAATATATACATTCACATAAGCTAAGAGGATAGGATAGGTGACAACTGAGGAATGATATTCTCACTTTTTTGGAAAATGTAAAAGAAAGGTGGTGGGTAAATAGTGTAGCAGAACAGAATGCAAAAGAGAAACATGGAACTTTCCAGAACTAACCTTGTGAAGCTACAGGAGCCAGAGACACTAGGAAGTTAGGCAGGCATGGCTAAGGTTAAGACTGAAAAGGAGGGATGATTTAAAGTCTGAATAAAAACACTTAGAACCTTAGGTCTCATGTTCCCACCATAGCTGAGAACAAAGGTTTATTCTCTAGAGACCCTTAACCAGGGAAAATGTGGACTCTGAGACTCCCAGCACCACAGGGGAGTTGTTCAAAACCCTTTTAGAGAAACCCATCCATCAGCAAGCCCCTCCCATCTCATAGAAGTTCCCATCTGATTATAGAGTTTTGCTCTTGATTCAGGATGGACAAACACATGAGGAAAATTTCTAATGATGAAAGCAGAAAGAAAAAACAGAACTCTGAAAAAGCAAATGCAATGCAGAGATCCAAAAAATAAAATTTCAAAATTAGTTTATAAGATCAGCAAAATAATATATTGCATATATGTTCTGTTTATCTATTACTGTATAACATACTGCCACAGAATTTAGTGGTTTGAAATAATTATTATTATCCTTTGTTGTTCTAGGAATTGGCTGTACAGTTCTTGTTTAAAGTCACTCATACGTTGCAGTCAGATGGCGACTGGGTTTGGAAGCATCTTAAGGCATCCTCACTGACACTGTGATCTGATGAATCCTCTCACTATATGACCTCTCCACATTACCCTGGGCTTCCTGTTGTCTGCAGTCTCAGGGTAGTCAGACTTACACTATGCCGACTTCATGCAGGAGACATGCTCTAAGAAATAGAAAAATTCCTATCTCTGAGGACCTTGGCTTAGAAACTGGCACAGTGTTTCTTCTACCAAATTGTATCGGTCAAAGCCATCTCGAGGAACAACACATTAGCAGTGTGTCTTATATCCCCCACCCAAAGAAAGCCACCAAAACATGGCACTTTCTGTGACACAACCCAGCAACAAATGATGGTCCAGGCAGGTTTATCCATCCCTATGCCGTTGCTGCCCCCCACCCCCACACATCCAATCTAACAACTGTCTCTCTGACAACAATCAGGTGACACCAACACCACTAGCAAGGAAAGATTGATTGAGACCCCTGCTCATAATAAGCAGCAGGAAAGCATTCTCTTTCACTGAGATTCCCTGTCCTGCTGAGAGAGGAGGCGGAAAAGTGAAATGGCAAATAGGGTCCAAAGTACAGCAAGCAGCCTAGCTAGGGAAGCCTCTTTGTCTCCAGGGTAACAAGACTTTTCTCTACCTAGAGAAACTGAAGCAGTGGGAGGGAGAGGAGTCGGGGAATGACAGCTCTAGGCAAGATCCTAGCATCAAGAAACATCCTTCCCCCATAGAAAGACATCTGGTGGTACAACCTGGGGAGACCACATCCACTCCCACAGGCCACACAAGTAGGGAGCAGTGGGAGCCTCAGAGGCGCCCAGTGAACCAACTACATGAAAACAATGTCTCAAAGGCTCCAAAGATTCATTAGTCACGGGAACTACAGCCCATAAAAGCAGGTTAAAACCAACAAATCAACAGGTTTGTTGCCAGCAAACCTGTCCTCAATGGTTGGTTGTAGGAAATTCTTCAAAAAGGTAACCTAAATGGTGCAACTGCCTGATAATATAAAAGATCTAAATAACACCCAGATGATAGATATGTTAAATAGCTTGATTTTGATAGTTATTTCTGAACGTGTACATATATTAAAACATTATACCTTTATACTTCAATAAATGTGCTAAAATATCATTGTAATTATGAAAATCTGGTAACGATTTTAATGTCAAGCAACAGCAGAGTGGTTATATGTAGCAGGATACCATTTATATACTGAAATGTTATGCAATAATTAAAAACAATGCTTTGGAATTAAATTTGTTGATGTTGAATAATGTTCATAATATATTGTTAAGTTAAAAAGCAAGTTGACTAATTCAATACCATTTGGTAACAGAATAAAGTATGTACACTTTGAAATAAATTTTAAAAATTAAACACTAAAAATAGTTATTATACATATATATAATTTTTATTTGTCACTTACAGCTCAAAAAAGGACAATAAATTAATAAACGGCACCCAGAGTCTACTAACATAATAGACAAAGTATCCAGGATATAAGAAAAAAATACAATTACCCAATGTACCAAGAACCAGGAAAATCCCTACTTGAATGAAACGAAGCCTATTGAGAAAGTCAGTGAGATGAATCAGATATTGGGATTATCTGACAAATATTTTGAAAGCCGTTAGAGAGAAATGGCACAGATAGGGGAACACTAACTCGACTGAAAGCAGATTTCTCAACAAAAACCATGGAGTTATAAGTAACTGGCACAATATTTTTCAAGTGCTGAAAGAGAAGACATAGATTTCTTTATGTAGTGAAACTATCCTTCAGGAATGGAGAAATAAAAGCGTTCTCAGATGAAGGAAGAGTAAAAGGATTTGTTGCCAGCAAACCTGTCCTCAATGGTTGGCTGCAGGAAGTTCTTCGAAAAAGAAAAAAGTAGGTTCTGGGGGATGGGGAGGGGTGGAATTGATAAGAGAAAGAATCTTGAAGCATCTGGAATGAAGAAGGAAAGACAGAAAACAATAATATGGGGACACACAATAGACTAACCTTTCCCCCTTGAGTTTAAAAAATCATATTTGACCATAGAAATTAAAATAATATTATTTGATTAAAAATATATTTAAAAGAGGAGAAGCTAAAGGGACCTAAGTGGAAGTAAAATTTCCACACTTCACTCGAAGTAGTAAAACGTAGATGGCAGTAGACTCATGTCAGGGTAACATGTTGATAGCAGGGGACTGTTATGTTCTATTTGTTGTATATTGCTGTATGTAGAGAAACTGCTACTGAACTATACAAAAAGATACATAGAAAAACATTATATATAGGTCAAGGGTAACCCACAGAAAGACAACAAAAGAAAAATCAGGGGAAGCAAAGAAAATATGATAATAAAATGGAAAACTTAGGCATTAACATAGTGATACTACCTTTCATATAAATGTTCTAAATACACTAATTGAAAGAGCAGAAATTTCACTCACTAGTATAAATATTGTAAGCCAAAAATAAAAATCCTATGCCCCTAATCAACTGAGTGGACCCCCTCTTGGCCAAGCAAACCACAGGGAGACCTGAAAAACTGAATTACCAGTCATAGCAGGAAGAGACGTTGGACGCACCTCATTATACCTTCTCCGTTTTGGAATTTAGGCACAACTGACTAGCATTAAAATTAAAAATAGACATCATAAGTCTGACAAAACAGACTTTTCATGGTACTAAGATACCAAATTATAAATAAGAGCTAAGGTGAGGATTAAGTCACACCCTACAAACCATAAAATCTCCTTAAATTTTTTTAAAAAATTATCCTGGTATAATGTGGCTGACTTTCCAACCTGACTCCAGTATAGCATCACATGACAGACAGAGACTGAAGGAAAAAAAAAATATTACCCCAAAATATATGTCTTTGACATATTTTGAAACGGCCCTGCAAAGCCATCTTTTTGTGGCGGAAATTTGCTTCTATAGAGAATCTCCACTAATATTGCCAGGTCTTTCCCAGATCTAGCAGAGATTAATTGAGAACTTGACACTCTTAAGGTCTGAAAAGAGACACTTACCATCTATTCTCTCTGAGGGCTGCCACCTATGAGGCTTCATCTTCATAACAAGGTCCTGGGCCCCCACAATCCCTTTATCTTAATTCAAGCATTCCTTCCTACTGAATTCAAGTCTTTAGAAAATACCTTAACTCTCACAAACAATTGTCAACTAAAAAATTCCTAAAACCCTAAAGAATCCTTGTAAGCCCCTGCCTCAAGATGTCCCACCTTTGGGGGCCAAAACAATGTATACCTTCCATGTATTGATTTATGTCTTTGCCTGGAACTCTCATCTCCCTAAAATGCATAAAACCAAACTGTAACCCTACCACCTTGGGTGCACTTTCTCAGGACCTCTTGAGACTATGTTCTCTGGGCCTTGGTCACTCATTGGCTCAGAATAAACCTCATTTAAATATTTCGTAGTGGCTGGTTTTCTGTTAACACTGAATTGCATAAGGGTGTCAGCTCTTGAATTTGGAGATGTGCTGTACAAACATTGTTTTGTAACGTTTTAGCTGAGAAAGTTTGAAGAAGTTACTTAATTTGTCTGAAGCTTAAGTCTATTCATATATAAAATAGGGATGGTGGCACCTAACTCATATACAGTGAGCACTTAGTAAATGGTGGCTATGTCTAAGAATAAAACCTAGTAACATAAGTTTATCGTACTCATAAAATGGTTAGAATGGCAGTATAATGTAGAGAAATAGACAAGAAAACTTAAAAGAAACAGTGATGATAGCTTTTGAGTAGAGTGAGAGAGTATGTTGAGGGCCACCTCCTGACGATCTTGTCATTCGGAATTCAGTGAAGGAAACAGAAAACACTCTAAGTTTAACACATGAAGAGAGTTAGTTTTCCAGAAGAGATAGACTTTTGTTTCTCTCTTGCACGAGAGTAGAAACGTTAAGTGGGCTAAAGATAGTAGACAACAGAGATTTATTTTCTCACAGTTCTGGAAGCTGGAAGTGTGAAGTCAAGGTGCTCACAGGACATTCTTCCTCTGTTGGCCCTGGGGAAGAATCTTTCCTGGACTCTTCCTTGTCCTTGGTGGTCATTGGGAATCCATGGCATTCCTTGGTTTGCAGATGTATCGATCCAATCCCTGCCTCTGTCATCACATGGCTATCTTCCCTGTGTTTGTCCATGTCTAAATGTCTCTCTCTTCATAACAACACTGGTGATTAGAGTTAGGGCCCACCCTAATTCAAGATGATGACATGATTTTATTTAAATTGATTGTACCCACAAAGACCCTATTTCTAATTAAGGCCACATTCACAAGCACCAGGGATTAGGACTTTAATGTATCTCTTTTGAGAGCACAATTCAACACACAACACAAATCAAGCCAAATAAAGAGCAAAATGATTTTTTATCGAACTTATAATTTTAAATAAAATGTTTTTTCATTGAAATATAACTTTACATGCAGAAAAATATCAAAATTGTCAATGTATAGTTCATTGAATTAAGTTAGCAAATAAATAATGTATCCACCCAGATTTTAAAAAATGGAAGAAGGTCAATAAAACTTGAATGGCCTCTCCTACGACACACCCAGCCATGTTCCTCCCACATGAAAGTTAGCCATTATTCTGGCTTCAATTAGCACAAGACACTTTTGTCTGTTTTGAATTTTTAATAAGAAAATGATACAATACTTGCTCTTATTTCTGAGCATTTTCATTGAATTTGGTTTTTATCAGTGTATCCTTGTAGCAGACCCTCCAGGAATGACTCTCAAAATGCTACAGAATTGACCCAGGTGGATAGTCACCACCATGAATCTATCAGTCAAACTACTGAGTCCAAGAACAAAATACTTCAGCTGTGATCTTAGAATTGAAAAGCCTAAAGCAGGAAACTGTAATCACCATCAGTGCCACATACCTTCGTGCCTCTTGGACATCAAGGGTGAAAAGAGACTGCATGCTAAAATACTATGACACTGCCACAGAAGAACCTTACAATGTGACCTGAAAGCAACTGAATAACAGAATCTATGTGACATCAAGAAGCATAGCTGCAAAGGAATCTGGGAAATGCAGTCTTTATTAGTCCATTCTCTGAAGTAGCAGATGGTGTCTGAGATTGAGGGCAGCATGGAAATGGAGCAAGCAGTCCACAGCCTCTGTTCACAGTGACAAACAGCAAAACATGCATAAAGGAGCTGAGGATTGTGCTGGGTTCTGAGAGACAAGGGAGTACTTTCTGGGAGGACAATGATTGAGGGGCCTTACAGGCAAAGAGAGGAACAAATGTCTGGACATTTCTGGGAACTACTGTGGTCAAGGACAAGATGACAGGAATCACCAAAATGGCATTGCAATCAAGAAGGCCATGATCTATTTTGATTTTAATCTTGTTTTTATCTTAAGGAGCTTTACGAGATTAAAGTAACATTTTCACATGGCAAAAATTCTAACTATGCAAAAGAATAGTCAATGAAAACACAGCCTTTTTTTGGTGCAATCCTCAGTCTCCTAGTTCCACTCCCAGAGTCAATTTCTATGGTCAGTTTCTCCTTCATTCTTTCAGAAATAGTTTAAGCGTTTAACGCATTGGAAATATTTAAATATGTTCGCACATACAACTATGTATCCCTGTAGCACTCAGTAAGAAAATATAGGAATTTTATTCTGCACCTGGGTTTTATCTTAGAAGTATTTCCTAATTAGCACATATAAATCTACCCCATTTTTAAAAAATTGCTTAGTATTTCATCTAAGTAATGCATCTCAGTATGTTTTATCAACTTCTCACTGATGGTCATTAATTTCTTCCTGGACTTATGCCTTTAATACATAGATAGATAGAAAGATAGAAATAAAGCAACATAGATAGACATAGATAGATATAGATATAGATATATAAATATGTAAATATATATCTAAATATGTATACACACACACACACACACACACACACACACACACACACGGTTGCCTGAAGGAAGGCTGACTTCTAATGAGTAGAATTTTTACTGGGTCAAAGATTTTTATTTTTAATTTTGATGTGTATTACCAAATCTTCCAAAGTGATTGTCATAATTTTTGCTTATAATAACACTGCCTCAAGGTGTCTACTTTTTAAAATTACATTCACAAAATAAAACTTTGCTAAGATTAATAAATTGCCTGGATCAATACATTTGTCAAGAGTAGTAGAAAGGTAAAAAGCAGATTTATTATGTTTTTTTATTTGGTTTTATTATTATTATACTTTAAGTTTTAGGGTACATGTGCACAATGTGCAGGTTAGTTACATATGTATACATGTGCCATGCTGGTGTGCTGCACCCATTAACTCATCATTTAGCATTAGGTATATCTCCTAATGCTATCCCTCCCCCCTCCCCCCACCCCACAACAGTCACCAGAGTGTGATATTCCCCTTCCTGTGTCCATGTGTTCTCATTGCTCAATTCCCACCTATGAGTGAGAATATGCAGTGTTTGGTTTTTTGTTCTTGCGATAGTTTGCTGAGAATGATGGTTTCCAGTTTCATCCATGTCCCTACAAAGGACATGAACTCATCCTTTTTTATGGCTGCATAGTATTCCATGGTGTATGTGTGCCACATTTTCTTAATCCAGTCTATCATTGTTGGACATTTAGGTTGGTTCTAAGTCTTGCTATTGTGAATAGTGTTGCAATAAACATACATGTGCATGTGTCTTTATAGCAGCATGATTTATAGTCCTTTGGGCATATACCCAGTAATGAGATGGCTGGGTCAAATGGTATTTCTAGTTCTAGATCCCTGAGGAATCGCCACACTGTCTTCCACAATGGTTGAACTAGTTTACACTCCCACCAACAGTGTAAATGTGTTCGTATTTCTCCACATCCTCTCCAGCACCTGTTGTTTCCTGACTTTTTAATGATTGCCATTCTAACTGGTGTGAGATGGTATCTCATTGTGGTTTTGATTTGCATTTCTCTGATGGCCAGTGATGGCGAGCATTTTTTCATGTATTTTTTGTCTGCATAAATGTCTTCTTTTGAGAAGTGTCCGTTCATGTCCTTTGCCCACTTTTTGATGGGGTTGTTTGTTTTTTTCTTGTAAATTTGTTTGAGTTCATTGTAGATTCTGGATATTAGCCCTTTGTCAGATGAATAGGTTGCAAAAATTTTCTCCCATTGTGTAGGTTGTTCACTCTGATGGTAGTTTCTTTTGCTGTGCAGAAGCTCTTTAGTTTAATTAGATCCCATTTGTCAATTTTGGCTTTTGTTGCCATTGCTTTGGTGTTTTAGACATGTAGTCCTTGCCCATGCCTATGTCCTGAATGGTAATGCCTAGGTTTTCTTCTAGGACTTTTATGGTTTTAGGTCTAACGTTTAAGTCTTTAATCCATCTTGAATTTATTTTTGTATAAGGTGTAAGGAAGGGATCCAGTTTCAGCTTTCTACATATGGCTAGCCAGTTTTCCCAGCACCATTTATTAAATAGGGAATCCTTTCCCCATTGCTTATTTTTCTTGGGTTTGTCAAAGATCAGATAGTTGTAGATATGCGGCGTTATTTCTGAGGGCTCTGTTCTGTTCCATTGATCTATATCTCTGTTTCGGTACCAGTACCATGCTGTTTTGGTTACTGTAGACTTGTAGTATAGTTTGAAGTCAGGTAGCTTGATGCCTCCAGCTTTGTTCTTTTGGCTTAGGATTGACTTGGCGATGCGGGCTCTTTTTTGGTTCCATATGAACTTTACAGTTGTTTTTTCCAATTCTGTGAAGAAAGTCATTGGTAGCTTGATGGGGATGGCATTGAATCTATAAATTACCTTGGGCAGTATGGCCATTTTCATGATATTGATTCTTCCTACCCATAAGCATGGAATGTTCTTCCATTTGCTTGTATCCTCTTTTATTACATTGAGCAGTGGTTTGTAGTTCTTCTTGAAGAGGTCCTTCACGTCCCTTGTAAGCTGGATTCCCAGGTATTTTCTTCTCTTTGAAGCAATTGTGAATGGGAGTTCACTCATGATTTGGCTCTCTGTTTGTCTGCTATTGGTGTATAAGAATGCTTGCGATTTTTGTACACTGATTTTGTATCCTGAGACTTGGCTGAAGTTGCTTATCAGCTTAAGGAGATTTTGGGCTGAGATGATGGGGTTTTCTAGGTATATAATCATGTCATCCGCAAACAGGGACAATTTTACTTCCTCTTTTCCTAATTGAATACCATTTATTTCCTTCTCCTGCCTAATTTCCCTGGCCAGAACTTCCAACACTATGTTGAATAGGAGTGGTGAGAGAGGGCATCCCTGTCTTGTGCCAGTTTTCAAAGGGAATGCTTCCAGTTTTTGCCCATTCAGTATGATATTGGCTGTGGGTTTGTCATAGATAGCTCTTATTTTGAGATACGTCCCATTAATATCTAACTTATTGAGAGTTTTTAGCATGAAGAGTTGTTGAATTTTGTCAAAGGCCTTTTCTGCATCTATTGAGATAATCATGTGGTTTTGTCTTTGGTTCTGCTTATATGCTGGATTTCATTTATTGATTTGTGTATATTGAACCAGCCTTGCATCCCAGGGATGAAGCCCACTTGATCATGGTGGATAAGCTTTTTGATGTGCTGCTGGATTTGGTTTGCCAGTATTTTATTGAGGATTTTTGCATCAATGTTCATCAAGGATATTGGTCTAAAATTCTCTTTTTTGGTTGTGTTTCTGCCTGGCTTTGGTATCAGGATGGTGCTGGCCTCATAAAATGAGTTAGGGAGGATTCCCTCTTTTTCTGTTGATTGGAATAATTTCAGAAGGAATGGTACCAATTCCTCCTTGTACCTCTGGTAGAATTTGGTTGTGAATCCATCTGGTCCTGGACTCTTTTTGGTTGGTAAACTATTGATTATTGCCATAATTTCAGAGCCTGTTATTGGTCTATTCAGAGATTCAACTTTTTCCTGGTTTAGTCTTGGGAGGGTGTATGTGTCAAGGAATTTTTCCATTTCTTCTAGATTTTCTAGTTTATTTGCGTAGAGGTGTTTGTAGTATTCTCTGATGGTAGTTTGTATTTCTGTGGGATCGGTGGTGATATCCCCTTTATCATCTTTTATTTCGTCTATTTGATTCTTCTCTCTTTTCTTCTTTATTAGTCTTGCTAGCAGTCTATCAATTTTGTTGATCCTTTGAAAAAACCAGCTCCTGGATTCATTAATTTTTTGAAGGGTTTTTTGTGTCTCTATTTCCTTCAGTTCTGCTCTGATTTTAGTTATTTCTTGCCTTCTGCTAGCTTTTGAATGTGTTTGCTCTTGGTTTTCTAGTTCTTTTCATTGTGATGTTAGGGTGTCAATTTTGGATCTTTCTTGCTTTCTCTTTTGGGCATTTAGTGCTATAAATTTCCCTCTACACACTGCTTTGAATGTGTCCCAGAGATTCTGGTATGTTGTGTCTTTGTTCTCTGCAGTTTCAAAGAACATCTTTATTTCTGCCTTCATTTCGTTATGTACCCAGTATTCATTCAGGATCAGGTTGTTCAGTTTCCATGTAGTTGAGCAGTTTTGAGTGAGTTTCTTAATCCTGAGTTCTAGTTTGATTGTACTGTGGTCTGAGAGACAGTTTGTTATAATTTCTGTTCTTTTACATTTGCTGAGGAGTGCTTTACTTCCAACTATGTGGTCAATTTTGGAATGGGTGTGGTGTGGTGCTGAAAAAAATGTATATTCTGTTGGTTTGAGGTGGAGAGTTCTGTAGATGTCTATTAGGTCCACTTAGTGCAGAGCTGAATTCAGTTCCTGGATATCCTTGTTAATTTTCTGTCTTGTTGATCTGTCTAATGTTGACAGTGGGGTGTTAAAGTCTCCCATTATTATTGTGTGGGAGTCTAAGTCTCTTTGTAGGTCACTCAGGACTTGCTTTATGAAACTGGGTGCTCCTGTATTGGGTGCATATATATTTAGGATAGTTAGCTCTTCTTGTTGAATTGATCGCTTTACCATTATGTAATGGCCTTCTTTGTCTCTTTTGATCTTTGTTGGTTTAAAGTCTTTTTTATCAGAGACTAGGATTGCAACCCCTGCCTTTTTTTGTTTTCCATTTGCTTGGTAGATCTTCCTCCATCCTTTTATTTTGAGCCTATGTGTGTCTCTGCCCATGAGATGGGTTTCCTGAATACAGCACACTGATGGGTCTTGACTCTTTATCCAATTTGCCAGTCCGTGTCTTTTAATTGGAGCATTTAGTCCATTTACATTTAAAGTTAATATTGTTATGTGTGAATTTTATCCTGTCATTTTGATGTTAGCTGGTTATTTTGCTCGTTAGTTGATGCAGTTTCTTCCTAGCCTCGATGGTCTTTACAATTTGGCATGATTTTGCAGTGGCTAGTACCGGTTGTTCCCTTCCATGTTTAGTACTTCATTCAGGAGCTCTTTTAGGGCAGGCCTGGTGGTGACAAAATCTCTCAGCATTTGCTTGTCTGTAAAGGATTTTATTTCTCCTTCACTTATGAAGCTTAGTTTGGCTGGATATGAAATTCTGGGTTGAAAATTTTTTTCTTTAAGAATGTTCAATATTGGCCCCCACTCTCTTCTGGCTTGCAGAGTTTCTGCCGAGAGATCCGCTGTTAGTCTGATGGGCTTCCCTTTGTGGGTAACCCAACCTTTCTCTCTGGCTGCTCTTAACATTTTTTCCTTCATTTCAACTTTGGTGAATCTGACAATTATGTGTCTTGGAGTTGCTCTTCTCGAGGAGTATCTTTGTGGCTTTCTCTGTATTTCCTGAATCTGAATGTTGGCCTGCCTTGCTAGATTGGGGAAGTTCTCCTGGATAATATCCTGCAGAGTGTTTTCCAACTTGGTTCCATTCTCCCCGTCAATTTCAGGTACACCAATCAGACTTAGATTTGGTCTTTTCACATAGTCTCATATTTCTTGGAGGCTTTGTTCATTTATTTTTATTCTTTTTTCTCTAAACTTCCCTTCTCGCTTCATTTCATTCGTTTCCTCTTCCATCACTGATACCCTTTCTTCCAGTTGATCGCATCGGCTCCTGAGGCTTCTGCATTCTTCACGTAGTTCTGGAGCCTTGGCTTTCAGCTCCATCAGCTCCTTTAAGCACTTCTCTGTATTGGTTATTCTAGTTATACATTTGTCTAAATTTTTTTCAAAGTTTTTAACTTCATTGCCTTTGGTTTGTATTTCCTCCTGTAGCTCGGAGTAGTTTGATCGTCTGAAGCCTTCTTCTCTCAACTCGTCAAAGTCATTCTCCATCCAGCTTTGTTCTGTTGCTGGTGAGGAACTGTGTTCCTTTGGAGGAGGAGAGGCGCTCTGCTTTTTAGAGTTTCCAGTTTTTCTGCTTTGTTTTTTCCCCATCTTTGTGGTTTTATCTACTTTTGGCCTTTGATGATGGTGATGTACAGATGGGTTTTTGGTGTGGATGTCCTTTCTGTTTGTTAGTTTTCCTTCTAACAGACAGGAGCCTCAGCTGCAGGTCTGTTGGAGTTTGCTAGAGGTCCACTCCAGACCCTGTTTGCCTGGGTAACAGCAGCGGTGGCTGCTGAACAGCAGATTTTTGTGAACCATGAATGCAGCTGTCTGATCATTCCTCTGGAAGTTTTGTCTCAGAGGAGTACCCGGCCGTGTGAGGTGTCAGTCTGCCCCTACTGGGGGGTGCCTCCTGGTGAGGCTGCTCGGGGGTCAAGGGTCAGGGACCCACTTAAGGAGGCAGTCTGCCCGTTCTCAGATCTCTAGCTGCTTGCTGGGAAAACCACTGCTCTCTTCAAAGCTGTCAGACAGAGACATTTAAGTCTGCAGAGGTTACTGCTGTCTTTTTGTTTGTCTGTGCCCTGCCCCCAGAGGTGGAGCCTACAGAGGCAGGCAGGCCTTCTTGAGCAGTGGTGGGCTCCACCCAGTTCGAGTTTCCTGGCTGCTTTGTTTACTGAAGCAAGCCTGGGCAATGGCGGGCGCCCCTCCCCCAGCCTCGCTGCGGCCTTGCAGTTTGATCTCAGCCTTCTGTGCTAGCAATCAGCGAGACTCCATGGGTGTAGGACCCTCTGAGCCAGGTGCGGGATATCTCCTGGTGTGCTGTTTTTTAAGCCCATCGGAAAAGTGCAGTATTAGGGTGGGAGTGACCCAATTTTCCAGGTGCCGTCTGTCACCCCTTTCTTTGACTAGGAAAGGGAACTCCCTATACCCTTGTGCTTCCCGAGTGAAGCAATGCCTCGCCCTGCGTTGGCTGGCGCACGGTGCGCTGCACCCACTGTCCTGCGCCCACTGTCTGGCACTCCCTAGTGAGATGAGCCCGGTACCTCAGATGGAAATGCAGAAGTCACCCGTCTTCTGCGTCGCTCATGCTGGGAGCTGTAGACTGGAGCCGTTCCTATTCGGCCATTTTGGCTGCTTTACATCCAGATTTATTATGTTTTAATTTAGTTTTTTATAAATTATAAGTGATATTGGATTTGATCCGTTTGTATCTAAGGATGTCTGTGGAAGAACTCTACGATGGATGGACATTAGATTTGAAATTTGAAAAGCAATAATACAATGGGATAAACTGGAGATCATTTTCAATTAATGGCCAGTGAATACAAATTATTTAATCAATGGAACACAGATAGTATTTTTACCTGGGAAGATATAAGAAGGGACAGAAAATGAGTATCTGTTAGCTTTCCTAATTCAATATGTTGGTTTAAGCATGCTGAGATTTTTTATTTATTTCATTCAAAATGAGAATGACCTCTTGATATTATACTGGAATCTGGCTTTAAATACCATGTTATAGTATACTTGTCAAGAAGCCAGATGCCCTTTCCCAGTCTAAAAACCTGCTTTTCTTCCTGAAAAATAGTTTGTGACACAAGAGATGTTGCTACAAAACTATCCATTGAGTTTGAGTGATGTGGCAATGAAATTGTAGATAGTATCATTTTAAGGGTTGTTCCTCAAGAAACAGTGTAAACAGAGCCATGATTAAGAAACAAGAAAACTCAAGCATCAAAATAACAGTAACAGCTGGTCATTTGGAAGAAAGGGCATAGAGGCTGACTAACTTTAAAATAACCCCATTAACGCCCCTATCTGGAATCAGGCTGTTTTTAAACAAAGTGGGCTTGTGGAAGAATCGTTTTCTTTGTCTGTCAAAGGCCAGCATGTGCTTTTAGTTTTCAGAAATATTACATATCCTCAAAAAATTGGTGGTACAAATTTGCGAATTTCCGTGCTAGAAGAGACTTTGTACAGATTACTTCTTTTGTAGATTAGAAAATGAGTGGGGTGAAATTACTAAAAATTCACATAGCAAATTAGAGGAAGAACTGAGGTGAGACCAGTCACAATGACTCCTAGCCGAGAATCTTAGATCACACA
The DNA here is from genome assembly GCF_000001405.40 of Homo sapiens. Classification (NCBI taxonomy): domain Eukaryota; kingdom Metazoa; phylum Chordata; class Mammalia; order Primates; family Hominidae; genus Homo; species Homo sapiens. The sequence goes on along the minus strand of NC_000002.12, from coordinate 125,824,563 downwards.
GCTGATTATCACATTGTGATATAAGAAATGGCATAAAATTGTAGAAATTTTTATTGTAAAAAATCCAGCTATTTGGTTGCATTGACTATATAATTAATGGAAGACCTGATGGCAAATATATTTAAAGTATTAGTCATAAAGACAATATAAATTCAGCCTGCTAAATGTTATATGACACAGTTTTCTAAATATAAAACAAAGTCCACTATTTATTTTTCCTCTGAAGAATGGAATAACTCTTTTGCAGTCTGAATTATAGATATGTAAGGCCCAGTAATTTTATTTCCTTTTTTTTCCACCCTATTGTTTTGTTTTTGTTTTTCTCTTCCTATGTTGTCTTATCCCCCCTGGGACACAGGAGATGAAAGGAATGAAACCCAGTATGAAGTGAGGTTCTGATCACACTTACCTTGAATATGCAGGGCAGAATGGGATGCCTTATATTCTTAATTCTACAGTGCTGGTTGATGATGCTTTAATTTTTAAATGATTAAGAGACTCATGTCACTCAAGCACCTAATAAGAAAAAATAATATTTGAACGACTGAAAAAAAATCGAAGCCATTTTAACTACTCAAGTATTTTGCATGATTGATAAGGGACCAGCCAAAATAACTTGTAAAATGCAATAAATGTTATAAATTTCTCCCATTTTCCTTTCTCTAAAATATAAAATATAAGTTGATGATGAATTTGAATTTAAAATTCTTTCCCAGTGTGTCTCCATCTCTATGGCTTCCTCTCTACCTTTTTCCAAGTTCAATAAAGTTACCTAAATAAAAATTTGAAAGAGCTAAATCTGGCTAAAATCCTTTAAGGTCTTCCCATTTAACTTGAGATTAATACCAAATTCCCAGGCACAGAAAGCAAGGACGCCAGAGGAGAACTTTTTCCTTCAGCTTGTGTCATGGAGACCCCAACATCTTACCTATTCCATTTTGTGCTGAGCCAGGTGCATTTCCCATAATCCTGCATTACTCCTGTGTTATTTCATCTGCATGGAGGCCTACTTCACCTTTGTGATCACATGGTTGTCTTTCAAGGCTCAAAGCTAGCACCATCTAATTTATGTTGCATCTCCCAGACATGCCAAATACAATTACTCTTTCTTTTCTACCTTAACCATATGCAATGCATATGTATAGTTCTCCTCTCGCACACATCCCCTGCACATCCCCTGTTTTGAGGACACTGTACCGCCTCAATACTAGTTGGATCTAGTGAGGACTGGTAATTATAGGACCTCCACATAGATAAAGGTGAACTTGGCTTTTCACTCCTTCATTGACATGCTTGCAGCTTTTTCTGCTTGAACAATGCCCATTTCCCACTAGGCCCTCACTTTCCCTGAAATAGGTTTCAATAGCTTAATTTTCTCAGCTTTCGTGGGTGCCTCCTTGGCACTTTCCTGGCATAATTTTTCAAACCGTCTTTCTCCTTCAAAGGCTGCAAGTGAATATTAAAGAATGAAACCTCAAGTGGAAAGCATAACCAAGGACTTCAGTTTTGAAAACCACTCACTACGTTTCTTCATTCTTTCCCCTCACCTCTTCATTCTTTCATTCTCTAGACACTCCCCTCCAGCCATGCATGCTTATCTAATTACGCTCGTGCTTAGAAATCCTAGAGGTTCATCTTGAAACAAACCAGACATGGAGCCCTCATTGAGGAATCCTCCCACTTAGAGAGAGTTCCAAACACTTAGTACACCACCATCAGGCTAAAGTCAAGATTATGCCAGCTAGACCTCTGGACAAGGCAATTAGTCACAACAGGTCACACAGACCCTGCATGGGGCACCACTCCCGCCTGTCTCCCACACGAGGTTTTTCTTTAAAAACCCTATGGTAAATTTTAAAATTTAAGATGCTTCTTAAGAATACTACTTCGGGCAGGGCACGGTGGCTAATGCCTGTAGTCCCAGCACTTTGGGAGGCCGAGGCAGGCGGATCACGAGGTCAGGAGATGGAGACTATCCTGGCTAACCCGGTGAAACCCTGCCTCTACTAAAAAATACAAAAAATTAGCCGGGCATGGTGGCGGGCGCCTGTAGTCTCAGCTACTCGGGAGGCTGAAGCAGGAGAATGGCGTGAACCCGGGACCCGGGAGGCGGAGTTTGCAGTGATCCAAGGTCGCTCCACTGCACTCCAGCCTGGGCGACAGAACAAGACTCCGTCTCAAAAAAAAAAAAAAAAAAAAAAAAGAGAATATTACTTTGCTATCTTCTCGATTTGCGGCTGTCTTCTCGATTTGCGGCTATCTTCTCGATTTCTGGGCTCTCTGATTACAACCTGCTTCTCCTTCCCCCAATCCTTACCTCTTGTGTTCAGCTTTCCAGCGATGGGGAGCCAAACCTGGGTCTGGTTACAATTGGAGCAGAGATAAGATATAGAGAGGTACAATTAAGTTCCTGTCCCTGTGTGTAATATTCCTACTATTCTTCTGTTTTATTAAATAACTCAGTATATTCTTATTTCTACTTAAGTAGTTTTATTTGTGTTTCTTTTATTACTAACAGAATGCTAAGGACTTCAGACCATATGTGGACTTTTAATATATTTAGAATATTTCATTCTACACATTTACTTCTCTGCTTCTGGCTCTCCACGTTTCTAAGTCTAAAATTAGCTACTTATTTAGTTTAAATGAGCGCACTCCTTTCTGAAATTAAAAGAGACTTAAAAGAACATTATCCTCGCTATAATAATGGTCATACCAAAGTGGATATGTTGAGTGGTAGAGTTCTAAAGGGGAGCTTAGGCACCTGCGATAAAATCACCATAATCTTATAAACTTGGAGACTTCCTTTGACATGGAAACAGACTGAAGTGGGCGCTAAAAGTGCAAGCATCGTTATCCTAATATTGCTTTCTCTGGCCTACTATAGAATCCACTCTGCTAAGCATATGCAATGAATGGGGAAGTCATTAGAGTTTCTGCAGCAAGACTTGGGCCTCTTGTCTCTGGTGAAAGCTTGTTAAAGATGACCTAACAGGGTGATTGTTTCTTCATTCTCTGTTTTTTAATGGGGCAATCTGAGACTACAAATTCTCAGATGATAGTCGGAGGAGCAAAGGGTCACTACAACTTGTCAGCAGGTGCCAAGGGCAGCTGGAGAAAATCATCACCTGCTGTAACCCCTGGTCCTAATTAGCCTCCTCTTCATTAATTACATGCAGTCGCCCACAGTCCTGGGAGCCATGGAGCCATTTTGTTTTATGCTTAAGCTTGCAGAGAGCATTCTCCAGATCTTTTAAAAATATAGTCATGATGCCATATGTCATACAAAATAAAATTAAGCATGCCCTGGACAGCTTGTTTGCATTAGAATATGAGTGTCTTTCTAAACAATATAGGTGTCCTTGAAAACAATGAGTTCCCTGCTAAATTTCGATGACAGTAATTTCTAGGATCTATCCCCCTGAGAAGGCAAGGGGAGGTCATGAGGTGATGAATATGAAGATCCAGAAGGTGACAACCTTTCTTGATTAAGACTGTCCATTAAGGCCCCAGTGGACTTTCATTGCCCATGCCCTGATCAAAACAGCCAACATATTTGAAGTTGGCCAAGGAAAGGTACAAATTATAGCAGAAGCCCACACAGTTTTCTCATAAAGTGTGATGATTTTGCATGCTTAAAGTATATTTATTTAGGTCTAGAATAAGTCTCACAGATCATGTAATTCAAACTTTTGCTTTCTGAGTGAGATAAAGATACATGAACACATTAAGTGCACACAACTGATTCATGACAGAGCCAAGACAAAAAGTAAACAATTGAAAAACAAAAACACTAGCTGCACCTTCTCAACCCTACTTTAAAATCTTGCCCTGTTAATTATTCACTGCTCTCCTAAAACTTTAAGTCTTTCCCTCTATGCCTGAGACTTTTCAGCAGGCCAATGTGTTAAATTTTTTTAAAGAAAACCAACTTTTTTCTGTTTCCTCCTTTACTCCTTCGGTTCTATCAATGTTGTGCCTACTGAATGCGTGCTACTCTGCTGTGCCCTCGCCTTCTCCCACCTGCCCTAAACAGAAATTCACTGTGTTCAGCCTACTGTCACATCCCTTCAGTGTTACCCTGGGTCATCAGTGATTGCAACTGCTAAAATCCAAGCACACCTCTACAAGATCTATCTGGATCTCTAAATGGCATTGGGAATGCTAACTGTAGCATCTTAAGACTTTCTTCTTCCTTGGGTTTCCACAACCACCCTTCCTTGTGTCTTCTCTCTAGAAAGAAAATCCCCTGCCAGCCCCTCCTCTGCTGCCTTGGGTATTCCACATCCTGTTCTCAGTCTTTCTTCCCAACTTTTGTACTTTTGTTGCATTCATGCATCCTGTCCCAGGCTTCAACAAACCCAGATTTGTCTGGAATCTGGAGGCCTCTAAGCAATTGTTAATCTGCGATCTCCATTTGGACAATACTCAGACACACGCACACACAAACACACACACACACACACATACCACATAAAGTCCCTCAAACATCACACACAAAAACCAAATGTCATTGATTCCCTTACCTTTAAACTTCTTCACCTGTGTGTCACCTTTGTTAAATGGCATCACTGTTTAATTTATGCAGTTACCTAGGAGAGGCTTATTGCAAATATCTGTGACTTTCTCTCTCTTCCTCCCTTCACTTATTAGTCTCTGTTTCCTATTTGTTCTTCCAGTGAAATAGCTCCTGAATTTCCATTCCTCTCTCAAACCCTACCCTAACCTCAGCCACTCATTGTGGAGTCCAATTACATCTTGTCCAAATTATCATTACTTCCTAATGATTTTCCTGTTATTAGGGATCTTTCTCCAATCCACCAGCTCACTTACTAGGAGAACATTCTCTACCACAGGATGAAAAGGAAAAGGAAATGATACCATTTGCCTACCTATCAACTTTGGTTCTAGGTTTTAGGTTTGTGTTAGTCTCTCACATCTATAGAAAACAGCTTTATCATGATGTTGTCTCTGTACACTCCAGTGTCCTTTGTCTGGAAACATCAGCTTCTTTCTCCTAAGCTTCCCTACAAGGAGAACTGACCACCTATGTGCCTTGAGGACCACTCACATAATTCTACTAGAACATTGACAGCATCATTAGTGCTGGTCCTCATCCATCTCCTTTTCTCAGGATACCTTATGTTTTTGATGGCTCTGACTGTGAGTGTATATGAATTTAAAAATACACACACACACACACACACACACACACACACACTGTTCCTATTTCTTAGTACAAAATTAGTTACATTGCAGGGTTTTTTTTTTTTTTTTTTTTTTGAGGTGGAGTCTCACTCTTGTCACCCAGGCTGGAGTGCAGTGGTGCAATCTCGGCTCACTGTAACATTTGCCTCCCGGGTTCAAGCGATTCTGCTGCCCCAGCCTCCCAAGTAGCTGGGACTACAGGCGCCCAACACAACACGAAACTAATTTTTTTGTATTTAGTGGAGACGGGGTTTCACCATATTGGCCAGGCTAGTCTCAAACTCCTGACCTTGTGACCCACCCACCTGGGCCTCCCAAAGTGCTGGATTACAGGCGTGAGCCACCGCACCCGGCCACATTGCAGTTTTTAAAAAATCGTTATTAAATGGATAGATGAAGGATGATCATAATATGTGCACACATATAAATGTATTATGCACCTACCTATGTATGCATATGTCAGTCACCTCTTGTGCACCAAGTTGTTTCATCTTGGCCTGGTCTCTCTCTGCTCCTAGGCATCACTACAGACACCAGTCCTATGTGGGTTCTAACTTCAAACAGGAACCACCTGCTAAGGCCTTGCCCCAGGGCCTGGCTAAGTCCTGCTTGTCTCCCACATTGGATGTCGGCTTGGTGCCCATGCATTTATAACCTGCAAGTAGCATGGGACAGGGGTCCCTAAGTCCTCACAGGTAAACCTTTGACCAATGGAGATGGGATCCTGTGGTTAAATGAATCCACTTTCTCCATAGGGACCATCCTGAGTCTCATAATGTGTCTGCTCTGAAGGTCTGAGGATCAGAACACTTACAGAGGTGACCATATCTTTCACTCATACTCATATCAGCCCCTGCCTCATCCGCGCCCCCCCCATGCTTGCATCACTTCTCATCTCTTATTTCTACCTCTGGAAATCATATGCTCCATCAACAATCAGAACTAGGCCATAATCTCAAGCTCTGATTTCTGGGGAATTGAGGTTGAAAGAGTGGCTAATGATAACAACAGGGAAAGGCAATTGCAGATTTTCATTAGCTAAGTCCTGTTTTTTCTACAGTTTTCCAGAAAAAAAATACATTTATATTTTTATAAAAAATTTTTAAGGGAACTTGTTAGCCTGAATTTATATGTGGATATAGATATACAGTTAGGATGTGATTTGACTCTCACCTCTGCCATTCACAAATTATTTTAAATGTCTAGTTTATTAATGTCAATAAACTTTGTTTTCTTCATCAATGAAATAGGGATGAAAATTATCCCTTCAAAAGATTGCTATGAGTTTAAAATGGAAAAAAATGGACAAAAACACCTGAAGTTCTGAGCAAGCAATTCCCTCTTTCACTACCTCAAAATATATTACCATAAAGGTGAACAATTATTAAATGGAGAAAAGCAAGCGATTGTCATTCATTATAACCACAACTTTCAGTTACAGGAAGTTAAAAATAGTCTAATATGTTTAATGGCATGTCAAACTTGAATATTAATTTCCATCATTACTTTTATTTTTTTCTTTAATGACTAAAATTTACTGATGTTGATTTGATAGAAGCTAAGGATTGCTCTGACCAGCATAGCAGATGACTGTGAGTCTCCATTGTATTCCATTAAGAGACCCAGAGTTCTTACTGTTGGTATCAGCACTTTTATTTTTCCAGTTTCCATTAGGTGGGATGCAATAACATTCAAAAAACACTACTGTGCTAACAGATGAGAAAATAACTATCAAATCAATGGATAAGCAGAAAACTGTCAGCCTGAGAGAACCTAAAATGTTGATTCATCAACTAGTGTTCTAAAATTTGAATTCAGCATATGCAAGGAATTTGACAGCTGTCCATTTAAAATGTATGCAAAGATGAATGCACAGAAATCCATTGCACTCATGTCCAGACCACCTATTTTTGCTCTAATATAATGTAGTACCTTCACCTTTAAAAATAATTTTTATTTAGTAGGAATTCCACCTATGATGAAGGGCTCTACTTTATTTAAGAGTGCTCCACCATAGAATTCATAAAAATGATCCAGAAGGAAATAAATAGCAATTTATTTCTTTGTGTTGCATTTTGAGCTGCGTGTGTTGTTCCCATGTGAATATCTTTGAAAATCCTTACCATGGCTCACTTAATTACTTGTCACAACATTTTTTAAATGGCCACTTTGATCCTCAAAATCTAGACTTCAATAGCTCCCAATCTCCTTGAAGAACTTAACCGTTACAGAGTGTTTGGCTCCCAAAAGTTGATAACTGCATGTTTATGGCATGAGCAAATTAACAAGTATATCACAAACACTGCATTGTGTTTGTGTGTGGGAGGGGGACGTGATCTTCATTTCAGTCAGAAGTGACTTAAAGGCACTTAATAACACTTTTCAAAAATACGCTGGACAGCCTGTGTATCTCAGGTGGTTAGTTGTCAATGCAAATGCTTCTTTCCTTCTAATAAGTCATAGCATGATCCTCTCCTGTCTCAGCCTTCTCAGTCATTTGGAGTCCTCCCTCTCAGTCATTCACAGCTTACTTGTCACTGTCTTGTCACTTCTTTCTTCAAAGGATCTCAAATTCACCTATTCTTTTATCACCCTGTCAGCTCTTTTACTCAGATCCTTCACATCTCTTATATATGGATACTATGAACTTTTCTTCCAGGCTTTATTTTTCTTCTTTGTAACTGACTCATTCCCTGGTGTTTCTTTAATCTTCCTTAAATGCCATTTTCTCATTTGTTACCTCCACTGAAGAACTTACACTGGTGTTGGCCCAGAATTTCAGATCTAAATTCCTCTAGCTTTATTTTTCTCTGAATTTGCCAGCTACAAAAAAGTATAAAGAGCAAAGTTTAAATCCCCCAGATTCCTATGACATCCCTGCTCTAGAGCCCATTCCTTCAGCGGTTTTCCATTTCCCTAGGATAAGTCAGAACCCTATTCTCAGACCTCAACCCCATGCCAAAAGACTCCTGGAACCTGCCTTCCTGGCCAGTGAGTTGCAAGCTACAATCAGAGGTGACCACATCTTTCACTACACTAGACTGTTTTAACTTCAATGACCTTCTTTCTTTTGTTTGTTCTGACATTTTTTTCTAGATGCTTTGTCCTTTTATTCACTCTATACTCCATTTAGCTCATTAACTCTTACTTATCCATTAAGTCCTAGTGTTAGAGTCACCACAACCATTTTAGAGGGGTTATGGAAATATTTCTCCTGAGTACCTCCATAGTTGTTTTCAGGTAACATATTTCATAATACTTACTTTTTGTAATTGTCTAGCCATTTCTTGGAAACATTTTTGAAAGATCTCAGCAGAAAGATCTGTGTTTTGCTTATGATTGTATCCAATCTTTTGCCATGGAAACAAGTCAACAAACCAGCCAACAACTACATTCACTGGAAGTGAAAACCATGTCTGTCATTCTTCTCACTGTATCCCCAGTAGCTTTTACAGCATCCAGCTCATAGAAGGCACTTAATGAATGTGAGTTGAATCAATCATGAATGAATGGTTGAATACAAATGTATTTCCTACACAGATGCAATAACATAATATCTTGTTGAGCCCAGTTTACTTAAGTTTGCATTTTATCATGAGTTGAGACTCCCTTGCCATGAAAGCTCTTAAAAAAATCAGATATATCAATGTGATATTCAATGCAATAGACATAGTTACTTATTTTTTAATATTATTGAATGTCTTAGTTGCCCCTATATTTTACTTTAATAAACTGTTTGGGGCATATGTTCTTATATGTATTTCTAATTTCACCTTTAGACTAGATCCCTGTTCCGGACATCATTAGGTCAATGGCATACATCTTTTAACACTTTTAATTCTAATAATAAATTTTTTCCTAAAAGCATTTTACAGTTTATACCTAAGCAAACAGTACATACAATAATGTGTTTCACTACATCCTTTGAAATCTTGACTATTGAGCTTTGAATAGTGTTTAAATAACACTTGCAATTAAAAAAATAGTCAAAACATTTTCAAACATACAAAAGAGAAATTGTGCAATGAATCTTCATGGACCTGGCTTCAATAAAGGCCAACTCACTCATGGCAAATCTTATTTTCTCTATATCTCCACTTATTCATTCTGCCCCTAGAATAACTGTGAAGCAAATCCAGGCATCATACCATTCACCAATTAATATGTAGCTATGTATTTCTAATAGATAAAAGCTCTTCTTGTTAGCAAAACCACAATATTATCTCACCAAAACAAAATTAACAATAATTTCTTACTATTATTAAATATTTAGTGTTAAATTTGTGTATTTATGTATGGACGTGACTAATATTTCCTCATTTATGTTTTCAACAATGCAATGTTTTGTTGAAGATTTGTTTATTTGTTTCATAGAATTCCTGGCAGTCAAAATTTCAAAGAGTGGCTATTCATGGTAGTATTTTATACATTCCTCTGTCTCTTAGTTTCTGCAAATAGGTAGCCAGATTAATTAATTAATGTATTCATTTATTCATTGGTAAGCCTACTTTATAGGTACTATTGATAATTCAGGAAACTCATAATGTATGTTTATCTTTTTATTAGCAGTCATTGACAATGATTAGTGAAATCTATTCATTGATTTAGCATTGCAAGCTGCAATATTCAAACTTCAATATTTCTGTTTTACTTATTAGGTAGAATGCTTCTTTAAAAGAAACTTTTAATAAACTATTCAATTATTATAAGTTATAGTTCAAGCTGGAAAATCTGGATAAATGCTTGCTTCTTTCCCTTTATTTGCCAAATTTCAAGAATAATGGGTGGCTTCCTTGGAACTCTTGAAAGATGTCCAATAAAAGTTGCTTTCGAAGTATCATCAGAAGGTTACGGACTTACGTATCTAATGAGTTTGATCTAATGTTGTTATCGTACCCATAGATGTTCAAATCAACCTATAACTGGAAGTTAAAGTTCATTCAGGCTGGGTTCTGCCTCCTTTTGGTAGTAGTTTTTGACAGCTTCTTTCTGGCCTGGTTTGGTAAGAGGTTCCAGCTCTGTCTTGTACTTTTTCCTGCCCAATGAGTACTTTTTCCATGAACTTTTTGGGGTTTTCAAAATATATAATCATATTCATATCATAAGCACATGTAGTTTCATATTTTTTCTTTTTTATTTTAATGCCTACAATTTTTTTTCTAGTAAATTCAACAGCAAATATTGTTAACAAATACATTAAATATTAGTAAAGGTGATGGTCATCTTTATTTAGTTCCTGGTTAAAAAACCTCTTTTGTTTTCTCTTTAATTGAAATACTGGTTATGGTCTGAAAAACTTTTGCTTTTTTGATATCAAATTTATTTTTCCACTTAAAGTAATCCCAGTATACCACATCTTTCATTATATTTATCTTCAATATTCTTCCCTTAAATGAGGCAGATTTTCTTCAACATTTCAATAGCAAAAATACACATTTCTGCTCTCATGTTTTGTTCATGATGCTTTATCAGTTTTCTGGTTGGGCCTCCCTGCCAGGCCCACCCTGTCATTTAATTTTCATTTGTTCTTGAGTCTCCTATCAAATGTACTCTTTCTGAGATTAAAAAAAAAAAAAAAGAAAAGCTTAACATTCCCCTGAGGAAAGTGAGATATAATGTCTCTTTTCTGAAGCATGCCAAGTAAATTCTTAAATTGTTAGCATTTGATCCTAGTGTACTTTGCCCCGCTAGATCTAGGGTGGGAGGATGCTCGAATTGTCTTTCCATATAATGTCTGTATCCTGGAACCCAACATATGGCCTAAAAGAGAAGAGGTTGTCAGTAATCACTTGTATAATTGGTGATCACAATCTTTGTGAGATCCTGTCCAGTGATAATCCTCTGATTCTTTTCTCAACTCTCTGTAATTATAAAGATGATCAGCTTTAGCACACACACACAAACACACACACACACACACACACATTTAGCAAGTAACTGATCCTTAGTTACTTCTTATTTGCTAACTTTGTATTCACAATTTCTTATGCTCAAAAAAGGGTGAAAATACATTAGCTAAAGTAATGCTATCTTGGCTTGGCACCGTGGCTCACAGCTGTAATCCCAGCAGTTATGGAGGCCAAGGTGGGCAGATCCCTCGAGGCCAGGAGTTCTAGACTAGTCTGACCAATATGACAAAACCCTGTCTCTACTTTTTGTATTTTTGTATTTTAGTAAAATACAAAAATTAGCGGGTGGGGTGGTGCATACCTGTAATCCCAGCTACTCAGGAGGCTGAAGTGAGAGGATTACTTGAACCCGGGAGGCAGAAGCTTCAGTGAGCCGTGATTGTGACACTGCACTCCAGCTTGGGGGACAGAGCAAGACTCTGTTCCAAGAAAAATAAACAAATAAATATTTGGTTTAAAAAAGTAATGCTATCTCTTGTATCCTATAAACTCCAAAACCCAAAAATAACACAATGAAAATAGATTATTCAGCCAGGCACGGTGGCTCACGCTTGTAATCCTAGCACTTTGGGAGGCCGAGGCGGGCAGATTACAAGGTCAGGAGATCCAGACCATCCTGGCTAACACGGTGAAACCTCTTCTCTACTAAAAAATACAAAAAACTAGCCGGGCATGGCGGCGGGCGCCTGTGGTCCCAGCTACTCTGGACGCCGAGGCAGGAGAATGGCGTGAACCCAGGAGGCGGAGCTTGGAGTGAGCCGAGATCGCGTCACTGCACTCCAGCCTGGGCGACAGAGAAAGACTCCGTCTCAAAAAAAAAAAAAAAAAAAAAAGAAAATACATTATTCATGCGCATAAAAAGCCCAAACACACATGGCTATTGCTACAGCTGGAGTTTTTTTTTTTTTTTTTTACAACTTAGATGGAGTTTAGCTTTATTGAGGGTAGACCTTAAACACTCTTTACGTGGAGCTCTATCGGCTTGGGTCATTTGAATGGCCATGGTGGCCGGCAAGAAATTGACCAACTCTAAATATTGGTATAGCTTAGTGAAACTTTCGTTTATTACTAAAGATTTATCACTGCTGTTTCCCGTGGGGGTACGGTTGAGCAAAGTGTTTTGAGCTGCATTTGTGCGTGCTTGATACCTGCTCTTTTGATCCCGGTGATCTAGAGGGCATTTTCACTGGAGTGGGGATGCTTGCATGTGTAATCTTACTGAGAGTTAATAAAAATGCCAGGACCAAACCTATCTTTTTTGGGGGTTGTGCAGACCCACCTAGACGTTTTCAATGTCTTGCTTTGAATAATTAAACTACATTAACTGCATAAACACTTAAGTGTAAAAATGAAAATATGATAAAGAAAGAACTAAGTATAAATAGTCGTTTACAGTTCTGGAAATTCAGGGTCTTTAAAGTTGAATTGGCAGAGGTTTGGCTGAGAGGATTACTCATAATTAGAGTATGACTGATTTGGGATATGATATATGGGGCTGCGCTTTCAGAGGGATATGCTCAAGGTGTTAGTAGTAGGGCAGATATTTAGTTATTATATTTATTATACAAAATGGAGGATTAATTTAGTAGGAGGGTCCTAAGATTTTTTAGGAAAATTACATCAATCGAGGGGTAGCTGTTGGGGTGTTCGTGGTTAAAATATGATTTCTGGGCTCTGACTGGGTTGCATTTTAGTCTCTTGTTTTTGGGGTTTGGTAAGGGTATGTTTACCTACGCTGACGGTAAAGTCAGAGATGGGGGTGGTTTGCGGATCTAATCGGAAATAGTTCTTGAAATGGAGCGTGGCGAGACCATTCTGGCTAACACAGTGAAACCCCGTCTCTAGTAAAATTACAAAAATTCGCTGGGCGTGGTGGCGGGCGCCTGTAGTCCCAGCTGTTCTGGAGGCTGAGGCAGGAGAATGGCGTGAACTCCGGAGGCGGAGCTTGCAGTGAGCCGAGATCACGCCACTGCACTCCAGCCTGGGCGACAGAGGGAGACTCCGTCTCAAAAAAAAAAAAAAAAAAGAAAAGAAATTGAGCGTACGTACGTACGTATGTACGTGCGTGCGTGAGTGTACACACGTGCGTACGTGAGTCCCTATTGATTAACTGTTATGTCCTTCAAGCATGAATTAATTAACATCTTTTGGTTATTATATGCCACCCCGGAATATTCAATATAAGCTCAGCTTCTACAATTGATTCGTCAGTAATTAAATCCGAGTTTGCCTACAGTGGATTTGGCAGGGACCAGGCCTTCCGCGATGGTGAGTGACAGCATCCCCCAAAGTTAAAAATACCAAATGCATGACAGTGCTCCCGTGACTGGTTCATAGGGTGGTAGTCATTAGTCCATTGAGATGTCTTATTTAAGGGAACATGTGGGCGATCTTAGTTCTATGGCCCTAAAGTAAGAATCAGATGCCAGGTATAGTTTCAGTATAATCACCCCCAAGTATCATGGGCCTGGAGCGAGGAGGGTAGCACTCCCTAGCGGGATGATGATTTCTCGGAGGTTGGTAGATTAAGAGTCCAAAAATTGGTAGGGGACATCCACGTCGGCAAGGGACTTCTTGACTAAAACGTGTTATGTCCGATGAACGAATGTATGCACTATGTAATATTAAGGATTTGCAGTATGGATCAATATCCGTGTGGATTAGGTTTTATTGTACAGTCAATAATAGATGTGTGATAGTTGATTAGGGAATTCTTAATATGTGCTTCTATGTACGTGGACTAGGTTTGTAATGTAAAACTATATATGAGTGTACTATGTAAGAATAAACAATTATAGTACTATTTATTATCCATGGGGACTAGCAGTAATGCACCAAGTACATAAAAGCACCAAATAGTGACTCAGTAGCCCAGGCTTTGTACATCTGTGCACTTTCCAATTCCCTCATGGTCTAAGGTCCTCTGCTGGATCTCCTGCACCCAGCAAGCACATGAAGAGAGGATGAAGCAGGTGTGCCTTAACCAAGAAGTAACCCTTATCATTCTGCTCACCTTCCCATTGGCCAAGAATCTGCTACCTGTGCTCAAGAAGATGCACAGCCCTCTGGGGAATAAGGTTCATGGCTGTGCAGTCTCTTCTCAGAAACCACACTTTTTAATGGAAAAGGAGCAGGTGTGTTTTGGTGTCAGATAGCCATCTCTGCCTCTGTGAACAGCTGTGATACTTCTCTTTTCAACCTACCAAAACGAGGACCTACATATAGTACATGCTCAAAAAGCATGCTTTGTTTTAACTGTTTAAGTTATTTAGAGCATATAATCCATAGAAAAACTTCAGTTATTAAATGCAAAGTGTCAGGAACTTGAGGATTGAACTAAGACGAATAAATTGATTCAGATTCATTTGGTATCCACAAACGTGCATTTGTGTGTATAAGAAGATTCAGAGACCTAACTTATAAGTTTTTTATACATATAAATGATGGACTATTTATATAGCCATGGTTTGTTTGTGTTATCTATGCATTCCATCTATATATTCATGTAAAATTTAAACAGTGATTACACATATTCTTCCACTGGGTTTACAAAGACAGATGTACAAAAATAGTTTTCTCACCATACCATAGTTTTAATGGCAAAAATAACAATAATCTCTATGTCCTCAAATAGATGATCATTTGCATAAATTATAATCCAGACAAAAAAGTAAATATCATACAGATATTAAATATTTTGTCCATGTGCAAACTATTTGATATGTAAACTACTTTCAATATATTCTTATAGGAACAGATCTTAAAATATGATGCATAGTATAATTTGATTTTTAAAAATCATGTATAGTGTATTAGTTTTCTGTTGATTGATAATGTATTACAATTTTATCAGCTTAAAATAATACCCACTTATTATATAATAATTGTATAAATCAGAAGTCTACCACAATATATTCAATTCTCTATTCAGGGTCTTACAAGGCCAAAATCAAGGTGCTGGAAGACTGCAGACTTGCATTTCTTTCTGCAGGCTGTGAAGAAGAATTACCTTTAAACTCAAGTTGTTGGCAAAATTCAGTTCATTGTAGTTGTACGATTGAGGTCTCTGTTGCCCTGACACATGGATCCCTCCCTCTTCAAGCCTGCAAAAGCAAATGGAACCCTTCTTGGGCTTCTTAACTCACACTCTCACTCAACTGTCTGAATTACTCCTTCTTTTAGACAGGGTTTTGCTCTGTCACAGGGTTTTGCCTCTGGCTGGAGTGCAGTGGCATTATGGCATAATCACAGTGGCACAGTCACAGTTCACTGTAGCCTTGGTCTCCCAGACTCAAGTGAGTAGCTGAGATCACAGGCATGTACCAGTGCACCCAGCTAATTTTTAAATGTTTTTTGTACATACGGGGTCTTGCTATGTTTCTCAGGCTGCTCTCAAACTCGTGGGCTCAAGGGATCATCTTGCCTTGGCTTCCCAAAGTGCTGGGCTCTCCTGCTTTTAAAGGCTCAAGTGATTACATGGGACCTCCCGAGAGAACTCTGAAAAATCTTCCTATTTTAACGTCAACTGATCAGTCTCCTTAACTACATCCTCAAAGTTCCCTTTTCCACTTAGGGTAACATATTCACAGTCATACGTTTTTGACTGTGGAGCCTTTTTGGGAGCCATAATTCTGCCTTACCACACACATTATTATTATCAATAGCCAAAACAATTTACAACATGAAGTTTGTTACTTTATTAGAATAGTGGTATTACTGGTGATTCTTTTTTCTCTGTTTTTTTTGTTCTTCATTCAAGGGAACATGTTATATGTGGGTGTTTTAAAAGAAATATCAGAAGAAATGATAGCAGGCATTATTTATGTTTAGCAGAAGAAGATTCTTCAATCTTGACAACTACCCATGGACACAGTGTTGCCGACTTTGTAGTTTGAGTCTAAACACATGCTTTCTGAGGACTTTTCTAATTTTATTCCCCTGGAGCCCGAGTGTGGGACAAGGCCTGCCTCTCAGGAGCTCACGTGAATGGGTTGTCAAGAACTGGTGTGAAATGGGCTGTGACAGAACAGGTCTAATGATACTAATGTCCAAAGCCCTAGGTTTATACATGGGCTTCTCACAAAGGTGTAATGAGACAGGTATCTCTGCAGGCAATTGGATGTATCCAGGCCATGTAATGAGATATTGGGCTGGAAAGCTGTAATGAGGTGCTTGGCTGCAACTGTAATAGGATCGCTTGCTGGGATTATATAATTAGTCATTTAACTTGGTGTATGCAATGAGGGGTGTGACTAGTAGCATAATTAGTTTGGGGGTTAGGAGAGAGTGATGTACTGTGTGACTGCACTGCAAAAAATGGTCAGGTAAGACTTACGGCAACATGTGTGCATTTGGGATGATGTGCACACTACAAGGGAAGTGAGTCCCGCAGACAGTGTTCTACTGGGACAGGAAGGTGGTATGGTCTCTTGGCAGTATGTGGCCATTCACTAGATGGAATGAAATGCAGCATGAGGCTACAGAAACAAATGTAGGTATGGCAGAGGGGGTAGAGGATAGACTCTGGGTACAGGTTTTCCGGGCTAGGATCCCTGTTCTATGATACCACAACAATCACAGGCAAGTCACTTACACTCTTCCTGCCTCTATTTATCTGTAAACTCACCATAACAATAGTAATTTTCCCTTAGGGCTGTTGGGGAAATCGCATGAGTCAATCTATAGAGCATGTTTCATCAGTGTCTGGCATATAGGTAAGTGCTCTCTCCATATGTTAGCGTTTATGCTATGTCAGGAGCTAGAAGAGCGTTTAATCTTTTTGATAACTCAGCATGCAAACAAAGACTTGGAGGGAATCAGTTACTTGTCCCAAATCACACAACTAAAGGCTGGCAGGAAAGAGATCTAACAGGTGATAGTGAAAGGTTTCTGGTTTGGAGAGTATAATGTCCCACGCTGAAAGAGAAGACTGGACGCTTGTGACCCAGCTTCTTTGGGAAGCTATGAGACAAAAAGTCCAATAAGCCATACATGAATCGGATACAGCAACTGGAATTCAGATACAGGACTGTCTGCTCCTGATCCTGGGATATGAATGCCACCCTTGCCCACACTTGGGTAGTTTCTTCATCTTTATAGTAGGGAATGATATCCCTATAGGTGGCTTCAACATTTCAAACTGAAAAAAATATATTACAGGGCTTGGAATAGCATTTGTTACATGATAATTTTTGCTTAGGATATTTGACTGTGAGTAACAGAAAATAGGATCAAAAGTAACTTAAGTGGTTGAATTATCACTAAATCAGAGATCTGGGTGTAAGCAAACTGGATACAATGTGGCATTACACTCGTGTTTTTAAAGACTCAAGCGATTTCTGTTTTTCTTATCTGCTGTGCTTATCATAGTCTCTGTACTAGTCACTACATGTTACCTGTGCCACTTAGCGTCCTATCTGGTGTGCATAAAGACAGAAGATGGAAGAATGCAATGTGAAGGGCACAAGGCCAGCTATATCTATCAGTTAGTCTACCCCATTGCAAAAGCTTCTTCAAGTTCCAACCTGTGACTTCTGATTACTTCTCATTAGCTACATGGGAGGCCGAAAGAGTAAGTTTGTTAGCCTTCCAATATACATATACTGGTGTCTTAATGGCTTTCTTTTGGATTGGTAGATGGTCTTTATTTATAAGGATATTACCTTTTCTATCATTTCATCTATCAATATTGAGATATGCCTCAATGACAGAGTAATTGGCTTGCCATTAGAAAACTGGTAAATTAATAAAACTCTCATGGAAAAAAAGTCATGCTGAATACAGTGGAACTGCTATTCTATATGATAATCACATTCCTGGGACCTTTCATAGGTCAGGCTACAAATCGAACAAACACTGCTTTTTCCAAAGCATATTTGACATTTCTTCTTTTACTTCTACTTACAATGGGAGGAGCTACATTTTCATAGTACAAACCCAATAATGGTTACATAACAAAAATAAGCCAGAAAATTGATTTATATCTGTGAATACAAAAGGTTAAAACTCTGAACATTTCACTAGAAGCATTTTACAAACAAAAATTTCACAGTGGTCCTTAGCTGTATCTCCACAGAGCCATTGGCAGTCTCTCTTCTTCATCTCTTTCTCTAAGCTTGAAAAAGAAATTTATTACACAGTAAGTATGAATTGTCTCTCTGACAGAAATCTTCACCTGAGACTGGGCACTGCTGTGAATTTCTCTTTTGATGATGAAAAGATTATGGTAGATAATGTATTATTCAGGTTAGTCTAAGTTAGGCTGCAGTAAAATAAAACCTCCAAATTCAATAGCTTATCAAAATCAAAGGACTATTTTTTATGCATGCTAGGTGCCCAAAGAAAGTTGGCTGGGGTGGGAAATCTCCTCACCAAAACCTCTCAGGGATGCAGGTGAACAAAGGCATCATCATTATATTATATCATTTTCTCAATACAAGGCTCTGGATTCATTACAGCATTCATAGAGCGGGATGAAGAGTCAGGGACAGATAATTAAATGCTTTAGTCTGGGAGTGACATGTATTGTTTTTCTTCACATTTCTTTAGCCAGAATCAGTCACATGGCCACGTTCCTAGAAATAAGGAAGAACTGCGTGGTTAACATTGGTTAAATCTCTCTCTGCTATTTTTCTGCTTCATTTTTACCAACTCCTAAAAACAAATAGAAGAGGTTATATTTGTTCTCTTCACTTCCTCACTTTTGCTCTGGCTCTAATCCTGTGCAAACTTATTTCTAACTCCACTCACCCTCCACCCCCAGAGAAAGAGCTAATATAATGGTCACCAAGAACTGACAAATCTTCGCTCCTTTGTCCTTAATCTGTGGAACATTTCCCAAACAAGTAACCCTTGTCTTTTAAAAATTATTTAAATTTAAATTGTTTAAAAATTCTATTCACTAGATATATGTTCTTTAAATTGTTCTCCAAGCTCTCCAGTATGACCCGGTTCCAAATTAATTCTCACCACATTTTATTCTTGGGCTTTTTATTCTCTTCTGTTTCGTTCGGCACTGTTTGCTCCTCCTAGTGCCTGCTTGCCTACTTCCCTCCCTCCCTCCCTCCCTCCCTCCCTCTCTCCCTCCCTTCATTTTTTTGTATTTATTTTCCATCATATTGTCATGCTTTTTCCATTTTTTCTCTTGTTTCTTTGGGAGTGTTTTTCTTATTTATTTAAAATTATTAGTAGTAATAAAATAATGATAAATGCTTAATAAAGCATTTTTTAATACTTTGGGTGCTTTTGTATGCACTTTCTAATGTTAATCAAATTAATTCATTGAACAACTTTTTTTAAACATCTTAAACATATTAAGTTACAGTTCAGAGGCATTAAGTACATTCACATTTTTGTGCAACCAGCACCACCATAGAACATTTTTGTCTCCCCAGACCCAGTCTCCCTACCCATTAAGATCATATAACTCCATTTCTCAATTTCCACCCGGGTATCACCATTACACTTTCTAACTTTATGAAATTGGCTGACCTACATACATTATGTAAGTGCAGTCACAGAGTATTTGTCCTTTGGTGACTGACTTATTTCAGTTAGTGTAATATCTTCAAGGTTCATCTATACTGTAGCATGTGTCAGAATTTCTTTCCTTTTTAAGCCCTTACAATATTCCATTGTATGTTTAAAACACATTTTGTTGGTCGGTCACGGTGCCTCACGCCTGTAATCCCAGCACTTTGGGAGGCCGAGGCGGGCGGATCACGAGGTCAGGAGATCGAGACCATCCTGGCTAACAGGGTGAAACCCTGTCTGTACTGAAAATACAAAAAATTAGCTGGGCTTGGTGGCCGGCGCCTGTAGTCCCAGCTACTCGGGAGGCTGAGTTAGGAGAATGGCCTGAACCCGGGAGGCGGAGCTTGCAGTGAGCCTAGATTGCACCACTGCACTCCAGCCTAGGTGATAGAACGAGACTCTGTCTCAAAAAACAAACAAACAAACAAACAAAAAACACATTTTGTTTATCAACTCATCTGTCAATGAACACTTGGGTTACTTCAACCTTTTGAGTACTTGAGTAATGCTGTTACAAACATGGGTGCACAAGTATCTTTTTTAGTTTCTGCTTTCAATTATTTTGAACATATATACAGAAATGGAAATTCTCATAATTAAATTTATATTGATGTTCAAGGTAATTCTATTTTTAATTTTTTGAGAAACCACCACACTGTTTTCCACAGTAGCTGCATTATTTTACCTTCCTATCAACAACAAACAAGAGTTCAGTTTTTCCTCATCTTGTAAGCACTTATTTTATATTTTATTAATAGCTAGCCTAATGGGTGTGAAGTGGTATCTTATTATGATTTTGATTTGCATTTCTCTGATGATTGGTGATGTTGAGCAAGTTTTCATGTGTTTATTGGCCATTTGTGTATCCTATTTAGAGAAATATCTAGTCATGTTCTTTGTCAATTTTTTAATTGGGTTTCTTGGGGGTTTTGTATTATTGAGTTATCGTTTTTTATGTATTCTGGATAATAATTCTGTATCAGATATATATTCACAAATGTTTTCTCTCATTTCATGGTGATATGGTTTGGCTCCGTGTCCCCACCCAGTTTTCATGTTGAGTTGTAATAATCTACACTTGTCAAAGGT
This sequence comes from Homo sapiens, assembly GCF_000001405.40. Classification (NCBI taxonomy): domain Eukaryota; kingdom Metazoa; phylum Chordata; class Mammalia; order Primates; family Hominidae; genus Homo; species Homo sapiens. Next base: position 125,803,825 of record NC_000002.12, on the reverse strand, counting down.
GGAATCAGTTGGAGATAACTGAAGCATAGGGGTGATTTCCCCCATACTGTTCTCGTGACAGTGAGTGAGTTCTCACAAGATCTGATGTTTTTTTAAGGGGCTTCCCCCTTCTCCCAGCACTCATTTTCTCTCCTGCCACCCTGTGAAGAGGTGCCTTCCACCATGATTATAAGTTTCCTGAGGCCTCCCCAACCATGCTGAACTGTAGGTCAATTAAACCTCTTTTTTATAAATTACCCAGTCTCTGCTATTTCTTCACAGCAGTGTGAGAATGGACTAATACAGATGGGTTGATTTATCACTCTGTTGATAGTGTCCTTTGATTCACACAAGTTTTAAATTTTCATGTAGTTTAATTTATCTGTGTGTTTCCTTGTTTGCTTGTGTTCTTGGGTCTTATCCAAGAAAATATTAAAAATCCCAAATCATGAAGTTTTCCCCTATTTTCTTGTGAGACTTTACTAGTTTTACCTTTTATATTTAGATCTTTGATTCATTGTGAGTTAATTTTGGCTTGTGATGTAAACAGGGGTCCAACTTCATTCTTCTGAATATATGTATAATTTTCTTAACATTGTAAGTTGAAAAGAGTATCCTTTTCCCATTGAATGATATTGGTCTGCTTGTCAAAAATTATTTGACTGTGTATGTGAAGGTTTATTTAGGGGCTGTTCATTGTATTCCATTGCTCTATACATCTGTCTTGATGCTGTTACCAAACTGTTTTGGTTACTATGGCTTTATAATAAGTATAGAAACCAGGAAAAGTGACACTTCCTATTTTGTTGTTGTTGTTGTTGTTGTTGTATTTCACAAGATTGTTTTAGCCATTCAAAGTTCCTTGAGATTCCACATAAATTTAAGAATTGATTTTTCTATTTCTTCAAAAAACATTATTGTATTTTTATAAAAATTGCTTTGAATGTGTAGGTCACTTGGGTAGTATTGAAACCTTCACATACTGTCTTCCAATCCATGAACACAATATCTATTTATTTGTCTTTAATTTCTTTCTGCACTATTTTATAGTTTTCAGGTTATGAATCTTTCACCTCCTTGGTTAAGTATATGTATGTTACGTCCAACTGGTCTATACTATTGTTAGAGTCCTATATTTCCTTATTTATATTCTGTCTGGTTGTTCTATCCATTATTGAAAGTGGGGTAGTTAAGTATCTTCTATGATTGTAGAGTTGTCTGTTTCTCCCTTTGATTCTGCAGTGTTTGCTTTATACATTTAAGGCCTCTGATGTGTGGTACATAATCATTTTAATTGTTATACCTTCTTGGTGTGTTGACCCTACTATCAGTATGTAATGTCTGACAGTAATGTATTTTGTTTCTTATAAAAATTGTTAACTTAAAGTCTATTTTTTCTAATATGGTTTACCATCCCGAGTTTTTTTTATTTATATTTGCAGGAAATATCTTTTTTTATCCTTTAATTTTCAATGTATGTGTCTATCCTTATATCTAAATTGAGTTTCTTTTAGACAGCATATTGTTGGATCCTGCTACTTTTTTAAAAAAACCTCATTCTCTCAGTTTATGTCGTTTTATTAGGGAGCTTAATTCATTCACGGATAAAGTTATTACAGAGAAGGAAAAGTTTACTTTTGATGTTTTGTTATTTGTTTTTCATTTGTGTTATAACATTTTAGATCTCTCATTTCTTCCGTTAGTGCCTTTCTTTGTGTTTAATTTTCATAGTAACATGTTTTGATTCCTTTTTCATTTTCTTTCGTGTGCATTCCATAAAATTTTTTAATAGTTACTCTGGAGATTGCATATGATATCCTAAAGTAATAACCTATTTTATACTGATAATCAATTAGCTTTGATCACATATAAAAGCTCTACTCTTTTGCAGGCCTACCCTCACCCACCACCTTCTCCTTTATGTTGCTGATGTCTTTACTTTCATCTTCATATGCTATGCCTTCATTATCACAGAGTTGTATTTAATGCTTGTGTCTTAAAACAATGTAAAACATGGATTTACAAACCAATATAAAATAGCACTGCTTTTGATATTTGCCTATTATTTTTAATACAAGACTTTAAATTTTCTAAGGATTTGAGTTAGTCTCTAACATTCTTTCACTTTAACTTGAATGGTAACTCACTTTAACATTTATTATAGGGAAGGTCTAGTGGTCATTAATCTGTACATTTTTGTTTATCTGAGGTTGTCTTAATTTCTCCCTAATTTTTATTGGAAATGACGATCTCAGTTGACAGGTTTTGTTTTTCCTTTTGATGCTTCTAATATGCCAGCCTATTGTCTCTAGGCTGTAAGTTTTCTGTTGAGAAATCCATCATACATGATGAGTCACTTTTCTTGTTTTGCTTTCAAGATTTTCTTTGTTGTTATCTTTCAACAGTTGGATAGTAATGAATTTAAGTATTGCAGTCTTTGAGTTTATTCAACTCAGATTTAATAAACCTTTCAAATTTGTTGATTGTAGGTCTATGTCTTTGCTCAAGTGCATGAAGGTTTTGAACATTAAAAAACAAAAATACAAAACCCAAAAAACTCTGTGTCCTTTTCTGTCTATCTTCACCTTCTACAACTCCAATATTAAATATATTAGTCCTTTTGATGCTGTATTATGTCTTTTTTTTTTTTTTTTTTTGTCTGAGTCTCACTCTGTTACCCAGGCTAGAGTGCAGTGGCATGCTCTCGACTCACTGCAACTTCTGCCTTCTGGGTTCAAGCAATTTTCCTGCTTCAGCCTCCTGAGTAGCTGAGATTACAGGTGTGCACCACCATGCACAGCTAATTTTTTTATATTTTTAGTAGAGAAAGGGCTTCACCATGTTGACTGGTCTCGAACTCCTGACCTCAAGTGATCTACTGGCCTTGGCCTCCCAAAGTGCTGGGATTACAGGCATGAGCCACAGTGCCCAGACTTGTATCGTAAGTCTTTTATGAAACTGTGAATGCTAGATTATCACCTCCCTATTTTCCTCTCCCCTAAATCCCTGGTAATCACAACTCACATATAAGCTATATAATACAGTATTCATCTTTTTGTATCTGACTTATTTCACTTAGCACAATATCCTCCAGATTCGTCTACGTTGTTATAAATGACAGGGTTCCCTTCTGTTTAAAGGTAAATATTCCATTGTATGTATATATTACACTTTGTTTATCCACTGATCTGTTCATGAACATTAGGTTGTTTTCATATTATGGCTATTGTGAATACTATAGCAACAGAGAAGTGCAGAAATCTCTTTAATATCCAGATTTCAATTAGTTTGCATATACAGTTGTCCCTGGAATAACATGAGGGTTAGAGGTGCCAATTCCCCACATAGTTGAAAATCTACATATAACTTGCTTCCTCAAAAGCTTTACTATTAATAGCCTACTGTTGACTGGAAGTCTAATCAACAACATAAACAGTCAATTAATATATATTTTATGTTATATAAATTTTATACTGTATCCCTACAATAAAGTAAGTTAGATTAAATGTTATTAAGAAAATCATGAAGAAGAAAAAATGTATTTACTATTCATTAAGTGAAAGTTGATCATCATGATGAAGGTCTTCATCTTTGTCTCCACATTGAGTATGTTGAGAAGGAAGAGGGAGAGGAGGGCTTGGTCTTGCTATCTCATAGTAGCACAGGCAGAAGAAAATTTACATTTAAGTTTTCATTTAAGAAACGTATATTTAAGAAATTTCAATTTAAATTTAAACCTGTGAAATCCAAATACATATTCTTCAAGGGTTAACTGTATAATCAAAAGCAGAATTGCTGAATCAAATGGAAATTCTATGTTTAATTTTATGTAGAAGCTTCTTAGTCTTTTCCATAGTGGTTACAGGTAACATTTCTACCATCAGTGTACATTGTTCTTTTTTTTCTCTATGACTTTGTCAGCATTTATCTATTTTCTTCTTTTTAATAATAGTCATTAAAACAGATATGAGGTAATATCTTATTGTAGTTTTGATTTGTATTTCCCAGATGATTAGTGAGGTTGAGCACCTTTTTGTATATGCATTGGCCAACTGTAAGTCATCTTTAGAGAAATATCTATGCATGTTTTTTGCCCTTTTAAAAATGAAATGCTGCTGCTGCTGCTGCTGCTGATATTGATGCATATTATTTTTTGCTATTGAGTTGTAGAAGACTGTCACATATTTGGGATATTAACCTCTTATAAGATATATGGTCTGCCGATATTTTCTCCAGTGCCATAATTTGGCTTTTTGCTGTGCTGATTATATAATTTTTGCTTTGTTGATTGCACATAATTTTTCATTGTGATGTCCAATTTATCTATTTTTAATTTGTTTTATGTGCTTTTGAGTAATGTCCAAGAAACCATGGCCAAGACCAATGTCTCCAACATTTTCTCTATTATTCTTCTAAGGGTTTTATTGTTTCTGGGTTTATGTTTAGGTCTTTAATCTATCTGGGGTTTAGTTTTCTATATAGTTTAAGATTAGGGTTTTATTATTTTAAATGTGGATTTAAAAATGTCCAAACATTGTTCATTGGAGAGACTATCTTTTCATGTATTATTGGCACCCTTTTTGAACAACAGTTGACTGCATATGCATGGGTTTATTTCTGTGCTCTCTACACTGTTCAATTTGTTTATTTTTTTTAATGCCAGTACCATACTGTTTTAATTATTGTAGCTTTGTACTTTTTTTTTTTTTTTGAGACAGAGTCTTGCTCTGTCACCCAGGCTGGAGTGCAGTGGCTCGATCTTGGCTCACTGCAAGCTCCGTCTCCCAGGTTCATGCCATTCTCCTGCCTCAGCCTCCCGAGTAGCTGGGACTACAGGTGCCTGCCACCACACTCAGCTAATTTTATTTTTTTGTATTCTTAATAGAGATGGGATTTCGCCATGTTAGCCAGGATGGTCTCAATCTCCTGACCTCATGATCTACCCACCTTGGCCTCCCAAATTGCTGGGATTACAGGCTTAAGCCACCACGCCCAGCCTCTTTGTAATATATTTTAAAATCAGGGAATGTGATATTTGCAGGGTATTTGTTCTTCCTAAAAAAATTTTTAGGGTATTTAGGGTCATCTGTGGTTCCATAATAATATTAGGACATTTTTTCTATTTCTCTGAAAAATGTCATTTGGATTTCGATAGTAATTGTATTGAATCTAAAGATTGCTTTGGGAATTATGTACACCCTAACAATATTAGTCTAATAAATGAACAACAGATGGCCTTCCAATTATCTGTGTATTTTTAAATTTCTTCCATTAAGATCCTGTAGTTATCAGTAAACAAGTCTCCTAGGTTAAGTTTATTCCCAAGCATTTTATTCATTTAAGAGCTATTATGTATGGGATTGTTTTCTTAGTTTTTTTTCTCAGATAGTTAATTGTTGGTGTACAGTTGACCCTTGAACAACATGGGTTTGAACTGTGCAGGTCCACCTATATGGAGATTTTCTTCTGCTTCTGCCACTCCTGAGAAAGCAACACCAATTACTCTTCTTCTCTTTAGATTGCTCTACATACAGATGATAAGAATGTAGATTTTTATGATGATCAACTCCCACTTAATGAATAGCAAATATATTTTTCTTATGATTGTCTTAATAACATTTTCTTGTGTTAATTGACTCTTTATGTTATCAGTAGGTAAGGCTTTGGTTAACAGTAAGCTATTAGTAGTTATGTTTTGAGGAAGTCAAAGTTATATACAATTTATTTTCTGCATGGAGGATCAGCATCCCTAACTTCTGCCTTGTTTAAAGGACTGTATAGTAAGGCAATTGATTTTTTGATGTTGATTTTGTATCCGACAAATTTACTGAATCAATTTTATTGGTTTAAAAAGTTTTTTGTGAGGTCTTTATGACTTTTCTTGCTTAATTACCCTTGTTATGACTTCCAGGCTACTTTGAATAGACTTTGCCTTATTTCATATAAGAAAAGTTTTCAGCGTTTCATCACTGATTGTGATATTAGTAAGAGCTTTTCATAATGACTTTTTTTGTATTGAGGTAAGTTCCTTGTATGCTGTTTGTTAAGAATTTTCATTATAAAAATGTGTTGAATTTTGCTAAATGTTTTCTACATCTATTGAAATGATTATGTAATTGATATCCTCCTTTCTGTTAATGTGGTGTTGTATCACATTGATTAATTTGTGCATGTTGAACCATCCTTGCATCTCGGGAATAAATTCTACTTGGTTATGGTGTTTGATTGTTTTAATGTGCTGCTATATTTTGTTTGCTAGCATTCTTGAGGAGTTTTGCATCAATATTCCTCAAAAGTATTGACCTGTAGTTTTCTTTACTTGTGGGGTCTTTTCCTGGCTTTGCTGTTGGGTTGATTCTGACCTTATAAATAAGTTCAGAATTATTCTCTATTGCATATACTGAAAGCGTTTAGAAATGATTGATGTTAATTTTCTTTAAATGTTTGACAGAATTCACCCTTGAAACAATCTAGCCCCGGCTCCCTTCCCCCTCCCCCTCCCCCTCCCCCTCCCCCTCCCCCTCCTCTTCCCCCTCCCCGTCCCCCTCCCCCTCCCCTCCCCTCCGTTCCCTTCCCTTCCCTTCCTTCCTTCTCTCTTTCTTTCATTCATTTTTTATTACTGCCTCCATCTCCCTATTTGTTACTGGTATGCTAAGGATTTCTATTTCTTCTTGATTTAGTCTCGGTAGATTGTACATTTCTAGGAAACTCTCTATTTCTTACTTCTAGGTTTTCTAATTTGTTGGCATATACTTGTTCATAACAGTCCTTTATGATTCTTTTTATTGTGTGAGATCAGTTGTAATGTCTCATCTTTCATTTCTCATTTTATAAGTCTTCTCTGTTTTCTTTGTTCTTTTGGCTAAATGCCAATTTGTTTATTTTTTTTTCAAAAAATTAACTCTTAGTTTACATTTTTTCAAAAAATTAACTCTTAGTTTGTCCATCCTTGTTTCATTTATATATCCTCTAATCTTTATTATTTTTTTCTGCTAATGTGTGGTTTAGTTTTTTTCTCCTAGTTCTTGAGGTACAAAGTTCAGCTGCTTAGTTGAGATCTTTTTTCTTTATTAATGTAGGTATTTTTGGTATAAACTCTGAGTGATGATTTTGCTGCATTTCATAGGTTTTGATATGTTGTGTTTTTTTATTTAAATTGAGATATTCTTCAATTTACTTTTTAATTTCTGCTTTGCCTGAATAGTTGTTGAAGATTATTGTTTAATTTCCATCTATTATAACTTTTCTTTCTTTTATTGATTTCTATTTTCATTCCATTGTGATAAAAAGATGTATTAATTAATTTAAATCCTTTTAAATGAGTTAAGACTTGTCTCATGTCATAGTGTATGATCTGTCTTGCAGGCTGTTCTGTGTGCACTTGAGAATAAACTATATTCTGCTGCCATTCAGTAGAAAGTCCTATATATGTTTGTTAGGTTCATTTGGCCTATAGCGTTATCCAGTTCTGCTTTTTTCTTACTGATTTTCCTTCTAAATGATGTATACATTATAGAGAATGAAAGTTTCTTACTATTATTATATTGCTGTCTATTTCTCCCAAGATTTGCTAATATTTGCTTTATATACAGGTTGAGCATTGTAATCTAAAAATTCAAAATCTGAAATACTCCCAAATTCTAAACTTTTTGAGCACTGACATAATTCCATAAGTGGAAAATTGTACACCTGGTCTCATGTGATGAGTTGCAGTCACATTTAATACTGTTAAGTACCTTTGTGTGAATAAGTGTAGGAAAATGATTGCTTATTAGCAGTCAAGAATAATGGTGATACCAAACAATCACAGATTTTTCAGATGAGTGGCTGAGATAGTGACAATTTAAATTTTTGAAGGTTCAATCTACATAAGCATTGTTTCATATACAAAATTATTTAAAATATTATATAAAATTACTTTCAGGTTATATGTATAAGGCATATATAAAACGTAAGTGAATTTTATATATAGACTTAGTTCTCATTCCCAAGATATCTCATTATATATGTGCAAATATTTCAAAACAAAAGAAAAAGAAAAACAAGTTTGAAACACTTCTGGTCCCAAGCATTTCAAATAAGGGATACTCAACCTATATTTAGGTCATTTGATGTTGGGTGCATATATATTTACGATTATTATAAGTTCCTTTAGAATTGACCATTTTATTATTATACAGTGACCTTCTTGTCGCTTGTGACTGTTTTTGACTTAAAGTCTATTTTGGTCTGATAGAAGTGTGGCCACTCTTCGTTCTTTTTGGTTATCACTTGCAAGTATACATTCCTCCATCTCTTCACTTTCATCTTATGTGTGCCCCTAAATCTATCATTAAGTCTTTTTATTCAGTAAACAGTTGGATCTCAGTTTTTAATCCATTCAGCCACACTACATCTTTTTTTTTTTTTTGAGTTTAGTTCATTTATATTTAAAATCATGATTACTATGTAAGGAATTACTCTTACAAGTAGTGAATTGTTTTGTCTTTTGTGTAGTTCTCTTACTCTTTTTCTCCCTTGTCATTCTTTAGGTCCTGATGGTTTTTTGTATTGATGGGCTTGGATTATTTTATCTTTATATTTTGTGTATCTATTGTATTTTTATGGTTTTCATAAGATTTGCATTGAACATTTCATAGTTACAATAGTGTGTTGCATGCTGATAACAACTTATCTTAAATCACAGAAACTCTAGACTTGACTTCCTCTCTTTCCCAGTTTACATAGTCAATGTCAGATTTTACTTCTTTCTGTACTGTATTTCCATTAAAAATTTGTGGTCACGGAGATTTTTTTTCTGTTTATGTTCCTGTGTATTTATTTTTCTCTTCAGATGCAATAATTTAATATGACCTGACTTCAAATCTGTTTTTTCTTACTTCTGCCTATTCAAATCAGTTGTTAAATACTTCTATTAAAATTTTTCATCCAGGTATTTTGTTTTTCAGCTCTAGAATTTCTCTTTGGTTCTTTTTAAAATAATAAATACAATAATTTTTATCTGTATTGATAATCTCATTTTGTTTACATATCACTTTCCTATTTGTTTTAGTTATTGGTCTGTGTTTTTGCTTAGCTTGTTGAATTTATCTAAGATAGTTATTTTAAAGTCTTTGTTTAGTGGGTCCAATGCCTGTGTTGCTTCAGGGACTGCTTATAGAAATGTATTCTGTACCATTGAATGAGTTGATTTTTCCTGTTTTTGTTTTTTTTTTGTTGTTGTTGGGCTTGCAATCTTTAATTGAAAATTGGTCATTTGAAAGAACAGCCACCAATCCTATTCATTGCAGATTGGCTCCCTGCAGGGGAAAGCTTTATTAATTAGCAGGGCATGTTCTGAGACTTGTAATTGGCCCAATATGAAGACCTGTGGTCTTCTCAGGACTTTTCTGGATAGATGTCTTTGCTAGGCTGTGTATCTGCTTTTATTTATATTTTATTTTTTTCTGATTTCTCTCCCTACACAGTTATTTTTAAATTTCTTATTTTCTATGTGACTCTTACTTATTATGTTCCTTCCCTGGGCCTTAGGTGTTCTGTTGTGTTCCTAAGTGAGTAAGCTCTAGCCTCAAACATCTACAAGTCTATAGTTTTCCTCGCTTTTTGAGCCATGCTTGATGCTTCCAGTGGTTTTTACTAGCCTAAGATTCAAGCTGTACTCTTTGGCTATCTGAGCTCCATGTTAGGTGACACAGAGACCAATCCTTCAAGCAGTCCCCAGACAGGATAAGACATTGAAAATTAGGTCTTCTCTGCTCTCTGTGGTTCACAGAGGGAATTAGAGAATGGGCTGCCACTTCCCAAACTATGGCACACCGCACGGAAGGGAGTGTAGGATAGGACACATGAAATTTCCTAATGTATTGAACATGGCGGCTTTTTCTTGATTGAGTTCTCAGTTGGTCATATAGATCTTTGACTGATTTTCAGAAATCCCAGCAAGTTGTTTTAGTCAGCCTCTATTTGTTTCCTTAATATATTCATTGGGGAATGAGGGCCTGGATCTTTCTAGTTTGCCACCTTGCTAACGTCACAACCAATTTATTCTTCAAGCAAGCCTATAACATAGGTATTATAAACAATGCACTATTTTTTTTTTTAGATTAGAAACTCATGATAGAGAAAGGCTGAGTAACTTTGCCCAGGTCACACAGAGAGTAGCCAGCAGAGAGGAGTTTTGAACACTTTCTGTGAATTTAGAATTTTTATGGACTATGATTTTTATGGACTGAGATAGAGAAAAAGACTTGATGTCCCCATTTGTTTTCTAATTTTTTATTCTGACCTTGAATTTTGAAACATACAGAGTAAGTAATAGGCTGATACTTAAATTCAATTGTTGTGTCATAGCTGAGCAGCAGAAATCAAAGTGGAGCCAGTTAACCTAAAGAATGAAACTCAAAAATAATAAAGAAATGGTGTGTCATTGGTATAAATAACACACAAAAGAAAAACCAACTTTACCCTTCAGGTGTGCAAAGCATCTGTGAGTAATGACTTTTTATTTTAGTTATTCTTTTGCTAAGTGTTTTGAAATCCACTGAGTAAGAAGGGTCACAAAAGGTATGATTTAGTGGAAATTGGAAAACAATAGTTTTAGAAAAATGTTTGATTTCAATATATATCTTATGCTCTCTGGGAACCTCTCCCTTCTTAACATTGAGACCACGTCTGGCAAGCAGTTGGCAGGAGGCAAAGGTCTGCAGCAAGGGACTACAAACAAGACAATTACTGGAATTCAGAAAAGAAAAAAAAGGCTTTCCCCACACAGAGTACTGAATATCAAAGAGCAATTTTATCTTACGCTGTAAATGAAATGCATCTGTCTATTCCACTCTAGCATGGATAAAGGCTTATGGTGGGAGGTCTATCCTCAGAGTCATCAAATAAGAATTTTTTTTAATGTTTGTTTTAAAATCGAAGTGTTGCCTGAAATATGATAAGGCCTGTAACAATATGTGCTGGGCTCCAATTATAATCTATTAATAAGCAATTAATAATAATTATCACTAATTGGTAAGTCACTTTCATACATTTATGAATACCAAAAAAGGCAATTCAGTAAATTTTAATAAGAATCTAAAATGGACTAAGTCTCATAGTTTGCTGGAGGAATATAAAGATTAGATATTTTTAGTTCAATGAGTTTCATTAAGTAAAACCAGGAGGAAAACAAAAAAATTGGAATATGACTTGTTTCATTTATACAGGACACATTTGCTGCATGTTTGCTCAGTATCTAACACTAGGATAGATGTTAGAATTTTTAAATAAAGTTGAATAATGTATTGTCCCTGCCCTTAAAGATCTACAGAGAGACATGAAGACCAAGACATGGAAGTAAATTAATAATCACAGGGCACCGTGGTGCATGCCAAGGTAAAAGTGCATACCAAATGTAGCAGCAGAGGTGAGGATCTATTTGCAGAAGGACTGAATTGCCTCCTAGAAAACTCAAGCCTTATTTACCATTGCTTTGGGCACATCTCACGAACTCGTCCTGTAGACAGACACATATCTCTATGCTAGCTTTATGGAAACAGCTCTAATTAAAATAAAGCTGTGACTACCAGAGGATGGATGAGGAACAAAGCCTTATTCTTTGCAATAATGTACATGCATAGCCTTGAGGAGTTCCACATTGTGATTTCAGCAATGTCTTGGCTATTGCTCACTCTCCCCAGCTCTATGAATGTGTACAGGGAAACGTATGACTCTAAAAACTGAGAGAGCTCTTGCACTAAACTGTCAAATACAGTGAGAAATCACTAGAGTTGACCCCAATGGAATGACATTTGAAAGAGTCACTGTCCTTCTCAACACTTTGATCCCAAAGCACAATACTTGGCAGCACAGAACATCACAATGGGATTTAGACTGTATGTGTGGCCAGGGAGTCTGGTGAGGTTCTAGCAGACCAGCAGTAGACACCAGACATGGTCTGTGGCATCCGACAAGGCCAAAGAGGCAATGCAGAGCAGCAGAGGCACCCTGTATGGTGTGGCACACCCAGAGTAACAGCAGCAGCCCCCAGTGTGACAAGTGGAGCAGGAGAGAAGACTGTCAGCAGAGCCCTGTGGAAGAGAGACGGCAATGAATAGAAGCATCATGCCCAGGGCACAGCATCGAGGATGTTTAGTAGCAAACCTACTGGTGGGCATATGGAATAAACCAGAAATATTACCCAGGAATATTTCCCACTTTGGAGCAATACAAGGCCCACCTTGAATAAGTAAGTGCTAATGCCAGGGATGCCTGGACTGTTTTAGTTACCGTGACACCTCCCTCCAATCTGTATCCATCTCAGAGGGTAGAGGAAATGTAGGTAATCCATGTACACACCCAAAGTAAGGTACCTGACAAAAGGTATAATGCATAGAAGTTTTTTTTTTTTTCCTTAAACAGCTTTATTAAGTTATAATTCACATGTCATACAATTCACCTACTTAAACTGTGCAATGCAAAGGTTTTTAATATTTACACGGAGTTGTGGGACCATCATCATCAACTAATTTTAGAATAACATCAAAAATAATATGCTTACTCATTAGCAGTCACGTCCCCATGCCCCCTATTGTCCCCCTATCTCCTGATAACCACTAATCTATTTTCTTTCTCTACAGATTTGCTCTTCTTATTTCATATAAACAGAATTACATAACATTCATTTTCTTTGGGTAACTGGCTTCTTTCAATTCGTATAATGTTTTCAAGGTTCATTCATGTTGTAACATGTATCAATACTTCATTCCTTTTTGTTACCCAATAATATTCTATTTTATGGATATACCAAATTTTGTCCATCCAACCATTAGTTTATGAAGACTTAGGTTGCTTTCACTTTTACTATGAATAATTTCTGTGAGCATCCATATACAAGTTTGCAGGTGGATATACATTTTCATTTCTCTTGGATATATACCTAGGACTAGAATTATCGGGTCATGTACTAATTCAATATCTAACATTTTAAAGAACTGACAAAGGATTTTCTAAAATGACTATATCATTTTACACTTCCAGAAGCTATGTATGAGAGTTTCACAGACTTGCCAACACTTGCTAATATCTGTCTTTTATTATAATCACTCTAGTATGAGTGAAGTGGTATATCATTGTGATTTTAACTTATTCTCTAATGACAAATGATGTTGAGCATTCTTTATGTGCTTATGGGACATTTGTGTATCTTCTTTAGAAAAATTTTTATTTTTACTTGGCTTATTTATCATTTGTTATTGAGTCCTAAGATATTTTCATATAGCCTGGATATAATTCTCTTTTCAGATACATGATTTGCAAATATTTTCTGACATTCTGTTAGTATCCTTTACACACATCCTTGATGGTATTGGTTGATGCAGCAAACATGTTGATGTTGATGTAATCCAATTTATCTATTTTTTTCTTCTGTTGTTTTGGATTATTTTCGGTCATATCTAAAAATAATGTTAACCCAATATACTGAGGATGTACTTCTACATTTTCTTCTGACTGTTTTATATTTTGGGATTTTACATTTTGGCTTATCATGTATTTTGAGTTAATTTTTGGGCATGATGTGAGGAAGGGGTCTAACTTATTTCCTTTTTATATGGATATTGAGTTGTCCCAGTATCATTTGATGAAACTATTATTTATACCCACATTGAATAGTCTTGGCACTTGGTAGAAAATCAATCAACCACAGATTGTATGAATTTATTCCTGGACTTTGATTTCTATTCCATTGATCTATAGACCTATCCTTGTACCAGCACTGTACTGTTTTGATTATTGTAGCTTTGTAGAAAGTTTTGAAATCAAGAAGTGTGAGTCCCCCAACTTTGTTTTTCCTTTTCTGGATTGTTTTGTCTATTTTTCATCCCTTGTATTTCCAAATGAATTTTAGGATCAGCTTGTCAATTTCTGTATAAAATGGAAGCTGGAATTTTGATAAGGAATATTTTCAGTCTATATTAATTTAGTTATCATTGCCATTCTACAATTGTGTGGGAATCTCAGTACTTTTGGCCAAAGCAGCCTCAAATAATAGAGAATTTTCAGGACAGAGCTGGGGTGGGGTGAGGGAAGCTGGTGCTAGCTCTTCTTGGGTTCAATTTGTAGCTCTATTTTATTTTGATTTGTTTTACTAGAGACAAGGTCTTCCTCTATCACCCAGGCTGGAGTGCAGTGGCATAATCATAGCTCACAGAAGCCTCTAAGTCCTGGGCTCAAGTGATTCTCCTGCCTCAGACTCCACAGTAGCTGGGACAACAGTCACTTGCCACTGTAGCTCTAGACCAGCAGCTGGTAAGAGTGGGAACCTGGAGTCTTTAGCCACACTTACCCAGAATAGAGCTTTGTCACACTGACTTGGGAGGCAATTTGTTACACAGACTCACTGTTCTTACAAAGATTTAGTAGATTTTGTTGAATATTTGTGTCTCAATTGCTGTATGCCCTTACGAAAATTTCCAGAGACTAAGTGTTGCTTTTGTTTTGGTTTGGTTTGTTATTTTTAAATAATTTTATGCAGTTAAGTGATTGTTTCACTAAAAAAAGCATTTGTCTTGCTCCTTACACACTGCCCCTACTTGTAGTTTTGTAAGTTCTTCTTCCTTTCCTGACTTCTGCAATGAAAAGTCATCATGGTTCTGATCTATTGCTATAAACTTACAAATATGGGCTCCTCCATGAAGAGTTGTGCTTCCTATGTGCACATTGTTGTTGTTGTTGTTGCTGTTGTTGCTGAGATAGGGTTTGAGTTTCACTCTGTCACCTAGGCTGGAGTACAGTGGCATGATCATAGCTTGATGCACCCTGCAACTCCTGGGCTCAAGTGATCCTCCCACACCTGCCTCCCAAAGTGCTAGGATTGCCGGAGTGAACCCCACACCCAACCCTATGTGCTCATTCTTTAAACAAACTGTTTTTATTGTATTTAATCACCTAATATTGCAGTAATTTTTAAGAACCTCAAATCCAGGTCTATGCTATTTTCTTCTTTGTAACACCAGGGTCCAGCATAGGCTTGACACAGAGTAAGTATTTATTGAAGAAACAAATGAATCCGTGCATGAATAAGGTGAGCAAATTGAGACTGAGAAGAAATTGGGCTTTTATTTCTATACTTGGCAATATGAAAACTGAGAATAATACAATACAGCATATTATTTATTTAAATACTTTCATTGCCTCCTTTTCCATTAAACACAAATATAAATACCAAATCGCAAATGCAATTCCTGAATGTAATTCCTTCTCCCAGGGTAACTTGAAGTTATCCCAGGTTGCTGACTAAAGGCTATTTAATGGTAAAGTGTTTTATAATATGGGGAATTAAGCCAGATAATGTTTTCAATAAAGGGACAATTTGCTGGGAAAAGAAAATTAGAATCAGCAAATTTTTAACCTGACAAATTAGAAAATATTATTACTATTTTTCATCCAGTGTACTTAATAATTGCCAAGTACTTGTTCTAATGTGCATTAGAGTCTATTAAATCATCTCTGTGCTAACATTGTCTGTATTCCTATTATTGCACTTTCCACACAGGACTGTAATTACTGCACTTATTTAGGCATTTATTTCCATCATTAACTGGGGTTCTTTGAGAGTCATCACAAAGTATTGAATATCGGTATGCCCCAGATGCATAGCACATAAACAGTGCTCAATAAATGTTTGTTCAATACATCCTTTCATGTATCATCTTGTTATAATGACGTGCTTTCATGTCAGCTCCTTCAAGCTCCTCAAAGATAGTCTTTCATCTTCTTGACAGTATTCACAGATTGAATAATTGGATTAACAAGTAAATAAATAAATGAGGGAATTAGTGACTGAATACATTTTCTAAAAACTGTTTTGTTTTCTTTTGTTTGTTTTTTGAGACAGAGTTTCACTCTTGTTGCCCAGGCTAGAGTGCAATGGCGCGATCTTGGCTCACTGCAACCTCTGCCTCCCGGGTTCAAGCGATTCTCCTGCCACAGCCTCCTGAGTAGCTGAGATTACAGGCGCATGGCAACACGCCCGGATAATTTTTGTATTTTCAGTAGAGATGGGGTTTCACCATGTTGGCCAGGCTAGTCTCGAACTCCTGACCTCAGATGATCCACTCACCTCAGCCTCCCAAAGTGCTAGGATTACAGGGGTGAGCCACCGTGTCTGGCCCCTAGAAACTATTCTTTATATTTCACAGCCTTGGGTGGAAAAATGGATATGGATGTATGTATTAACACATGGATATATTAACACGTGTTAATACATACATCCATATCTCAATAACTATGAACTACTACCTACTTAACTATGTAGTCTAATTTCTCATGGAGCCTCCATCTCAAATATTCTCAATGGTACTCTCCAAGTTCATGAATAGTTGTAGCATTTGGTTTACTTGATAATATTCCTTAATAAAATTTCTCTGAGGGTTTTCATGCCCTTTCTTATAATAAGGCCTTTGTCAGATCCCCCAAATCCTTCAGATATAGTTGCATATATCTGCAGAGGACAATTGACTGTATATTTGTTTGTTCGTTTGGCGTCCAAATGCTTAAACAGAAAGTTGTGAGGAAATACAGAACCACATCCTTGGTGAAAGCCAGGCATCCTCCACCATCATAAGGCTCCAGGAGCCAAGCCATCTCTCTTCTTAGCTCTACCAGCAAAGATAAAGGACAGATAGCAGCATAGACTTTGCCAACCGAACACTCCTCCGTGAGATGTAGAATCAGGAGTTAAGTGAGACACAGGCTGGTTAGAACTCATGGTGTATGAATGTGCAGGGGCAGTGGTGCTCGCTTAGTGGTGGCTGCATACTGCCCAGACAACTTCTAGTAACAACCGGATGTTGTGTTACGTTCTTGAGCATCCAGGTCTTCTGTGATTTCTGCTAGCTAACCAAATGCAGCTTCCTGACTACCATCAGTGTTTGAGTTACAATGGCTTTTTAATACATTTCTTGTTTTGCTTAACTCAATTAAAGTCAGTTTCTCTTACTTGGAGCACAAAACCTTGATTGAGACAATATTTATACAGAAAAGGTTAAAAGGGTTTGAACATTTTACTTTCCAAGAAGTTACTCAGCCCCAGTAAAAATCAAAAGATACAAATAAATGTTCAGAAAAGAATATCATTTACCTCCTCTCAATAGAATATCTGAGTTCTGCTGTTTCACAGATGGAATACAGAATAGGTGGCTTTATCATGCCATCTCTTAAATCTCCTGATGGAGACCAGCCTCTATAAATCCATGTTCATAAAACACTACTTTGGGAAGAGGTTAGTGAGTACTTTGGAGAAAGAGGATTCATAGTCATATAACGTTGTGGTATACTGGATGCAAAATCCTACTCTTGGAGATTCACTACATACATTAGCCTATTTAAGACTCCTCAGAGTCTTAAAGGCTCTCATATATCCTTCCGTAACTCACTGCTTTTGGGATTAATTTAGAAAACAAATTTTAAAACAAGCTAATTAACATAATATGGAATCACAGCCTACTGAAACCAATTTGAATAACATTAATAGAGATTGTTAGTGTTCTTCACGATTTACCTTGGAGGGAACAGAGGCACTTGCCAAAGAACCTGAAATGCTTTCATGATGCTTTTCAACCCAGTGCGGCAAAATTCCTTGTGCGTCCTGCCACCTGTCTCCCCTTCTGAGTGGCTTCAGAGAAGCGAGAAAGTGTAAGAGAGGACTAATTTCAAAACAAAGAAATAAAGAAAAAATACTTACTGGGTAAATATGAATGACCAAATACTCATAAAAAGCAAATGTTCTGTACTCTTGAAAGTAGAATAAGCTCCCTAATTGGCTTATAGGTATTAACTGGAGGAGAAATGTAGTCTCTAATTGGATGCTAAGGGAGGAAAATAAGGAGCATTCATTATTGCTCATTTCAATATTACTCATAATAGGAAACCACTAGTCCGCATCTATTGGTCTAGTGAAATAGAGAAAGAGGGTTATAAGGATATTAGTGTAAATGAAATCTGTAAGAACATAATGTATGAAAAAACATCTAGCCGGGTGTAGTGGCTCACGCTTGTAATCCCAGCACTTTGGGAGGCTGAGGCGGGTGGATCACAAGGTCAGGAGATCAAGGCCATCCTGGCTAACATTGTAAAACACCGCCTCTACTGAAAATACAAAAAATTAGCCAGGCGTGGTGGCATGCACCTGTAGTCCCAGCTACTTGGGAGGCTGAGACAGGAGAATTGCTTGAAGGTTGCAGTGGGCCGAGATTGCATCACTGCACTCCATTCTGGGTTACAGAGTGAGACACTGTCTCAAAAAAAAAAAAAAATCTAGATACAATAGCTTCCTAAATATAGAAATAAAAACCAAAAATGAACAAAGGTAAACCACGTAGATTACATAGTGAAATAATATATATAATATATGTGTGTATTTTGTGTGTGTCTGTGTGTGAGTGTCTAGGTTTATTATTGTGTATACATATATTCATATAGAGACTGTAACATGAAAACATTTAAAAAACCTGAAGGCAAGCATATTAATCACACTAATAAATGTAAATGGGTCAAACTCACCAACTGAAAATAACATTTTCAGATTTGCTTAGAAAGTAAAATCAAACACTGTGCAGGAAATACACATAAAGGAAAGAGACAGAATGGTTAAAAAAATGGTATATGAGGCATAGAAAACAAAAGGAAAGTAGTTTCTCCGTCATGATCTATGAAGAAGATTGAGACTAAAAGAGTTATCAGAGACAGGACCTTTTGGAATGTTAAAGTATCACAATGAAAATATTAAATATTTATTTGTTCAAAGATGGAGAAATAATTTTCATAATGCAGAAATTACAGAAGATGTAAAAATAAATATATAAAAGCATATTAATAATAGACTTTAATAAACTTACCTTAATTAAATTCAGGGCATTCAATAACAGCAAATAAAATCACTAAAGATATCGAAGACATAGGAACAGAAATAAAAAAGAATCTTTTAGACATACATCAAAATCTGTACCCCAAATTATAAAGAATATACCTTCTTTCAAATACACAAGAAATATTAATGAAAATTGATGATAGCATGAAAGAATACTGCTATAAATTCCAAAGAATAAAAGTAATGCGGATAGAATTATCTGACTATTAAAATGTAGTATACCAGAAAATATTACTCTTGACTGACCACAGGACAATGTGCTACAACATTCTATTTTTTAGAAGATAATAAATCTGGAAATAATATAACATACTATTAGACATCTGTAAATAAAGTGAAACACAGACTGAATATTCATAATGTTTAAAGTTTGAAAATGAAAACACAGTAAGAAATCTATGCCATAGTGACATACCTATCTCTAGCTCCAATATTTTAGCACTATATGGCTATATCAATAGGAGTAAAAATAAGTGTATGAAACCCTAAAAATTCAGACAATAATGAAAGAGTAAAGCAAATGAGATAAGAAGAAAGGAAATTATAAATATGTAAATAAATATTAATTTGAGAGATTAAAAAATATAATCCATAAATAAATGTAAGCAAAGCTCTTTAAATATGTGTGAAAATCATTAGCTACACAATCAAGTAAAAGGAAAATACCAATAAAATTATAAAAGACAAAGAAAATACAAATTTAGAAAAATTTGTCCAAATACATTTGAAAAACTAGATGAAATGGAGAAATGTGTAGAAAAAAAACTTGAAAAATTTACCCCAGTACAGACAGAAAATTAAAAAGCCCAATTAACATGGAGTTAATTTAAAAAATAGTTTAAAAATCTACTCCTATATATATTATATTGTGTGTGTGTGTGTGTGTGTGTGTGTGTGTGTGTGTGTGTATCAGATCCAATGTTTTTGTGGAGGAATTTTGACCAAACATGAACTAATAAAATAACAATTATTTACCACTATTATCCCTCACAGTACTGACGGTTGCCTGGGCTTAGCTCAGTGGTTCTTGCCCAGGGGCTCTCATAAGGTTGCAGTTATAACAATGACTAGATCTTGAGTAACTCCACAGCTCTCTTACTCACGTGACTGATATCTGGGCTTAAAAGACTCAAATGGCCGAGAGCTGTATAGCTGGTCATCTCAGCCATCTTTATGTGGTTTCTCTACATGACGTCTTTAGCACAGTGGTTGCAGGATAGCTGGACTTCTTAGATGACAGTTCTGGGCATCAAAAACATATGTTCCAAGAAAGATAGGTGGAAGTTTCATCACCTTTTATGAACTAGCCTTAGAAATCACACTGTCCATTTCTTCCACATTCAATTTATTGGAAGCAGGTCTGTAAACCAGCTCATATTCACGGAACAAGGGTTTGACTCCAACTCTTTTTTTTCATGCAAAACAGAATTTGCAGGCATGTTTAAAACTACCGTCCACCATTTTAACAAAGTTAACACAGATTAATAAATGAAAAAGCAAAATAATACATTATTTGGAGATTAAAAAACAGCTAAGGGGAGATTCACAGAAAAAGTTGTTTCCTCTTTGGAAGGGAAGAGAAATTAATCATGGAATAATTCAGACAGACTGATCTTTCTCTGTTTTGTGAGCTGGATGGTGGGTATTTTACTAAGACGTCTGCAACAATATCTCCCAACCAACAAGCTCTTCTTACTTTTTCACTCCTCATATTAAAAAGTGAGTTATGGATCCCCTACACTTAAAACTTGGTAGACTTGGGACTGCTTCAACCAATAGCATTTTTTTTGAAACCTCCAAGATGAGGTCAGAAAATGAGCTGCAGCTTCTCCCCTGTTCACTACAGAGCTTGTGGGACCTCTGAGCTGCTGTGTGCAAAAAGTGTGATGACCTAGAGGCTGCTGGGAGGTCTGGAAGCCAAACCCTCTGTAGGTGCTCCACTCAGCAATTATAGTCTTTGAGTCCTCCCAGCCCAGGCACCAGTCTTTAAAATTACTGATTATTCTTCTGAGTTCAGACCAAAGCTATGTTACTCCCAAGCTTTGAATCTTCCCAGAGGAAGCTCCAGACATTGGCACACAAAGACAAGCTATCCCCATTATATCAGGCCCAAATTCCTGCTCATAGAGTCATCAGCATAATGTGATTGTTTCTTGGTGCTAGGTATTGGGGTAGTTTGTTATGCAGCAATAAAATTTATGCAGCCACATGGGTGTTACTATTATTATTAATGCTATGTGTTATATAAATTCTTGTTTCTATATTTAATAGAAATAAACATTTACAAAGAAAGAAGGGACAAGTTTCACATCAGTGGATAGTGTTTAAAATATAAAAGAAAACTATCACCTAAATGTGTTGGTGCTGGTAAATAATGTTGGACTGAGCAGAGATTACAGTTAACCCTTGAACAACATGGTTTTGAACTGTACAGGTCCACTTAAACATACTTTTTTCAATAAATATGGTTGAATTTTTTTGAGATTTGCAGCAATTTGAAGAAAAACTCTTAGACAAACCACATAGCCTAGAAATATTGAAAAATTAAGAAAACATTAGCTATGTCATGAATGCATACAATATAAATAGATACTAGTCTTACATGTGTCAACTGACTGTTGATGTTATTGGTAAGGCTTCTGGTCAACAGTAGGCTATACATAGTTATGTTTTAGGGGAATCAAAAGTTAATGTGGATTTTGGACCTCAAGGAGGGTTGGCACCCCTAATTCCCATGTTGTTAAGGGTCAACTATAATTTAGAACAGGAAGAAAGTTCTCTTTTTGTTTTGTTTTGACTACTTTTGTATCACCTCATTTGGGGTATTGTTTTATGTTAGTAAACATTTTAACTTATAATTTAATCTTCTTTTTGTTAGCATTTAATTTGTTTGTTGAATGAATAAAGTAAAGCAATCATCATGTGACTTACTAAGTAGCATGGGTTACATGCACTTCATGGCAGCCTGGAACAGACCCCTGTGGGTGGTCAGCAGTCAGCCATTCAAAGAATCATTCCCCACCAACGTGGAGAAAGTGTTTGGGAAATCCAACTTAAGAGATATGGTACTTCATATATATGATATTTACATAGAGTAGCTCTGAAAGATTGCTCATAGATAGGTAGCTGACTTTCAGAACAGTTGAAATTGAAGTATGTGACATACTAATAAGATACAACTGAGGGAAGGAAACAAAGTCTATTCAAATCTGCTGCCTCTGTTTTTCTGCAGCTAGGTTAAATCAAATCACAGGCCTAACTGATTTTCACATGAGTGACAGTGGCCCCTGTTCCACAATAGGTATAAGCAGAGATGTATTTATTAAAAAAAAATAAGAATTCTGGCGAGTCACACCTACTGGCTTAGGTAGATACAAATATTAATAATAATGATTAATAATAATGACAATAGCTATCACCTAACAGTGATGTTACAGAGACTATTTTAAGCACACAGCATAGAAGTCATGGATCTGGGACTCAAATTCAGAAATTTTGGCTTCAGAGTCTGCCTTTCACTACAACAGTTCACCTCTTATAATAGACTTAGATAGGCAAATACTAGAAAGAATAAAGCATAGAGAGATACAGCAATAGACAAAGAAACCAAGAGCTATAAAGACACACACACAGGCAAAAACATTATGGAGATATGTATGTAGATGTTATGTAGACATTATGTAAACATTATGTAGGTATGTATGATAACAATGTACTACATGTGCAGAGATCCACTTAAACCCTTGAATTTTAGCTTGAAAAATAAAAACCATCTTCCCCACTTGTCATCCAAAAATATCAGCACAGAGAAGGGAGAAGGTCAAACAAAAGTCACTTTTAATTTTTTTTTCCAAATTCTCATTGGAAACTTCTATCATGATAAATGCTCTTGATCAATGTCAGGACACTTTCTGACTAGTGTAGAAATAAAGAAGGAGCCTGGAGCCAGGAGAGACCTACACATATTTTAACAATGAAAGAAGCGTGTGATGTGTGCAGCTGACATCCTAGAGAGTGTGAGTTAGCAAGGGACTCTCCCCATGCACCTTCTTGGGCTGCACATGCAAGATGTAGCCAACATTGAGAATCCTGGAGAACAGCAACTGTTCTAGGAATGACTGCTTTTATCTATTTTCTCTTCTGCCCCTAGAGGACCTGGGAGTTTAAGCAACAGGAGATGTGAACTTAATACTTGGATAAGTTTTCCAAACTCTTGATGTCTCAGTCTCTGTGATGGTAGTATAACAATATAAAAACTCACAATAGTAATGATAATAATAATAATAGTTGCCCTGAAGTCTTGTCATGATGATTACAGAAAGTATAAGTGGAGTAGTAATTTTAAATTACAGTAGTTATTCTAAAGTTAATACGCCTCTTTTCCAACTTCAGCATATGAAGGAAATCCAAGGGGAATGAAATGTGTCCAGTTTCTAATGCCCTCCCTGGCGAAGGCCCAACAACATTTCAGGCCAGTTTTACTCTGCCACAATTCATTTGCACTTAAGTGCATCTGACCTATAATAAGTTCATGAGAACTTTAGAAGAATAATTACATTTTAGCAGGAGATAACCATTTAAGTCAAAGAAAGCTCTCTCTTGGTGATAATTTGGACTGTTTAGGCCAGTTTCAGGAGTACCCTTAGGGGAGGGGTAATCTTTAAACACTGACTTGACAGCCGTGGGAAAGGAAGTCTGGTCAGACTCTTCCTCAGCTGATGGGGAACTCATTCTTGATGCCAAGGAATCAACTAGAAGTTGCTGGAGATTCTTTCCTATCCTGGATTCATCCCAGGATAAATTGAATTGCTATAGGATTGCTCATCATTTAAAAACTTCAAGACTCAAACAGGAAAATTCACAATGGTGAAAATTCAAGAACTATGAAAGACTGTGGAAAAGATATGTTGAAGAAAGAAATGATCCTGATTTTCTTCAAATATAATCTGAGAAAAGGAGCATTCATTGAGCCCCATCATTCATTGAGCATTGTGCTATCATGGGTATTGTCACATGAAAAATCATACTTAATTCTCACGACACAACTAAAGGAAAGTACTTGTATTTTATTTGGCTTTTACTACCATATACTCACTATCAAAATTATGAAAAATGAAAAAAAGTATTGATATAAACATTTTAAAAAACATAATTTCTTCATAAAGGCAATAGCTATTATTTTTGTGTGTTTACTTGTAACATTTCTCAGTATATGCATGATGTATTTTATACAGTTTACATATTACCCTTAAATCATTAATCCTGTTATTTTCACTTATTGTGTGCAGTTTAATATGTTTGTATAATATTTTGTCATATGAGTATTTTTGTATTTATGAATGTATACATTAATATAGAAAATTTACATGAATAATACAAAACAGACATTAAAAATAACCTTTCTGCAGGACAAATTAGTTATAAGTATACTGAATTGGGAGAATCAATTTGGAAATATAAATTAACACCGAAGCACTATTTAGTTGCCATAATAAAATTTATTTGCCCAGAACAGGTTTATTTATAGCTGTTATAAAGCTGAATTTCTGAAACTCATTCTCAGAAAGGTACTGATGGCTTTAGTGCCTTAAATGCCTTATATATTTAAAATTGATAAGTAAATGAAAATAACAGAGGAGAAAACAACTTCTAAATAACTGATTCTACCCCTCCTTTATTTCCATTTCTAATCTTACATTTAGGTAGAAATATCTATTACTCAGAACAAATCATCAGGACAAAGTATAATTTTAACTGGCTATGGCACGATTCTCACCAGTGTGGAGCTCAGATATGTTTTCTGTGTACATGGGCAGTTAGTAGCAGCTTTGGAGCAATAATTACACCTGTGGAATCAACAGTGTATAGATTGATGTCTTTACAGTAGCCTACCTCATAGGTCTTCTCTGTTGTCTGCAAAGCATCAATAAATAATATCTCAATATGGAATCTGTCTTAAAGTTCAGAGCAGTTTTATCTTAGACACACTGGGAAAAAGTTTATAAATAAAACTTTCAAAATAGTTTTATAAATATAAAATCTGAGGGAAGCTTTTATATATCAATTTATACATAACTGTCTTTTCATCATCTCTCTCTCTCTCTCGATATTGACATAGACATAGACATAGATGTAGATACACGTGTAGGTCTCCACTGCTTCTGAAGCTCTCCAGTAGAGGCAGTAATCTTGAGAATAACCCAATAACTATTACAAAGATGTTCTTCCTGTGTGCTTAACACCTTGATTTGTGGTTTCTGCTTGGTCCAGTCAAAGGCAGGCGTGGTTTCCTACATTCCTTCTCTCTCAGCTTTGGCTCTAAGTGTGAAGAAAGGCATGGGGCTAGAGAGCGCATGGCTGCTAAATGAACTACTGAAATGTATTTAACTCTTCCCCTATAGTTGGATATTCAGCTATTCCTACATGTTTACATTACAAACAATGCAGTGGTTACCGTATTTATGCCTAAATCCTTATCAACATGTCTTGTTATGTCCTATAATAAATATTTTAAAATATACTTTTTCATGTAATATATACTAAATATATTTATACCCAAATCATTTTTGGGTATAATTTTAGAAAATATATTTTAGAAATATATTTTAATTTATTCTAGAAAATATATTTTAATTTATACCATCACCACTGGTTTATTAATGCGTGTACTTCCCCACATTTTAGGGGAACTCTTTAGGGTACTTTTTGAATTAAAATGACTTAAAGACCCAAAAAGGAGACAAGACTTAATGATGGCCTTTCAAGTACATTGTAATTTGTAGAAGAGACAAATTACCTCATACAAAGAACACCCCTGGGATCAGCCTTCTAATGAAATCCAACTCACCTTTTTTGACACCTACTATACTGTCATAGGTATCTTGGACTCATTATTTTATGTAATCCTGACAACAACTCCAGGAGGCTATTGCTTTATTTTTATTGTTGAATCTTTGGAAACTGTTTCAGAGAGGTTAATTAACTTGCCATTGATAAAACAGCTTCAGCGATATTGAGCTTCACACTGACACAGGCCAAACAGCAAAATGAAAGTAAGCAGACCACACTGCTTCTCAAATCCCACCATATAAAGGGCTGATAATTCACATAAATCATACCCCTACTGAATATTTCCTTCTCTGTGGTCTTTCATCTTACGTTTAATTAAAATGTGGGTAACAAATCCCATTTCACCATATTCATTATTCATGCAAACTCACGAGTCACATACAAGTGACAGTACAATATTGAGAATTTCTATAAAACCATTTATCACCATCACTTCTTTGCATTTACTGTTGCTTAATAAACAGTAGATACCATCTCTTGGCACAATGAGGCAGGCACACACACAAAAAGAAAAGAATTCTGCAACATTTAATTAATGCAATACCTAACAATTATTTATGTGAGCTCATTACAATCTGCTGTTTGTTACAATCCATCCATAATTTTGAAATAATGGTAAATGATATTATTGTAACCAAACAATAAATTTGGTTAAAAGAGAACACTCACATATGGAAGTAGATGGAACTATCTGCCCTTAAAAATGTGTAACTATATATCAGCTGTTGAAACAACCACTTATGTTAAATGCGATCACTTCTTCCCTCCGGTTTCAAATCTGGGGTGACTTGGAGAAGAGGGAAATTTGTATTGTATGTATTTACTTCACATAGAAAAGGCACAATGGCTAAATGAAGTCAGTTACAACTTGGAGGCAGCTTCGTAGATGAAAAATGGTATATAACAATAGTTACTGAAAATTACGATGTTATAAAACACTGCTGGAGTTTATCAGAAACATGAATAGTGCTTGTCTCAACCTAGTGCTGTTGGTCTCTATGCATGTGAATTTCAAAGATACCTCCTTTAAAAAAAAAAGCTTTATTGTGATGTAATTTATATGCCATACAGCTCAACAATATACAATGTAGAATTTAACAGTTTTTAATATGTTCTCATAGTTGTGCAAACATCACTACAATATAACTTTAGAATTTTCATCACTCCAAAAGGAATCCCTATACCCATTACAGTCATTCCCCATTTCTCTCTGCCTCCACAACCCCCAGGCTTAGATGGACCCATCTTGTGTTTTGGTGTAGACCTGGGGCTTTATGACATTCAACATTTCGTGTGAAAAATAAAGAATCAAGCCTGGGCAATGTAGTGAGACCTCATCTCTACTAACGTTAAAAAAAAAAGTAGCTGGGTATGGTGTCGTGCGCCTGTCATTCCAGCTATTCAGGAGGCCGAGGTAAGAGAATCACTTGAGCCCAGGAGATTGAGCCTGCAGTGAGCTGTGATTGTGCCACTGAACTACAGCCTGGGTGACAGAGCAAGACCCTGTCTCTAAAATAAATAAATAAATAAATAAATTAGTTAAATAGAAAGGATCAGAGCTCCGATTGGAGTAGACAGTTTGACAACCTGTGTCCCACCTTAAAATATAGAATTTCTGTTTCCTTTTAAATTTATATGTACTTTCCTAGCTGAATACTTTGCTTTCTTTTCCAGAAGATTGAAAAGAATAAAGCTACCTTTACTAAACAATAGTAGTCTAGCTCATTTAGCCAGTAAGAAAAGTATTTTTTTAAAAATGGAGTTTCTCTGAGTATTTAGATAAAATATTTCAGAATATGCAGAAGGAATGGGAACCAGTTTGTTTTTATAAAAAGTAACCACATGGCCGGGCACAGTGGCTCACATCTGTAATCCCAGCATTTTGGGAGGCCAAGGCGGGCGGATCACGAGGTCAGGAGATCGAGACCATCCTGGCTAACACGGTGAAACCCCGTCTCTACTAAAAAATACAAAAAAATAGTCGGGCATGGTGGCGGGCGCCTGTAGTCCCAGCTACTCGGGAGGCTGAGGCAGGAGAATAACGTGAACCCGGGAGGTGGAGCTTGCAGTGAGCGGAGATCGATCGCGCCACTGCATTCCAGCCTGGGCAACAGAGCGAGACTCTGTCTCAAAACAAAACAAAACAAAACAAAAAACAAAGGGACCACATGAACTCAACAGTGTAAGAATAACAGGGAAACATGCAGAGGAACTCTGGCTACTACAGTAGAAAACAATCTGAACAAGTCAAAATCCACCTTTCCCGGTGGCCCAGCCTCCCTTGACCTGAGAGCCCTAGGATCTTTGAACTTAGTAACTGTTGCGTGTATTCCAATATTATTAGCTCATGATCCAATGCAACATTTTCATCTCCTTTCCTCAATAAGGACCTCTTTTGGGACAAAGCTTGCCTGTTATCTGGACACAAGTGCAGCAGGCAGGGGGGCAACATGACTTAGTCCCATGATACCATTAGCATGGTGGACCTGGTTCTCTATTTGTAGAAGGAGGTTAATTGGATGAACCTAAATATTGCTTTCAATTTGATGTCTGTAATTGTCCGAGACTACATTACTTGCGTTGCTCCATGTTCATCCTAGGATCCACCTGAAAAGAGCAGCATTCACAACCCATGACCACTGTGCCCTAGCCATCCACTCCCATCACAGATTTAGGAGAAGGAGTGGACATATTCCCTGCAAAACAAAGGCAACACCAGGCCAGTGAGAAGCCGCATTACCCGGGGCCTCAGGCAGCATCAGACGTGGAAAAGAGCAATTGTCAGAGTAAAGTATTTGCTTATCCAGTGGAATTTGTGATTACTGTTAAGTGGATTCATGGAGATCAATCTTCTCCAAAGACAGGCTTTCCATTTTCATCAATCAGTGCTCCTCACTGGCATCAGCACACATGAGCATGTGCATACATACATATATACACACAAGTGTATACATAACACGGCACATGAAGCTCCACCTCTGGGCTTTTGTTTGGGACCTGCTCTCCGCTCATACCTAGCAGGCCACTGTTTTCGGGGATCCAGACACTGGGCAGAATGGATGGAAAGCATGGCTGTGAGAGGAGGTTGAATATTGACAAGGGAGCTGAGGCCACAGGGAAAGTAGGGGATGCTGTGAGAAATAATTTAAAGCATAGAGAGAGCAGGTGGTATGATGGAAGGCCTCAGTATGTACATGTGTTTCTGCAAACAGTTTCGAATTTGTTTATGTGCCTATGCCTGTTTGTGTGTGCTCTGTGATGGGGAAGAATGCTGCTGGGTGAAGCTAGAGAGGTGGGCTGGCCTCTGGCTTCTAGACACTCACAGATGCTCTCTCTGAAGTCTCATAACCATAGTCTCTGAGGACAGGACAGAGTGATCCACTTCATGGTGATGGGTAGCCCCTGAGAGGGAAGAGCAAGGCAATCTTTCCTCAGACTTAGTTTTAGAAAGATCACACCGGCATAAAACACACACTAGTGGTGTTTTTTTAAAAAAGGAGTGGGAGGGAATGTCCCTCAAAGTTAATATATATAGCAGTCACCTGGAATGCGTGTCTAAAATGAAGATTTCTTTCTGTCTTCCAGAGACTATGGTTGAGATTAAACAAAATTATCTCTAAGTAAAGCATGAAAGTGCCTGGAATATAAAAGGCAAAGTAGAATAAAAAGTAGCTGCTCTCCTGCTGATGGTGATTTCTATGGCGATGGTGACAAGGACGTTGACTCTCTACTTGGGATTCAAGAAGCCTGGTCACATCTGGAAAGGTAGGTCCTGTCCAGGTAAGCCATCTGCCAGAGGGTCTTTTTTTCTTTGTCTTCTTTTCAATGTTATATTTGGCATTCAAAAATATGGGATCTCAAGTCAGTGACTTAGAAAAATTGACTGAATAAAATGTTTCCATGAACAATATAAAAAGATTAGCAATATTTGCAAATACATCAATTTGACTTTGTTTAATAGTTTTGCTTATATTTTCAGCAGATATCCATTATGCTATAATAATATGTATTATAAGATAAATCCCCTTGTTATTTTTCTTTTCACATCGAATTTTTATTCCACTCTTTCTATGTTTTTAATTGATATGTAGTAATTGTACATATTTTGTGATATAGCATGATGTTCCAATGCATGGATACACAGTGTAATGATCAAATCAGGGTAATTAGCATGACTGCCACCTCAAATATTTAAAATTTCTTTGTAGTAAGAATATTCCAAATCTTCTCTTCTAGATGTTTTGAAATATTTAATACATTATCATTAACTATAGTCACCCTACTGTGAAATAGGACACCAGAACTTATTCTTCCTATATCATTGTAATGTAGTACCCATTGACCAAACTATTTCCATTTCCCCCTCCTCCTTACCCGACCCAGTCTCTGGTAAACACTATCCTATTCTCTAAGTTTGTGAGATCAGCTTTATAGACTCTAACATGTAAGTGAGATCGTGCAGTATTAGTTTTTCTGTGTCTGGCTCATTTCACTTAGCATGATGCTCTCCAGGTTGATCTACATTATTGCAAATTGCAGGATTTGATTCTATTTTATGGCTGAATAGTATTTCATTGCATAAATTTATCAATTTCTTTATCCATTCATTCACTGATCGATACTTAGGTTGATTCCATATGTTGTCTGTTGTGAATAATGCTGAAATAAACATGAAGGTGCGGATAACTCTTTGACATGTTGATTTAATTCTTTTGGATACATACCCAGTAGTAGAATTGATGGATTATATGGTAGTTCTAGTTTTAATTTTTTGAGGAGACACCATACTGTTTTCTATAATGGCTGTACTAATTGACATTCCCACCAACAGTGTATAAGGGATTCCTTTTTCTCCGTATCTTCTCCAACAATTGTTATATTTTTTTACTTTTGATAACAGCCATTCTAACTGGAGTAAGTCGATACCTCACTGTTGTTTTGATTTGCCAGAATTTCTTAATCTCAATCCTCTGGTTCTCTAAGGCAGTGCTTCTGGGCCCTGACTGCACTTTGAAATAATCTGAGTATCTTTCAAAAATATTACATCAGAAGCAATTCTTTATGATCTTTGGGTGTTAGGATCAAGCACTGAAATTTTAATGAAGTTCTCCAGAGAATTTTAATTGCACATAGATTTGGAAACTGCTGGCCAAGTTACAAAACTCTGGTTTCACCTTCACCTAAGGCTTCAACTAAAAATGCAGACTTCTGGGCCTAACCCCAGATGTAGTGAAATGGATTACCTGGAACCAGTGGTGGAGGTGGATGACTTTCATGTTTCCTAGCACCCTGGTTGGATTTCTATGCATATTAAGGCATAAATCACTGCCTTAGAGGGATGGACTGCATATAAGTCATACCTTATCTCATCTCATCCTATCTCCAGGGAAGGGTTGCTGTCTTACTCAATCTTCAAAGAATAATCAACAGCTTTTTTCAGAATGCTTGACATATAGGGCCACCAAATATTTTCACATTGCTCAACTATATTGCAATGCATTTCATGATTCTAAAATTTAGTAGAATGGAATATATTTGCCTATATAAATATATACATACATATATAAATGTAAATAGGTTCTAAAACCAATAATGGGTCTCTTATCTAAAAGCAACATATGTACAGTTCATTCTGGTGGATGCATTTTTATTTTACTTTTTCTTCCATTAATAGAAGGAGAGAAGAGAAGGGCATTCAACAGATATGTGTTGAGCCCTCACTATCTCCTAGGTGCTGAAGCCCTGCCTTCCACTGAGGCACATGTCCCCTGAAGAGCCATCAGGGTATAACAAATCTGAAATGTAGAGTTTTGTATGGGTTAGATTTTTATTTACATTTTACAAACTACATCTGTTTAATTTATCCTCCCCAGCTTGAAGTGGAAACTCCCAGCAGCTAAAAAAGCAGTAACCCAATACCTGAATCAAGATGAATACATTTGCAATCATTTATACTTTCATCTCTTTTTCATGCTGGAGACCTTGTGTGGGTCTTGTCTTGTCATTGCATTAGCATTTGGACAAATGATAAGCCACTCCCTACCCTTCAACTGTGAGCCAAGGCAAACAGATTTATTAATGTCTATACCTTTTAATTTTTTCTTTTTTTTCTTTTTATTATACTTCAAGTTTTAGGGTACATGTGCACAACATGCAGGTTTGTTACATGTATATATACATGTGCCATGTTGGTGTGCTGCACCCATTAACTTGTCATTTAACATTAGGTATATCTCCTAATTTTTTCTTTTTTGATGAATCATTGAAAAAATATGGTGGGTTCTTCAGTCAAATTTAAGGATCCTCAATAGTCTTGTTAGTGATATCAAAGTAAATAAGTGATTTACCCAGTGAGATGAAAGGCCCATCATAGAATGTGAAATGAAAACCCTGATATACTCAAGACAGATTGTTTTGGAATAGTGAATATATATTTATATCAATATATATTGTTCAGTACTAAGTCTGATAAACCTTGTCTTTTACATTTTACTTAATGATGCTTTTGAGAGCTTGATGATCCATTCTGCCATATTTTGCACAAAAATCATGGTAGCAAAATTGAAAGAAAAGGTGGGGACATAAAACAAATGTTTAAAATAGCTTGATATATAACTCTTGTTGAAACTTAACCACTTTAGAAAGCACTGAGTTTATGATCTGGTTTTTTGAACGCTTCTGCTCATTTTTGTGCCAGCATGTTTAATGCCTGTGAAGGACAAATCTTTTTTAAAATTTGATCATAGCATTTATGAGTTCATATTATAAAGCCCTATTCATACCTACAATGGACAGAAACCAGAGCAAAGACTCAAATATCCTGTCTCTTTGCAACGATTGCTACCATTAAAAGCCTAGGGCACAGAGACCTTCACTCAGTACTCTCCAGGCAGGACAGAGAAGTTGAGGGCAGTGGCTCCAGGTAGCAAAATCTGCAAAGAGTCGTGCAGGAAGCATTATCGTTTTATTTCTGAGGCTTTCTCATCTCCTGCCAGAGGTTGATCACAGAGCTCCAGATTATTCGAACACCAGGGAAGTGTGGGTAGAAGGTTACACAGAACCTGCTGTTGGAAACTTGGGTGGGAAGTTGGGGGTCTGGACTCCCCTGGTGTATTTCCAGAGGTGCGTCTGGATGCTTCTTTCCCTCCACCCCTGCAGGAACCTGAGCTGCCTCTCTTAATCTCTCTTTACTCTCTAACATATTCCCCTCATTCTATTTCCCATTGAAGTATTTCCTTCATCCTTGTTTTTCACATTTATTATTCCAGATGCCAAATGATCACCTGCCTCTTTCCAGAGTCTAAGATTCAGCTTGCTGCTTCTGCTCATTGGACCTAATTTGTGTCTTTTGGCTCATGCTGCCTTCTTGCCCATTTCCAATGGGTCTGTTTTTTTGTGGTCAAAATACGCTGTGTGTAAAATTGTTTTCTCAATTAGCTTCTGAATCCCTGATGTCCTTTCAATTCCTTGGAGGACTTTCTGAACTTCTGAGCCAGGCTTATGGTTGTGATTTCAAGATGAATGGAGAGGCCCGACTTCAAAGAACTCAAAATGGAGCAGAGGAGAGTGGGTCTAGGAACAGGGCCAGCATGGTGGGTTCACAGAAGGTCAGAAGACTGAGGAAGACCAGGGCACCAGAGAAAATCACTCTGAAACATTGCTCATAATGCCATAGCATCCCCTATCAGGTTTCTCTTCCACGGTACCATTAGAAGTAAAAATGTGTTCAATATAGACCTCACATAAGCCTCTGTGTTCAAATGAAAAGATTTTCTTTCCTACTCCAACAGTCTGCTTCTGATGTCTCTGCTTCCCAGAGTCCAGCTTTCTTTCCTCTCTCTTTGACTTTACTGCCTTTCACCCCTTCTTTCTCATCACTACCTCTTTTGCACTGGAATATTCTGTCAGTCTCAGAGGCTGCCCACAAAGAGCGATGTCATGGGTTTGCCTAAAAAGAGTGGCCACTTGCCCTGAAAACAGAAAATGTAAAGGTCACCTGCTTTGACTTGTATTGTCCCTGAGCCCCCAAGGCTTTGTCCTGCCTCTTGCTTGTGTAAGGTGCACCACTACAAGGTTGTAAACCAAATATACAACTCTAAGGCCCCCCAGACATCTGAATGGACTTCCTTCTCAGCCAGGACACTATTAAAATTTAACCTGAGAGACTGGTTAAGGCCATGACCGGAAGTAGGGGTCAGACATGCTTCATTATACCTCTCTGGCACTAAGATCAACACAGACCTTAAGTCTGATAAGAAGCATTTATGATCTATTCTCTCTGAAGCCTGTTACCTGAAGGCTTCCTCTGCACAATAAGAATTTGGTCTCCACAGTCCTTTATCTTAACTCAGATATTCCTTTCTAGTGATTCCAGGTCTTTAGATAAACTCAACAAATTGTCAACCAGAAAAATTTGAAACCTACCTATGACCTGGAAGCTCCTCAGCTTCAAGTTGTCCCACTTTTCTGAACCAAAGCAATGTATTTCTTAATGTATTTGATTGAAGTTTCATGTCTCCCTGAAATGTATAAAACCAAGCCTCACACCGGCCACGTTGGGCACATGTTCTCAGGGTCTCCTGAGGGCTGCATCATGGGCCATGGTCACTCATATTTGGCTCAGAATCAATCTCTTCAAATGTTTTACAGAGTTTGACTCTTTTCTTTTTTTTTTTTGTTATACTTTAAATTTTAGGGTACATGTGCACAATGCGCAGGTTTGATACGTATGCAAGCATGTGCCATGTTGGTGTGCTGCACC
Source organism: Homo sapiens (assembly GCF_000001405.40). Taxonomy (NCBI): domain Eukaryota; kingdom Metazoa; phylum Chordata; class Mammalia; order Primates; family Hominidae; genus Homo; species Homo sapiens. The sequence goes on along the minus strand of NC_000002.12, from coordinate 125,769,323 downwards.
CATTAGCTCGTCATTTACATTAGGTATATCTCCTAATGCTATCCCTCCCCTGTCCCCCCACCCCACAACAGGCCCCGGTGTGTGATGTTCCCCATCCTGTGTCCAAGTGTTCTCATTGTTCAATTCCCACCTATGAGTGAGAACATGCAGTGTTTGGTTTTTTGTCCTTGCGATAGTTTGCTGAGAATGATGGCTTCCAGCTTCATCCATGTCCCTACAAAGGACATGAACTCATCCTTTTTTATGGCTGCATAGTATTCCCTGGTGTATATGTGCCACATTTTCTTAATCCAGTCTATCATTGTTGGACATTTGGGTTGGTTCCAAGTCTTTGCTATTGTGAATAGTGCCGCAATAAACATATGTGTGCATGTGTCTTTATAGCAGCATGATTTATAATCCTTTGGGTATATACCCAGTAATTGGATGGCTGGGTCAAATGGTATTTCTAGTTCTAGACTCCTGAGGAATTGCCACACTGACTTCCACAATGGTTGAACTAGTTTACAGTCCCACCAACAGTGTAAATGGGTTCCTATTTCTCCACATCCTCTCCAGCACCTGTTGTTTCCTGACTTTTTAATGATCGCCATTCTATCTGGTGTGAGATGGTATCTCATTGTGGTTTTGATTTACATTTCTCTGATGGCCAGTGATGATGAGCATTTTTTTCAAGTGTCTGTTGGCTGCATAAATGTCTTCTCCTGAAAAGTGTCTGTTCATATCCTTTGCCCACTTGTTGATGGGGTTGTTTGTTTTTTTCTTGTAAATTTGTTTGAGTTCATTGTAGATTCTGGATATTAGCCCTTTGTCAGATGAGTAGATTGCAAAAATTTTCTCCAATTCTGTAGGTTGCCTGTTCACTCTGATGGTAGTTTCTTTTGCTGTGCAGGAGCTCTTTAGTTTAATTAGATCCCATTTGTCAATTTTGGCTTTTGTTGCCATTGCTTTTGGTGTTTTAGACATGAAGTCCTTGCCCATGCCTATGTCCTGAATGGCAATGCCTAGGTTTTCTTCTAGGGTTTTTATGGTTTTAGGACTAACATTTAAGTCTTTAATCCATCTTGAATTAATTTTTGTATAAGGTGTAAGGAAGAGATCCAGTTTCAGCTTTCTACATATGGCTAGCCAGTTTTCCCAGCACCATTTATTAAATAGGAAATCTTTTCCCCATTTCTTGTTTTTGTCAGGTTTGTCAAAAATCGGATAGTTGTAGATGTGCAGCATTATTTCTGAGGGCTCTGTTCTGTTCCATTGATCTATATCTCTGTTTTGGTACCAGTACTATGCTGTTTTGGTTACTGTAGCCTTGTAGTATAGTTTGAATTCAGGTAGTGTGATGCCTCCAGCTTTGTTCTTTTGGCTTAGGATTGACTTGGCAATGTGGGCTCTTTTTTGGTTCCATATGAACTTTACAGTTGTTTTTTCCAATTCTGTGAAGAAAGTCATTGGTAGCTTGATGGGGATGGCATTGAATCTATAAATTACCTTGGGCAGTATGGCCATTGTCATGATGTTGATTCTTCCTATCCATGAGCATGGAATGTTCTTCCATTTGTTTTATCCTCTTTTATTTCATTGAGCAGTGGTTTGTAGTTCTCCTTGAAGAGGTGCTTCAAATCCCTTGTAAGTTGGATTCTTAGGTGTCTTATTCTCTTTGAAGCAATTGTGAATGGGATTTCACTCATGATTTGGCTCTCTGTTTGTCTGTTATTGGTGTATAAGAATGCTTGTGATTTTTGCACATTGATTTTGTATCCTGAGACTTTGCTGAGGTTGCTTATCAGCTTAAGGAGATTTTGGGCTGAGATGATGGGGTTTTCTAGATATACAATCATGTCGTCTGCAAACAGGGATAGTTTGACTTCCTCTTTTCCTAATTAAATACCCTTTATTTCCTTCTCCTGACTCTCTTCTTTGACAAGGTGCTCACTTGTTTAGGGTGATCCAATCATTTCAAGCCAACAAGCTTCCCAAACAAGCGAATACCTTTTGAAACCTTTCCATATTCTACATTTTCTAGGTGGGCTGCCCTTTTCTCTTGTCTACTGAGCGAAGTCTTTCTGATTTGAGACTCAGTTCAGGTATTACATCTTTTTCTGAGGTTAGGCTTTGTCTATTCTTCCTCTTCTCCCAGCCCCATCACACCAGCCACCTCACCTCCACGGGAATGCCTCCTGTCTACACTTTGTGTTTCTGCTCTTCTCTGCCAGGCTCTGCACCCCTCTCCAGGGTGATTCCCACTCCTGGGTACTGTCTGCTTACCTGTGCCCTCTGGCCCCACAGTATGCTCCCTTCCTCCATGTCTATAGCTCCATTGCCCAGGGTAGTAACGAACACATGAGAGCAGAAGAGGGCAACCTACTGACTAAGAGCGTTTATGCACTGGAAGGAGTCACTGGATGAAATCATAAACAAATATCCCCGGGGATAGTGATGTTTCCAGTGAAGGAAAAACACAACAATGATAATGGTTACCAAGCTCTAAGAAAACAATGAATTTGAGAGGTAAACAGAAATAACAGCAGGCTTCTTGGTTTCCAGATATAATCCAGGACTCTAAGTGTAGGTAAAACAAAACAACAAAGCAAAAACAAAACAAGAAACATACTATCAAACTACAGTATTTTCTTAATGTTCAAATTCAAGAACCTAGTGTATAGCCCCTTGCCAACATTTATAAAGAGCAATGTTTTCTGAGAACTTTATAAAGGAAAGAATCAAAAATTTACTTCTTAAGAAGGATATTTCATATTTCTCCCCAAGACCCTTACATTGAATTGGTAAATTAATTAAAAGTACTAAGAAAACATGGTCCAACAATAAACTTCTCATAAGAAAATGGTAGATGTGTCAGTAACATTTAAAAGCGATATGCATAACCTCCTGCTTGACCTCAGTAATTCACAATTACTTATCCCTCAGTCAGTTTGCATCAAAATGAGTTAAAATAATGTCCAGGAGTAAATTTACTCACTGAGATATCAGCAAAAGGAAATAGAAATATCACAGGATAATTGAGAGAAAAGAAAGTGTGAAACTCTTTTATTTCTTTGATAAAACATACTGCTAATGAGCTTCTAAAACATGATTTGCCAAGAAATAATCAACGCAAAGGAGCACATTTTAGGTCTCATGTTCACTACTTGTTGGTTGATTTTTTTATTAAGGCTGAAAGAGGACAGGGCTAGAATGCCACCATGAGTAATTACAACTCTCAAGGACTCAGATGGCATATTTAGGAAGCGACATTTTGCCATGGAGTTTAGACACCCAATCACTTTTTCTCAGGCATCCTCAAGCCTCCCTGGGCACAAACCCCTACAGCATGAGCACTGGTCCCATGTCCTAGGACCACAAAAATACAAATGCATGCCTCTCTGTTTGTAGTCCCATGAGACATGCTTGCTGCTTTTAGAGTGACTGGCCACAAGTGTGCAAGATCCTATAGGCAGCAGCAAGGGAAATAAGAAAAAATAAAAAATAAAGTCTGAGTTTATGTATTTTTAAAAATGTAATAAATTCAGTGTAAAAGTTTTTCATGTGGAATTGGATTTTTTAAAAAATCTGTAAGAGTGCGTTATGTACAAATAACAGAATTTAAAAAGACATCGCTGAATCCTATTTCCCAAAGGTCACCGTCATCCTTCAATATTGATTGAATTCCAAATTGCACCTTATTCCACTTCTGTTGGCCTTTAGAATAAGGTCAGTATCCAGTAGCTGCTTGGTTTTCTGAAAAGAACCCTGAAATGACAGCCAGGAAAAGTCAGTTCTTGTTGCTGGATTTATGAGTCACATAATCCCGGAAGAAGTTCTGAGGCTCAGGTATGTGGACAGCAACACCTGCTCCACCTACCCCAGAACACTGGCATCTAGAACATCAACAAAAAAAGTCAGTATTTCTGGACTTTCTAGATAACTGCCAGAGGCTAATCATTTCCCATCCCCCTAACAGTGGGCTAGGTGCAGTCAGTTTCTGCAACTCCTATCAATGTTTCCTCTTTAGTCATGAATATTAGCATAGAAGTTTTGCAAGGCGTTTAGGGAGGATAAGAATATAAGGACATTACAGAGTTATCTGAAGAATGCAAAGGCATATCTGTTCAGAGACCTGGGACAAAAGCCAGGCTTCCTTCTGGGTTCTCCAAACCTCACACACCTTGACACGTTTCTGCTTCTTTGCTCATCTTCCTCATTCCCTCAAGAGACTACTGTTCTTTGAGATTATCTTTTTCTGTTCATCTCAGTTCCCCTATTCCTCCAGCCAGGAACTCTCTCCTGGAACCCCCTCCATCACCCATCTAACCCTGCTCACTTCAAGACTGATCTTCCAGTCCTCCAACCTGAGGTTCTCAGGACAATTCAGCCACCAATGAGTCTCTCTTCTGACCACTTCTCTGTTATCAGAGGAATTTCACTCCTCTGTGCTCTTGAAAACTTATTGTATACCACCAAGTATTCTTAGTTATCTATCAAAAGTTTGCTTTATTCATCCCCTTGAGAGGAGGGATGGTGCCTTAAAGTATGCTCTATTGCCCACAGCATCTAGCACAGCATCTTGCTAATGAAGCACATAAGAAACAAATATTGTTGACTGATGGAGTGCTGGTTGGAATACCAGAAGCCTTTTTTGGTAGGAGAGGATTATATTGCTTTGATACTTCCATTGACACATAACACTTTCTTTTCGACCACAATACTGAAAGTAAAATAATTAAAAAATAAAACTTGTTGAACTAAGTTATCTTTCACTGAAATAAGGGTTATATTAATGTCATGCTGGCTCCTCCTAAATGTCTGTGAAATGGATATTTCTTCCTTGTATTCAAAATATCGCTTTCTAAAAACTCTGTCTGCTCCTGAAACTCCTGTCTTCCTTTCAATTAAGAAATTTTACGGGAAAGCCTAGTTTCTTTCCCCTAATACTATTGTTTTTGTTGGAAATGAAGCCAGTCCTAGTTTTAAGCCAGACTTAGAGATCGTTGAGAGAATTTTCAAAGTATAAAACCAGTTAATAAAGAGCTTCACAAAAAAAAAACTTTTAGAACTGACATTTTATACAGAACTTTAAGGCTAGGATGCATATTTTTTAATTTCTGAAAAATAAAAATGTCTTGTATATGAGAGGAAACTGTGCTCTTCTTTCCCATATGGAATTAATTACAGATAATCATTGTATTACATCCTCTTTTTTTTTTTACTTGTATAAGAACAATGCCATGTTTCTTTTATGTGAGTAAAAGAATTAGCCTCTATAAATAGAGTGATTGTCCTTGTCAGAAACAAATCAGTTTCCACAAGGATCTTTTTAAGTATCCTTTTAATAATTCAGTTTGGCTGAACATTATAAATGAAATTAATTAAATGAGTATGTATATAAATAACCTGGTTAAGAGACTGATCATCGCCATTATTACTAATAATAATACAATTAATTTTAAAGAAATATTCAGAGTGAAAGAAACCAGACTCCCAAAGAGAAAACAAAGGTACATTCCATCTATTTAAAATGGAAAATGCAAAATTTTCTACACTGAGAGAGAACTCCCTGGGACAGAGATCAATGGCTCCCTAGGACAACGGGAGGGATGGGAATAAGAATAAGAAATTGCAGAAACAAAGACACTCTTTAAGAGGATGGCTATGATCACCATGCTCACTACCTTTATTGAGGTGATGATTTCACAGGCATATATGTAAGTCAAACTTACACAATTGTACACTTTGAGTATGTGCACAAATACAGTGTGCTTAATTGTACTTCAACAAAGATAATATCTTAAAATGTGTTCATTGGTGGTGCATGAGATTATCAGGTTGTGACCTTCTACTTCATGGCCTCAATCCTCCTGCCCTCCAGGTGCCCCCTGGCCAGCCCCCTACAACATCCAGCTGCCATGCTATGCCAAAGCTGTGGTCTCTTGACAGCAGCATTCTCCTTCCCTGTCTTAAACATAAGTGCCCTCAGACTCTACTCAGACTCTCTGTTTCATTTATTTTCTTTTCTTTTCTTTTCTTTTTTGGCGGAGTTTTGCTCTTGTTGCCCAGGCTGGAGTGCAATGGGGTGATCTCAGCTCATTGCATCTTCCGCCTCCCAGGTTCAAGCGATTTTCCCACTTCAGCCTCCCGAGTAGCTGAGTAGCTGGGATTACAGGTGCCTGCCACCATGCCCAGCTGATTTTTTGTATTTTTAGTACAGATGGGGGTTTCACTATGTTGGCCAGGCTGCTCTCGAACTCCTGACCTCTGGTGATCCACCTGCCTCAGCCTCCCAAAGTGCTGGAACTACAGGCATGAGCCACCACACCCAGCCCTCAGACTCTATTTCTACTGAAACAGGTTCAAAAGAAAGCACCAATATAGTATTCAATACGGAAAACATTCACAACCCCAAATGCTTTTCTCTCTCTCTCTCTCTCTCTCTCTCACACACACACACATCCACATCCACACACTCATTACTTTGCTTCAACAGGTATCAACATTCTCAACCAAAGAAACAAAATTACCTAACTGGACAGGCAGACATCAGGATAGATGGAAATCAGGTTGGCGTGTGGTATCACAGATAAGGGTGATGGATTATACTCAAGATCAGCCCACATGGGACTTAACGTGTTCACTCATCCACTTATTCATTTGTGCAATATGCATATTTAAACATCTATAGGCAAAGTCTGTTGCTCATTCCTGAGCATCCAGAGAGGAAGAAAATAATCTCCCTGTCCTTCTGCTGTCACAGAAGAGAAGGACAATAAATAGATACATATTTCCAGTGCAACGTGAGTCATTAGAGAACATTTCTGGCAAAACACATTTCCTCATCCAATGTGCCTCCCTGAGGTTTTTCATTCACATGCATATTTGTATGTATTTACTATACCCATATATCTTAAAAGGATATACTGTTGCTTTACATTTTTAAGACTTATATAAAATGGTCATATTATAAAAAAGATTTCTAGAATAATAGGAGCAAGTACTCAATTCTTTCAGATGTCATTGGAAGGCTTATTGGAAGAGGTGACATTAAATCTGAGTCTAGAATCTTGAATGTTTCAATGTTGTTATCACTGAGCTGTATTTGAGGTGTTAGTTACATTTTTTTCTTCCTCATAAGAATAAAGTTTCTAAATAAAGTTTTCCATATCACTATCCATATCACACAAAAAGGTGACCATACCATTAAATTATTTTGCATTAATTTATATTTCTTTACTCACAAATTTTGGGGAACTTTAAGTCTTTCAGAGAACTCTGCCAAGTTTAGGGAAATAGAAACCAATCAAAAAACAAAAACCTCTCCCTCAACCAGCATATTCCTTCTCACCCTGGATGAGGACTTTCATTTTGGGCAGAGCAGGCTGGCAATAACGAAGAAGAAATGAGTCCAAAATAGGCAAGCATTTTCTTTTAATTTAGGTGTGTTCTGTTCTGCCCAGTCCCTTTCCCAGAGCTAGAAAATATTAAATCACCTTTCCTGTGACTTGGCTAACCAAGTGTAAAAGCCCATTCTTGGGGCACACCTGTAGAAATAGGATGATATTCTAAGCTTCGTCCTGAAGACTCCAATTAGGTAGAATCTGCTGTGAAGGAAAGAAACAGAAAACAATCTCAAAAGACTAACTGTATGCCGGGTACTTCTGAATATCTGGAGATTCAAGTTGTGGTGCTCTTTTATGTGGATATCTAGGCCTTTATTCACACTGTTCAGAGTGGGGAAAAGTCTGTCTCCCATTGTCGTTGCTGGAAGTTTTTCTAGGACATCATGTGAAACCCTTTCCTTTTTCTTCCTCACACTCCTAACTCTTATATTTTCTTCTAATAAACAATGTGTCAAAGAACTGGTTGATTTTATATGTTCTCCCCCTGTGGCTGCTGTGGGCAAAAGCACTCTGACATTGATCTCATTCCGGAGATGCCCTGTCCTATGGCTTCTAATCAGCACGGAGCTGTCAGTTTAAATTCCCTGAGAAACTCTCCTGTCTTGGGGGCTTGATGTAAGAAATGGCAGCAGGAAATGGAGAGCCCAGGAAAAGAGACATACTGTATTTCAGACTCATCAAGGAGTCATTTTCCCATCCAAATATCTCATCAAGTAGCCGGGTAATTTCTCATGGGCTCTTGCAGTGCCCTTCACTTTGTGACCCCTTGTTTAGGTTTCGGTTTTGATTTGCTTTTCAAGATTATAAAAACAAAGAAAGGCATGGTACAATCTAGAAGGAGTGCGGCTATGGTTGTGAAGGAGAAAAAATAAACAAAAGCAAAAAATTTAAAAACATGGCCTCTGTCTATTTTCTTCTTATTTTTGCCTCAGGGTCCCATTGCTTATTACCCGTCTCTTTAAAACAAATAAGCTAGTTAAATAAATATATTTGTGCAACACCAATATAGAACTCTATGCTAGACAGTGGATGAAAACCCAAGCAGTCCCTAATCTTCTTCCTGGATGAGGTTCAGATCTACTGAGTGCAATGTGGACGTGATCATAATGCAGTCAAAGCTGTAACATGCCAAGCGCTCTGTTTAGTATGAACATTTCTGATTACTTTAGTGGACTGAGCTCACGCATTGTATCACTTCTTCCAAACTTCCAATTCAAATAACAGAAATTCTAGGGGAAAAACTGAACAGAGAGTTAAGCTTAACACCAAGGATGCATTCCAGAGCATGGCTTTGCGAAAACAGGTACTGTCAAATAAGTCTTAAGGTAGGTGCACAAATTGGCATAACTATTATGAAGGAGAATTAAGAAAGACCTCACAAAACTAAACAAACAAACAACAACAAAAAGCATTTGTCCCAGTACTGTCACTTTTAGGAATGCATTCTCAAGACAAATCACCAACAATATCAAAATACATATGCACAAGATTATTAATTGCATCATTATCTGCCATTACAAATATTAGAAATAAATGACGATATGTAAGAGATTGGGTGAGTAAACTCTGATACATACACCTGTTATGGAATGATTTCCAGGAAATATTGCTAAGTCAAAAAAATTAAATTTAAAAGGGAATTAAAAATATGGTATTTTATGTAAGATAATTTGATAAGTAAAAATATTTGTGTTGTGAACATATCATTACTAAGAAACACTGTAAAATTAAGCCATATGTTTATGAGATTTCTGACCTATGAAAGGTAAACAGGAATGGAGTAGAAATGTTGAAAGTGCAGGCAGCATCCTTCTTTGGTTATATTTTTGTATAGTTTTGACTTAGAATGCAAAGTTAATGTTTACACATTCTACAGTATAAAATAAAATCATTAAGCATTGGGAAGAAGAAAAATCCTAAAACGAAATAAATGGAATTCAAACAAAAGAAAATGGCATAACTTAATTTCAAACAAATATCATAACTACTCTGAAAAAAATCAGTTATAACTTAAGTAGCTTTTAAGGGAAGTGCTTTGACTATATACCCTCAGACTGCAAACAAAATTAGCTGTGGACGAACCCCAAACTCTTGTATTCATGTTATTAGGTTTCTTTATCCAGTACTATGAGTTAGCAGTTCCGAAACTACCTTCTGTTTCTGATAGATTTAAGTAAAAAACAAAGTATAATGAATGTAACAGGGATCAGATCTCCCAGGGTTGAGGGGCTTACAAATATGAAAAACGAATAAAAGTATAGTGAATCCTATGGCGTTTGATTGGAATTGGAGATATTGAAATGTAGACAAGGTTTTAGACAATTAGAGATAAATATATGGAGAAGTCAAAATATTTTCATCTCTCCATCTATTAATTCTTCCTAGCTCCACTGAGCCTAGAAACAGTGGCACACAAAGCAAGGAGGACATCAGAAGCCCACATGTTGGTTTCTAAATACTCTTCTCCATGAAAAGGAACCTGGGCTCCTTGGGAAATGGCTGATTTCAGGTCTAGGACAAGGAATGTCCACGGTCACTTTGAATATCTTCTTCTGGGTCAGAAATAGGAAATATCTCAAGAATGACGGGGCACATCAGAAGGATTTATAGCCAGATTGAAGGAACTCTCATTGGCCAAATTTGGATAGTTGCTCATTAAAGCGGATAATGACTATAATGGCTTATAAATAATTCAATGAAATGAAAACACGTGTCCATTTGGATAAAAATTAGGAATAAATAAAAAAATGGGGAAGATGGCAAAGCTTTTCTTTACAGTATAAAGGCAACTATAAATGTAAAATAAAGGATGGAGCTGGAAAATTATCTGTCTCCATGGCAACCATCTTACAATTATAACTTTAGACAAAGCTACAGTATATACAAGAACTAATGGGTGTTTGATGAGGAGCAGGATATGTACATGCTCTGAAAGTCATCCATTAATTACAAAGGGAAAGCTGGTAACTTCACAGTGGAGAATCCTGGTAAACACCATCTTAACTAAGGATCAAAGTCAACATCACTGGCGGCAGGACAAACCAACAATGTGTACCTCCTAATTAAATTCACTGAGAAGAAAACGGCATCAGTTTTTATTGGAATGCCTACCAACATGTCTAAACAAATCCACTCATAAGGAAAAATCAGACGTTAAAACGTTCAAAGAATATTCCACAAAATAACTTGCCTATACTGTTCAAAATATCAAAACTATGAATACAAAATCATAGACTATATTGGCATGAGCAGAAGTTACATTTACAGGAATTGAGAAATAAAGGCAAAAAGTGAAGACAGAGCATAAACAGTATTCGTTCATGTATCTGATCAGGAAAATTGAAAAACTAGGCAAAGTTTTGTTTGCTTATTTTTTTTTTTACTTTTGGGACATATGAACCTGTCTATATTCAGGTCTGTGATATTAATGATAATTAATTGCTTCAGATAAACAGCTAATTAATTATTACTTAATTTTTAAAATGGAAAATATTATATAAATATATCTAAATAGACCATATTAGTTAGGTATCTTTTTTTGGGCTAGGTAACAAACAATCCTCAATTCCCAGTGGCTTACAACAAAAAGGCTGGATTCCCATTGATGGCTTATGTCTTCCAGTGGGGGTCACCTGTTGATGTGCTCCATGTCTTCTTTAATCTGAGATACAGGTTAAAGGCAATGCACCTCTCTCGGACACTGACGCATGCTGTTGTCAGGTCTAGGAGAACTGAGACACAGCAGAACACTAGAGGCTATGAGAGTTCCTTCTCAACAGTGAGATGGGCCACTTCTGCTCTCATCCCACGACCAAGGTGTGTCACATGCCCAAACATGGCACCCATGAGACAAGGAAGTAAAGCACTCTTAGGCAAGAACAGCAGGTAAATGGGGACAAATACTGCCAAACTGTTGACTTTATCTAAGTGTAAAACTATAAAATACTTATGGTAATGATTTGTAAATTAGGGGTAAAAAGGCTACAGAGGAAAACAAAAGAAGCCAAAATCAAGCACTCATAGAATATTGTTGGTAAAATTATAATGATGCATTTCTTTGCATTCTCTGTCTCCACATACACATATTCACTCACACACACGCTGCATGCACAAATTTACATCTAGCTCTTTCCAGTCAAAATTATATTGGTGGCCAGGGTGTGGTGATCCACACCTGTAATCCCAGCACTTTGGGCCACTTAAGCCCAGGAGTTCAAGACCAGCCTGGGTAACATGGCAAAACCCTATCTCTACACAAAATACAAAAATTAGCTTGGTGTGGTTGCATGTGCCTGTGGTCCCAACTACTTGGGAGGCTGAAGTCTGAGGTGGGAGGATCACCTGAGCCCAGGCAGGTAGAGGCTGCAGTGAGTCGTGATTATGCCCTTTCACTGCAGCTTGGGCAACAGAGTGAGACCATGTCTCAAAAAAAAAAAAAAAAAAAAAAAAATCTGTTAAAATGATCTAGGTTATTTTCAATTTTCCTTGTTGAAATAATGCCATAATGAACTTCTGTGATTACATTTTTATTTTTGTATATGATTATTTCTTTAAGGTCAATTTCCAAAAGTGGAATTACTGAATGAAACTGCATAATCATTTGAAGATTTCTGATGCACATTATCAAATTGCTTTCAAAAAAAATTTGTCTAATTTATTTTGCCTTTGTTTCCCAGACTTACTGTTGCACCCACTGTCCTGATGCTACATAAGTTCTATTCTTTAGTACTCCTTTGTTGAACTACCGTGATCTGTGAAATACGACCAGAAGGAGGGATATTAAACTCCTCCACTGATAACAGCATCCACACACATAAACACCAACAATTCTCCTCTTAAATGGAATTCAGTCTTTATTTCAGATTTTCCAGTAAATAAGAAGTATCTTGTCCTTAGGAAACTTTTGCCTATGCTTGCCTTAAAATATCAGTTCGATGAATTTGGTGTATTGGAATCCTCTATGCCTCATGTCCTCCTATAACAAGAGATATGCACAGGATATTCAGCGAATGTAGAAGTCCATTAACATGTTTAAGGAGTCTAGTGATGAACAATGGTAAAGAACATGCTTCATTATCTCTGCCAATCCAGCAGGACCCAGAGGCAAGCAAGACTCAGCATCTTCCGAGTCTGCCACCTGTCAGATCAGCAGCAGAAAAGGACAAAGGAAAACAAGAGTGTACGATCTATTTGTCCCAGATCTTCCTTTAGCCCCACCAAACCAGCTGCCCTAGCATTACCCTTTCTGCTGTGGTTATTGATCTCATTCATAAAAAAAATAACATTTGAGTGATAGCCGGCATTGCATTCTGCTATCCAGTGCAAGGAAGGAGTTCCTTCCTGAAATTAATTGGTTGTGACAGAGGGAAGGATTTATCAGATGCAAGAGGCATAACACTAGATTTCAAATCAGGTACTTGAAGGACATGAATTTGGTTCATTAAATTATCTGTGTATGGCTGTTTTCAGGAATCCCATTCTCCAAAAAAGCTACACAACGAAGTTCAAATTTGATGAAGCTAGTATGCCCAGTGGCCCTTATCAAAAAGTATAGGTTTTCTCATTTTTAATGCCCTTGGTAACATCTCTCATTGGGAGCTGATGATATTTAGAGAAACACTTTTGTCTAGTGGGATGTGAGCTGGGTGGTTGCTCTCACAGAATAATCTCCTGAAGAGTTACTTTTATTTCTTTTTTTCTTGTCAGTGAGTATAGAATAACATGATCCCTTGCCCAATTAAGGAAATATATTTATCCCTATATCTATCTATAATCATGAGAGAGGAAAATAATCTGACGTTGAGTCTCTGTATCAGGATCTATTTTATTCAAACTCAAATATTATTAGTCGCCCCCTCTTCCTCCTCTTCTCACACTTGCTTCAGTTTTCTGAAATGTATTTTCTGTCTTTTGGTTTGTATAATTCCCTCTTCCCTGTTATAATCAGAATAGGTATCACATCTGGCCACCTTGTTCATTTAGGGACCCTTCTCTGCCTCCTGCACAAGCTTATTCGTAATTCCATAAAAACCTTTGTCAGCCTGTTTTGTCACAGGTCATGTCCTGTTCACTTATATATCTTATTTTAAGAACCAATGTGCACCTAACACTATTCACTCGTTGAAAGATCAAAGAAAAAAAAAAGAGAGAGAGAGAGATGCCAGATGCCAGCAGCCTCCCTATGTCTGGGCTGTTGGGTTTTTATACATCGAATGGGAAGTAAGTGTCCAAGAGCTTGCAATCCATAAGGCCTCATATAGCATGTGCTGTAGGCTACATGGTCAGATTGGAACAATTGCAGGAAGCACATACCAGGTACACGCTGAATGACTGGTTATGGTCGTTAATTTTATGTGTAAACATGCCTGGGGGTAAGGAATGACCAGGTAGCTGAAAAACCTTCTTTCTGGATGTGTCCATGAGGGTGTTTCCAGAAGAGATGAGTGTTTGAGTTAGTTGACTGAGTAAAGATCATCCCCATCAATACAGACGGACATCATCCAATCCATGCAGGGTCTGAATAGAACACAAAGGCAGAGGAAGGGCAAATTCAGTCTCTGCCTGAGCGGGGACTTCCTTCTTTTCCTATCATTGGACATCATTTTCCTGGTCCTCGGACCTGCAGGCTCAGACTGGTACTTACACTTTTTGCTCTCCTGGTTTTCAGGCCTTTGGGATTGGACTAAAGCCACACCACTGGATTTCCTAGGCCTCCAACTTGCAGAGAGGAGACTGTGGGGCTTCTCAGCCTCCATAATAGAGTGAAGCAATCTCTCATAATAAATATTTTTCTGTCTCTCTCAATAAATATACATATATACTACACATATAACAGTGCTTATTGACACTTCCTCTGGAGAGAGACTAATACAGAGTTCTCTGGAGAACTCTGACTAATACATTGATAATGGGTTTGGTAACAAAACTTGGTTCCAGCCTGTCTGTCTTAGATACCAATACGATACTGAGTTATATATAGGCATGCATCTACCAGTCAGTTATTTACAGGCAAAATTTGTGTATGTTTGTAAGACATAGTTGACCTAGGCTGAAACCTAACTCACCCTGTGGGCTCATTGCTTAATGCGTTAATATAAAGAATTATCATAAGAGAGCATAGCCCAGGCAGAGAAGACAACCTATAGACTGAGAAGAAAGGTCAGAATTTCAGTTTATTTTACGTGCAAATCTGTGAATTCATTTCGTATGCATGGAGATATTAGGTTATAGCTCTTTTCAACTTTTAGCAGTTGAATGGCAGAACATATTTAACTCTTGCATATAATTTTTCTCATGCTTGGTTCAAAATGAATTAAAATTGGAAATGTCTCCATCATGGTACAACAGGCATTGTTATGGTGAATGAATCTGCAACTGCTGAGAAAACATTTAGTACCAAGGCTTTTATTTAGAAAATATAAAGCAATAAATGTCAACTAAACCCTATGGGGTAGACATGACACTAAATGAGTCTAACTTTCAGCAGCAAAAGGGAGACTGGCAGAGCACAATTGTGGATGCTACTGAAAAAAATAAAAACTCTTCAAAATTATCCATCACACACTTCGACTCCTCAATCAAAACAGTTACATATGTCCCCCCAGCCACCTGCTTCAGATTCTTAATAGAGGGCTGTGAATTATTTGTCTTCATAAAACTTCAGCACTCAACATGGTCTCTGTCATACTGCACAAACTCAATCCTTGTTGAATTGCGAGTTATAGACATGATTTCCCAAAATAATGAGCTACATCTAAGAAAGTTTTTTTTAAATCACTTCACTTATAAAGAATGTCATGTTACAGGGGTTATTCTTGTTAAACATGAGCTGGCAGGAAGAAACAGGATGAAAAATAAAAGAAAAAAGAAGCAGTCAGTATAAGAAGAAGAAAGAGATTAGACAGAGATTAAGAGGATTTGGGATAAGCAAACAGAGCAGGAGTGAGAGAGGCACGGAGAGAGATGGAAGGCAAAGATGAGAAAGAGAAATAAGGATAGGTGGGGGAAAGTGTGAAGATGTAAGAAGAAGAAAGTGGGACACTGATTGAGAGAGGAAGAGAGAATATTTCAGAAATCAAAATCTTCTGGCCAGGCATGGTGGCTCATGCCTGTAATCCCAGCACTTGTGGGAAGCTGAAGCTGGCGGATTATCTGAGGTCGGGAGTTTGAGACCAGCCTGGCCAACATGGTGAAACCTCATCTCTACTGAAAATACGAAAAAAAAAAAGAAAAATATATTATCCAGGCAAGGGGCAGGCACCTGTAGTCCCAGCTACTTGAGAGGCTAAGGCAGGAGAATTGCTTGAGCCCAGGAGGCAGAGGTTTCAGTGAGCCAAGATCACACCACTGCACTCACTCCAGCCTGGGTGACAGAGTGAGACTCCGTCTCAAAAAAAAAAAAAAAGTTTGGTTATTTTATACTTTCTTCTTCACACAGACTTCAGGCTGTCCTAATTAAGCAAGAAAAGGTTTGTTACCAGCAAAGATGGCATTCTCATGATGTAACTTTGGATATAAAGTTATTTTTCTCTAGTTGGAGAAAAATATCAGTAGTGCTAGAAGAAAAAGGGATTGATATTTTTCTTAAAGACATCAAGCAGACTTTTACAAACACTACTACAATACCAGGGCTCCTAGAGAACAAAGGCAGTGGTCGATGTCTACTCTAGCTTATCACCTAATTTCTGAAGTCCTAAAATCACTGGACTTTAAGAAAGCAGCCCATCAGCCACATTGAAATCGATGGTTGTCATGGTGAGGATATTCCTGGAAATAAAGACCTGTTTAGGCCAAGGCAACACGATTGCTTACAGGCAACAACTAACATTTCCGCATGGACAGCATAGTAGACTCTTTGAATTATAAAATCTTATATTTGAAGGAAATCTTAGAGATTATCTTATCACCATTTCTTTTTTTTTTTTTTTTTTTTTTTTTTTTTTTTTATTATACTCTAAGTTTTAGGGTACATGTGCACATTGTGCAGGTTAGTTACATATGTATACATGTGCCATGCTGGTGCGCTGCACCCACTAATGTGTCATCTAGCATTAGGTATATCTCCCAATGCTATCCCTCCCCCCTCCCCCGACCCCACCACAGTCCCCAGAGTGTGATATTCCCCTTCCTGTGTCCATGTGATCTCATTGTTCAATTCCCACCTATGAGTGAGAATATGCGGTGTTTGGTTTTTTGTTCTTGCGATAGTTTACTGAGAATGATGGTTTCCAATTTCATCCATGTCCCTACAAAGGATATGAACTCATCATTTTTTATGGCTGCATAGTATTCCATGGTGTATATGTGCCACATTTTCTTAATCCAGTCTATCATTGTTGGACATTTGGGTTGGTTCCAAGTCTTTGCTATTGTGAATAGTGCCGCAATAAACATACGTGTGCATGTGTCAATCCTAAGCCAAAAGAACAAAGCTGGAGGCATCACACTACCTGACTTCAAACTATACTACAAGGCTACAGTAACCAAAACAGCATGGTACTGGTACCAAAACAGAGACATAGATCAATGGAACAGAACAGAGCCCTCAGAAATAATGCCGCATATCTACAACTATCTGATCTTTGACAAACCTGAGAAAAACAAGCAATGGGGAAAGGATTCCCTATTTAATAAATGGTGCTGGGAAAACTGGCTAGCCATATGTAGAAAGCTGAAACTGGATCCCTTCCTTACACCTTATACAAAAATCAATTCAAGATGGATTAAAGATTTAAACGTTAAACCTAAAACCATAAAAACCCTAGAAGAAAACCTAGGCATTACCATTCAGGACCATTTCTTATAAGTCTACTAAAGATGAGGAAGTGGAGACCCAGATCAAGGGAGGGACTTATCGCAGGTCCCGGGAAGTATCACCCAAACTCCACTCCCCAGCCTCTTAGACTCACTGGAAAGAGGAAACTCAAAGCAGGCACAGAAGGAGAAGCTTTTTGGCATTGAAGCTCTCTTCCTGGGGGCTAAACCAACTGAAAGATTTCCTTTTATATTTCATGAGGCTGACCCAAGTCAGTAGTTCAGAGATGCATGGTGAAGCCCTGTGCCTCCCAGTGGGCAGTTATGCCCCATTCCTTGAGGACTGGCTTTGTATCACAATATTTTGCAAGGCCAATGTACTGAATTTTGACTTTTGTGGAGGTCCATTTTGAAAATGGATGCCAGTCAGTAAGAGACAACAGATGACAAATAAATAAATATCTGAGAAGTATCTCTGTCTTTCTCTCTCTCTCTTCATATATATGTATATAGATAGGTAGATAGGTGATAGATATACATATAAACAGAAATATTTAAGCAGATATATATATGGATGGATTGATGTATAGATAGATAGACAGATCTGCTTAAATATTTTTGTTTATTTTCTTTTGTATTACAAGAAACATCACATACTTTATCCCTATGTTTCTTTCCCAACTTTATCAGATGCCATCTTAAGATGGGTCAGATTAGAATGACAAGCAGAGATTTGAAATTAATTTATGAAAATCACCCTTTGGAAAATATACTGCAGAAACTGCCACAAAGAAGAAAAGTCCAGGAAACCTGTGCTGCACATCTGGCCTTGTGTGCATTTCAGTTAATATCAATGAGGGCCCCTATGTGCCAGGATCTCTGTTAGCAGCTGAGAGCACACATCATGGCTGAGCTCATTGCCAGCTGTTTGTGCTCTTTGGGCTTCAGATACTGGATCTGTAAGACAGAGTTTCATAATATTTGTCTCATGGGATTATTGCAAGGATTAAATGTGTTAATTTGTGTAAATTCCTCGGAATAATTTCTGCCATATAAGTGTTTCACAAATGTCAGCTATTAATATTCTGATTTATTTTTTCTTGGAGCCTTTTTGTAAATTCTTGCCATCTGGCTTTGTTTCAGTGGGTGACTTTCCATTGGCCACATTCATGAGTCTTCACCCACCTATCTAACCTAGGTCCTGAGTCGAGTAAACTGGTTCCATTAACAAACACTTTATTAAGGTTGGTGAGTTTCATTGATTCTATGTAGGTTTAGAGTGTGGCACAGACCTGCAAAAGTTCATATAAGAGATGACAGTTAATTCAAATGTGGGCATTGTGAAATAAAGCAGATAATTCAATTCTTAAGTAATGATGATGACGCTTTAGTCTCTGCCACCTCAGGGCAGATTTCAGTCTAATAGAATAATGTGGAGAAAAAGCCTCCACCTTGTCACCCCCAATGATAATAGATTGGCGAGAGCATGGATTTGCTCCTAATCTCAGTCAGGGGATTCTGGTAAATGCTTAGTAACCAGCTCTCTGGAAAAAAAATAAATGAATAAAAATAAATTTAAAAAATAAAAAAAAAACACTCATCTGTAGCATTTTCTTTTTTCATGGTATAAACACTTTTACCTAGGCCAGTTTTGAGCTTTTACCTAGGCCATTGTTGAGTGACCATTGAACGTGGATTTGGGAAGAGAAGCACAAATTGGAGAGTCGGCAGGAGCCAGCCCCAGCACATCACCATATCGAGGTCACACTGACTTATTCTGTGAACTGGGATAAGTTAACATTTCAAATCCCCAGTTTCATTGCCTGTAAAGTGGAGACTAGGAAAGTTTCCTCAAATATTGATGGTAAGACTAAATAAGGTATTATATGAAAACTCTCACCATAGTATTTGACCTATAATAAAGATTCAAAAGTATCATTTCGGCAGGGCATGGTGGCTCATGCCTGTAATCCCAGCACTTTGGGAGGCCAAGGCAGGTAGATCACCTGAGGTCAGGAGTTCGAGACCAGCCTGGCCAACATGGTGAAACCCTGTCTCTACTAAAAATACAAAAATTAGCCGGGCATGGTGGTGAGTACCTGTAATCCCACTTACTCGGGAGGCCGAGGCAGGAGAATTGCTTGAATCCGGAGGTGGAAGTTGCAGTGAGCCGAGATTGTGCCAGTGCACTCTGGCTTAGGTGACAGAGTGAGATTCTGTCTCAAAAAAAAAAAAGTAACATTTTCTCCCTTTCCTATTTTGTTTTTTTCTCCCTTTCCTCATTTTGTTTTATTCTGGATGTCAGGAGTATTCTGGGTACCCAGATGTGGAAATATTGACACCAAGGCAGAGAAATACAGGAAAAGGGTCACAGACTTCTATGGCTTTATAATCAGTTTACTAATTGACATGTGACTCTAAATTTTGCCTAAACATAAAGCAACATGGCAAGAGGCCCTTTTGCTTCTGGTGTCCTTACATGAGACTGTTCCCCTATCAAGGGGTTAGAGTATTCACTCAGAGAAAGATACATGCATATCTGGGTTTTATATATATACACACACATATAAATAAGATAAATCAGATATTTCATTTCTGGGTATGTTTATTTTTCATGTGATTGTAAAATTAGACTCTCCTACACAGACATTAGTGACAGTGAGTTGTCCATATGTCCCCTCTTGTCTCATTGCTATTGTCTGCCTTCTCTCACACTGCAGCAGAGTCCTGTCTCAGCCTTTGACGCATTTTGAAATTCACATGTGAAAACAGCCTTTCTAGATCTAATCCATTTTGTTCTGTAGTAAGAATGTGGCTTGATATGGATTCACTTTCTGTTTTTTTCTACTTCTAGCCAATCTGAGACAATTTTCTAGCCTAAAGTTAATGTATTTTAATGGGAAGCTTGAATAATAGTCACAATGTGTCTTTGATATCCTCGTCAGGCATATAATCTCGGTCAACCCTGTGAGATAGACATCATTCAACTTATTTTATATAATTTGGGACTGATGATCTGAGATGTTCATCCTATTCAAGTTGGCACAGATGTGGTTAGCCATTTCTGTGATACCCAACATTCCCTCTCCTTTTCTTCTCCCCACTGTATACTCAAATATGGCAATACATAATTAATTTAGTACTACATGCTCACTAGGTGCCAGTCACCAAGCTAGGCAGTGAGTAAATAAGACAGAAAGCAGGATTCCTTGTCAATCCTCATTCTATATGATTTTTCATCAAATTTTCACAGTTTCACAACTGCCTACTTTTGAAGACACTCAATTCCCTTGGCTTCCATGACCTAGGGATTTCTTTGTTAGGGATTTATCTTCCACTATTTTCTTTTTGAAAATTAAACTTTAGAGGTCTTAGACCCTCTCCTTTTACTATATATTCTTCCTCTAAGCAAAATTACACCACATCTCCAGCTTTAATTGCTATCTCTTGTGAGCTGAATTGTATCCTACCAAAATCTATATGTTGAAATCCTAAACCCAAGTGTATCAGGCTATTACTGTATGTGGAAGTAGAAGCATTGAAGAGAAGTTAAAGTAAAATGAGATTGTATGGGTTGGCTCTAATTCAATACGACCACTGTCCTTATAAAAAGAGGATATCGGCACCAAGGGAAGAACATATGAAGGCACTGAAAGAAGATGACCAGTTTCAAGCCTAGGAGTGAAGCCTCGGAATCAACCTGCCAAGGCCTTGATCTTGGACTTCTAGCCTCCAGAACTATGAGGATGTAAATCTGTTATTTAAGCCACTCAATTCATACTTTGTTAAGACAGGCCCAACAAGCTAATACATCATCTATATGCAGGGGCTACCTAAATTTATGTTTCTAAACCAGCTGTCTTCTTTGAGCCCTAGACTGTGTTGTACAACTACAAGATATACCTTCTTGGATACTTTAAAACACATCTGCAAAACCAAATTAATGATATCTCCCACTCAGATATGGCCATCTTCCAGTATTCTCTCTCTACGTCCATGTCACTACCACCAAGCTTTACACATTTGTCTTTATTACCCTCATGTCATCACCCATTTTTGTCCATTTTACCCCCTAAATGTCTATGGAATTCATCCACTTCTCTATCTATCAACTTGGTCTAAGCTACCATTGTTTCTCATGTGTGCTATTATGCTAACCTCCTAACTGGTGTTCTTGGATCTGCTCTTACTTTTTCCAGTCCATTTTCCATGCTGCAACTAACCTACTGAGTTAACACCTTTCCTTCCACCTTCCCATTGCTTTTATCAGAAAGATGCCCACTTTAAGATGGTAGACAATGTGGTTCTGGGTCAGTTAACTGAATATCAGTTCATCAAAAGCCATTTGCTGAATTATGAGGATTTATTTTGTAGTTTTCTATTTTCTGTTTGTTCCTTCTTTGTCATTTGACCTTGAATCTGCCCCTACCCTCTTGTGAGCTCTTGTTCATGGTCACAAAACAGCAGATCCGAAACATATACAGAGGTAAACAGCAGAGCGAAGAACAAACACAGAGACAGGGGCAAGACTAAAACTCTCAGTGATCAGTCCAACTGGTTGTGAGGTAAGTGGCTCACCGGTTTAGAAGAATTGACTCTAGGAATCAATTTCTGAAGAACTGACCTACTTATCCACTCCCTAAGAGGGCTAAGAGATCTGGGTACCACCATTCTTTCCAAGTTATTTCATACCAATTCCTTTTTTACAATCCTGCCAGTCACCTTCAAAGACAAAGGGCTTTTTAGAGCCCAATGTAGTGGTTCCTAACTGGAGGTATAAAGCTGTCTTGGAGATGCTTCAAAATGTGGGAATCATTTTGTTGTCATAAGAAGCAGGGTAGAAGTTGGGACCCAGATCCTAGCCTTTCTCAGATGAAGGTAAAAATGCCAAATATTTTTCTATGTAGGTAACAATTCCACCCAATAATGTCTCTGTTGAGAAACATTTGGAGTGCATGAGTCATCCCACCATAGGCCTTCCCACTTGCTGCTCTTTCTCCCTCCAGTGCTATCCCCACCCTCTCTTTTACCAAGTTAATTCCTACTTAACATGTAGACCTTGGATAAATTGCTACTTCATAGGAATGTTTTGACCTCCCAAATACATCAAACTGTACACTCATAGCACTGTGTGCTCACAGTGTTATAGTTAGACATTTATAGAACAGTTGACTGTCTCTTTTCCCAGAAGTCTGTACAGCTCCATGTGGGTAAGAACCATACCTCCTTTGGTAATGGCTTTTTCGGGTAATCCCCAGCACCTGACAGAGTACCCAGCACATGGAGGCACTCAGTAAGTGTTTGCAGACAGCAAAAGTTAATGAATGTGTGAATGCATAGGACCTGATCTCAAGGGACTTGCTGTATGGCTGGCGACAGGGAACAGAGCCTGGTGTCAAGCCCAGCATAGAACCACCACTGAGCAAAAAAGGAGTCTGCCCACTCTGTACCAAGTGCAGGGCTGGATGGAAGGTTAACCCCCCAATTACATTTTAAACCCTCAGGACTAAAATTAATCATTGGAATGGTGACACTTGATGTAAACCACTTCAAATGGATTGGCTGTGTAAAACCTCTGTCTTGCAGATGTCCTGAGTCAGCTCACGGGTAACCACACCAGCTTTTTTCTGGAGGATTCAAAATACCCCTGGACTGAAGAATGCTGCTGTTTGTTTGTTCCGCCAGCAAAGGCTCAGTTGTTTCTTAGAGAACAAAAGGAGGAAGCAGTGGTCTAGTGCTGGTCAGAGCAAACTTCAGAGCTGCAGGGTGAAAGGGCAGAAAATGATGGAAGAGAAAAATTGAACTGGAGATGAGGAGCAGGAAATAAAAGAGCCAGTTTTAAAATGTTTCCTGTAATTGAATAGAAACATGTGTCCCTCATTTGCAGAGGAACCCCAGGGCAGACAGACCACCTCAGGATATTCATTATTTCTTTAAATCTTTAATTGGGCACTTCAAAAGATCGCAATTAAGCTTTTTAAAAATACAAAGTTTTAGTTGAAAGAAATCCATGGGGACCTACACTGTTCAGTCTCCTGGTCTGGACCAATGGCCTTATTAAAAACAGGAGGAGGTGATGCACAAAGGCATCATTCCTGAGTCATTGGTTAAAGGAAGCATTCAGACTGTCTCTTCCCCATTAATAGGCTAAGAATCAAGGAAACAAAACAAAACAAAACAAAACAAAAAAACAAGAGAAGACAGACAATTATGCCCTATTCAACTCTAACTCCCAAATGGAGATGTGCACCCCAAGAGGCCACCTCATTCCTAATGCCTGTGAAAAAATAAAAGTCAGGGAAATACTTACGGTCCATACTGATCTGCTCTGAACTCTGCCTCTGCATTTGTGCACTTCAGTCCTGTCAACACTTGCATGCGTTGTGAATGGGCCCATCCACTTCTACTTTCAGGTTCTAAACAGCTCACTCCTCATGCTGGACTTGCCTCCCATGGCCTCAGCATCCAGATATCCTGGTTAATTCTGCCCTCTGCTGGAAACTTGCTTTGTCCCTGCTGTGGTCACATTGGTCTCTAGTCTGCTGCTCTGTAACTCATGATTGCTTTTCTAACATTGATCCTTTCTTCCTGTCCTTCGGTCCCTCTAATTCTAACAAGCAGAAATACTCATTATATTCCTAGTGTATGGAGCGCTGCCCAACCACTGCAAGCCAAAGACAAATGAAGGAATCTCAGCTCAGCAACTTGGAAATTTATCTCTGTCTTCCTTGCTTTCACTATGTTTGTTCTGTCCTTGAACCCCAGCTGATATACTTTTGCCTTTTCAATGTCACCACACCCACACAAGGCATTCTACAATTCCTTTTTCTGCTCAGTGCTCTAGATCAGCTATGACAGAGGACCTTTGTTGTTAGTAGGAGTCTTAAGCCTAAAGTCTTAAAGCTGAACTGTAGACACCAGAGCTGAGTAATCATGGTTCTTCCAGAATCTTCCTGAATCCGCTGGGGCTTCCACTGTTTTGGAAGGCTGGAATGGCTAGCGCCATACTCTACATGAGTGGCCAATAGAGCCTGATGCTCGTTGCCCTGTTACGCAAAATCCTGGCTTTCCTAGACACCCACCCATTGCCAGTGACACACTCTCAAGAGGCCCCCAGCCTCTGCCTGGTAGCACACTACTTCTGTTGGGTGGTTTGCGACAGGTAGGATGCAGCCTTGCATATCTTTCTGATTACTGGGAGGCTGCCCTTTCTGAGGAAGGTCCTGGCACTTACTGGGTTTGTGATGGAGATTTCTTGGCTGTAGCCTGTCTCGGGGTGAGCACTGGGTGTAGGCTGATTCTATTCATCATCTCTAGCTTGTTTCTTCAGCTCTGTTTCATCTCTGTTGACCTGTTGTGATGTCTCTTTATACAGGTCAGCACAGCTCACACTCCTGACATGATCCCAGGGAACAGGTTGAAATGACTGAAGGAAAGCACATTTATTATAAACTGGTCCAAAGCCATTTGGGGCTTCTTGAGAAATATCACATTATCAACCTCAGGTACAAAACAGCTAGGTGTCCAATGAATATTCTCTCAATCATTCAGGACAGCTCTTCCTAATGACCATTTTCTCTAAGGTTCTTCAGATTTCTCTAGTTATATTACAGGCAACTGATGCTTTATTGTCATCACAGAGTGACAAGTGGACAGAGGTAAGAAAGGCAGTTAAATAATTATAAGCTTATCCATTGCAGCATTGTAGCAATAGTGTCGTATTAGACACAACCTTAATGTTCATCCATAGGTTACTGGTTGAATAAATTGTGTGTCATTAAAAAAAAGAGTAATTTTCAACTATGAAATAAGATTTATTTCTATCAAATAATATAGTGTGATTTACTGGATGTATCATGAAGTGAAAAAAGCAAGTAGACATTACTACGTATTGTAAGTAACTCTACCTCTATGTAAAAAGGAAGGAGCACTGAGGATATATACTTACATGTTTGTATACATGTAGGTATTTTACATGCTTTCTTGCAAAAAGAAATACAGGAAGTATATACCAGAATCTGAAGATAACAATTACTTGTGAGAAAAAAGTTGGATAGGAATGGAAGCTGAGTGTGGTGGCTCACACCTGTAATCCCAGCACTTTGGGAGGCTGAGGTAAGTAGATATCTTGAGCTTGGGAGTTTGAGCCCAGTCTAGGCAACATGGTCAAATCCCATATCTAAGAAAAATAAAAAAAAAAATAGTGGGGCATGGTGGTCCACACCATCGTCCCAGCTACTCAGGAGGCTGAGGTGGGAAGATGGCTTGAGCCCAGGAGGCAGAGGTTACAGTGAGCCAAAATCATGCCACTGCACTGCAGTCTGGGTGATAGAGCCAGACCCTGTCTCAAAAAAAAAAAAAAAAAAAAAAAAAAAAAGAAAGAAAGAAGAAGAAGAAAAAGAAAGAAATGGATATACAAATTTTCTGAGTATAGCTGTGTATATAATCTTTACTTTAGAACTATATACATGTTTTACATATTCAAAAACTAAAACTAAAATGAGAGCTGAGCTATGAGGATGCAAAGGCATAAGAATGACACGATGGATTTTGGTGGCTCAAGGGGAAGGGTGGGAGGGGGGTTGAGGAATGAAAGAATATACATTGGATATGTGTACACTGCTTGGGTAACGGGTGCACCAAATATAAGAAATCACCGCTAAAGAGCTTATCTGTATAATCAAGCAGATTCCCCCAAAACTATTGAAATAAAACAAACAATGTAAATTATTTTTTAAGTTCACTTAGCTATTGCAATTATTATGTCTCCTTGTGAACAATTGTGTACTGAACTTTTAGTTCTTCCCACATTTCTCAGAAAACTTGAATTTGCCACAGTCTTCCTTTTCTCTCAAACTCCTGTTATTTTAAAGGGCAACTCCAAAATCCATATGGGTGAACTGAATAAATGCCTAACCATAAAGATTCTTGAGCTCCTCGAATCCATAAATCTTCCTAGGTAGGGCACCTATTAGCCTGTGAATACAATGCTCACCTGGCAAAAAGCAATGCATCTCTAAAACTTTGCTCTAATATTCAATGTTCTGATCTTTGTCTTCTGTGTCTCCAGCTGCCTCATTGATTCTCCTCCACTCTCTCCCTTTCATCACCATCACATGGAATCCCTTCCTCCGTTCTGCAGCCTATATACACAGTGATGCATCACTTTACCACTTTTTATATTTCTTTATCATGACTCTTCATATATCTAGAAACCTGAATAGAATGGGATAATTAATGACCTAATTCTTAATACTTTTCAACTGTTTTTCTTTTTGCCTTTCCACTTTGACAGTTCACAGTAAGCATTTTATCTAGTTCCCAGTCTCAGAGGGAATGCTTCTAATATTTCACCATGAAGTATGATGCATGCTGGAGGTGTTTAGGAAATATTCTTTAGTGTGTCAAAGAAGAGCCCTTTTATCCCCAGGATTCTAGGAGATTTTATCATTGATGACTTTTTAATTTCATCACTTGATTTTCTGTATGTATTGAGGCGATTTTTCTCCTTCATTTTGTTAATATAGAGAATTGCAACTATTGATTTTTGACTATTAGACTAACTTCATATTCCTAGAGTAAATTCAACCATGGTTGTAATTTATTTTCTTTTTGTATAGTTAGCTGAGTGTCTGCAAATTTTTAAAGGGTTTGTATCTATCTCCATGCAAAAAGGTAACATACCATTTACCTCTCTTATGATGGCCTTGACAGATTTTTCTCACAAGTTGGAAATATTATTTTTTCTTAATTCTCAAAAACAAATTTAAGATTGTTACATTTCTTTTTTAAATATTTGCTAGAATTCATTAATGAAGTCATCTGGGCCTGAAGTTTTTTTATAGGAAGTTCTAAAAATATTGTTTCATTATTTTTAATAGATACAGACTTATTTAGCATTCTTTTTTTTCTGTCAGTTTTGTAAACTATCTCTCTAGGAATTTGTCCGTTTATGTTCTGAAACATAGTAGACAATTTTGTAAATAATATTCTTATTTTAATGTTTGCAGGATCTGTCATGATGTACACTTACAAATTTCTGGATGTTTTTCACTACCAGTTTCACTAGTTATTGGTTATATTAGTCTTTTCCAAAAAATATACACTTTTGCTCAAAGAAAGTATAGTTGAGGTTTACAATGTGATGTTATGGTATACATACACATAGTAAAATTGTTACGTAGTGTGGCAGATTAACATATCTATTATCTCACACAGTTACTCTTGTGTGTGACAAGAGCAGCTAAAATCTACTTATTTAACAAAAATTCTTAACATAATACAATTATAGTAACTTTAGTCCTCAGGTTGTACATTAGATCTCTATACTTATTCATTCTATGTAGCTGCTATTTCATACCCTTTGACCTACATCTTCCCATTTCCTCTCCATACCTCCCCCTGCCCTTGCTAACCAATATTTTGCTCTCTATATTTGTGTATTTAAGTTATTTTTTAATATTACACATATATATTAGACTATGCAATATTTTTCTTTCCGCATATGACTTATTTACTTAGTGAAATGTCTTTCAGGTCCATTTATGTTGTGGCAAATAACATAGTCTCCTTTTTATGGCTTCCATTTGTCTAATTTATCTTTTGTTGTCTGTGTTTTTGTGGTCTTCTCCTATAAGTCTTTATTCAGACCAATGACCTGAAGTGTTTCCCCAATGTTTACTTCTAGAAGTTTCATAGTTTCAGGTATTATATTTAAGACTTCAGTCCATTTTGATTTGAATTTTGTGTATGGTGGATAAAGGAATCTATCTTCATTCTTCTGCATACGCTTATCCAGTATTCTCAGCATCATATATTGAAGAGACTGTCCTTTCCTCAGTGTATGTTCTTGGCGCTTTTGTCAATTATGAGTTGGCTGTAAATGCATGGATTTATTTCTGAGTCCTCTATTCTTTTCAATTGTCTATGTGTCTGTTTTAATACTAATACCATACTTTTTTGGTTACTATACCTTTGTAGTATATTTTGAAGTCAGGTAGTGTAATGTCTCCAGCTTTGTTCTTTTTGCTCCATATTGTTTTGGCTACTTAGAGTCTCTTGTGGTTCCATACAGATTTTAGTTGTTTTTTGTTTTTTTTTTTTCCTATTTCTGTGAAGAATGTCATTGGTGTTGTGGTAGAGATTGCATTGAATCTGTAAAGCCCTTTGGATAGTGTTGACATTTTAACAATATTAATTCTTCCAAAATTATGAACATAGGCTATCTTTTGTTTGTATGTGTGTGTTGTCTTCAGTTTATTAAATCAGTGTTTATAGTTTTCCTTGGAGATAACTTTCACTCCTTTGATTTAATTTATTCTACAGTATTTCATACGTTGTGTTACTATTGTAAATGAAATAGCTATCTTGATTATTTTTCAGTTGTTCACTGTTGGCATGTATAAATGGTAGTAAACTTTTACATCAGTTTTGTATCCTACAACTTTATTGAATTTGTTTATACATGCTAACAGTTTTTAGGTAGTGTTTATATCATGTTGTCTACAAACAAGCATAATTTGACTTCTTCCTTTCCATTTCAGAGGCACTTAGCTTCTTTCTCTTGTCTAATTGCACTGTCTAGGACTTCTAATACTATGTTAAAGTGATGAACGTATTCATTCTTGACTTATTTCCAATCTTAAGAGGAAAAGTTCAATTTTCCCCATTGATTCTGATGTCAGCTATGAGTTTGTCATATATGTCCTTTATTTTTGTATGTTCTTTCTGTATCCAGTTTGTTCAGTTTTTATCATAAAAGTATGTTGAATTTTGTCAAATACTACTTTACCATCTATTGATTTTATGATTTGTTTTTTTCCTTGATTCTGTTAATATGATATATCATGTTCATTGATTAGCATGTGTTGAACAATCCTTGTATCCCTGGAATGAATCCCTCTTGGTCATGGTGAATAATATTTCTAATGTGTTGTTGGATTCACTTTGTTAGTATTTTAAAATAATTTTTGCATCTGTGTTCATCAGGGATATTGGCGTCTAGTTTTGGTATAGGGGTAATATTGACCTCATAGCATGAGTTTAAAAGTATTCTCCATCTTTGATTTTTTGGAATAGTTTGAATAGAAGTGCTATTAATTCTTCTGTTAAAGTTTCGTAGAATTCAACAGTGAAGCCATCAGGTCCTAGGCTTTATATTGATGGGAGACTTTTTATTATTGCTTTGATTTCATTACTCATTATTGATCTGTTCAGGTTTCGCATTTCATCATGGTTCAATCTTAGTAGGTTGTATGTGTCCAGTTATTAGTCTATTTTGATAGGTTTTCCAATTTGTTGGCATATAGTTGTTCATAATAGTCTCTATTGGTCAATTGCCTTTCTGTGGTATCAGTTATTTCTCTCTTTCATTTATAATTTTACTTGACTCTTCTTTCTCTTTTCTTAATCTAGCTAATGGTTTGTTAATTTTGCTGGACTTTTTGAAGACAAACCTTTCATTTTGTTGATTTTTTTTTGGGGGGGGGAAAGAGTCTCGCTCTGTCGCCCAGGCTGGAGTGCAGTGGCTTGATCTCCGCTAACTGCAAGCTCCGCCTCCCGGGTTCACGCCATTCTCCTGCCTCAGCCTCCCCAGTAGCTGGGACTACAGGTGCCCGCCACCACACCCAGCTAAATTTTTTGTATTTTTTTAGTAGAGACGGGGTTTCACCGTGTTAGCCAAGATGGTTGTGATCTCCTGACCACGTGATCCACCCGCCTCGGCCTCCCAAAGTGCTGGGATTACAGGCATGAGCCACCGCGCCTGGCTGATTTTTTTTTTTTAGTGTCCATTTTATTTATAGCTGATCTGAATTTTTTTTTTATTTTTTCCTTTTGCATAGCAGGGAGGCTGAGGTGGGGGAAATGCTTGAGCCTGGGAGTGTGCACCATCACACCAAGTTAATTAATTAATTTTTTTTTTTTTTTGTAGAGACAGGGGTCTCCCTGTGTTGTCTAGGCTAGTCTTGAACTCCTGGCCTCAAGAGATCTTCTTGCCTTGGCTTCCCAAAGCGCTGGAATTACAGACATGGGCCACTGTGTTTCACCTGCTCTGGTTTTTATTATTTTTGTCATTCTACTGATTTGGGGTTTGGTTTGTTCTTGCTTTTCTAATTCCTTGAAGTGCATAATTAGGTTGTTTGTGTCAAATCTTTATACTGTTTTGTTGTAGGCTTTTATGGCCATAAACATCTCTCTTAGCACTATTTTTGCTGTATCTCATAGATTTCAGAATATTGTATTTCCATTTTTACTTGTTTCAAGAAATTTTGAAATTTCTGCCTTAATTTCTTCATTGACCCAGTGGTCATTTAGGAATATGTGTTTTAATTTCCATGTATTTGTAGAGTTTCCAAAATTCCTCATCGTATTCCATTGTGATCAGAAAATATACTTGATAAAATTTTAACATTCTTGGATTTGTTGAGACTTGTTCTATGGCCAAAAGTATGGTTTATCCTGGAGAATGTTTCACATGCTGATGAGAAGAATGTATATTCTGCAGCAGTTGGGTAAAATGTTTCCTAAACATCATTATGCTCATTTGGTCTAGAGTGTTGTTTAACTGATGTTTCTTTATTAATCTTATGATCTTATGTCTAGATGAACTGTCCATTACCGAGAGTGGGGTGTTGAAGTCCCCAGTCATTATTGTGTTATGGTCCATCTCTCCATTTAACTCTACTAATGCTTGTGTTAAAACTTTGTGTGCATTGGCATTGGGCCATATATATTTACAATTCTTACATCTTCTTTCAGAATTGACCTCTTTATCATTATATAGTGACATTATTTACATCTTTTTACAGTCATTGACATGAAGTCTAAATTATCTGATAAAAGTATAGTTACATTTGCTTGGAATATCTTTTTCCATTCTTTCATTTTTAGTCTCTGTGTCATTGTATGTGATGTCAGTTTCTTTTAGGCAGCATGTATTTGGTTCTTTTTTTTAAATTATTCATTCACTACATGTTTTAATTGGAACATTTAGTCCATTTACATGCAATACATGCAATGTTATTATTGATTTACTTTTCTTTGGTTGTTTTATAACTTCTCTCTTCCTTTCTTACCATCTTTTTTGTGGTTAATGGTTTCCTCTAGTAGTATATTTTAATCTATTGTTTTTGAGAGTTTATTTCTAGTTTCAGTGTATCTATTATACACTAAAATATATATGCATATATATACTTTTGCTTTGTGGTTACCATGAGGCTTACAGAGAACATCTTGTAGACACAATAAGTAAGTTTAAACAGATGACAAGTAACTTTTATCACAAATAAACAGACAAATAACAAAAACTCTACACTTTAACTCTATCTCCCCTATTTTGACATTTTTGTGTCTTAATTTACATCTTTGTTTATTGACTATCTCTTAACAGTTTTCCATAGTTATTTTTATTTTTGGATAGATTCATATTTGTGTTTCATACTAGAATGTGAGTGGGTTACACACCATAATTACAGTGTTAAAGTATTGATTCTGTGTACTTACTTTGGTCAGTGAGTTTTACACCTTCAAATGTTTTCTTTTTGCACATTTATATCATTTTATTTTAAACAAAAAACTCTCTTTGGCATGTCTCATAAGAGAAGTCCAATGGTGACGAATTACCTTGGTATTTTTTTTCTTTGCCTGAGAAAGACTCTGTCTCTCCTTCATATTTGAAGAAAAGCTTTGCTGAATACAGTGTTTCTGCTTGAAAGTTTTTTTTCTTCTTCAGCACTTTGAATATTTCATCCTAGTCCCTCCTGGCCTGTCTTTTTTTCCCTGAGAAGTCTCTTGCCAGATGAATTAAAGGTAGTTTATTTGCTACTGACTTCTTTTTGTTGGCTTATTTTAGAATCCTTTCTTTGTCTTTGATATTTGAGATTTTGATTATCATACGCCTTAGGATAGTCTTATTGGGTTGAATCTGTTTAGTGATGTGTGATCTTCCTATTCCTGAATAATTGTATCTTTCTCTAGGTTTGAAAAGTGTTCTTTTATTGTTTTGTTTAATAAGCTTCCTACCCCTTGCTCTTTCTCCACTCTCCCTTTAGTGCTGATTATCCTAAGATTTGCAAGAAATATAGATATTCTTTATATCTTCCAGATGTTCCTTATTCTTTTTCATTCTTTTTTTTCCTGATTGTATATTGTTCAATAGCCTGTCTTCAAACTCATTGATTTTTCTTCTGCTTCATCCTTTCTGTTATTGAGAGCCTCTAACGTATTTTTCAGTTCAATAAATTAATTTCTTAGTTCCAGGATTTCTGTTTAATTTTTAAATTATTCAATATCCTTGTTAAATTTACCTGATACATTTCTGAATTGCTTTTCTGTGTTGTCTTAGAGTTTGCTGAGTTTCTTTAGGATCATCGTTTTGAATTCTTAATCTGAAAACTAACACATCACTCTCTCTTTATGGTTAGTCATTGGCTCCTTGTTTTTTTTTTCCATTTGGGGAGGTCATGGTTCCCTGTCTGTTCTTGTTTATTGTAGATATATGTGTATGGCTTCACATTGAAGAGGTATTCTAGTTATTTATTCTAGTCTTTGCTGTCGGGTTTGTTTAGGTCTTTTGAAGGTATGTATATTTACTTAGAGGTTCTTTGCAGTTGCCTATGAGTCCCCTTAGTCCTAGATCACTGTTTCCTTATCAGTACTAGATGGTGGCTTAAGTCAATGTTAGCCTTGGCTCTTGCAAACATGAAGAGCACTGCCCATCCTGGAAGGGAAAATTGCAAAATGGATATGTGGCTATGTGGAAAGGCTGGTGTAGGTGCCTGCCCAGAAGACCCATGGAACATGCCTCCTATAGCATAGTGCTAGTACATAGGCACTGTGATTTAGCATCTCCTTTCACTAAGATAAAGAGCAGGGTTTTATGGGCTGATTTTTTTAGTTCTTGCTGTTCTCATTCTTCACAGCTGCCTTTAGGTGTTTTCTACCTAAACACATTTGGAATGCTTCTCTTGGGTTGAGGCAGAAACGGTTTTTCTGCAAGGAAATCCAAAATGATGGGGACGCTAGTTGTCAGCCCCAATTTCACTTTTTTCCAGTGTAGAAGCCATTAAGTCCAGGAGGAATTTTCTGTGCATGGTGCCTGGTAGATTGGGAGGGAAGCATTGTGTATAGAGAATTCTATTTGTATTACCATTTCTCTGAGTTTTTAACCTCTTTGTGCCCCTGGGGACTTTCTCAGCTACAGATTTGAGTTCTAGGATATTGCTGATGACGATCTTGGCATTAAATATTTGTTTTTGGCTTTCTCTTGGGGACAGTGAAGCCAGATTGCTTCTACTTCACAGTTTTTGTGTATCACCTGCAGCAAGGTCTGGATTCATGGTGCTACTCTCTGGACTCTTTCTGGACTGGCCACCGCTGTGCCCCAGAAAGTGCTCACTCTGTGGATCATGGACTCACCTTCACAAGGGAGCCTTAAATAAAATAAATAGCAGCCATTGTTTTGAACTGAGATCCTCAACAAGGTCCTGATAGATAAATCATAATGGAGTCACTTATGCTAAATATCACAGAATCAAACAGAATTTAAGAATGGGTCTATTTTCCAAAAGAAAACAGGAGATTCACAGCAAGCAGTTATAAGAAGCCCAGATAATCTGACATTAATTCATACCAGGAAAGTAACTTTGAACCACCAATTCACTTTTTGTTCCTCATTTCTCCTTCCTTCAGTCTTTTCTGCCTATAAGATCCACCACCCCTGCTCTGCTCAGCAAAGCACCTTTCTATTTCACAGATTGAATGCTGCCCTATCAGTGAATGAGCAATTAAAGCTAATTCGTTACTGATATGGTTTGGCTGTGTCCCCACCCAACTCTCACTTTGAATTGTAATAATCCCCATGTGTCAAGGGCAGAGCCAGGTGGAGATAGTTGAATTGTGGGGGTGGATTCCCCATTTCTGTTCTTATGAGAGTGAATAAGTCTCATGAGATCTGATGGCTTTTTCAAGGGGAGTTTCCATACACAAGCCCTCTTGCCTGGCCACCATGTTAGACATGACTTTGCTCCTCAGTTGCTTTCTGCCATGATTGGGAGGCCTCCCTAGCCATGTGGAACTGTGAGTCAATTAAACCTCTTCCCTTTATAAATTACCCAGCCTCGGTTATGCCCTTTTTAGCATCATGAGAACAGACTAATAGAGTTCTTAAATTCTTAAACTCAACTTCTTAAAATGTCATTCTTTGACAGCCTAGAACCATTTTATTTGCCCAATGAGTTATAGCTCTTCTCATCAAAAAGCGTACGTGTGTATATATATGTTCTATATACATATATACACTTATATATACATATATATGCATATATACACATATGTATACATACACACATATACGTATATATGTATACATACACACATATACGTATATATGTATACATACACACATATACGTATATATGTATACATACACACATATACGTATATATGTATACATACACACATATACGTATATATGTATACATACACACATATACGTATATATGTATACATACACACATATACGTATATATGTATACTTACACACATATATAAGTATACATACACATACATACATGTATGCATATACACATATACATATATACGTATACGTGTATACGTGTATACGTATACGTGTATACGTGTATACGTATACGTGTATACGTGTATACGTATACATATATACATATACACACATATATATGTATACATAACAGTTGTTGTTGTTTCTTATTTCTGAATATTCTTTAATAGCCTTACAAGATTCACAGCTTGGCTCAACAGGTTGATACTATGGACTTCATGAGCCAGGCTTTCAGTTAGATTTTTCCAAAGGGATGCACTGACAGGGTATGGAAGGTTGGCAGGACCTTCTCTGCTTCTTTTCTGCTAGACCATTGGATGACTGCAGCTGAAATTCCCTACCTAAAATCACAAGTCACATACAGAAGCCCTCTTCTGTAGCTACTGTGATAACTTCCTTTCAAATTCTAAGAAAGATATTCTCTCTTTGTTCCTTCTTCTGTTTTTAATTTAATCCACTTTTTCCAGTTTTGTTAGTTGAAGAGTCTATCAGAATTAGTGTACCAATTTTTGAAAGCGAATTCTTCATCTACTTTTCATGGCTTCGAATGGCCTTAGATGTTATACCCCACTGATGGATAGCTACACTTCAAACCTGTTTAAGTTATAAACACAAATATCTAATTGCCTGTTGGAAAACTCCATCCCAATTTACCATTCATATCTACAACACAACATGTTGCAAAATAAATGTTTTATATCTAGCTTAAATGTGTTCTTTATCTCTGATTTCTTACCCAGTTGAATAATCTTTGTCAATAAAAAGTTTGTATTCAAGTGACATGTATTCAGGCCTGAAAATATGTGAAAGTTTAATTGTGAATTTCTGAGATTTTTTACCTCTCCCTTTAGAGAAAAGTTTAAGAATCTCATGTTTTTTGCTGTCTTCTTCTGCATGAGGGGGTTATTTATTTTTCACCTGTCACTTATGATCGAAGTTTTCGTGAGTCTCAGTTGTATGCACTCTTCTATCGAACTCCTTACCCTGGGAAGGCTGTAGGATTTATTTCTTTCTTCTCATTTATATGTTAAAAAGAGAAGCTGATGGAAGTCAATGTTAGCAGATACTTTTGAATGAAAACTGGCTTTCTTGGTTTCTTGAGTCACAGGAATTTTATTTTAAACTTGTGTCTGTTGACCAAAAAAGAAGATGCTGAGGCAAAGTTAACAAAAGTAGAGAGTTTATTTGCACTAAACTTGTGGATTGCAACCTGGGAGCATAGACTCAAGTTGCCCTGAATATACCCTTCAATTAGCAGCAGTCACAAGTAGATTTTTAAAGACAAAAAAAAAAAAAAAAGAGGAAGAGGGAGCGAGCTGATACAAAGTTGTTTGTCAGGGTTTCTCATTGATTTAGGGAAACAGCATTGATAGTGATTGGCTACACATTGTCAAGCTATAGGGTGTTGGTTATAGTGTCCAGAGCAATATTATGAGGTTAATGTGTTGCTATTTGTGTCAATAGCAGGTTTAAGAAATGAACACACAGCTCAAGGGGGGAAGTGGGACATGACCTGCTGCAATCTCATTTGACATCTCTCTGGGCCTAATAATTTAAAAGGACTCATATTCCTCAGATAAAAGTTTTTTTTAATTCCTCATGTCTGAGCTTTATTTTCTTTCTTTTTCTTTTATTTCTCTATTTATTTCTTTTAGGGCAAATTCAGTAAATCATCTTTCTTATTTTAATCAAAACCCTTGTTTCCAGTGGGAACATTTTATGGTATTTATCCCTCCTTTAAGTTGGTTGATCCATTTACTATGATCAGTCTTGAGTATCTTGAGAGGGTGGTAGATGAAGCACCTCTTGCCCTGACCTTTATTTCTCATGGAGAACATGTACCATGGAGGTCATATAACTTCAAAACAGAGCTTGAGATCCAAAGAATCCTGATGTATTTGTAAATAGCCTAAGTAGTTTTAACTTTGAGTTCCCAGAAGGACCAATTTAGCCATTGGTCCTTCTGGCTCAATGCTACACACATAAAGAAAAAACCTGAGGATCATTTGATCCAAGTGCTGCAGTATTGGCTGTAGAAAACAAAACAAAACAAAACAAAAAACAAACAAAAAACCCTCATCGTTCATCAAAATTGTTTCTCTTTTACTCATAAAATGAATTAGTCACTGAGAGGTAGCTGACCTGCGAGAACCTACACTTGCCATGCTTCCTGGCCTTTAGGTGTAATCAAGTCACTTCTTACCACGGAGTTATAGGGAGCAGGTGTGCTTTTTTTTTACTATCAATTTTTCCTTCCACCACTTGGGTATAAATGGCTCCAAGATTAGGATACTGGAACAGTAAGATTAAGTCGTCTCTGTCACTGAAAGAGAGTTACCTGTCAATAGTTACACCTTTAGAGAGCAAGAAGTAACTTTGATTTTGTTAAACTACAAAAATTTGGGCAGTTAACTTGTTACCACAGTGCTATGGTTTGAATGTTTGAATCCCTTCAAAATTTATATGTTGAAATCCTAACCTACAAGGTAATGGAATTAGGAAGTGGGAACTTTGGGAGATAATTAGGTTGTGGGGGGCAGAATACTCATGAATGAGATTAGTGCCCTTATAAAATAAAAGGACCAAGAGAGACCTCTTGCCATCTCCAGCATGTGAGAAGACAGTAAAAGATGGCTGTCCATAGAATCAGGAAGCAGGTGCTCACAAGACACTAAATTTGCTAGTGCCTTGATCTTGGACTTCCCAGACAGCAAAAATGTGAGAAATAAATTTTAGTTGTTAAAACATGCATTTTATGGCATTTTGTTATTGCAGCCCAAGTAGACTAAGACATACAGATAGTGGTTGGAACTCACATTTATTGAAGTCTGTAACTACTGCAATTGTATTAGGAATTATTAAATTCTGCAATTTACTAGGAATT
Source organism: Homo sapiens (assembly GCF_000001405.40). Taxonomy (NCBI): domain Eukaryota; kingdom Metazoa; phylum Chordata; class Mammalia; order Primates; family Hominidae; genus Homo; species Homo sapiens. The sequence goes on along the minus strand of NC_000002.12, from coordinate 125,731,720 downwards.
TTTACACGTTACTTTTAATTTTTCTGGTACACTTAGTTGGCAAATTTTATAACTAATTTACAGACAAGGAAACTGAGACTCATACAAGCTTATCTTGTCCAAAGTTAAAGCAAAACACTTAAGCATTTATCATTTTTAGATGGCCAGAATGTTTTCCCTTCATTACAGTTCTAACAACAAAATTTCTTCTCCTTATCCATTCATTGGTCACATGACTCACCTTGGCCAATGAGTCTTCCATTCCACCAGCTACACTAATGCCAGAGTAGACATCTCGAAACCAAACAGAACCTATTCAGAGCTCTCCACAGGACTTTAGTGGACAGACATTGACATAGAAAACTTCATTCCATTGGAGCTACTTACCTAGAACATGTTCCCAAGCATCATTTTTATTGGAGGAACTAACTTCCTCTGCAAAATAAAGTCCAGCATGAATAAGGGCAGATCAAAGAAAGAGTCCTGGCCATGTTGAATTTTGGTTCTAGCACTTGAGACCTGGCAACTGTAACTATCTTGGTTCCTGTGAGCTTCCCCGACAACCCTCACAGTTACCTGAGCCAATAAAGTTTCAGTTATGCTTTAACTTGTGTGAGCTGAGTTTGTTACTTATTGCCAAAAAAGCCTAACTAACACAGTCATAAAATTTCACATAAAAGCGCCATAAGCCAGGTTTACTTCATGACTAACACTTCCTATTGTATCTCTTTCCCGGTACTTTTAGCTAAGCCTTATTTTAGCTAAGCTGTATCTATATATGTCGCTATTGCTCAGGCTCTTTTGACAAGGTAATTCACATCTTTCTTGTGTATTTATTTCTTTGAGATCAGATACCATTCTTACTGGTATTTTATGAATTGAGAAAATTGACAGCTGCAATGTCCTTCTATGTCTTGTCTTAACTTTTGTTGAATTTAGGAACCAAAGTTCAAAATTGAAAAATTAAAATTGTATGAAAGTCTCATCTCAATAACAGTTGATTTTTTAAATAAAAGAAAATATTATCTTTCTAGCATCTCCAGTTGTTCAAAGTTTCGAAGCTTAGAAGAACTATATTTTAAATCTCTCTCTCTAAATTTATGTGTGTATAGAAGTAAAACTGTTGGGTTAAAAATTAAGAATAAGGAGAAGCTGCAACATTACTGGGTTTATTTTTTGATGAGAAGCTGGAAAAGGGGCAGGCAGCACCTTTCATGCTTTCAACACATGCATCAGATATACAAACTGGCCTGGAATTAAATCCCCTTAGAGTTTTCTCAGAGGAGGGAACCATATTTTAACTTAGAATTCATTCTGTTCATATAAATTCAAATATGTTTTTTCATTACACTGGGTGCCTCCCAGGTATAGGATAAGAAAAGAAACACTCATGAATCCCATATGACAGTAGGCACAGAATGCTAATGCAGACAAAATTCCCCTCATTGTTACTATCACTGGGTATACCATAAAAGAAGCAGCTTTTTTGTTCACAGCTCTGTCAAGAGGGAGAATCCACCTTTTGCTCAAACCCCGGTCAGAAATATACTCTTTTCTCTTAATAGAGAAGGGTTTATCAACCATCCTGGTATAGGGAACAGGTAACTGACCAGAGACTTAGAAAGCCAACATTAGAAAGGCAAAAAGGTATAGAGCCATATGAAGAAAGCAAAACCCTGCCTCCAAACCTATAATTTGTAGCAAACATTTTATACATCCTGTTGGAAAGAACAGAAGTTTACTTTAAATGTCATGCCAAAGACACCCAGCTTGAAGTACAAATTGAAATAACAAATAAGCAAAGTGGAAGAATTTTATATCCTGTATCAAGAAAGGACAGAACATGACTATTATCTTATAAAAAGAGATAAGAGACAAGGAGATCATAGGGTATTTGCAAAGAAACATGTAGAATATAGGATTGATTTATTTATGGCATGACTTTTTGGTCACAACATTCATAATTGTTTTATAAAATTGCCTTGAAGTAACTTTGGAGTTATATGCTCATGCTTTCAATTCCACAATTAATACTGGCATCTATAGACCACATAAAGCCATGAGTTGAAGAAATCTTGACGCATGTATGAATTGTGGGTCCCCATTTGATGACTGTAGTCAAGACTGGGCCTCCCTTAAAAATAAGTGATCTGACTCTTCTCCAACCGCTCCTGTCTCCCAAGGAGCAGCAGCCTGAGTGCTGAGGGTCTGATGGTATCCCTGGCCTGGATTTCCCTAGTTGGTGGTATTAGGAAGCTTATTGCTCAGCACTGGTTGGACAGCCCTTGAGGCAGCAAACTTTGCTTTTTCTCCCTGTTGGAAAAAACAAAGCTTTTGTGTCTGGAATTGGTTCCTTCCAGTGGGTTCCTGCTCTTGCTGACTTCAACAAAGTGGGTTCTTGGTCTTGCTGACTTCAAGAATGAAGCCGCAGACCTTCATGGTGAGTGTTACAGCTCTTAAAGATGGTGTGTCCGGAGTTTGTTCTTTCCCATGTTCAGATGTGTCCGGAGTTTCTTCCTTCTGGTGGGTTCGTGGTCTCGCTGACTTCAGGAATGAAGCCGCAGACCCTCACTGTGAGTGTTACAGCTCATAAAGGTAGTGCAGACCTGAAAAGTGAGCAGCAGCAAGATTTGTTGTGAAGAGCAAAAGAACAAATCTTCCACAGCGTGGAAGGGGACCTGAGTGGGTTGCCCCTGCTGGCTAGGGTGGCCAGCTTTTATTCCCTTATTTGGCTCCACCCACATCCTGCTGTTTGGTCAGTTTTACAGAGCGCTGATTGGTCCATTTTACAGAGTGCTGATTGGTCCACTTTACAGAGTGCTGATTGGTGCGTTTACAATCCTTTAGTTACATACAGAGTGCTGATTGGTGCATTTACAATCCTTTAGCTAGACACAGAGTGCTGATTGGTGTGGTTTTACAGTGTGCTAATTGATGTGTTTACAATCCTTTAGCTAGACACAGAGCACTGATTGGTTCGTTTTTACAGAGTGCTGATTGGTGCATTTGCAATCCTTTAGCTAGACACAGAGTGCTGATTGGTGCACTTACAATCCTTTAACTAGACACAGAACACTGATTGGTGCGTTTACAATAATCTAGCTAGACAGAAAAGCTCTCCAAGTCCCCAGTCAACCCAGAAGCCCAGCTGGCTTCACCTCTCAGTTTGTTCCCTGAGGGCAGCTTGCCTTTCTTCAGTCTCTCTTTTTTGACTGAATGGGGCATTGGAATCTGTTAGATTCAGCTGTTCCTCAGGGGTAAGCAGCTGTCCCAGTTTCTCAGGAATCAAGGATTTTATGGGATGAGTACTTTCAGTACTAAAACCAGTACAATCTCAAAACTGGGACAGTTAGTCACCCTAAATCAAGGTCCCCATTCAAGAAAGGTGATAGATGGCCTTGGCACAGTCTCTGCTCTTGTCAGTTTAAGTTTTTCCTAAATGTAGGAGGTGGAAATCTGGGTGCCAGTGGAATCAACAATGATGAGGATGATAGAGATAATAACACTGTTGATAATCACTGAGACCTTATGATTGTGCAGTAATTACTGTAAATATTTTACATGTATTATCTTATTCCATTTTTCCAAGAACCCCAGCGTTAGCAAAAGTGCCATCCCTATTTAACACATGAATAACAGAGGGCAAAGAGGTTATGAAAATGAATCTATGTCCACCTGGTGAGGTAGTGGTACAAGGTGAGAACACAGGCAATCTAACACCTGAGCTAGCACACTTAAACACTACCATATTTTAATGCTCCTTTAATCAGTGACTCTAATGTCCATGGATTCAGTTAGAACCTGGGTGAGCCAGGGGTGGGTCCTGGGCCACTTGACTCCAATCTTTCCCCTGACATCAATCCAGAGACTCTACTTAGTTCCAGTGATATTCCATGGGGTTTTCTGAAAATCTGTCTACTAGTTACATTACATGGCACTTTTGAAACGGGAAAAGTTCCCTTGTCCCCCTCGCAGGGTTGTGCGATGGGAATGTGGCTTGCTTCTTCAGTGCCGCGCTATTCAAACCTCTAGGGGAGCATACAGACAGGCAGGTTGTGGGGCTCTAACCCCACGGCAGTGTCTAGGGGTGAATGTTTACAGCTCCTAAAGCCCCAGTGGGTGTGTGTTACAGGGTGCTCTTTTAGTTTTGCTGTCTATAGGCTTGTGTTAACCAGCTCGATTTAGACCCTCTCCCTTGTCGCAGGACAGAGGGCTTTCTGTATCCTGGGTTCTTGCCTTGGTGTACTGGAAGAATTGAATCACACGTGGGCTTGGAGAATGAATGCAAGATTTTATTGAGTGGCGGTAGCTCAGGGGAAGTCAGAAGGGATGGAATGGGGAGATGTTCCCCTGGAGTCAGGCCACTCACCGGCCAGGGCTGTCCTCCAACTCCCCAGCCAAATTCTGCATTGTTCTACTTTGCCTGTGGGTGGCCTGGCAGTGTGTCAGTGCCTGTCAGTGTGTTCCTCTCCATGTCCAGTCACCCAGGTATTCCTCCGCTGATGTGCTCTTCTTGACGTCCAGCTGCCTGTGTGCTCCTCTGCTGATGTGCTCCAGCCACCTGTGTGTCTGCCTGCTAGAGTCTTGGGGGGCTTTTATAGGTACAGTATGGGGGAGTGGCAGGCCAGGGTGGTCTTGGGAAATGCAACATTTAGTCAGGAAATGCCTGTCCTCACCCAGATCCATGGTGGTGGAGCCCTAACCAGGGACCATGCCCTCCTGTATCCAGCACTTCCCTTCCTCCCTTCTGTATCTTTTTTTTTTTTTCTGAGACAGGGTCTCACTCTGTCGTTCATGCTGGAGTGCAGTAGCGCGATCTCGGCTCACTGCAACCTCCGCCTCCCGGGTTTAAGCGATTCTCCTGCCTCAGCCTCCTGAGTAGCTGGGATTACAGGCGCCTGCCACCGCACCCGGCTAATTTTTGTATTTTTAGTAGAGACGGGTTTTCACCACCTTGGCCAGGCTGGTCTCAGGCTCTTGACCTCATGATCCACCCTCCTTGGCCTCCCAAAGAGCTGGGATTACAGGCGTGAGCCACTGCATCCGGTCCCCTTTTGTCTACTAAAATTCTTTCTCTTGGGTGTCAGTTTTCTCCTTTTTAAGAGGATAATAATAATTTTCATTATCACCAAATTAACAATCTTGTCATGATTATGCATAATCATCTATATGAATAACAATTTTAAAAGATAAATATTGGTTAGACTATCAGTCTTTCAGCAAGCTTTCATAGAGTGGAGAAAAAATAAAATCACACAGATCTGACTACAATGTGGAAGTTATACAGAAGTGCTGAAAAGAGAAGAGCGTGGTTCCCTCTGTCTCAAAAAAAAAAAAAAAAGAATTTGCTTCATTAACCTCTATTTTCTAGGACCATAGAGTGATGGAATGCAACAAGGTGTTGGGACAGTATCTCATTCTTAGTCTAAGAAACCTGTCATATTAGGTAGAATCCTCTGCAAGAGATGCAGCCAACAGCAGGCAGAGATTTACTTGAATAAAGATGCCAGTGTACATTGATCTATGAAAATGTGCTCTACTCTCTGATTAGAATGGAATAAAGCCTATCATTTGACATTGGACCATCCAGAGGTGGATCTAGTAAGTAATAAAAATGTATGTGTAGAGTACCTGTTGAGGGCTGCTTGGTTGTATGATCGTTCTCTCATGCTTCTGCACAGAATATAGAGTAAAAATTTCCCAAACAGAATATATATTTCTGATAAAAGCAATCTTATTTTTCAAGCCTTGGGGAAAATGACTCACTGCAGCTTTTTATTTATATATCCGTATTGCATAGGTTGACAATCTAGGAAGGGAAGAGGAGTTCATGCTTCATGTGGTACACCTCCAACTCTCCTCTGAAGGAAAGAAGTAAATTGTTATAACAAAGAACACCAGCGAAGTCTTGTCAACATCACTTTCTGATGGCAAAGCCCGGTAAAGTTGAATACATGGTAAGGAAAAATAAATATTCTTATTGCCTACAGGACTTGATATCTACATTATCTAGTTTAGTATTGATGAAATTACTACTAGTGCCATATTTGTAAAAGATAATATATTTTTTAAAAAGTAACTAATGTCCATAGTGAGAAATTTGGTAGTTGATTCAAATCATCTTTCTACTGAGATGATACTCTATTTTAAAACAGATTTACCCCCAGTCTGGGGCTCTTCGTCTCTGTTGCCTCAGAGAGTCTCTTTAGGAAACTCATCCTAAAGCTCTTCTCATCATTTTATGTGGCCTCCATAGCAGGCTTTTTCACTGCAGTTTCTGCCCATAGTGCACACTTGGTGTTTCAGTTGCTCTTGCTTGTCAGTCGACCAGGAATTCAGTTCAGCTTCACTCTTCTATGGCTATCCCATTCAGTCTTGTGCAAACCTATGAATTCTAAGATTTGAGGACACTTCTAGGACACTTCAGGCCCCATAAGTACCTGCTCAAGCTCTTCAAGCTCTATCATCATCCAACTATATTTTATTGACATTTCTTACATTCCAGGTACCTTCCAATATTAATGGCTACAATTGACAGAGCAATTACTATGACCCAGCTATAACAGAGATGCACACATATTGACTCACTGTACCCTCACACACAATCTCTGCAAGGTAGATGCCATCATCATCCCAATTTTAAGATGAAGGACATGAGGTGCAGGTAGGAAGTGGCAGTGCTGGCATTTGAACCTTGGTAATATATCTCAAGTCTCTGTGCTCTGCATCACTGGACTATGTTGACCTTTATATTTGTTACTAAATTTTATCTCAATTGGTAAAAATCTGTATGTTGGTGTCTATTCCAATTTTACATTTGAAGACATGATAACTTAAAAAGGTTGAACACACTTCTCACAGTCCCACACCCAGTTAGAGGCAGAATTGGAGTTTGCATCTAGGTGTAGCTGACACCAAAGAACATGCATTTTCCAGTAAAATAGTTTCCCTCTGTTGTGGTCTCATAATTTTGAAATTCATATGTTGCATTGATTGCATTGCACCTGTGATGATATTTATCTTTCACGTGAATGTTAAAAAGCACATAGTTAGGGCTTACCATGAGCCAGACACTAGATTTGGACAATGCTGTCAACACATATGAGGACAGTCAAAAAGACAGACAGTGGCCAGTCTCTAACCTCTAAATATCAGACATCGAGTTATCACACTTTCAACAAAGAACCTGCACAGTCAATGGGAATTCCATTTGTTAATTACAGTTTTGTAGGATTCTGCAGCCAGGAGTTACCAGGGAGCAAAGAGGAGGCCAAAAGCTAACACAGCTCTGCCTGCCATCCCTACCTAGCCTGTGAAACAGGGCTACACTTTTTGTCTGCCCATTTATGCAAGTTCTCAGAAACAGGGAAGCTTTAAAAAAATTTTTGATTGAAAACTGCAGCTTGGAAACATTTTCACAAAGTCATTGTAATGGCTTTATACTTGATATGAGTTCTACTGAGAGCCTTCATAAGAAACCTCTGATCCTAGCTCAGGAGGCCCTCCAGGCTGATGCTGTCAGTCTTTGATGACCTTGTTTGCTGGTCTAGCAATTCCTGAAGCTTTATAATTGCCCAATCAGCCAGTTTCACATTCTGGCCCTGTAACTCTGTTTTTTCTTGAAATTAGGTAAATAAGTTTCTCTTCTTCGTCTCTCTGGGAACATCCTAATCATTGCTTAAAGACTAAGTCGATTTTAATTTCTTCAGCAAAGATGGTTCTGCTCTTTAACTGTAGTTGATCATTCCCTTCTTCCTACAACTTCTATGCCTGTGTTTCTTATTACTGTATTTATAACTGGCACCAAATTTATATGTTTACATATCTGTCTCTCCTTCTAGATTGTATATTCTCTGGGGCATGAGAGGTGCTATAGTTTAGTATATTATATAGACTAGAAACGGCAGACTGTGTTTTAAGAAGCTTTGAGCTTGGGAGTCCCTTAAGAACTTCAATTTGGCTAGGACTACAAACGTCTGCAAACAGAGTGGTCAGGTCACCAGACAAGAGTCCCCACCAGTGACTTGGAGCAAGAAATCAGATTCCTTGGGACAGTAGGCTGGTCTGAGGCAAGACCCAGTGGTGATGTGATTTTGTGCCAAGGTCCCTGGAGAGAAGCAAGTAACACTAGAGACAGAAACTGGGCACCGGCACCAACTATGAAGACATGCCCCTCAGCCTTTAGCTAGGAGAGACAACCAGACTCAAGGCCAGATGGGAGCAAATGTAGGAAGAGAGCAGGCCAAGCAGAAAGGACTTAGGACAGGAATTATCAGGGCACATGCCTTTGTGTGTTGGGGCCACATTCCTATCGCCTGTGGAAGGTGCAGGGTTAGGATAGGATGGACCAATTTACAGATGGAATTTCAATTCTAAAATCCTGGTTTTGAGGGAAGAAGACCTATTTTTACCTTTGAAACGCATTTTCAAAATCTTTGGTCACCAATGCATGATGAGTTCTGGAAAAAATTTAAGAGCTTACCCTCTGGTGTCATTGATATTACTAGCAGGTTATGGCTTTGCTACACCTATTTCTCTCAGTGAAATGCAGCCTAGCATGTCTTTTAGAACAATGAAAGAATGGATTGCATTTTCTGATGACTTTATCTGATGTCATAAATGAATGAAAGTTGAATGTTTCTTTGAGCGCTTTAAGAAACACACTGAATGCTAATTAGCTAATAGGATAACAGGAATTTGTCCCTGGAAAAGAGCATCGAAGATGAAAACATTGTGAAGAATATTTAGGATTTGGAGAAAGGATTTTGGCTTCTGAGAATGTTCAAGGCCATTTCTGGTTTTATATATTACACTAAAAACCTGAGGGATCCTTGTTTATGTACTCTAAGGGATTGTGCTAACATTTTCCTGCATGGAGGAGAGAGCAGTGTCACATGTTTAATTCATTTCAGTATAGGGACTTATAAGAATTAATGCCAATTGCACTCAGTTTCTGCATGTGCCAGGGACTCTGCCATGCAGGATAGAAGCACATTTTCCTACTTGCATTTACCACAAATTTATGCACTCATTTTAGAACCATAAAATGAATTTGCAATGGGCCTGGGGAGACCTGAAATTCATACTGCTTCTCTTTCAGAAGAGGAGGCCAAGGGCTGTTGATGTTATGTCATTTGAACACTGGACCTGGAATCAGGAGACCCAGGCCACAACTCCAAGCCTGCACCTACAAGGTGTTTGATCTTGAACATGTTATTTAGTATCTTTGAGCCTGCACTTCTTCCCCATAAGGAGGGGAATGTATATCAATCTTAGGATGTTTGTTGTCAGAAGAAAATAAGATGATGAAAACGTGAACATTTTTGATATGATCTTAGACACATATTCGTTGCATTTGCGTCTTCACCCAAGGGCACAGATGCTTATTATTACTTGGGCCTTTCAGGTCCCATCTTGCCAGGTCCTCCATAAAGTCATCCCCGCTGATTGCCCACTTAAAAGTTGCTAAATTAGACCCCTCCCTTCCCATATTAACTTATTTATTTACATATATGTTTACTGATTTCTATATCAGGGACTCTAAATTTACACTTGATGCCAGTGTGAGTTTAATTGTGGCGGCCATAACAAATTACCTCAAACTTAGTTTTGAGGTTTAAAACAACAGATACTTATTATCTTACAGTGCTGGAGGCTGGAGTCCTGAAATCGAGCTGTCAGCAGGACTCCCTGTGCTCCCTCTGGGGCCCCGGGGAAGAATATGGCCCTTGCCTCTCTGTTTCAGGTGTCTGCCAGCATCACCTGGCTTTTGGCCATGTCACTGCAGTCTCTGCCTTTCAGGCCAAGTTGCCTCCTCCTCTGTGTATGTGCCTAATCTCTCTCAGCTTCTCTCTTAGAAGGACACAAGGGATGGAATTTAGGGCTCACCCAGAGAATTAAGGATAGTCTCATCTCAAGATCCTTAACTTAATTATACCTCAAACGTCCTTTTTCCAAATAAGGTAATACACATTGCTGAGATAACGATATAGACCCATCTTTGAGAGCCATTATCAGCCTGCCACAGAGTCCCAGGAAGAATTTAAGATTATTTATTGATGTCCTGGAACAAAATACTTGAACAGCACTTTATAGTTTAAGTCAACTTATAGAGCAGAAAATAATCTTAAGTGGGTTAGCATGGGCTGACAACGGCACTCTGGCAGGTTCTCCTGCCTATCAGTGCCAGGTGACACAGGATGGGTGAGGCGTGCCCAGCAGGAAGTCAGTCCAGGGCACAGACAGCTTCACCAGAGTTCCCTCCTCGCCCTTCCTGACTGATGCAGGATTTTTCTCAGGCTGTTCATGGGACTTGAGATGGGGGCAAACTTTTACTTTGCCTGCCATGCTCAACCCCTTGCGGGAGGGAGCACTTGAGCGAGTGAGTGCAGAACCCGGCTGGCCACTCGGGGAACTCACACAGGAGCAAGTTCTCTGCGGGGCCCGTGACCAGACCAGTGACAAATGAGCGAGTGTGAGACTTGGCCAGCCACTCCAGGTGCCAGCAGGAGCAAGCTCTGGCGGCAGCGCCCAGGTCAGGGCAGCGAATGCCTGCAACCTGCCCCAAGGACCCAGAGCGAGTGTTACAATGCTCCTTTAGTTCCACTGCCTGTGGACAGCTGTGTGTTAACAGCTCAGTTAGCCCCTTGCCTCATTGCATGGGGCAGCTGCCCTCCACCAGCAAGGGCAAAGGGCTGGTGTGACGGCCTTGTTTTGGGTACCCACACTTGGTGGATCCTGAGCACTTGTCCAGTGTACAAGAAAAATGCTTTTGTGGGGGCACTTGAAGGATGGTGAAGGCAAATAATTTTATCGAGTGGTGGGAATGGCTGTCCGTGTAAGGGGAGCTGGAGAGGGGACAGGAAGGGCAGATAATTCTCCCTAAAGTCTGGCTGTCTCTTCCCCGAAGTCAAGCTGTCTCTTCTTCCCCAAAGCCTGGCCATCTTCTCTCTGAACATAAGCCATCTCTCCCCTCTACCAACTGAGTATGGGGTCTTTATAGGCACAGGATGGTGGGGATGGGGCAGCCCATAGGTAGTTCTGGAAAAGGCAACATTTGATTGGTGAAAAGGTATTATTCACAAAGAACCAATCTGGAGAGAGTGGGCAAACGGGAATAGAAGTTCTCACTTTGGGCCCCAGGTTTTAGGCTTTTTGGCTTAAAGGTGGGGTTTCACCAGGAACCTGTCTCTCTCTGCCTAGAGCCTCTATCTCTGCCTCCTGCCTCCATCATGATCAGAGGCTTGTGTCCTGTCATTTGGATTTGCAGAACATATTACTGTATCTGATGTACACAAATCTTCACAAACCAGATTGCTGCTATGAGACTGTCGATTAAAAACAATAATGTAAGTGTACTTAACATTTACTTGTGCTAAATGTAAACACAAGTAAATTATAAGACAATAGCAATGATGATATCTCTCCCTTTTCTGATATACTCTCATCATTGTCACTTGTCCACTAAGTATTAAAATTACCTGGAAGACTAAAATATATTTTTTCTATCATTATTATGAAGAATAAACATCGCCTTGAGTATATTGTGCCCTTAAGTTACTAGCTAATGATAACAGAAAGCAAAAATGAATGGCAAGTTATTAAAATATACATTGTTTATTTTATCTTTAGCTCAACTTTAAACCTTGTTAATTTATTTAATTGCATACATAATATATCTGAACAGAAGTACCTGTATGTTGGAGGTGAATGTACTTGTTTTTCTTATAGAACATGCAATCAAAAAGGTTTGGTGATCGTTTTTCTACCTCCTGTGACTATAGCTTGGGTGCTTATTTGACCTCTATGTTCTCAACTCTTTTTTTTTTTTTTTTTTTTTGAGACAGTCTCGCTGTGTCCCTCAGACTGGAGTGCAGTGGCGCGATCTCGGCTCACTGCAAGCTCCGCCTCCCAGGTTCACGCCATTCTCCTGCCTCAGCCTCCCAAGTAGCTGGGACTACAGGCGCCCGCCACTGCACCCGGCTAATTTTTTTTATTTTTAGTAGAAAGCATGTTTCACCGTGTTAGCCAGGATGGTCTCAATCTCCTGACCTCATGATCTGCCCACCTTGGCCTCCCAAAGTGCTGGGATTACAGGTGTGAGCCACCGCGCCTGGCCCTATGTTCTCAACTCTTAACTTCAAGTAAATGCCTCTTGAATTTGCAGTTTTGATCGTCTCAGTTATCTTGGCTACATTTGTCTTTCCCTTTTGACTTGAAATAATATGAAGTGATCCAGGGTAACTCCTCCAGGATAAGTTCAAAACTTGTTACTAGAATATACTCAAAGAAAGAATCTAAACAAAATACAATTGTAACATAAATGAAAGATTTAAATATTAAATCACTTAGGTCAAATATTGAAGGAGGATTTCTGTTTCTGAGCAATGAATACACATCCTCTAACAATATTTCACAGGTGTTCTTCTCACAAAATTTAGAAAATTGCTTCACATTGTGGATATATAGCTATTAAGGATGCCAGAGAATTTCAGTGTTGAGAAACGTATTTAACACTGTTTGGCTGAGCATGTGTCATCTGAACACAAAGCCATTGTCCCACAGGGCATAATATGTTGTAGAGTGATATAGACAAACAGATAACTGACAGAAGAGAGACTTTGGCATGGATTATAGAGAGACTTTGGCATGGATCATTACAGTAACATTTTACGCACTCAGCTTGCTGGTCTATAAACCTGATGATTTTTCCAGTGGTACTGTTTCACTATTCAGTGTAAATGATCATTGTTCAGCTGATACTGATTGCTGTTGTATCCAACTAGAAACCTACCTTAGAGAGGAATTGTCACTATTGATGATTTGTACCCAATCATTGCCTCTTGGATACTATTGCAGATTAAACAGACTCTTCCTCATGCCCCAATTTGCAGGAGAGACTGACAGAGTTGCCCCCAGAGTTGACATGGTGAGGTGCTTGCACAGATAACTCACTCTGTTGCTCCAGGGCTAAGTTATGCTTTGGACTTGGGCATAAGACAAATCTGTTTCAGACTTAGTTCAGTTTTTCACTGGCTGCCTTATTTCCCTGATAGCTCTGATCCTTAGTTTTAGCATCTGAAAATAGAATACATTTTTACAAATTCAACGGCTACATGAATGACGATGAGAAATCCCTCAGAACAATTCCTCTCCATGGTTTCTTACCTACCGTCATACTATGAGAACTTCAAGTGTTAAGAGTTAACTATTATTTCAATTTTTCATTGTATCTAAAACTATTTTCTCCCATATCTGATTCCTCTCTTTATTGGGTTTGCCCTCTGCATTTCTATGCCCTTACCATGAGGAAAAAACAAAACAAAACAAAAAACGCTTAGTCAAATTAAATTTAACAAAGTTTAATTTAGCAAAGAACAATTCATGAATTGGGCAATCTCCCAAGCCAGAGCAGGCTCACTGAGACTCCAGTGTAGCTACATGGGGGAAGAAGATTTATGGACAGAAAAAGGAAAGTGATACAGAAAGTGGATGTGAGGTACAGAAACAGCCATATTGTTTACAGCTCGGCATTTGCCTTATTTGAACATGATTTGAACATTGACCACCTTTGATGAACCAAAGCTCAGTGATTGATTGGCACAAGAGTAGACTACAGTCTGTTTACACCTCTGTGTAGGTTATAGTTCACAATGTACAGAGAAACTTTTAGGTTGAACTTAAAATATGGAAGGAGGCATCTTTAGGCTAAACTTGACTTAACACATATAATTGGTAATAAGATTCTAAAAGTTTCTATCTAGAATATATTCACATAATAATATTAAAAAGGAAATAATCATGTTAATAAAATAGGTACTATTTATTAAGTGCCTACTATGTGTCATATATTGAGCTGTTCTATATATTTATTTTGATTTGATTAGATTTAAGATTGGGATCCAAAGAGTTCAGAGTAAACTTCACAGTATTAAAACATACAATGACATGAGGAACAATGTAAAATATATGTTGCTTACTCGTAAATAAATTATGCATGAAATAAAAAATCAAACAAAACTATTATCTCAGATTATTTTATTGCTACTGTGAGGCCAATTTGACTAGCTATTTCAATGCACATCAAAATTTTTTGTTGTTGTAATGTTGGTTAAAATTTATTTGTATTGGAAAAATACTGGGCTATGTAGAGAGTAGTTTTCAGAATAAACACATTGTGAAAACTCTTTAGAGCTTTATCAGGAGCAATCTGTAAATTGTGTGGATTCATAAAATAACCACTGCAATGCCTACTGTGACTTCATTGTTGAATCAAGACCACCATGGTGTGAGTTTGAAAAAAAATCAGAGAGGGGCACTTAAAATGCTAGAAAGAAGGGGCATAATTGAAGGAATTAGAGCCTGGAAATTCTCTGAGGTGTAGAATCTGAGGTGCAGGGAGGTGGGTTTCTATCTTTACCATCAGGACCAATGGCTTACTGGCTTACAGTTCAGAGTTACTGTGACGGAAATACAATGGTTACTATGGTAATAGTAAAACAATTAAGCTTAATAAACCTGTTTTATACCTAAAGCTCAGTAACAAATCCAGGTTTCTATAGAGAAAAGAAGTAGCAGAAATGGCAGAAAAATGGAATTGACACATTTATTTCAAAAATAAAACAGCCAAGGAATTCACAGCTTTCTAAAGGAAAAAGATAATATGTATGCAGTCCAACCAAGCACCATGAATTCTTGTTGACTGCTACAGTTGAGCAAGCCTGTTGGTTTTTGTAGGACAGAGCTCTGGGATTAAAGTATTTGGATGAATCCACCTAAACCTCTCTGACTGAATGTGCTACTCCCAGGGTAGGGGCCAGGTCTCTGAACTCATCATGCTGGCTACGGATTCTGGGTCTAGAGGAAAGAAACAAAGAGAAAAAGAATACTAGGGATAAACATAGAACCAATGCATTCTTAGAATACTGAATTTCTAAGCTTTTCACTAAAAAGTCTATTTTCATAAAAAAATTATTTGTCATTTTTTACATAATTTATACATGTGTGTATGATATATACACATGCACCTATATGCACATATACATGTAAATTATATATATACACATATATGTATATATACACACATATATATACATATATATTTATATATATATAAGTTTTCATGAATTCTTTCATTTTTAAAACCAAATTAAAAACTTCTTTGGGCTAGGCATTGCCCTCCCCACAACTTATAAAATAGGGCAAGAGATACGCTGGTAGAAGATGCATGTATCAAAAGGCCGGGTGCAGTGGCTCACTCATGTAATCCCAGCACTTTGGGAGGCCGAGGTGGGTGGATCATGAGGTCAGGAGTTCAAGATCAGCCTGGCCAAGATGATGAAACCCCATCTCTACTAAAAATACAAAAAATTAGCTGGGTGTGGTGGCGCATGCCTTTAGTCCCAGCTACTTGGGAGGTTGAGGCAAGAGAATCACTTGAACCTGGGAGGCAGAGGTTGTGGTGAGCCGAGATCGTGCCATTGCACTCCAGCCTGGGCGACAACAGCGAAACTCCATCACAAAAAAAAAAAAGAAGATGCATGTATCCTGGTTCACTTCATTGTTTTAATGTTATCTCAAGAGACCTAGATCTTGCCATATGATGGAGGCTCAGGTACGTTTGAAATGACCTCTATTTGCCTGATCAAAGATAGGACATTCCATGCTTCCCTTTTGTAGTAGAAAGGAAGGGTAGGAATAGTTAGATGGTATTTATTCTTCAACACACTAGCCCCAGATATAAATTGATGGGAATATTTTTTGATTGCTGGTTTAGAGAAATGAAAAACAAAAATTAAGTCATTGAAAAGTGAAAGTGAAAGCTTTTATTGTCCATCTTGTCCTTGTTATGCATAAATAATATTTCCAGAAATTCAGAAATATAAATGCTTGTAGATAAGTTGAAGGATTATCACTGCTATTCTTTTAAATTTCTACTTTTATTTTAGATGTGGGGTAAATTTTTAAAATTTCCACTTTTGTTTTAGACATGGGGGTATATGTGCAGGTTTGTTACATGGATATGTTGCACCCAAGTAGTAAGTACAGTACCCAATAGGTAGTTTTTCAAGTCATGACCCTCTTCTTCCCTCTCCCCTCTAGTAGTTCACAGTGTCCATTGTTCCAATGTTGATGTCCATATGTGCTCAAAGTTTAGTTTCCACTTATAAGTGAGAACATTTGGTCTTTGCTTTTCTGTTCTCATGTTAATTTGCTTAGGGTTATGGCCTCCAATCCTTCCGTATCATTGCAAGGGACATGATTTCATTCTTTTTACGGCTGCATAATATTCCATGGTGTATATGTACCACATTCTCTTTATCCCAACTGCCATTGATGGGCATCTAGCTTGAGATGGGTCTTGTCTCAAAGGAACCAAGACAGACCGGGTCAAGCTCCACAGCATGCTAGATGTTGATTAGAGAAAGTTTCTCTTGTTGTGCCCACATGCTCTGCTAGGTTAGGCCACCAGCATGTGTGTGCTTGGACCCTGCCCTCCTTACTACATGACACTCTCCCACTTTTACTTTCTGTACCAGACACAAGAGTCTTTGGAGAGATCCTAAAATTCACCACATTTTTTCCCAACTCAGGGATTTTATATGTCTCTAACTTTGTTTAAAACATCACTGCCCCTCTAATCCCATGAGGAGTGGAAATGTAGCATTCAAATCTTAGTTTAAATATAGATGTTTTCTTTCATCTTTATTGCCAATATCAGTGCCTTGATTATTTTTTCTTACATTTACCTCAATGTATAGGGATTCATTTTATATATTCTGTTTCTCTCATTAGACTGTGAGTTCTATAAGGTTAAGAACAGTCTTATCTTCATCCATATAGCCAAAGCCTCTAGCATGATTTCTGGCAAGTTGCTCAATAATATTGTAAAGTATGTAAGAGATAGGTGATAGGACACTCACAGCAACTCCTAATGTAGATGACAATCTTGCTTTATCACAGACACTTGGGAAATTCTCAGGAATACTTAGGAGTATTCCCAGATCAGATCCCCAGAGATTCTGATGCAAAGAACCAGGACCCTCTACTTACTGTGATTCTGGCTCAGCAGCATCCAAATCTCCTGGGAGCTTGTTAGAAACATAAGATCTCAGGCCCTATTCTAAACCTATTGAATCAGAGTCCAAGAATCTTTGGTGATTCCTACACACATTAACATTTGAATAACACCGGTTGAGGATGTTTACAAAATAGTCTCCAACTGTTTCTAATGTTCAGTTAGTTTGAGAACCATTGATCAAGAATATGGCCAAATCAATGGAATAAAAAACAAAATTACTCCCCAGGCAGAACAGATAATATTACATTGTGCATTTCTTCATTTAACACAGCATTCATAATGAGCATCTACTTTAATTAGCACTTTGCCAGGCTCAGAAGATACAAAGCAAAATCAAGAATATTTCTGTCTTTTAAGACAATTTAAGTCTAGAAGTAGGACATATACTCACAAACAATTGATAGCAATAATATGCTAGAGATACAATTGTAGACATCACATAGGCAAGAAAGATGTGCTGAATAGAAAAGGAAGCCCTTTTTACTGGAATCTATATGAAAACCCTTAGGAAACCTACCCTGGTGACACATCTTGACCTGTGCATTGATGTTCACATGTCAGGGAGAGGTACAGAGGTACAGCGACACAGAGCAGGCTGCTGTGACTGAGAATCTGTGACACATTTGTAGGCCTGGCAGGAAGCAAGAGAAGACTGGGAGGTCCTCAATGCCATGTGATGCAGGGTGAACATCCACTCTACTTGTGCAACCTCTGCCGTTGGAGCCCAAGAGAGGAGACTGGTGCATGAACAGGCAATTAAATCGTACAATAACCAGTGCTCGCACAGGTGTGAGCACAGGAGCTCTGGAGCCATAGGGAGGGCCAGTAGCTAGCCTAGGAACCACAGCTATATCCCAAGCGTACCCAGACAATATGAAAGCGAAGGGAAAAGCAGAGATTGCAACACATTTGAAGGCTTAACAATTAGGCGAGGCTTCAGATGGGGGCGGGGTTTAAGGAAAAATAAAAGCTCCCCAGTGTTTCCAGACCAAGTGTAAGGGAGGTGAGGCAGCTATGAATCTGCAAGGTAGGAAAAAGCCAAAGCATGCAGAATCTCCAGTGTCACACAGGCAGCTTGGATTTTACCATTTTTTAGTGGAAAAACTGTAAATGATTTTGAATAGGAAAGCAATATGATCACACTGTATTTGAAATTTCAGAATGACAAATAAAGAATTGGAGAGGAAGAGAAGAGATGTGGAGGCCAGATTGTGAGTGAGGATGGGTCTCAACAGTCCAAACAGGAAATGATGAGAATTGGCCCTTGTAGATGAGTATAAGAAGGAAAGGTTTGTTATACAAAGTACAACTCTCAAACACAAGAATAACATATTCCTAAGGACTTTTCAGGAAAAGTGGGAAGTGTGTTCATGAAGGCAGGAAAATACCTTATCTCATTAACTTTGAGTGCATTTCTTTTCAAAAGAATTCCCACTACAGCTTGTCTGGGCACTTCCAGGTGTACAGAAAGTCTTACAGCTCTGCAGACCAGTGACCCACAGCCTCCTTCTCTTACCTTTGACTGTAATTCTGGACCACCCAATCTGGGGCTTTACAACCCAGGGAATTTGGTGAGAAAGGTGGAGGTGGAACAGGAGGGGAACAGCAGAAGCAATGTCTCCACAAAGTGACCTGACGTGGTTTTCTGATGATAGTCATCATAAACGGCAACGTGAACAATAAGAAGAGGACTGTGGCAAATACTGTGCCTCAGACCAAGGAAAATTGTCAAATCACAGCTCTTTGGTTTAGGGTCAGAAAATAAAGACTGGCTGCGTAATATTTGTGTTTCCTCACCATGGTCAGGAGAATTACTGATGAGTTAATTTCCTAAATCAGAAGATTCCTGAAGTCCTGAGAGAGAAGTGGAGGGAATTTTGTAAAATGCATGCGCCTAGGCAAAGAAAGGTGTATTGAGAAAAAGGAGATTTAAAAACTACAAAAATATTTAAGTTACATGTAAACATTTTTTAAAGCTTAGGAATTATGAAATTTCTGGGAATGTTTTTTTTTTTTTCAAAACACTGACTGTGAGAGCGAGGTGGTAGAGATGAATTTCAAATCCAAAGGATTATCTGGAAGATAAATCTCCATGAGAGGAAAGCTTGTAAAAATGTGAGTGATTGACTGGAAAAATTCCAGGATTGCAAAAATAGTAGTACAAATAGGAGCCAACAACTTTTGCACATTTACTATGTGCTAGGCACTACGGTAGCATCTGTTAGTTAATTTAGTCTTCCCTTATAAGGAGAGTTCCATTAACATTCCCATTTCACAGATGAGAAAACTGCTGAGCTGAAGTAACTTAGACCACAGAACTTGTCAGGGACAGAGCTGGTGTCCTGGTGCCAAAGTGCCTGCTCTAAACAAATGTGGATTATAGTTAGCTTCTATTATGTATTGCAAAACATGACAAATTCAAAAGGAAGAAAAGCTCCTGAACTTGAGGCTACAATTCCTATTTGAAGCTGGGAAGCATATCCTGATAATCCAATCAAATTGACACAAACATACAAGCATTATCAGATTGTGTTTTCTAAAGAAAATCATTCGCATATTGTTCTCCTGTTCAGACTCCCTTAATAGCTATGCCTTGTCTACAGCAGTAGGTACACATGCCTGAACCTGGCTTGGATTCCCTCCACAATCTTGTTAAAATATCTCCAGACTCAATCATCTGTGCATTTTTACATTCTTACCTCTTTCTACACTCTCCCTTCAAAATCTGTGCTCCAGCCACAGAGAATCACTGTTCCCCCAAAAGCACTTTGTGTCTCTGCTTCTTATTCACTGCCACAAATTGGGCATATTCTTCTCACAAGCAATATATATGAGTTTTTATTTTCCTAAAACATCATAAACTGTTTTGGAACCATGATGGGCACAAACATCTAATTCATTTTGTCACACAACTAGTAAGCAGGAAATCTAGCATTCAAATGAAACTTTTCTAACTATAAAACCACACTTTTTCTGTAAATTAAGTTGTCTTTCCTTGCCACACTACTTGCCTCTCATTATCTATGCCATTGATTAATTTCAGTTCACTCATGTTGGAGAAGGAAATCTTAACTAAGAAAGATTTTGTTTCATGACTTAAGACAAGTCAGTTGAAGTTCCAGATTAAACAAGACAGTGATTGAGAAGATTATTGCAGCCTATAATTTAGCATGTCTAGATTCATTCCTATGATCCTATCTTCCAAATATGAATTGCTGAATAACCAAAGCTGAAAAGAAATTATCCAAGAATAAAGCAGTAAGAAGAAGCAGGCAAGTACAAGTTTCCTACCTTGTTCTTTATCCATACATCCTTCTCCCAGTCCAGACTCTTCTTTCAACTCCATGCAGTAAATATTTCTACAAGACCCAACCGGTGCCAAATTCTTGTAGAAACTGAAGCTCTAAAGGTAAACACCCAGAGTGTACTTCCTAGTGAAGTTAACTCTAGAGTAAGGATCTTATTGCAAAAAAAACTTCACACTGCAGAATGACCTGTGAACAACAATTCTGCAAAATGCTTTCTTAAAGAGGTTGATCCCACAGTCTAATAAGCCTGGGAAATGCTATGTGCTCTTAGCTCTTCCTTGGTATTTGTTGTAAATATTGTCATGCGTGTCCATATAGAAGACCACCTAAACAGGCTTTGTGTAAGCAGCAAGGCTGTTTATTCACTCGGATGCAAGTGGGCTGAGTCCAAAAAGACAGTCAGTGAAGGGAGATAAGAGAGGGGCAGCTTTATAGGACTGGGGTAGGCAGTGGAAAGTTAGAGTTAAAGGTGGTTATCTGTTGTCAGCACGGGAGGGGGTCACAAGGTGCATGGTGGAGAGATCATGAGACTCATTGTCCAGGAGAATTGATTGGATGGATTGATCAGTTAGGGTAGGGCAGGGACAAGTCCTAGTGGTGGAATGTTGTAAGGTGGGTTAATCAGTTAAGGCAGAAACCGGTTGTTTCACTTCTTTTGTGGTTTTTCAGCTGCTCCCGACTTCTTGGCTCCTGCAGGCCATCGGGATGTATATGTGCAGGTCGCAGGGGTTACAATGGCTGAGCTTCGGCTCAGAGGCCTGACAAATATTAGCTGATTAAATATCTTGCAGTGATAAAAATCTGTTTTGCTTTACTTAGCTCTGAACTGACTAAAACCCTATGACTACAGACACTTCTGTTTTCCCCTATGCAACATTTAGTAACATTCTATGGAATTAGAGTTCGTTCAAATACATTTGAGGCAACAGTAGCCAAAAATATTTTAACAGCCTCATAATCAATATCTGTCTCTTTTTTTCTCCTTCTTCAGACAGTTACTTACACTATTGCCAAGGTTGTCTTCCTCAAATAATTCAGATTATAGAATTTATGCCATGTATACACATGCACACACACACAGGCACACAATTTCAAATCAAACACACAAAAACAAGAAATCCAAGGTCTACCATTTGATAGTAAATTCTAATGCATCATCAGAGCCTTTTAGGCTTTTTTTTCTGTCAAAAATGTTTCTTCAGTTTTATGAACTATTGTTTTCTTCATCTTAACTCAGTGACATGGTATTATCTACCATTCCCACCAAGCCACCAGGCCACACCCTTGATGTTGGTTACTATGGTATTACTCTCTTCCATCTCTGCCTTTAGAGACTCCATGTACTCTGCTACAAACCAGGCCAAGAACTTTCATGAAATCATTCTTGATCCCCACCACCTTAAGTAAGCAGTCCCCCTCCTGTGCTTCCATTGTCTATGCCACTGGTTCTTCTCACAGTCTATGCCACTGATTAATTTCAGGTCACTCATGTTAGAGAAGAAGGTAATTGTGACTAAGAAAGATTTTCTTTGATGACTTTTTAAGACAAGTCAGTTGAAGTTCCAGATTAAACAAGACAAGTGGTTGAGGAGATTATTGCAGCCTATGATTTAGCATATCTAGATTTTTTCCTATGATCCTGTCTTCCAAATACAATTGTTGACTAACAAAAGATGAAAAGAAATTATCTAAGAATGACATAGTATAAAGAACTCTAAAGTAGTATAAAGAACTCTTCTTGGTCCTTTTCTTGAAGAATGCAACACATCCTGCATCACTCACTGATACTCTCTTTCTCTTTTTCTGCTGGCCCCTTGAAGGGTACGGTGCATGAGCTAGCAGCATGGTGCCCTGGCTTCACCACCTGTCTTGTGTGAAAGTCCCCATCCTGGGGCATCAAGGCTGCTTAGCCGACTAACGATCCTTGGAAATGGATCCCAACTCTGGGGTAATACAGAATATCATCTTGCCTGGGGAATGTGATTTGTCTCCCTTTCCATTTCCAAATAACAAAAGTAAAAAAAAACCCTCTCATTCGTAAAATAAAAATGGGTTATATTCAATCTTAAAACGAGATATAAGATTGAAATGTAATCAATATTAGCTCTGGTGATGTCAAGTTCCTGACTGGCCAATCAGGTCTATTGGTCTCTCAGGAAGCTTCTTTTCTGTCATTGCTGTGTAACAGCCCTCTTGTACAGCCTCTGTTCAGAAAACAGCCAGGAAATACATCCAAGTTCAGATACCTTCCAGCAAGACTGTAGGTTAAGGATGACTGTGCATAGAGTCAGGTCCAAGTGTCAAGGAGAAGCCAGCTTTGTGAGGTAAGAGTGACTTCTGTCACTCAGCTATCAGATATTTCCTTCTCATAAAGTGGACATATCTGAAAATATTTAGTTAATAAAAAGTGTAAGGTAAAGTTCCTTGAGTAGTTACTATCTGTGCGGGGGCAAGAGGCAGAAGAAGAAAGACCTGAGCTCAAAGAAGTTACCTAATTTCCCTAAGATTACAGAACTAGCCACTGTTAAAGTGGAGTGTGGTATCCAGGTGTGTGGCTCCAAACTCTGTGCCCATAACGGTGATCCTCTCCAAGACCACTGCAAGTTCAGGCGAGAAAGACAGGATGCTCCGAAGTGTGCTGTTGGACTGAACATCCAGGAAGGTTTTTTGAGTAAATAAAACCAAGTATTTTCTTGGAAGTTGGCTAAATGCAACTTTCCTGCGTGATATAGTTAGACACATGATTTTGCTTGAGTTGCTGTACATTATACCACCAAAGTGGGGGGGAAAGTCTGGGTTTGAAATGCCAGTGCCTGTTTCAATGTAAATTCTCCATATGTTCAGTAAAGTACATTGACTTCCAAGTAATAGTTTACTTTTGACTTGATATGTATTGACTCATGCCTACTAGGGACTTATTGTTTTCAGTAAATACTCTGTGAAATGTTTTCTCACTTAGCTAAAAAGATAGCTTAGCCTTCAGCAAGATTTTTTGTTTTCCATTTCAAGTAGAAAAAAATTTGGTCCTGTTGCCCATTCTCAAAATTGATCTGAAACCATTCATTTTAAGTGTCTATAATCTAAAGACCTAAGGGAGAAAACGTTATTTAAAAAAACAATATTGCCAATTTAGAAAGGAATATAATATTTACTACCACGTTAATATAAATACAAAACTATACTTAATATTACCCCAAATATGTAAAATTAGCAAATAAAAATAATTGTAAAAAGATATTAAAAATGGATCAGACCTTCATATACATGAGGATTATTATCTGATTAATTTCCAAATGAATACCAAAAAAAAACATTTAGATAGGCTGTTGTTTGGTCCCAAGTATGTATTTCCATTAAGAGCTTTGTTTACTTTGTTTCTCTTTATACACCATGAACCAACTTCAAAACTTTCATTCATACTGTATCACTCGCTAAGTCACTGTATTTTCAAAAAAGAAATAAGGCTTTTCCCTCACACATTTATAATTACTCTGTTTCTGACACTGAATGGACCAAAAACACATTCTCATATTGAAATAAGCATGTTGGGGTATTGGCCAGTGTCCAGGACAGAAAATTGTTTTCCCATATGGCAGCTTAATTCTAATTCACATCCTAGGAAAATTGCAGCTACCAAATCAAGCTAATTTTGTTATTTTATCCAAGTAGTTAAAATTATGTTAATTTTAAAATTTTAAGTATCTTCTCTACAACAACATGTTAATAGTAGCTATCCACAGATACTGGGATGATGGGAAAAATATTTTTTTTTCTTTCTGCTATTGTTCTGAGCTTTCAATTTTCCTTATCAGTTGACTTAAATAAGATCACTTTAAAATAAAGAGAAGTTTAAAAAAACCTAGGACTTTACATTTTAATTAGGGGATATCGAAGAGATTCTTCAACATGGTTTATTAATACATATATCATTGCATTTTATATCATATTTATATACCATTGCATTAGAAACAGATATTTTACAGATATTCCATAACTGCTTTAGACATGGAGTGCAGCCTATAAAGTGTAGTTACAGCTTCTGATGAGCAGGAATCTAGAATTAGCATCCCTATTACCATCAAAAAGGGATTTTGTAGGGGTTATTTGCAGACTTCTCTGTGCCCCATTCCCTGTGCTCAATTCCTTGTCTTTCTGCTCTTCTGTTCTCTATTACAGAAACTACATTTCCCAAGATCCTTTGCCAACTGGCTCGCCATGAGATTCAGCCAACGGTAGGTACTAACGGATGATTTGAAGTCTGGAGAAGGGCCATCTTATGGGAGCATGTTTCCTTCCCTCTCTGCCTCAGCTTGTGTCATCTGGAGAAGAGCTCGTCTGTCCTCTAGTATGTCCCAGGGCTTGCTCCAATCACGTTGAAGTCCAGCTTCCACTAGCTGGCCCTTGCTCCCAGTTTCCAACAACACTGTCTGCTCTTCTGCTTCCTCCATTTTGGGGTGCAGTAGTTTCCTGTTTGGGTCATTGCTAAGACCCTATTTGCTTTCTCTGGTTTTCCATCACCATATGACCAATTTTCTGCATTAAATTTATTCTGTTCCAAGTATTTAGATTGGTTTCTTTCTTCTGACGAGACCCAGGCACATACAGTGGTCATTTTTGTCATATTCTATGGCCACCATAGAGATTGTGTCATCGCCACTTTCTTCTAAATTTATGAAGCAAGAACGTATTCCATATGTGCACTGATTATTTTAAGTCTACCACTTACTGAGCAGCCACTGTGCACCAGGTATTGTAATGGATGCCATCCAGCCTATTTCTCTTCAGCCTCACTGCAAGACACAGCTGTCCTCATTCTCTTTATTCCAGACATGTTGGTTTTCTTTCAGGTCACCAAAATAACACATTTGTTTCTACTCAATGCCTTTACACATGCTATTCCCTGTGTGGCATGGAGGAATGGTTCCCAATCCCAGAAATGATCCTCACTTATTCTATATGTCTCAAGTTAAAATATTACATCTCTAGGTAGGCCTTCCTGACCCTAGACTGTTAATGTTTTCCTGCTGTACACTGCCATTTTACCATGTACTTGCCCCCTTGTGGTAGTTTCAAAGTTAATTAACTTACTGTACAGTTTGTATTTTAATATCTCATTGTATCTGTTAAAATGTATGACCAATCGCTGGGCACGGTGGCTTACGCCTGTAATCCCAACAAATTGGGAGGCCAAGGCAGGTGGATCACCTGAGGTCAGGAGTTCAAGACCAGCCTGTCCAACTTGGTGAAACCTTGTCTCTACTAAAAATACAAAAATTAGCTGGGCGTGGTGGCATGCATCTGTAGTCCCAGCTACTCGGGAGGCTGAGGGCTGAGGCAAGAGAATTGCTTGAACCCAGGAGGCAGAGGTTGCAGTGAGCTGAGATCGTGCCATTGCACTCCAGCCTGGGTGACAAGAGTGAAACCCTGTCTCAAAAAAAAGTATATATATATATATATGTATATATATGTATATATGTATATATATGTGCATATATGTATATATGTATATATATGTGTATATATGTATGCTATATATATATGTATATACACACACACACACACACACACACACACACACACACAAGTATATATGTGAAGGCTAGGGCCAAATTCACATAATTCACCTCTGTGTCCCCAGTAGCTGTGTTGATTCTTACACACACAAACATTTGTGCTTGATATTTGGTGAATAAATTATTTCATAGTCTTCTCAGCATCCTTTTAAGATGGAAATTATCTTATTTTATATAATTGTATTCAATTCTTTCTACAATGTATTGAATAAGCTGCTACATCACATGGACCGTTTTAAATGCTGAAAGATAAAAGCAGTGATCAAGACAGACAAAAGTCTTTTCTTCACGCAATCAATCACATCAACACAATCAACATCCTAGCTAGGAGTTGTGCAATAAACAAGTGAATGCATAATATGTCAGATGATAAGTGATATTGAAAACAAATCAGGGAAGGGAAGTAGAGTTTGCCATATGAAGGCTAAGTGTTCTGAGCAGGAAGGTTGCAAAAACCTTGATACTGTGATGTGTGAGCTGAGAACTGAAGAAGCTGAGACAGTAAACCAAGTGGATAGAAGAGAGAAAATGATTTCAGAAAGAGGAAACTGCATCGATTTTAGAGATAGGGAAACTAAAATTCTGAGGGGTGAGGCTAATTTCCTGATAGTATAAGAAGTCTCCATCTGCAACCAAGTCCACATGACCTTAGGCCTGCACACTAGCCAACGTGTTATCAACATGTTGAAATCCTAGTATGTGGGATATAAAATCATTGCAAAAATTTCACCACAACCCACATCAAATTGAACCATTCAGTTATGATCAATATATTCCTACTCACCATGCTAACCATAGTTTATAAGAGAAACAGCAGGTGGACACAATATTAAGAATAGAATTCCGCTTCTGATTTTAGGCCAGTTTGGCTAAAAATGTTATTTTGTAGGTGTTTGTTAGCAGTGGGTTAGGACATCATCACTGGTAAAGCAAAGCTCTGGGCAGCATACTTCAGAGAGCCACTGAATTTTGTACTGTGTCAGAGCTGTGGTCAGACCCTCACCATTTATCTCATAGGAGCCAACAGAGTGTGTGGTGTTGGATGCAAGAACATCTACAGTGATGTGAAAACAACTTAAAACTCATATGTCACCTTCATGCACACGGCCATTATCAAGACATCGAAATGATCTTTTTGAAGCCTTGACTAGTGAAAAGCTGATGTTTAGTTCTGTCTTTTAAGTTAGCTGTGGCATTTCTCAAAATTATTTTTATGTGTTAAGAACCACTAATGAAGACAGATGAATACAACGGTCTGTGTAGGAACTCACAATGACAGCTCATGTCACATTGTCCAATTGTAGAGTTCTTTTGGTCAGAGATGGCTCACAATTGCCATGGTTACTACTTCTGCCCATGTCCTTCCCTCTGTTGTCCTTGAGCCTCGAGATTAAAAGAAAACATTCAACTTCAGTGATGAAGTTGCAGGTGGGTAGAGATTTGGAGTTTTCTAAGCTTGGGTTTTTAATTCTAGGTCCAGCAGGGATTAATTATCAAAGATTTATCCCTCCCAACCCCACCACTAAAATACAGGAGCTTGTATTACTAAACTTCAAAGCTTAATACAAAATTATCAATAGTCCACATTAACTATACTAATATTATCTGACAGGTATTAGATCTGAGCAAAAGGCTGATATATTGCATATGTTGTCTGATTATAATTGACATTGTTTAGGAGAAGCAGCTTGGCAGAGGACAAAATCACAAGAAACTGGAACTGAGAAAGCTGAATTATGTCTTTGCTATTCCAATGACTAGTACTGTGACTAGGGCCACATAATGTACCTGTGGAGCTTACTTATTTATTTATTTTTGATCAGCAGTTACAAAGTGGGAGTAGAAGACTTCAAGTTCCATATTTGAAGAAAAAAAATTTTGTGGTTCTCTAACTTATACAGTCAATGTACTTGTATATGTTGGCATCCGGCATTTACAGGAAAATGCAATCGGAAGCACTTGAGAAGATGCTTTTAATGGAAGTAGAATAGACTTCCATTAAAAAGACATATTACATCTGGGAAAGGGCAGCCGTTCTCAATCTCAAAGAGCATTTGATTCCACTGTAATAGTATCCAGGCTAACCAAAAACATTACGGATACTTCCTCAGGTAGCCCAGAAT
Source organism: Homo sapiens (assembly GCF_000001405.40). NCBI lineage: Eukaryota > Metazoa > Chordata > Mammalia > Primates > Hominidae > Homo > Homo sapiens. Next base: position 125,703,657 of record NC_000002.12, on the reverse strand, counting down.
GCTGGAGTTTTTTCTCTCTAATATTTGATAAAGCAAGAGGTAAAAATTATATAAAATACTAAGATCACTAAAATAAGAGCAAGATGTTTTCAAAACAATAATTAAAAATCTAATGGAAGGGCTCGGTGCAGTGGCTTATGCCTGTAATCCCAACGCTTTAGGAGGCCAACGTAGGAGAATCACTTAAAGCCAGGAGGTCCAGACTAGCCTTGGCAACAAAGCAAGTCTCCACTCCATCTCTACAAAATAAAAGCAGAAAAGATAAGCTGGTTGTGGTGGCCTAAGCCTGTGGTCCCAGCTACGTGGGAGCCTGAGATGGGAGGATTGCTTTAGCTTACGAGGTCAAGGACTCCTAAGTTGGAGTGCACGCCACTTAATCCTGTCTCAAAGGTTAAAAAAAAACAACTTAATGGAGTTTTGTCTTCCCAGTTTTCACAAAATTTTCTATCTAACTTTTATAACCCTGTCTGTATTAATAAGCCTGGAAACATCAGGTGCATTTATGACTACTTGCTTGAGGGTAAATAGCATTTTACCTGTTCTGTTTCTCTGCACTGCTGTTACACAGGTCATTTGTCAGACCTATAGATACTTTTGTATTTTGCAATTATTCTCTCTTCCTGCAAGCACTTTATTGCCTTCCCGATGATTACCTGCTCCCCTCCCCATAATTTTATCTTCCAATGAAAAGTGGAGAAAACACTGCACAACATTATGTCAATTCTTCGAGAATCTCATAAACTATAAACTGTAGAAATTGGGACTGTCCCTTTAGAATTTCTGTCCTTTTACTTGGAAGACTGTACATTCCTTGATTTGTAATTTTAAATAGGCAAGAAAGTTCAAATCTTTATATTTGCCCTTTTTCACTTTTGAACAGTAGCTTAGCTTATATTCTGGCAAACGAATGTTCATTAATGTTTGCCTTTCTTTTCTCCTCAGTAGCATTGATAATGGTGACTTTAATGTGACAATGAAACTTTAATGTGATTTATGACATATCACTGACAAAGTATTGATATGCCTAATATCCAAAAAAAACTTCTAAAAAGAGAGGAATATGATAAAATATACTAATTTATCTATAGAAAATGGGTTAGAGATATGAACACATATTTTGCAGAAAAAGAAAGGCCAATTTCCTTTAATCATATGAAAAGGTTCTCAAACTGGAATATAATGAGATAAAGGAAAACTTGAAATGCAGTAATATATCATTTCTTATCTAACACACTGGCAAAATCCAAAAGTTGACAATATGCACTGTTGTGGAGACTATGGGGAAATAGTGTCTGTGGAAATGTAAAAATGATATAATACCTAGGGAGTGGAATGTTGCAATATGTATCAAACTTACATAAGCATTTACCCTTTAATTTCAGCAATTCACATTCTATGAATCTACTGGGGCCGGGCGTGTTGGCTCACGCCTGTAATCCCAGCACTTTGGGAGGCTGAGGTGGGCGGATCATGAGGTCAGGAGATCGAGACCATCCTGGCTAACACGGTGAAACCCCGTCTCTACAAAAATACAAAAAAATTAGCCGGGCGTGGTGGCGGGCGCCTGTAGTCCCAGCTACTCAGGAGGCTGAGGCAGGAGAATGGCGTGAACCCGGGAGGTGGAGCTTGCAGTGAGCCGAGATCGCGCGTATGCACTCTAGCCTGGGCGACAGAGGGAGACTGCGTCTCAAAAAAAAAAAAAAATCTATTGCAAGACATATGCAAAAGGAATGTGTGCACATGTAGCTTATTTGTATTAGCAAAAGATTGAAACAACCCAAATGTCCACACTTAAGAGACTGAATAAATTCTGATAGCTCTATCTACAAAAAGGAGTAGAGATAGCTATAAAAAGTAATGGGGAATGCTTCTGTATGTTATTGTGAGTAAGGTCCTGAATATAAGGGAAAAGACAGCAAAGTGGAGAAAAATTTATTCTTTACTATAAATATATAAAATAGTTAACTAATGTTTATTTTTGTATGTACACACCATATACAAGCACACACACATTGTTTATAAGAAAAACAATGAAAGCATAAACCATAAAATTGAACAGAAAGCTACCTTTGTGAGCAAGAAGACAAAAGGGTAGAAGAGACAGGAATGGAAGCTGGACTGTCCCGAATATATAGCGTTTTATAGATTTGACTTTGTAAGCATGTCAATATTTTAGATACTTATAAAGTAAAATAACATCCCAATGAATAAGATGATGAAGACAAAGACATTTACATGTGTATCAAGTTGATGATATTATTAAATGAAGAAGAATTATTTCAAAGTATGTGAAACGCAATAATATCCCCATCTTACTAGTGGATTATCCCACAAAGAAAAAGAGAATTGTAAAATAAAATAAAACAACTCCAACTATTTTATTTGCTGAGTCATAATGTTGAAGGTGATGCTGGCATTATTATCCTCAGACCATTGAGTATGTAATACGGGATAAAGCAATGACTAATTTTCTTGCATCCTTAAGGATCAAGATTAAAAAAAAAAAAAAAGAAATGAGTTCACCAAAGCTAAGTAAAGACAATATAGTCCTGAATTTGAATTGGAAGCACCAAAATGACCCTGTGAGCATTTTATCTCTAAAAAGAAATACATATTTTCTAGCTATTTCACAAAACAGTCTATGAAGAAATACCAAGCCAGAGAAAATGAACAACTCTAGCACACAATGTGTGTTCTTAAATGTCATTTTCTACTAAAAGGAACCAAAACTCCTTGCAGAAATGGCTGAGTTGAAAAAGTAAAAGATGAATTCAGAAGCTCTAGTTTGACTAGATAACAAGAAAGTTATCAGAGACTAATAACATTTTATTAACATATCTCAATTATAAATTTTAAAAAGAATACCACTGACTATATATGAGACTACTTTAGCATCAATGATGATAAATACTAGAGAGAACTGATGCACATTCAGTGTAATTAAATCCAGGAATTCCTTCAGAGGATACCAGGAAAATATATTGTAAGTTTAAAAAGTTGGTATATAAAGAAATAAAATACCATACTCTTCCTTTCCAACATGTACTGTACTTCAAGATATCCAAGATATCCAAATAATGGATAGAGTTTTTCCTTTTAAAGTGTTCAAACTAATATGAAAAAGAGTGACAAAAGTTAGGAGTCATTTTTAACTCCTAACAAATTGATGAATCTTGATAGTGATCATTAATAGCTGCCAACATCACTTCCAAGAAAGTCAACTAGACAGTGTGTGTTTCTGAAGAAAATATATAACCCACCTATGAAGCAATTTTGCCAAAAGCTCTAGAAGATCTACAAAATGTAAAAGCAAATCTACAGGAATACTAGAAACAGAACATGTGAAATGAGACTAGGAGGAAGACTAGAAACTTTGCAAGATAAACATCTTGTTTCTTTAACAAACAGTTGCAAAGAAAAAGTAAAAAGGGATCAACAATAGATCAATAATTCAAATGGAACTTAAGAGACACATCAGTCGACTGCTATAAGTTTGAAACCCAAATTTAAATAAGCAAACTTAAAAATACATATATCCAGTGAAATTTAAATACTATCTAAATCCCTGCTGATATTAAAAAATGTATTGCTAGTTTATTTATATATTTGATCCTGATAATATGGATATTTTAAAAGAAAAATCTTTCTTAGCTTCTAGTAATTCACGCTGATATGTTTACAGATAAAATAATGTGATCTGAGGTTTTCTTCCAAATAACCAAAGTTGGAAGAAGTGGGTGGTGGTAAGAATAAAACAAGACTGGCGGTAACTTGAAATTTTGGATGTTATCTATGGGTATCTGGGGGTTTATACTATTTATGCTGTTTATATGTCTGAAATAGTGTATAATAAAAAGTAGAATAAAAGTGTTTATTGCATCACTGCTTAGCACTTTGACCTTTCTCAAATATGGATTAAATAATTAGCTGATGATGTGGTGGTATGAAGAAATCCCTCCAAAAAATGATTCCCAGAATAAAAGTGTTTTCTTACCAGCTAGTCACATATGACCCACTTTTTCTTCTTATACGATTATGACTTTTGTCTCTTGGAATCCATTGTTACCGTATAAACTCTACCCCAAGAGACTCGAAAGCACTAATAATCACAACTTTGTGAGAATTATACCACCAGAGAGCTTGCTTATTGTAATAGCTAAGAAAGGATGCTATGAATGGATTTAAATTTTTCCTTGAAACACTTCACTTCCAGGAGATAGATGCTATTCTAATCAGTTTAAGTTGGAAGGGGTTTAATATAGGGTATAACATTGCCTACAGAGGGTTAGGAAAATTAATAAAGTAGTGTAAATTGAATGTCTAAGTATTACTTCCAAAGCCACACAACAAACCTGGGCTGCCAAGGTGACCACTGACTATTCTATGATGAGAAAAGCTTATACAATCTGGATATGACTACATTTGGGATACCGTAATGCCCCAGTCAGGAAGCCAGTTCCAGGACTCTGAACCACACCTGTTACAAAATGCATCAGAAAAAAAAAATAACTGCAAGTGTATCAGATAGGCCAAATTTAAATCAAATTTGGATGTCTCATTAAAAAGTTCTGCGAAACATAGTTTTGGCTCTCTAGCCATCTTATTCCTAGAAGTCACATTTGATAGATGATAGGACTGAAGTGAGACACCAATCAACCACATTCATCAGAAGGACAGTATGTTGTTGGTACCCATTTCATCATCATCAGAGAGACTGGGCAGCAGCAGAACACAATCCAAAAATGTCGCTCAGAAATGGCACTATTTTGCTGCAGAAAAGCTTTTTCTAAATAGAAAATGATACCAGGCACTTGTTCTTTGAAAATAATAGTAATAATAATAGAATAACAGAACACATATCAGGATAGTAATCAAGACCTGGTTCGAAAGAATGTACCAGTGCTAGCAGGAGATAATGGCATCTAATTAAGACATTAATTAAAACTAATAATACTTACCTAATTAGAAAATGTAAAAGTACTATTAGACATTTTTTCTTTGAAATTAGCTGAAGCAGATGATTAGCAGTTGTTCTTAATGTAATTCTTGTAATTAAATAGAATACCACATGCATAAAATTAGACCTGTAAATAAAGACATTGCAATCAATCATTATTAAATGTTTGTAGAAGACGCTGGAGAATGGCTGTGGAGGTGCTGGCCCCACCATGCTGGCACTTTGCCAACTGTATAATTGCTTTCTTCAGACTCCCAAATTCTACTATAGCTTAAATTGAACAAGCCCCATTCTTCAACACTTTTCCTGAACTTTCTAGGACTCCCTATGCCCTTTGGATCTCTCAGATCTCAGGTACTAAAAGGAATTACCCAAGGGAATGATTTAAATTGGAGCAGAAAGAATGTAGGTTAAACAGGAAATATTACAGTGGGCACTGAAGAAGTTAGCAAGGTTTTTAAGGCTACCCTAGAGGACAAGCTATGTTCTCATTTGCTGGAGCAAGTGCAGGGTTAATGCAATCTTCAGTAGCTTCCCAGATCTATGTCTTCTGATTTCTAGATACTATACTTATATGTATTATATTATATTATGTTATAAAAGTGTTTTCATTTGTTACTCATTTTCATTCTTCTGGTCAAATTAAAGCTTCTTAAGAGTAGGCATTAATCTATCATGTTGTATTGACTGCTACATTCACAACACCAGAATGAGATTGAGAACAAAGTAGCTGGTCACTAAATATTGAGTTAATGAAATAATGAATGAATGAACGCTACTCTGAGTTTGTGTACAAGACGTGTATGCAGGTGTGTAGGTGCATTTCCTCTGGCATTATAAATGCTTGAGGAAAGTACTGTGTGTGTAACTTTTCATAGAATCAGAACTTCTAGCACGCTGGTCAATAGTAAAACATTCATATCAAGTCTGGATTAAAACTCCATATCATGGAGATATGAAGTTTTAAATAAATGTAATTAGCCTGAGGCTGGTAATAAGATGGCTGTGTTCAGCCATTCAATCTCTACTCCATTAGTTCCCACAAACAACATCATACCTGAGGACCATTAACCCACATGCATGGAATAAAAATGCACAAAGGCCAAATTCGACTTCCATGTACTGGAGACCGTACATAAGGATGAGGCATCAATGAAATAGCACCACGAGTGCAAAAATGCACGGGCATAAATACCACGCAGCTCACACTGTTAGGGCTTTTTGATAATTAGGATGGCAGAGTCCAGAGCAAAGCTCTGAGGAATGGCTGGAAAAGAGAGCAGGATCTAGTAGGGACAGAACCTTGGATGTCAGGCTAACAGGCTTTATTTTACAAGGCCTCAAAACCAATCATTGATGGATATGAATTGAAATATCGACTTGTAAAATCCATTTGGAGAATGAATTCTAGGGGCCAGAGATGAGACAGGAAGATGGCTGGCACCAGGATAGTTCACCTTGATTCCATTTCTGAATTTCTAATATCTTCTCAAGTGTCTAATTAAATCAAAAGTACTGCCTCTCTTGTCCTTTCCACATTCTTCTTTGAGGTTTCTATATTTCCAGCAGAAGTTCTAAGCCCATTAAGGCTTTTTTTAACAAATAAAAAGATGAACTGAAAATGGAGGAGAGAACCTAAATCTATCAAAATCAGTAGTTTCCCTGACGGTTGCTGTAAAGGGATGGCCTGTTTTCCTGAGCCTTGGTGTGTGTTGAATAAAAGCACTGATGTCTTCACAAGAGAAAAGATATAAAAGTGTTACCTAAAGTTGTTGGGCAGCTATAAAGAAAATAAATGACTCTATTACTTTGAAATGTAAGCAAACATCAACTCTAAAGCCCTGGGCAACACATGAAGCCGCCTCTATTTATAAAAGGGAGTTTGATGACATCTCCTCATATAGTAAATAAAGGAACAACTGCGTCATTGTCTGGGAAAGGGTGTTTGGATGCTTGCCACTGAAATGGGATTACTGGGGTGTGGTGGTGTGATCCCTCCTCTTCCTTCTAGTCACTGTTAGGCTTCCTCTGTGTCCACAGCACATGGGGACCCAGGGGGAATACAGCATCCACCCTTGGCTGGTTGGAAAAGCTTTACCCAAAACAGACCACAGTATTCCAAGAACTTCAAAGTCAAATGTCTTTCAGTACCTCTACAGCATGTAATTTGGGAACTCCCTTTACTCTGTAGGGGGCGTTCATGAATGTTTGCTATTCAACCCCAAGGGATAAAGATCTCAGAGGCTACCGTGTTTAAAGACGTAGATCTGGTGCTGGTGGCTTGGGGTGGAATGAAGTGGGGAAGCTATTTTCAGGTGGAAGAAGAGACAGTTTAGAGCTACCACCTGTTTTTCTCTCCTCCAATATGTGATTGGCTGATTAGAAGACCCTGGGTTGTCATGCCCTTGGCTACTGGAGTAGGTTCAGAACAAAGCAAGCCTGGCGTGGGCAGGAAAAACACACTCACACTGTTCTACAATGCAGAGAAGGGTTCAGTGTTTCCTGTGTGCTAGGGTAGCTGCCTTATTCTGCCATTTGAATGGATGACAACATGAGCAAATTGATTGATTGGCCCTGGAGAAGAGAGGTAGAGAGAAAATTTATTCTAGGTAGCAAAAAATTAAATAACTTTTTCTTGAATCAGACTGTAATTATAATTTATATTAACTTCATTGACTTTGGGTAACCTTTTATATAACCTCTCAGGCTTAATTTCAAGTGCAAAATCCAAGAAAAAGAAAAGAAAAAGAAAAATATCAGATTCGCAGGGGTTTGGGGGCATAAAATGGTAAAATGGCCTGACATATGTAATTACTGAGTATATGCTGATTGCATGTAATTAGTATTTTATCACTACTGTTATGTTTATTATTACTATTATTATTGAGAATATAAGAAGGGGTCAATAGAGTTTTCATGAGAGCAAAAATAAATAATCAGAAAGAAGACTTCAAGGATTGTGTGTTCCAGTCACCAAAGGAACATTAGCCAGGACAATCTGTTAGGTATTTATCAAAACACACACATACACACAACCTCCCCGTGTATTGATTGTAACCTGCATCCATAACAAGTGGAGGTTTCAGGGCTTTGCAATTGGGTTCCTAACTATGCTGTATTTCAAAGTCCACCAGGCATTCAGCACAGAACTGTGGTGCAGAGCAGGATCTCTGGTTGCTCATCAGAAGTAGCGGTGGATCACTGCAGAATCACAGCAGTACTTTTGGCTGGGTCTGGTCCATTCACAAAACATCACCACCACTCCATGGACCATGTTTACTTAGGGCTAGTTTAGCTTAACTGACAACCAGTCCCTGTGATGCCTTCTTATTTCCATGCTCATAGTCGTGTTTATTCTCTTGAGGCTTGAAGCTGCCCAGGTTGTTAGGTGTCCATATGATGTGCTAAATTAATTTATGCCAATAGGTCATAGTCAAATAACACCTGATTATAATGCACTGGTTTTCATTAAGGTAAAACCACTTGGTGGAGAATGTAAAAGCCTCATTGGTGGTGAGTAGTGTATTCTTAAAAGATTGATGAGTTGCTATTGTTGAGACAGTCAGACCCTGGAATGCCTGGCTACTTTATCTACAGGATCATCAAGGTAATACCCATATAGCCCCAAGCCTGAGAGGCCTTGGTAGCTGTCTCTTCTTCCCCATCAGGACACTGGCTGAGACTCTCTGGCGTAAGCCCTGTTTGCCTTTGCTCTTCCACTCGGTGGGTCCACTGACTGCAGGAAGAACCTCACTCCTTCTTCTCTCCCTGCAGCCAGCACAGGGAGTCTGCTGCCTAGGGCAGGGGCAACTGTAGCCCTTACCCTTTGACCTCTCTCATCTTTCTTCTCTTCTAAGTTTCCGAAGGACAGAGACATTAATGATTGCTTTTTGTTTACTTGTACATTGGGAATATAGCTGTCGGTGGAAATGCTCACTTATTTGTAGCAAAAAGGAGTTGATTTTAACACTTGGAGCTATGAGGTTAGACAACACAGGAAGGAAATGCATCTAGGAACCCTGATGGGGAGTGGACATTGGGGTCCTTCTAATTACCAAGTCCAGACTGCTGGGATTAAGGTGTGCGTGTGGACAAGGAAGGTTGAGGAGGCAAGTCCTGACTGTAACCAGTAGCCTGAGGTTTGGGCTCCACCTCACATGTCTTCAGAGTTTGGAAACTATTAGCAAGATTGTTCTTAGTGTCTTCGTCTGCTGTCTGTCCTCAAGAGATTACAGCGGAGAAGGGAGATGAATAGGGTAGCATCCAGGCCTTCTTGCCTCCCTCACTTTGATATCAAAGATGTCATCAAAACCTAACCGCTAGTCTTAACAGCTGCTGCTATGGATCACTTGTGCCGTGTATGTACTGGACCAATCCTTCTCCGGACGCTCCTAACATGGAAAAGGACAGGCCCTGGTCCCAGAGGAGTCCAAGTTGACAAGGTTATCAAAATTGAGAGGCTGTGAAGGACATGGTATATCCCATTGGTGGGACAAATTCAGTCTTCAAGAAGCCAAGGTTATCTATGGAGGAGTAGGAGAGGAGAAAAGGGAAGAAAATCAGATAAACTGAGTGCTTACTAAGCATCAGGCATCAGTTACTTTCATAATATTTTAATCTGATGGCAAACCTAGAGAGTAGAAATTTTCTTTAAAGCAAAATATTTTGTATTTAATTGTAGACTTGCCTGTATTTGTAAGAAATAATACAAACAGATCACATGTATCCATTAGCCAATTCCCCCAATAGTAACAATTTACAAACCTATACTACCACTGCCACAAAACCAGGATATGAACATGGATACAGTCAAGATACAGAGGAAGTCCATCACCCCACGATCCCTCAAGGTGACCATTTACAGCCACATGCACCACCTTCACAACCCAGCCTCTCCTTAACGCTTGGCAGCAAATAACCTGCTTTCCATTTTCATAATTTTGTCATTTTCCTTTTGTATGACATTTTAAGAATGCTATATAAATTGAATTAGACAGTTTGTCATGTTTTGGGGATTAACTTTTTAAATTTAGTATAATTCTCTAGAGATTCATTCACATTGTTGACTATCAACAGCTCATTCCTTTTTATTTCTGCATAGTATTCCACACCATGGATATATCACAATTTATTTAACCATTCACTTGTTAAAAGAATATATAGATCATTTCCAGTTTTAGACTCTTACAATAAATAGAGCTACTGTGAATATTTGTGTACAAGTTTTTGGTGTGTAAGATCATAAGTACCCACCCCCCCATACTGGGATAAATACTCAAGAGTACAATTGCTGGGTTGTATGATATGTAGGTAGCTGCATAGTTTGTTTGTTTGTTTGTTTTGTAAATGCCAAGCTGTTTTCTAAAGTGGCTGTACCATTTTACATTACCACAAAAGTGCACGAGTTATTCCATTTCTCTGAATACACACCAGCGTTGGTATTATATATGTATATATACATATATATATACCTTTATTTATGTCTACCATATATCTTTATTTAATTTTTATTTCATTTATTCTTATAAGTATTTCATTGTGGTTTAAGTCACATTTCTCTAATGGCTAATGATGTTGAACATATTTCATGTGTTTTTCTGCGATCCATATTCCCTTTGCTGAATAGTTTGCCTATTTTCTATCAGGATGTTTTTACTGTTGAGTTTTATAAATTGTAGATACTGGTTTTCAGTTAGATATGTGATTTGCAAATATGTGATTGGCAAATATTTTTTCCAAATGTGTAGCTTTTCATTCTCTTAGAGCATTTCACACAGCAAAATATTGATAAAATTTTAATTTTGATAAAACACAAAGCATCAACTTTTTTCCCACTTTTGTTGTCAAGCCTAAAAAGTATTTGCCTTGCTCAGATTCCTGAACATTTTATTTTATTTTTCTCTAAAGGTTATACACTTTTATATTCTACAATTAAGTCCATGATCCATTTCTTGTTACTTTTTGTACAAAGTATGATGTTTAGGCAGAAGTTCATTTTCTTGGTCTACAGAATCACTTCAGCACCACCTGTTGAAAAGGCTCCACTTCCGTTATTAAATTGCTTTTGTACTTTTGTCTAAAATCACTTGGGCAAATTTGAAAGGGTGTATTTCTAGGTCCTCATAATGTTCAACTGTTCAATTTGTACACCTTTTTGCCAATAGCACATATTTTTAATTACTCTAGCCATGCAATAAATATTCTTCCCATTGCATTTTTCATTTTCGAAATCATTCTAGCTATTTTAGTTCCTTTGTCTTTATACATAAATTTTAAAATAAGTTGGTCTATATCTGCAAAATATCTTGTTGCAATTTTAATAGAATTGCATTAAACCTGTACCAGTTTTAGGAGAATTGGCATCCACCTTTGCTTTGTTGTGTTGTCCAATTCTAAGCAAAAAATGATTTCTCCATTTATTTTGATCTTTTGATTTATTTCATCAGTGTGTTGCAGTTTTTAGGACATAGGTCTTATACATCTTTCATTACATTTTTATCTAAGTATTTAATTTTTATCAATTATAACTGTATTTTTAATTTCCCTGTTCATGTGCTATTTTGTATATTATATATAATAACAATTGACTTTGTTTGTTTATCTTGCATACTGATACCTGACTGTAATTACTTTTTCATTTGAGGATATGTTTTTAATTTGGGAATTTTCTATGTGTCATCTGCAATTAGGAAGAGTTGTACATCTTCTTTCTCTACCTTTATGCCTTTTCTTTTCTTTTCAACTTTTTGTAATAGTTACACCTTCTAGTAGTATGTTAAGTAAGAGTCGTGAGAGCAGACATCCTTTCCTTGTTTCCAAAATTATGAGAAAAGTATTTCATCTTAAACCATGACGCATAAGATTAGTGCTGTATTATTATATATTTTTTTAGATACTATTCATCAAGCTGAGAAACTTCTACTCTATTGCCACTTTTCTGGGAGTTGTTATCATCAATAGGTACTGCATTATGTGAAACTCTTTTTGTGTATCAATTAATACTATCATGTCTTTTTTCTTCTTTAGGTTGTTAATATGGTTGATTACATTTTCAAATATTGAACCAGGCATGCATTCTTAGAACCAATCCCATTTGGTAATGGTGTATAATTCTTTTTACTAATTGCTTAATTCTATTTGTTAATATTTTAAATAATGTTTGCTTCCAGCCTTATGAGGATGTTAGTCTCAAATTTTCCTTATTTTTTCTCTTTTATTTCTCCTTGTATTTTTCATTTGAATATAAAAGTAATATAAGCTTCATAAATAAATTGAAAATTCTTTTATCCTCTTCAATTTTCTGGAAGAGAATCTGTAGAGTTAATATTAATTATTTAAATGTTTGTTAGAATTCAATAGTAACATTGTCTGAGGCTGAATTTTTTGGGTAGGAGTTTTTAAATTACAAATTAAATTAAATATTACTTATAGGACTATTCAAAACATCTGTTTTATATTGAGTGTGTTGTAGTAGTTTGTGCTTTTTGAAGAATTGATCTATTTATCTAAGTTGTCAAATGTATGTGTATAGATATGTTTATACTAATTCCTAATCCCTTATTTTCTTTTGATGTCTGTAGAATTTATAGTGATGTCCCTGTTTTATTTCTGATATTGGTAATTTGTGCCTTTCTCTTTTGTTCTTTGTCAGTCTTACAACCGGTTTGTCAATTTAATTAATCTTCTCTAACAATCAGCTTTTTAAGTGGACTTTTTACATTATTTTTCATTTTCAATTTTATTGATTTTTCTTCTTTACCATATTATTTCCATCCTTTTTCTGTGGGGCTTATTTTTCCTTTCTCTTTTTTAAAATAAGTTTTCAATGTGAGAGCTTAGGTTATTTATATGAGATCTTTCCCATTTTCTGATATAAGCATTTAGTGTTACACATTTCCTTTTCTCCACTGCTTTAACTGTGTCATGCAGATTTTGATCTCATGGGTTTTTTTTCATCTTTTAACCTGTTCAATGTACATTTTACTTACCCTTGATATGCCTTCTTTTACCCAAGGATTATGTTTTTTAAATGTCATTTGGTTTTCAAATATTTGTTTTTTTCATATTGATTTCTAGTTTGATGATTCCCTTGTTATAACAGAACACACTGTGTATGATTTCAATGTTTTTAAATTTGTTTGTTTTAAGGCCCAGAATATTGTCTATCTTCATTTGTGTCACGTGAATGCTTGAAAAGAGAGGTTTTTCTGTAGTTTTGAATTGGAGCATTCTATAAATGTTAAATAGCTCTTGTTGGTGGATTGTGTTTTTATATATATGTGCTGATTTTCTGATTGATCCATTATTGGGAAAGGAGAATTGAACAATTGTAATTGTGAATTTGTCTATGTCTTTGTTCAGTTGCATCATATTTTATTTCACACATAGTTATATTTTTTAGTGTGTACAAATTTAGGATTGCAAAACAAGGAAACAGAAATAAAAATAATATTTAGAATTGCCATGTGTTTAATCCGTCCTGCCAATAACTCTCTTTTACTTGGTGTATTAAGACTACGTTTAATGTAACTATTGATATATTAATTCTTAAGTCTGCCATTTTTATTTGTTTTCTATTTGTTCTTTCCATTTTCCTTTCTTTCTTTTATCTTTTTTCTCCCTGTAGGTTACTTGAATGTGTTTTTAGAATTCCACTGTATGTATCTATAGATTTTTAATTTTTCTAGTGTGTCTCTTTGTATCAGCTTTTAGTGGCTTCTTTAGAATGTGTGTATGTGTATATATATACATTCATATACAGTTGAACTTTGAACAGCATTGGGGTTTGGGGCACCAATCTCCTGTGCAGTCAAAATCCACGTATAACTTTTTGACTCCTCTGAAACTTAACTGTGAATAGCTTACTGTTGACCAGAAGCCTTACTGTAACATAAACAGTCAATTAACACATATTTGTTATATGTATTATATAATGTACTTTTACAATAAAGTAAGTTAGAGGAAAGAAAATGCTATTTAAAAACCATAAGGAAGAGAAAATATATTTAATATTCATTAAGTGGAAGTAGATTAACATAAAAGTCTTCATCCTTACATTGAGTAGGCTGGGAAGGAGGAAGAAGAAGAGGGGAAGGCATTTTTGGCTCAGAGGTGGCCAAAGAAGTAGTGGTGAAAGAAGTAGCAGGGGAGGCAGGAGAGACAGGCACACTCAGTGTAACTTTATGGAAATACACCATAATGTCTGCCTGAATGTTCTGCTATTTTACTGTCCTAAAAATGTTTCCATTCAGTACCAGTCTTTTTTTTTTTTTTTTTTTTGAGACAGAATCTCGCTTTGTTGCTCAGGCTGGAGTGCAGTGGCGCGATCTCGGCTCTCTGCAACCTCCGCCTCCTGAGTTAAAGTGATTCTCCTGCCTCTGGCTCCCAACTAGCTAGGACTACATGCACGTGCCACCACGCCAGGCTAATTTTTTTTTATTTTTAGTAGAGACAGGGTTTCACCATGCTAGCCAGGATGGTCTCCATCTCCTGACCTGGTGATCCACCCACATCGGCCTCCCAAAGTGCTGGGATTAGGGAAGTGAGCCACCACGCCTGGCCTACAATACCAATCTTTCTTCTATCACTTGCTTTAGTTTCAGTGCCCATGTCATAGAAGGGTTCATATTGTAAAAGAAATCAAAAGCCAAATAAGCAGAACCCTTCTGAAAGATTATCTAGTGTCAATTTCTTTTTTAGCACTGTTTCTTCTGTCTTGTTTCTCATCATCTGGCACAGATTCAGAAGCATTCATTTCCATTTAGTCATCTTCTGTTGTGTCCCTATTATGTCTTGAGTTTATCTGATCCATATCTTGAAACCCTTTATTTTTCTCCTTCCACCATTTTTTTTTTTTTTTTTTTTTTTTTGCCATATCCACAATTCCTTTCATGATTTTCTTGATTGGCCCTGCCGTAAAAACTGTGAAGTCATGCACAACACCTGGACAGTTTTCTAAAGCGGGAATTTATTGTGTCCAGTGTTACAGATAACACAACATTTTCTATAACAGTGATGGTATCTTCAATGGCGCATTCCTTCTGGACTTTCCTGATGTTCTCTCTATTGGGGTTCTCTTTCTTATTGTTGACAATCCTTTCCACAGTGTGTAATGAGTCTTAAAGGTGCTTATGATGCCCTAATCTAGAAGCTGAATTAGAGATATGTTTGGGGGCAAGTAGATCACTTTGACATTTTTAGTGTTAAACGCATGGGGTTCTGTGTGGTCAGGGGCATATCAAAAGAACTTTAAAAGGCAGTTCCTCACTGGCAAAATACTTCCGGACCTTGGCGACAAAACATCAATGGAATCAATCCAAAAGATGGGGGCTTTTGTTGTCCGGGCCTTCTAGTTGTACAACCGAAAGACAGGAATCTGCTGTCAGATCTTTCCTTCAGGATTAGCAGTTTTACAGATATAAGCACAGTAAACCAAACTACATTTATACAAAACAGTAGAGTGAGCCTGGCCTTTCCTGCATTGCATCCTGGTGCTCACTTCCCTTTCTAGTAAATGTCCTTTGTGGCATTTTTTTTTTCTTCCAGAATAGAGCACTTTCATCTGCATTAAAAACTCCATCCTTTCTCCTCAGTGACTTTCTTAATGGCATCTGGGAACTTGTGTGCTGCCTCTTGATCAGCAGAAGCTGTTTTTCCTGTTATCTTGACATTTTTAAAGCCAAATATTTTCCTAAAATTGTCAAACCATCCTTTGCTGGCATTAAATTCTCCAGCTTTCAATTCGTCACCTCCTTTTTGCTTTAAGTTGAAATATAATGACTTTACCATTTCTTGAATCATGTTAGATGCTGTAGGTATGTCTTTCTTATAGCAATCCTTTGCCAGCATGAAAGCTGCATTTGTAATACTAGATAAAAAGGTATTTCACACAAAGTGAAAGGTTGTTGCATCTTCTGGCATAGCTGCTGCAAAGGCTTTATAAAGTGCTCTTTACTCTGCTTTTTAGAAGTACTTCCAACATCAAGAGTAGCACTTTCTATGGGTTTCATGGTGTTATTCTAGGTTTACAATAGGTGAGATGAAAAATATGCAAGAATTGTGAGATCGCCTTTTACTGCAAAATGCAATGTACTGGAGAGATGAACTGCTCATTTTAAGGGGATAAGGGTAACACTTGAGCTCGCCACAATAGCAAGAGGAGATGACTATGAAATTACTACAGCACTACAGCACATACTATCATGAATTGTATGCAGTTATGATTTAATACTACATCTTTACATTGGTTTACATTTCTCTTGACTGTGAATGGCATCATGTGCAGTCTGTGTTGATGTGCATACGTTTTGATAAATTTTGACTTTTTATAATAGATTTGTATATACTTTATGCTAGTAAATTATCAAATATACTAGTATTTACATATATTTTGTGCATTCATGACATACTTTTTTCTTAATTTTTTTTAATATTTCTAGGCTTCTCAGCCTGTGAGTTTTTTCAATTGTCACAACTCTCCAAAAAATGTTTCCAGTATATTTATTGAAAAAAGTCTGCACTAAGTGGGCCTGCACAGTTCAAACTCATGTTGCACAAGTCAAACTGTATATATTATGTATCATTTATATATATATATAATATACACACTACATATGTAATTGTGAAATATATTATCTTAGAATTTATTGATGCCAACATCTTACCAGTTTGAGTGAAATGTAGAAACTTTACCTCCTTTTATGTCCCATGATGCTTTACATATTTACAGTGTGAGACCTTTTCTCTTTTAGAAACTACTCAGTAAAAAAAGTAATATTTTTTGCTTCTGATGGAGAGCTGATGTATTGACTTACAGTTGTTGGCATTTAGGCAAATTGTTTTGGGTGAGTATTAAACTACAAGGGAAGTCCCAGAATGAAAGTGTTGGTTCCCCTTCTTATGGATGTACTCACATATATGCATATTTGTTTTGAAAAAGAGAGCACCTATTACTGTGTGATCTGTTGCTTTTTAGCTTTATATTTAGGGAAGATAATTTATCATGGAGGAGAGAAGCCCATGCAGCAGGGACATGTGATAAGCTCCTTGTTCTGAATAATGAGATAGACTAGAGGTATAAAACTTCCAGTTAATCATCATCTCAGCAAGGGTATTTGGGGACTCAAAAAATAACTCTGAGAACTTAAAAAGACTACTTAGATTTTGTAAAGTTGCCTTCAGTGTAGAAAAATAATGTATCCTCACAAAGATGTCTACATTCTAATCCCCAGAATCTGTGCATATGTTGTTACATGGCAAAGGGAATTAAGGATAAGATGGAATTAAGTCTTTTAATCAGGAGATCATAAAATGGGGAGATTCTCCTGGGTGACTGGGGTGAGGCCAGTAGAATCAGCACAGTCCTTATAAGTGGAAAAGGGAGGCAAAAGCGGAGTGAGTGTCAGAGTGACGCAGCATGAGAAAGGCTCAACGAGCCCTAGGTGGCTTCAAAGATGGAAGAACATAAGCCAAGGAATGCAGGCAACTGGAAGCTGGAGAAAGGACAGAAATGGGATTCCTTCCACAAGGAATGCATAAGGAATGCAGCCCTGTCAACACTTTGATGTCAGCCAGGTGAACCAATTTTGGACTTCTGCCATCGATAGCTGTAAGATAACATTAGGTTGTTCTAAGCCACTAAGCTTGTGATAATTTATTACAGCAGAAATAGAAAACAAATACAGCAACTGTTAATTGTCCTTTTCATTAAAATTGAGATTTCCCCAGTTTTTGACATGATGAGCGGTTTTCAACTGAAATCTGGACATCCAGAATGTAATGTTTTAAAATTCTGGATCTCATTTAATTGAATTTTTAGATGGCTTTTCTAATACTACTCCAGCAAGGAAAGTGTGGATGCTGCCTCAGTATTGAAGGTGGGGGTAGATGTTCAGGTTCCGTACTTAGCTTCTAATGACACCTGGGAATGAGGATGTGGGTATAATTACTTCTGGGTGGGGGTAGAGTTTCTGTTTCTCCACAGGCTGCCACTGATACCACCCTAACTGGGAGGGTCAGGAGTACCTTGTTACTTTTTCCTATGTGGCTTTGACATCATGGGGACTGGCCTCCTTACCACTGCATTGCAGTGAAAATCTAGGATCTCCACCAGGTCTTCTAAAACGCCATCCCCACATGAAAGGGAGAGCTCTCTTGTTACTGTTTGATGTGAATGGAAGTCCAGGTTGCACACATGATCTCCACCGACATCAGATGAAGTTGGTACATTACTCCGCAGCACCATTGAAAATGCTGGCTTTAGATTCAGCCTTCTCTTGATCCACCTGGAGTAGCTGGGGATGCGTCATTACAGCCTGGTGAGAATGGAAGCCTAGGTTCTCCACTCAGCTTTTATTGTCTGAGTGCTGGAGGGGATGCAGAGTTTTTATGGTGTTTAGCTGGTGTGGAGTGGTTCCCATCTAAAACTCTTCTGTCTTTTTAGACTGTTTTTTTGTTTTTTTGTGGTTTTTTTTGTTTTTTTTTACTGGTTCTTTGTCTATAGAGAGGAGGCTTTTGTTGGGGTTTTTTGTCCATACCCTGTGGTGATTTCTGGTTGCCCGCTGCTTTCACTCCATGTCTGAGACTTAAGAAGCAAACAGGAAGCCCAGGGAGTCCCTGCTGTGTCGCTGGTTCTGTCCTGAGATCTGTAGCTCATCTGCCTTCTTCTTTCTACCTTTTAGAGTCTTCTTGCATTGATTTTTATTTTTAAATATACAGTCAAGGATTTTTTGTTCTTAGCAGGAGGAACAGAGAAACATATGTCTAATCCATCTTCCTGAAAGCAAAAACCCTACCATTTTCTCTTTAATCATAAATGAGGTACAAAGATGTTAAATAATTTGCTAAAGCTTACACATCTATTCATCCAGTAGACATGATGTTGAAGTTAATTCCCTCTCCTCACTTTTTTTTCAACTCTAATAGTTGTAATGATAGTTTAGGGCCAAATAATTGAATGTTTTAAATGCTAGTTTAAAGAATGTAGACTTTTTTCTAAAGGTAACACAGAAGCGTTGAAAACAATTTAGAAGAGCCAGAAAGGGCATGTGATCAAGTCATTTGGACCAAGTTTTTATTTAAAATGGGACTTAAGTCTGCGTCTATGTCTAAAACATTTTCTCTTCAACATACTCATATAATTTCTTCTGAACACTGGCTATCTTTTGGATTGTATAGCTATTTTTGGTTTCTGCTTCTAATTCTCACTTGCATTTCTCGAGCCTCAAAATAGATCAACTGGGGGAACAAGGCTGCACCTTGTCAGTTTACCAACAATCTCAGGCAGAGGATGGGTAAGGAGAGTGTCAAGGGATATTCTGACAGAATTGCCAAATTAAAACAGCTTTAAACATATGTATTTAGCCAGCACACCTTAGCAGAGCAGCTGTGAGTGCCTCTTGAAAGAGCCAACATGCATTCATCTCACAGAATCCAGCTTTTTTGTGCTAATTTATTTGAACAGAATAAGTGTTTGTGTATGAGTATTTATACAGAAAACACACGTCCATCTCATACACAACTAGAACTACTGCATATCAGATATACCATGACAAGCAGGAAAAACATACGTTTTATTTTTTCTTGGATGTATTTTTTCAAAAGTTCCAATGAAATGTTTTCATCCAAACAAATAAGAATTTATTGAAGTCCTAGTGTATGCTTGGTTTATAACAGGATAGAGATTCTTTATACGTTTTAGCTTTGAGACCTGTTTCATCTTTATCAACCCCTCTATTCAATCTGACCTCCTGATGTTCATAAGAAAAACTCACTTCCTACTCAATGAGTAAATCTTGGCCAAATGAACACAATTATTTTAACTTTTCTTTTCTTCATGTGCATGTTCTTCTCCCATTTACTTCTGTTCAAGAAGAAGGTGTATCCCCCACCCGCCATTCCAAGGCTAACGTCTTCATCTGGGAAATTCTCCCCCGTTCCATTCTCAGCCTAGGGCAGATGCTTCTAAGTGTTCTTGCTTCACAGTGCTGGCAGGGTCTCAGTAACTCGTTCATTGACTGCTAGGCCAAAAGAATTACCTAACAGTTCCATTTGTTAAGTCATTAAGTCCCCCAAAATGGATAAAAATGTGTGTCCCAATAGCTTTGTATCCTCTAGAAAAAATAATTTACATTAATTGCAAAAACTATTCTAAGAAAGCACAATTACTTACTAATAGGACAGGTATGCCTGTTGGGCACTTCTCAATTTCTGAAGCCTTGGAATCAGACAGGATGCCAACACCCTCACACCCTGTTTCACAGTGATTTTCACATGGTATTTGTTTTGTATCATGGCAAATCCTGACAACATGGTTTCAAATCAACAGGAGCATGGTGCAGTCTAAAGTAAAATATGTGTACTATTTTGCAAAAGAAATTCATCACATGGAGCTTCTCAAATTTAAAATTAAAAATATCCCATGGTGGCCATGTGAGTTTACTGTGCTTCTCTCAGGCACCTGAGCACCCATTGTGTCAGCCATGGGCATAATAGCTGTAAGTATCAACCACAGAGACAGACAGTGTGAGCTCCAGCCCCACCTCCGCCACATCATAGGTATGTGACTTGGGAATAAATCACTTCTCCTGTGTTTGCAGTGTGTACTGTGTGTGTGGTGTGTGTGTGCAGGTGTGTGTGCACATGTCCTCACTTAAAATTTTTCTGGATGATAGTATTTATTTCATAGGTTTTAAAAATGCAAATTAAGTAAACTACATATATATACATATATATGATGTATATGTGTGTGTGTGTGTGTGTGTAAATTATTTTCAACAATCCCAGGCACAGAGTATACATTATATAAATAAGTGTTAGCTATTTATGTATGTGTTAGCTATGCCCTAATTTTCAAAACTTTAAAAAAATTATCTACTAGATCTTTCCCATAAGACTCAATATATGCTAAAGGCCCCTACCAGTCTAAAAATAAAAATTTTAAAGCAACATAAAAAAGAAAGAAAAACATGACTTTCTTAAATATTCTGAAGTCATGTATCCTTTTTTTAAAAAAACAAAATCCTGCTAAAATGCTCTGAAGAATTGAGCTCTGCTCCCACCACCTTCCCACACATGCATCATTCTTCACTGCATAGCATCTGGTCCTCCAGTACTCTACTTTTTTGGGAAATCTTGTTCTCTACTGTCTTCTCAGACAGTGAGATGCCTTGGTCTTCCTTCCTTTCTGACTGTTAGTCAATATACAGGTATACCTCAGAGATATTGCAAGCTCAGTTCCAGACCACTGCAATAAAGTGAATATGGCAATAAAGCAATTCATATATTTGTTTGGTTCTCAATGCTTATAAAAGTTAGGTTTACAATACACTGTAGTCTATTAAATGTGCAATGGCATTATGCCTAAAAAACAAATGTATATATCTGAATTTAAAAAATATTTTATTGTAAAAAATGCTAAGAATCATCTGAGCCTTCAGGCAGTCGTAATTCTTTTGCTGGTTGAAGGTCTTGTGTCGATGTTAACAGCTGCTGACTGATCAGGTTAGCGGTTGCTTAAGGTTGGGCTGCCTGTGGCAATTTCTTAAGTAAGACAACAATAAAGCTTGCCATATCAATCAACTGACTCTTTTTTTTTTTTTTTACAAAATATTTCTCTGTAGCATGTGATGGTGTTTGATAGCATTTTACCCACATTAGAACTGTTTTCAAAATTGGAGTCAGTCCTCTCAAGCTCTGACACTACTTTATCAACTAAGTTTACTTAATATTCTAAATCCTTTGTTGCCATTTCAACAATGTTCACAGCATCATCACCAGGAATAGATCCCATCTCAAGAAACCACTTTTGTTGCATGCACATAAGAAGCAAATTTTTATTCATTCAAGTTTTATCATGAGATTGTAGCAATTCAGTCACATCTTCAAGCTCCACTTTTAATTCTAATTCTTTGGCTGTTTTCACCACATCAGCAATTACTTTCTCCACTGAAATCTTGAAGGCCCCAGAGTGATCCAAGAGGGGTGGAATTAACTTATTCCAAACTCTTGTTAATTTGATATTTTGATCTCCTCCCATGAATCATAACTGTTCTTGAGGTCATCTAAAATGGTGAATTTTTTCCAGGAGTTTTTCAGTTTCCTTTTTCCAGATCCATTAGAGGCACCGTCTATGAAAGCTACAGCCTTACAAATGGTATTTCTTAAGTAATAAAGCCCGAAAGTTGAAATTGTCCCTTGATTGACAAGCTACAGATTGGATGTTGTGTTAGCAGGCAGGAAAACAATCTTCACCTCCTTGTAAATCTCCGCCAGAGCTCTTGGGTGGCCAGGTGCATTGTCAATGAGCAGTAATATTTTGAAATGATTTTTTTTCTCAGCAGCAGGTCGCAACAGTTGTTTTAAAATATTCAGTCAGTAAATCTTACTATATAATCAGATGTGCTGTCATGCAGGCTTTGTTGTTCCATTTATGAAACGTAGGCGGAGAAGATTTAGCATAATTTTTAAGGGTCCTAGGATTTTCAGAAGAGAAAATGAAAACTGGCTTCAACTTAAAATCACCAGCTGCATTATTCCTTAACAAGAGAGTCAGCCTGCTCTTTGAAGCTTTGAAGCCACACATTGACTTCTCTCTCATTATAAAATTCTTAGATGTCATCTTCTTCATTATAATGCTGCTTTGTCTGCATAAAAAAATCTTTTGTTTGAGACAAGCAGAGGATTATCATGGCAGACAGGAGGCAGGACTAGATTGCAGCTCCAGACAGCACAGTGTGCAGAGGCTCGCATTGTGAATTTTGGCTCCAGGTAGACTGAAAGAACAAACCAGCAATCCCGAGAGGACCCCTAGAACCTCTAAAGGAAGTGAACTGCTCCTGCAGGACCCGGAAGACACCCCCAAATACTGTGAGTGCCACAACTGTGGTAGCGGGAAAGGGAGAGCCTCCTCTCCTGAACACACACCCCCACTGGGGAAACTGAAGTTCTGCTTGCAGGAGAAGCTCTGACCTTACTTGGAGCTGAGTCAATTTAGAGAGCCGAGCAAAATACAGGGGTAGAGAAAGCAGCAGAAAGGTCCTGGGAGCTCGCCAGGTCCCTAAGCAGGCTATTCTTGCCTGGAACCAGATGGATCCATCCGGAGGGCAACCAGAGGAGTGGGGGGTAAAACTCCACAGGGAGAAGGGAATCTCTAGCCCAACTGTGTAACAGTGCCAACGGTGGTGGGGAGAAGCCTCCAGGCCAGAACTTAGGGGAGGCCATAAATCCAGGGTGCAGACTCCACAGGCAGGGAAAGAACCAACCCTTTTTCTTTCACAGCTGAGAGGTAGGTAGCCTGGGGCAAGTTTTCAAGCCCAGCTCATCCACACCTGGAAAAAGACTCAGGGCTGTTGGGGGCGGGCACAGTGGGAGTGAGATGGGCCCTATGGTTTGCAGGGGAGCTGAGTGAGGCCTGTGATTGCCGGCTTTCCCCCACTTCCCTAACAACCTACATGACTCAGCAGAGGCAGTCATAATCCTCCTAGCTACACAACTCCAGTGACCTGGGAATCTCACCCCCATCCCCCACAGCAGCCGCAGCAAGACCTGCCCAAGGAGAGTCTGAGCTCAGACACTCCTAGCGCCACCCCAACTTGATGGTTCTTTCCTACCCACCCTTGTAGCCAAAGACAAAGAACATATAATCTTGGGAGTTCTCGGACCCCACCCACTGCCAGTTGTTCTCCATACTACCAGAGCTGATGCTGTCTGGAAAGCAGCCACCTCCTGGCAGAAAGCCAACCAACACAAAAATAGAGCATTAAACCACCAAAGCTAGGGACCCTCATAGAGTCCATTGCATACACCGGCCCAGCCACCTCCACCAGAACAGGCACTGGCATCCACTGTTGAGAGACCCATAGACAGTTCACATCACAGGACTCTGTGCAGACAACCTCCAGTACCAGCCCAGAGCCTGGCAGACTTTCTCAGTGGCTGGACCCAGAAGAGAGACAACAATCATTGCAGTTCGGCTCATGGGAAGCCACATCCATAGGAAAAGGGGGAGAGTACTAAATCCAGGGAATACCCTGTGGGACAAAACAATTTGAACAACAGCCCTCAGCCCTAGACTTTCCCTCTGACGGAACCTACACTAATGAGAAAGAACCAGAAAACTAACCCTGGTAATATGACAAAACATATTACCATATCTTTGACACCCCCCAAAAATCACACTAGTTCACCAGCACTGGATCCACACCAAGAATAAATCAGTGATTTATATGAAAAAGAATTCAGGAGATTAGTTATTAAGCTAATCAGAGGGATACCAGAGAAAGGTGAAGCCAATGCAAGGAAATAAAAAAGTAATAATAATACAAGAAGTGAATAGAGAAATATTCAAGGAAATAGATAGTTTAAAGGAAAAACAACAAAAAATTCAGGAAACATTGGAAACACCTAGAAATGCAAAATGTTTACAAAAGTCTTAGCAATGGAATTGAACAAGTAAAACAAATAAATTCAGATCTCAAAGACAAGGTATTTGAGTTAAACCAACCCAACAAAGACAAAGAAAAAAGAATAAGAAAATATGAACAAAGTCTCCAAGAAGTCTAGGATTATGTTAAACGACCGAAACTAAGAATAATTGGTATTCCTGAGGAAGAAGAGAATTCTAAAAGCTTGGAAAACATATTTAGGGAACTAATCAAGGAAAACTTTCCTGGCCTTGCTAGAGACCTAGACATGCAAATACAAGAAGCACAAAGAACACCTGGGAAATTCATCACAAAAAGGTCATCACCTAGGCACATTGTCATCAGGTTATCCAAAGTTAAGACGAAGGAACAAATTTTAAAAGCTGTGAGACAGAAGCACCAGGTAACCTATAAAGGAAAACATATCAGATTAACAGCAGATTTCTCAGCAGACACCCTACAAGCTAGAAGGGATTGAGGCTCTGTCTTCACCCTCCTCAAACAAAACAATTTTCAGCCAAGAATTTTGTATTCGGTGAAACTAAGCCTCATATATGAATGAAAAATACAGTCTTTTTCAGGAAAACAAATGCTAAGAGAATTTGCCACTACCAAACCACCACTACAAGAACTGCTAAAAAGAGCTCTAAATCTTGAAACAAATCCTGGAAACACATCAAAACAGAACCTCTTTAAACCATAAATTACACAGGACTTATAAAAGAAAAATAAAGATAAAAGGCCAAACAAACAAAAATCCAAAGTACACAGGCAACAAATAGCACAATGAATGCAAGGATACCTCACATTTTGATACTAACATTGAATGTAAATTGCCTCAATGCTGCACTTAGAAGATACAGAACCACAGAATGGATAAGAACTCATCAACCGACTATCTGCTGCCTTCAGGAGACTCACCTAACACATAAGGACTCCAAGTAAAGGGGTAGAAGAAGATATTTTACGCAACTGGACACCAAAAGCAAGCAGAGGTAGCTATTCTTGTATCAGACAAAACAAACTTTAAAGCAGCAGTAGTTAAATGAGACAAAGAGGGACATTATATAATGGTAAAAGGCTTTGTCCAACAGGAAAATATCACAATCCTAAATATATATGCACCTAACACTGGAGCTCCCAAATTTATAAAACAATTACTACTAAACCTAAGAAATGAGATATGCAGCAACACAATAATAGTTGGGGACTTCAATACTCCACTGACAGCACTAGACAGGTCATCAAGACAGAAAGTCAACAAAGAAACAATGGATTTAAACTATACCTTGCAACAAATGGATTTAACAGATATATACAGAACATTTCATCCAACAACCACAAGATAAACACTTCAAAAGTTCATGGAACTTTCTCCAAGATAGACCCTATGATAGGCTATAAAACAAACCTCAATAAATTTAAGATAATTGAAATTATGTCAATCACTCTCTCAGACCATATAGGGAAAAAAACTGGAAATAAACTCAAAAGGAACCTTCAAAACCATGCAAATACATGGACATTAAATAACCTGCTCCTGAATGAGCATTGGGTAAAACATGAAACAAAGATGGAAATTTAAAAATTCTTTGAACTGAAAGACAATAGTGACACAACCTACTAAAACCTTTGAGATACAGCAAAGGCAGTGCTAAGAGGAAAGTTCATAGCCCTAAACACCTACCTCAATAAGACTGAAAGAGGACAAACTGATATTCTAAGGTCGCACCTCAAGGAACTAGAGAAACAAGAAAATCCAAACCCAAACCCAGCAGAAGAAAGAAAATAACCAAGATCAGAGCAGAAGTAAATGAACTTGAAACAAAACAAAACAAACAAACCAAAAAAAACACATACAAAAGACAAATGACACAAAGCTGATTCTTTGAAAAGATAAATAAAATTGATAGACCAATAGCAAGATTAGCCAAGAAAAGAAGAGAGAAAATCCAAATAACCTCAATAAGAAATGAAACAGGAGAAATTACCTCTGACACCACTGAAATACGAAAGAACATTCAAGGCTACTGTGAACACCTTTACGCACATAAACTAGAAAACCTAGAAAAGATGGATAAATTCCTGGAAAAATACAACCCTCCTAGCTTAAATCAGGAAGAATTAGATACCCTGAACAGACGAATAACAAGCAGCAAGATTGAAATAGTAATTAAAAAATTACCGACCAAAAAAAAAAAAAAAAAAAGCCCAGGACCAGATGGATTCACAGCAGAATTCTACAAGATACTCAAAGAATTGGTACCAATCCTTCTGACACCATTTCACAAGACAGAGAAAGAAGGAACCCTCCCTAATTCGTTCTATGAAGCCAGCATCAGCCTAATACCAAAACCAGGAAAGGACATAACCAAAAAAGAAAGCTACAGATCGATATCCTTGATGAACATAGATGCTAAAATCCTTAACAAAATACTAGCTAACCAAATCCAACAACATATCAAAAAGATAATTCACCATGATTAAGTGGGCTTCATAGCAGGGATGCAGGGATGGTTTAACATACACAAGTCAATAAATGTGATACCCCACATTAACGGAATTAAAAACAAAAATCACATGATCACCACAATAGATGCAGAAAAGGTATTAAACAAAATCCAGCATCCTTTTATAATTAAAACCCTCAGCAAGATTAGCATACAAGGGACATATCTCAATGTAATAAAAGCCATCTATGACAAACCCACAGCCAACATAATACTGAATGGAGAAAAGTTGAAATCATTCCCTTTGAGAATGGGAACAAGACAAGGATGCCCACTCTCACCACTCCTCTTCAGCATAGTACTGGAAGTCCTATCCAGAGCACTCAGACAAGAGAAAGAAATAACGGTCATCTTAATCAGTAAAGAGGAAGTCAAACTATCACTGTTTGCTGATGATATTATTGTTTACATTGAAAACCCTAAAGACTCCTCCAGGAAGCTCTTAGAACTGATAAAAGAATTCAGCAGAGTTTCCAGAAAACAAGATTAATGTATGCAAATCAGTAGCTCTTCTATACACCAACAGCGACCAAGCAGAGAATGAAATCAAGAACTCAATCCCTTTTACAATAGCTGCGAAAAAAATAAAATAAGTAGGAATATACCTAACCAAGGAGTTGAGAGACAAGAAAAACTACAAAACCCTGCTGAAACAAATTATAGACGACACAAACAAATGGAAACACATCCCATGCTCATGGATGGGTAGAATCAATATTGTGAAAATGACCATAATGCCAAAGCAATCTACAAATTCAATGCAATCTCCATCAAGATACCACCATCATTCTTCACAGAATTAGAAAAAAACTGTTCTAAGATTCATAGAGAACCAAAAAAGAGCCTGCACAGCCAAAGCAAGACTAAGCAAAAAGACCAAATCTGTAGGCATCACACTACCTGATTTCAAACTACACTATAAGGCCATAGTAACAAAGATAGTGTGGTACTGGTATAAATATAAGCACATAGACCAATGGAACAGAATGGAGAATCCAGAAATAAACCCGAATACTTACAGCCAACTGATCTTCAACAAAGCAAAAAAAAAACATAAAGTGGGAAAAAGACACCCTTTTCAACCAATGGTGCTGTGATAAATGGCTAGCCACATGTAGGAGATTGAAACTGGATCCTCATCCCTGCCTTATACAAAAATCATCTCAAGATGGATTAAGGACTTAAAGCTAAGTCCTGAAACTATACAAATTCTAGAAGATAACATTGGAAAAACCCTTCTAGACATTGGCTTAGTCAAGGATTTCATGATTAAAAACCCAAAAGAAAATGCGATAAAAGAAAATATAAACAGCTGAGACTTAACTAAAGAGCTTTGAATGGCAAAAGGAACAGTCAGTTGAGAAAACAGCCCACAGAATGGGAGAAAATCTTCACAATCTATATATCTGATAAAAGACTAACATCCAGAATCTACACCAAACTCAAACAAATCAGTAAGAAAAAAATAAACAATCCTATCAAAAAGTGGGCTAAGGACATGAATAGACAATCCTGAAAAGAAGATATGCAAATGGCCAACGAACATATGAAAAAATGCTCAACATCACTAATAATCAAGGAAAAGCAAATCAAAACTACAATGCAATACCACCTTACTCCTGCAAGAGTAGCTATAATCAAAAAAGCAAAAAACAGTAGATGTTGGCGTGGATGCGGTGAACAGGGAACACTTCTGCACTGCTGGTGGGAATGTAAACTAGTACAGTCACTATGGAAAATAGTGTGGAGATTCCTTAAAGAACTAAAAG
Source organism: Homo sapiens (assembly GCF_000001405.40). Lineage (NCBI taxonomy): Eukaryota > Metazoa > Chordata > Mammalia > Primates > Hominidae > Homo > Homo sapiens. Next base: position 125,675,000 of record NC_000002.12, on the reverse strand, counting down.
TAGAACTACCATTTGATCCAGCAATCCCACTACTGAGTATCTGTCTACCCAGAGGAAGTCATTATACAAATTATTATACATTATACTTGCACACATATGTTTATAGCAGCACAATTCACAATTGCAAAATTGCAAATGCCCATCTATCAATGAGTGGATAAAGAAACTGTGGAATATATATATATGATGGAATACTACTCGGCCGTAAAAAGGAATGAATTAACAGCATTTGAAGAGACCTGGACGAGACTAGAGACTACTATTCTAGGTGAAGTAATTCAGGAATGAAAAACCAAACATTGTAAGTTCTCACTGATATTTGGGAGCTAAGCAATAAGGATGCAAAGGCATAAGAATGATACAATGGGTGGGGCATGGTGGTTCATGCCTGTAATCCCAGCACTTTGGGAGGCCGAGGTGGGCGGATCACGAGGTCAGGAGATTGAGACCATCCTGGCTAACACGGTGAAACCCCATCTTTATTAAAAATACAAAAGATTAGCCAGATGTGGTGGTGGGCACCTGTAGTCCCAGCTACTCAGGAGGCTGAGGCAGGAGAATAGCATGAACCCGGGAGGCGGATCTTGCAGTGAGCCGAGATTGCACCACTGCACTCCAGCCTGGGCAACAGAGTGAGACTCCATCTCCGAAAAAAAAAAAAAAAAACCAACAAAAAAAAGATACAATGGACTTTGGGGATTTTGGGGGAAGAGTAGGACAGGGAGTTGAGGATTAAAAGACTACAAATATGGTGCAGTGTATATTGCTCGGGTGATGGGTGCACCAAAATCTCACAAATCACCACGAAAGAACTTACTCATGTAACCAAATACCACCTGTACCACAATAACTTATGGAAAAAATTTAAAAAGTATATTTTGTTTAGTGTATCTACCTTAATGAATTATCTTAGCTGGATCTGGATAATTTGCAGCAGCTTCTTCATTAATAGTTGCTGCTTCACCTTTCACTTTTATGTTATGGAGATGGATTTTCTTTCCTTAAACCTCATGATTCAACCTTTACTAGCTTCAAGTTTAATTCTGCAGCTCCCTCACCAATCTCAGCCTTCACAGAATTGAAGTGTTAAGACCTTGCTCTGGATTAGGCTTTGGCTTAAGGGAATGTTGTGGCTGGTTTGATCTATCTAAAACTTCCTCCATATCAGCAATACAGTAAGGATGTACTACTTTCTTATCATGTGTGTGTTCACTGGGGATCACTTTTTTTGAGAACATTTTTGCATTCGTAACTTGGCCATTTGGCACAAGAGGCTTAGCTTTCAACCTATCTCAGCTTTTCACATGCCTTCCTCACTAAGTTTAATCATTTTTACCATTTGATTTAAAGAGCTATACAAATCTTCCTTTCACTTGAACACTTAAAACTCATTGTAGTATTATTAAGTGGCCTAACTTCAATAGTGTTGTGTCTCAGGGAATAGAAAAGCTCGAAGAGAGGGAGAGAGATGGAAGAATGACAGGTCAATGGAGCAGTGAGAAAACACACATTTATTGATTAAGTTTGCCATATTTTATGGGCACAGTCTGTGGCACCCCCCAAAAATTAAAATAATAATATCAAAGATCACTGATTACAGATGATTATATCCAATATAATAATAATGAAAAAGGTTTGAAATATTGCAGGCATTACCAAAATGTGACTCAGAGACATGAAGTGAGCACATTGTCTTGGAAAAATGCCACTAACAGACTTGACATACAGGACTGCCAAAGACCTTGAATATATATTTTTAAAAAGCCATATCTGTGCAGTACAATAAAGCAAAAACAATAAAACAAGGTAGGCTTATATTTTAGATTGTGCTCTTCTCTCAAACTTTTAAAAGCAAGTAATTTTTAAGGTTCTTTCTTGGTAACTCTGTGCCTCAGCATTAGAATATGCAGTACCATTTGTTTATTTTAAATTAAGGGTGATGACTGGTCCCCATCTCTATAGATTCTGCTTGGTTGAATCAAATGTCAGAATCTCACACAATAAAAGTAGAAATAAAAGCAATATCACGATCCTGATTTCTCAATAACTGAATATGGTTTCAAAACTGATCCCCTTTCCCATTGTGGTAGGGTGACAAGCCCAGGCAGTTTGGGTTTTCCTTTTTAAACCAGATTTCATCCATATTGGAAGAGTTTTTCTAAAACCGTGCTGATACCCAGTGAACCCGGCACTAGCCCACTGGGGCTTGGTCATCAGTCTTTGAAATTTCTGTTGCATCATCTCTGTGTCAGTCTGCTAGCACCTTCTTTCTGGAGGCTCTCTTAGAAACCCAAGCACATTCCTGATTGTGTGGAATTGCAATCCTACCTCCACACTACAAACGGGTGCTAGAAAGCTCTCCTAGGCCCTCTCTACATAGGCATTTCCAGTTCAGGCTGTTCCTGTCTGCATTTGCTTCTCAAGTCCAGAGAACTTTGGTGTAGTGGGGAGAGGTGGCTCTTATTCATTTGGGGTCTTAGTGACTTTCTCTTCCTCTCAGGAAACAGAGCTTTAATGGCCAGCAACAGCAAGCTTCCTGTTTCTGATTTTTGTCTCAAATCATTTTCTTGAAGTAATTATCACGGATTGGTCAACCTAAGTAAATGGGGAAAATGCCTACGGCATGAAAGAAAATATTGGATAGAAAACAAATACTGAGGTTTCTGAAATGTAAATAGCTTTGTAGGTTATTCAGATGTGCAGCCAACATGGGGACCCAATGTTCTACATTTTCTACCTTATTCATTTTATAAATGCCATTTATCTCCCATCATGTTTAAATTCATGGTTCCTGTAGTTTTGCCTCTGACATACCATATGACTCTGATGTCCATTTTTTCCTGCTTGGCATTTCCACTGCTCTGCATTAGCTTTATCTCAGCATAGCCAATAAGCAAGTATTAACTTGGTTCAAAATTTATATTCCTCTTCAATTCCCAATCTCGGGAAAATGGCATCTACCTAACATTTGGTCTAGCAAACTTCAAACTAGCCTTCCATTCCATAGCTCTATACGTCTACTCAGATGTTAAATGGCATAGATTCTGTGATCCCTTTCTAAGACAGACACTGCTTATTCTCCACTCTAACTGCTAACTGACATCTTATAGTGCAGTATATTGCATTTGTGATTTAACACCTATAATCCCAACTGATCTGTATAATAACTCTGTGATGTGGGAGAGGGAGATACTGTTACCACCATTTCACAGGTAAGGAGCCTAAAGCTCAGAGGACTGATGTCTGTAAGCTCATAGTAAGTCAAAATCAACAACTCTATGCACTTCCTCTTGGGCTTAATGATATCAGAGGAAAATCATACTCGATTTACGTGGAAAATAAACATATATATAAAGTTATCCTATAGATTTGACCCTTGAACAATGTGCGGGTTAGGGGAACTGACCCCCTGCATAATCAAAAATGTTAACTACTAATAGCTTACTGCCAATCAGAAGCCTTACCAATAATATAAATGGTTCATTAACACATATTTTGTATGTTATACCTATTACATACTTTATTCTTACAATAAAATAGAGAAAAGAAAATCTATCCAGAAAACCATACATAAGAGAGAAAATAAATTTATTATTCATTAAGTGGAAGTGGGTCATCCTCGTCCTCTTCATGTAGATTGAGGAAGAGGGAAAAGAGGAGGCGTTGTTCTTGTTGTCTCAGGATGGCATAGAAGAAAATCCACATATAAGTGGGCCTGCCCAGTTCAAATCTATGTTGTTCAAGGGTGAACTGTATGTACATATAGGTAGATGTATTCAGATTAATAAATTAACTGATCTATCTCTGGAATTGACCAAATTTCTCACCTCTCAAGATGTCAGGGTAGCCTCTGGATACACCCATGTGTAAGAACCTTAGGGCTTTCATTACCTCTGTAAGAAACACTTTTATCTCTAGAATGGTGGCTTGTCCAAAAATTTTATGTTGCTCATTTGCTTATGTTCTACTTAAATCATTTCAATATGATTTTCCTCTGATATCTTCACCAGTATTTACATGTTTCTCCAAAAATTTGAGTTTAGTTAGAAGGAAATAAATAAATCCATATTAGGAGATTTTAATAATATAAAACCCATACATTTGCCTTTGTTTTTGGTCTGAGGCATTCCAGCTTAGCCTTAATGTGTGCTATGTTTTGTGCAGCTGTTATTTGCCAACTCCTGAAATGAGAAATTTCAATCACAGGAAAGGCACGTGGCCAGAGACGCATGAGCAGATGTTTCCATCCCCGCATGTGACCTGCTCCTATTGATAGCTCTATGGGCTGATTTTCTGAGCAAATGAACAAGCTTATACAGCATATCCCAGGGGCAAACCACTGGAGGCAGGAAGAACATGATCCTCCTTTTGTTTTACCTGTTTTTTCCTCCTGTATGCTTGGTGACAATACTTCATGGGCTTCTCAACTTGATCCAATCTGAGAATAAGGTTTGCCCTTGAGCAAAAGGTCTTAGAAAGTCTTCCAATGTATGCTTGTTCTGGAAAAATTGAAGAAATGTATCACTAAAGGGGTACAGAGTTTCATAGAATTCATAAGGAAAGGAAAATCGTTGGTTTATAAAGTGTTGATTTGTGGAAGAAGGAAAGCTGTGGGACCTATTTTGCTCCTAACAAATATGTGATAGAGAAGAGAATTAAACGTTAATTCAAACTTAATTATACATTAAAAGTGAGAAACCAAATGGAGTCTTGCTTAAGTACTACACATGCTCAGCTAGGTAATATAAAGTTATATTGCATTTTCTTGACAAAAATTTATTTCCCAGAGGAATCTTCTTCCTTTGTTCATTGAGATTGCTTCATAAATGAAAAGCAGAATGCAAGAATGATGCTAAAATATCAACACCAAGAATTCACCATCTCCTACAGTCTTAGTGCAAATGTTCTCCAAAATAACATGCTTTGGTGTAAGAAAAAAAATCTTATTTACAAAAGAAGAAAAAAATAACTAAACAGCAGATTGGATCTGAAAGTATCCAATAAAAGGACAGTGGTAGAAATCACAATTCTGTTGGCAGTGCAGAGACAAAAAAAATTTATTATGGGACTCCAAACAAAAGAAAAACCAAAAAATGAACTCGGAGGCTGAAAATTCTAGTTCTGCCACTGACTCCCAGACCATGGGCAGATCATTTAAGCTTCCCTGGCCTCTGCCTCCTCATCTCTAAAAAATTGGCAGATCCCATCAGAAAGCACCGTGTTATGGTTACACAAAGGTTCACAGTATCTGTTCCCAAACGTCCTGTCTTTCACACCATCCTACTCTGCAACCTCTCACGTTCTTTTCCAATAATCCCAGGAAACTGCAGGGCTGTGGCCCCACAACTGACTCTCTTATCTATAAGCAAGTGCTATTGTCTTCCTTGCTTATAGAGGTAGGCATCTTTTGTTGCTGAATAAACCATACAACCTGAGAGGGCCTTTCTTGCTTTCCCTGATACTGTTTGATGCTGCTGCTTCTTATAGCAGAGTGTCCAGATTAAATCCAACATCACTGTAGCATTTCTAATTTTCCTTAAAATTCTTCCTCAGTGAAGTGTTCCCTGATTCCCTCAGTTATTACAATTTTTTCTTTGTATCTCAACTGCCTTTTGTTCACAGTGTTCTTACTGTGCTTATCTCATTGCATTGCACTAATTTGTGTATGTGACTCACTCCCCAACATTTATTAAATGAATTGATGAATAAATGAAGGCATCAAATTGAGCAATAATGAGGCCAAGAAGACTGGAGTGAAGCAGGGTAATGGGGAGTATGCTTCAGCTTAATCCTTCTCCAGGAGTTAACTGCATCCCTCATCACACCCCACAAAGCACATACTCAAAGCAACCAGTGCTATTTCCTTTTTGCCCAAAAAATACTAGTATTGCTCCAAGGTCAACCTGTTTAGGAATCAGCTCTTGATTTTTGTAAACATAGTATTAGAGAAAACTCAGTTGGCTTGGTACTCAATTTTTCCAGACCTAGGAGCAGCAACAGGAATTTTACACCCAGCACCAGAATCACCTAAGATTTGAATTGTCACCCTTTCCTTCAGCCATCCACACTGCCAGTCTAGGGAGAAATATTTCAAAAACTGAGAAGAGGTGAACAGAGCAACATTCAGGTGGCATGTGGAAGATGAGATGAAGAACCAGAGCATTTAAAGAGAATAACTGCAAATCCCTAGAGCCTTATCGTGCAGGTGAAAAACAGTTACATCCTCTCTTTGAACACATAATCAAAAACACATAGTGAAGAAAGGTCAGCTAGAAATGGATACCTTTATGTCAGTCTGGGAGGTATTTGATCTGTCTCCAAACCCAATCTAAACTCAAATTTCTGAGCTATCTCTTGCCTTCACAGAAGGAGAAGCTTCCTCAGACACAAGAATCAATGGATTAAGTGGCTTGTCTGCAAATGTTGAAGGTCTTTGTAGAGAGGACTCTGTCTTATTTTGTTCTTCAACCTCTTAGCCTACTACAGAGCCACACACATCATGCTATCAACACATCTATGCTGAATTAACCAAGTTTAGAGAACTGAATTGATGGAGTCACATAGATGTCTGGATGGTAAAACAATTGCCACTCTCTTCTTTATCTCTTAAGACCATTTCTCTTCCTTTCTTTTTCTGCGGTTATTTTTTTTCTTGCTGTAGATTACAAAGAACTAGGGATGAGAATACATTGTTTTCCTTTTGGTTTGTAAGCACATACATTATTGATATGTTTTACTGGAAAAGACAAAACTAAACTTGCGACTAGATGATGCTGGTAGAATTTGATTGGAATAGTAGATGGAAGGTAAGTCCTACCATTCTAAAAGGAAACACACACATGCACACACACACACACACACACAGCTCACATCCCATTAATCTGTTAGTAGCGCTACAAGTTTACACTACAGAGCCAGTCATTTGCCATTAGTCTTTATTGTGAAACAAATTTATTGATAGGTTCTTTCCAATGATAAGACATAAGAAGAACATGAGGTTAGTGACAGGTAGGGGGACAGAGGCCTTTTGAGCTTGTAGCTCCCCAGACAAGGTGTGTGCACAGTCCATGCACACCCTAACACTTCCACCAGATTGACCAATGCTATCTTCGATACTATGCTAAGCTCTTATCTGTGCTAATACATTTAGTCCTCACAGTAACACTGTGAAACAACTACTATTGTGGTTTACACCACACAGAGCAAGAAACTGAAACCAAAAGAGGGGAAGTCATTTTCCAACAAAGAAACTAAGTGGAGGTTCTGGGGATCGAACTCAGACAATTAGCACGTATCTGTTAAAAAATAAGTGCTGAGATGGGAACTTCTACCTTGCTGCCTCTGATTAAAGTTAATCTTGCTGCCTTTGATTAAAAAATTATATATATATTAAATATATTATATATTTAATATATATTTATTTAAAATATATATTTTTAAAATAGGTTATATATATAAAAGAGCCTGTGATGTGTGAGTTTCTTTATTTTTCTAAAATCCTCACATTTTCTTTGGTTTCATATATATATATGATCTTTCCAGCATATATGTATATGTATATATATAGTGAAATATATATATAGTGAAATGTTTCAACAACGCAGCCAATAATAAATAGATACATGCATACATACATACAGTATATGTACAACAATTTTCTTCATAAACTTTCTTCTTCCAAATGATGTTTCCCTGTCCAGTCCCACCCACAACCCTGTAACCACTGCTCCAGTTTGAGGCCTTGGATTCCTCAAATACAAATAGACACTAAAAATAGGGAAGTTATTGATTTTTTTGAGAGAATAATAGAGGCCCCAGAGCTACAGAGCTTTGGTTCTAGAGGTCCTAAATGTTTTTTTTAGTCAGAAAATCACAGGGCTATCCTTCAGGTAATGTAACATCTAGTTAAAACTCTACCACTAACTAGCTGTGGCCAAAAATTAATTATTTAGACTTTATTTTCTTCAGTCATAAAATGAATGAGTTCTGTGATGTGTGAGTTTATTTTTCTGAAATCCTCACATTTTCTTTGGTCTTTTATTAAATGAAAATGAGATGAAATGCTAAATGGTAAAATAATATCAATTGTAATATATTTTGAAAATTATGTTAGTGTAATTTTTCACAAGGCTTGATATACAGGTTAAAAGTTTTTATTATGTTACTTTTAAAAAAGTACTAATATACTAGTCAACAATTTTTGTTGTGTTACATTAAAACACAATCCTATCACAAAAACACTGTTTCTCTTCTTTCCTTAAAAGTTCTTTTTTTTTTTTCTTTTTTTTTTTTTGAGATGGAGTCTCACTCTGTTGCCGAGTCTGGAGTGCAGTGGTGCAATCTTGGCTCACCACAACCTCCACTTCCCAGGTTCAAGTGATTCTCCTGCCTCAGCCTCCTAAGTAGCTGGGATTACAGGAAAACACCACCATGCTTGGCTAATTTTTGTATTTTTAGCAGAGACAGGGTTTCACAACTCCTGGCCTCAGGTGATCTGCCTGCCTTGGCCTCCCAAAGTGCTGAGATTACAGGTGTGAGACACTGTGCCGGACTAAAAATTTTTATCTTCTTGCATATCAACCAATTTTCTGCATTTTCTTGAAATATCAAGTCTCAGTTTTTTCTTGACATACATCAGCTATCCCTAATTTTCTTATGGCCTACTTGAGTTCACAGATCTTATTCTGATTGTAGACTACACAGCCCACGAAATGTTAGTAGATAGGTAAAAGTGATCAGTAAGGATAAACAATAAATGTCAGATGGAGCACCCCTGTTCATCATGAGTTAAGCAAAAAAATCATCCATTCCAGAAATATTTATTTGTTGGTGCCGCTATCTGCTGAACAGAGTTCTAAGCATTGACGATAGAGACAGACAAGTTATTTGTTCCCACAGAGTGTACATTTCCGTGAAGGATGCAGAAAATAAATAAGCATACAAGCAGAATAATTTTGGAGGGAGCAAAGGGTCATGCAGAATTAAAGCAGAGTGATTTAATAGAGAATATAGATAATTATTTTAGATGGTAGATTTAAAAAGTTTTCACAGTGGAGCTGAGCTGACATCTAAATGATGAAAAATAAATTCTGGTAGAAATAGATAGAAAACCACCAGGTCTGTAGGGATTTACAACCTTGTAGGACACAGTGAGACATGAAAATTTCATTTTAAGTTAAAAGGGAGGTCAAGGGTTTATGTAGTAGGGTAAGACGATTTGAGCAATCTCTTAAAACATTGCATTCCCCCTCATCCCAACAATCTATAGAAGTTTATTGTCTCACTCCAAAATACTCTTGAATTCCAGGGTTGGTTTTCCCATCCTTTCCATATGTTAGAATCCATATCTCCTTAGATGACATCTCATAGCCACAATTAAGGTTTCTTTAGTAATTTACCAAAAATAATACATTTAAACAAATGTATGAAGATTTTTAAGGAAAACAAAAGAAGAATTCATATTACAGCAATCCAGAAAACATCCAATTAACTTCCTACCTAAATTCTTAAAATATATTTCAGCCATCCCACAACCATGATATTCTTTGATTTTAACTAGTGTTACCTGCTGTCCATTCTGCTAAATTTTTCTTTATAGTCACATTTTGAGAGATGAAGCCAGCTAGGCTTCTGGGTCAGGTGGGGTCTTGGAGAACTTTTCTGTCTAGCTGAAGGATTGTAAACACACCAATCAGTGCTCTGTGTCTAGCTAAAGGTTTGTAAACTTAGCACCAATCAGCACTCTGCAAAAACGCACCAATCAGCACTCTGTAAAATGGACCAGTCAGCGCTCTGTAAAATGGACCAATCAGCAGGATGTGGGCAGGGCCAAATAAGAGAATAAAAGCTGGCAAGCCAGTAGGGGCACCCATCTCAGCTCCACTTCCACGCTGTGGAGGCATTGTTCTTTTGCTCTACATAGTATATGTTACTGCTGCTCCCTTTTTGGGTCTGCACTACGTTTATGAGCTGTAACACTCACTGTGAAGGGGTGCAGCTTCCCTCCTGAAATCGGCAGACTGTGAACCCACTGGGAGGAACAAGCAACTCCGGACACACCACCTTTAAGAGTTGTAACACTCACTGGGAAGGTTTGGGGCTTCACTCATGAAGTCAGCGAGACGAAGAACCCACGGCAGGAAGAAAATCCAGAAGCATGTGAACAGGGGAAGGAACAAAATGTGGACATGCCATCTTTAAGAGCTGTAACACTCAGGGCTAGGGTCCGCGGGTCTATTGGTGCCAGACCAAGAACCCACGGGCAGGAGCCAATTCCGCACGCGTTTGTTTTGTTCTCTCCAATGATTGGACAAGTAGTTGCAAATTTCTGTTTTTCTACATCATGTAACATGTCGATACTAGAATACCTTGTTGATTTCCTCTTTAAAAATTAGATTGTTGAATTTGAAATGTTTGATCATCAAAAGGAGTGTTATTACTCACCAACAATAGAAGACAGATTTTTTGTTTTTCCTACTAAAAGTTTTCACAGTTCCTCTTACACTGAAAGTTTCTAGACAATGTTATTTTATGTAAGACCCTAAGTAAGGCGGGGGCAATCTATCACTATTTTGGTTTTTCATGTTTGTTAGACTTCTCCTTTATGATCACTTGGGATAAATAGCAAGGGAAATGAAATAAATGGATCTTCCCAAATTAGTTGAATGTATCACAACATAGAGAAACAGTCCAGCTAACTCTACTGATATTTGCCTTTTTACTGTAGGTGATGATGGAAAACCTATTTCTCCCCCTTTTTCTTGGAAAACGTGCTGGTCTTTGTTTTGTTCAGTTTTAGTGGATGAGTAACTTAGGAATACACTCAAATTATGCTCTTAAAAATAATATATTGTTTGAATTACAACAGGATGTACGTTCGCAAATTCTGGCTTTGCTTAATTACCATTTATTTTGTTCATCATTGGCATAAAGGGAAGAAATATCTTTGGGAGCATTTTTAGGGGATTGAAAATAATATATTTTATTCAAATTCAACAGAGCAGGGGAAGTGATACCTATTTTTTTCTTCAATTATTTAATCTATTAGGTACACAATATTCAGAAGTATGTGAAGATAAAGGAACTTGCCATTAAAAGATAAAGGTGCTTGCCATTATTTGAAAACTACACATTCATACAAACATAAAAAGATAGTACTAATCTTTTCATATAGATTGTGCATGATTACACACTTTGGATAGTCTTTGGGGAATTTCTTATCTCTGGGTGCCCTCTCTCTGCTTCTTTCTTCTCCACAGCCTCAGTTTATTTCTACCAGCCTCTCAAGGCACGCAATTCAGCTAGTATTTTTCCGTCTAGTTTTCTGCTCCAGAGAATAGAAGGAAACGTTTTTCTTTTCATGGATGAAAGTATGAGTTTTCTCCAAAAACCCAAGAGCTCTCTTCTAAAACGGGCAGCAATTATCATTTTGTGAGATATTGTATTGAATTATGTGGGGTCCCATAAAGGAGTGTAGGAACAGTTGACAGGACATATTGGGAGGTGAGAAGAAATCTTAATGACCTGCTCCGCAACATCAAGAAATGATGAAGAAAACCCTTGATTTTATTTCTCTTGATCTTGCATGCTTACAATGCAAATTCCACAAGACTTAATTTCTGAATCAGAAAACCCAGGCATGATCAGTAAAATTCTGCTGAATTTCTGTTTTGGAACTTCATGAAGAAGACTGGGAATAGTCGTAGACTTTTGACTACTGTTGACGTAAATACTCGAATTGACTCTTAAATCTCTAATATAGTTGGATTCTCCTAGTGGTCCCATGAACACTGTGAGCAATGGAAGCTTTCTGGCCTGAGTGCTTGGCTATGAATCTGGTTCCATAGGAATGTTCTGTGTTCTCAGTTTCTGTTTCTGAATTTAGAAAGCCTACGCATACGGATTCTGCAGGTTGGCTACATCGCATCCTTTGTGAATGGGCAGATTTTCCACTAACAATATTGATGTCTTCTATTTAGGCTAATAGAAAAATATTTAGGGTTATATCATGTATGGTACTAGGGAAAGGTGTATGACTCCCTTGTGACATCCATTGTCACATTCCCACATTCCTACTAGATGTGCTATCAGTAATCCGAGCTAGGGTTTACAGGGAACAGGATGCCATTTTATGGCGTAATGTGGCAGGTAGTGCCATTTTAGTTATCTTCTGAGCTGGTCCGGTTCTACCTAGCTCCTGAGCCTAAGGTCCACCTCCTCCTGGCCAAAAGCCTATCAGCTGTTCCTGAGTTCCCTTCCTCAGCAACAGGGATGTGCAGTAGCTTTGAGTCTGTGGCTGACTCTGTGTCATTCTTGCTCTAACCTATTGGATGCACTTCCATGACTAAACGTTCCCTCAGACCTTAGCTCTCATCTTCAGTGTGTACCTGGTGCTGCTCTAGAATGGGCAGAACTCAGAGAACGCTGACTACTTAAGGTTAGAGTGCTCTTGGTGACTAAGGAGGAGTTAGTTGACCTGACACCAACATCTTCATTTAATCAATCATATTATGAATCTTCAGATTCGATCAATATTTATTACAAAAAAAACCTTGTTTAACAATCTTGTTTTGGTTATTCTGATAACCAAAACATGGGTATTTAGAGAGAAGCTGAGAGTTTAAAAGAATGCACAGTTCCAAACTGTGTGTGTATGTGTGTGTATAGGAACACAACTTGATTAGAAGGTCACACTGATAACATTTTTTTTTAAATGGAAACTCATATTGAGTTGCAGGTAAAATATTAATATTTTCTTTATATTCATGTTAATATATTTCATAGACTCAAATTATTAAAGTAAAATAACATTTGGATATTTGCTTATATATAAATTTGTTTATATATGAAGCCTGTGTCCCAGAATTATTAACCCTAAAAACTAAGAATAATTGATTTTGTTGCTTGGATTCCCAGCTCTTTATTATTTCAAAATTAAGGTCTTAATTATTAATATTGACCAGTCAAATTGTGTGATTAAATATGATGAATAAATAAGTGACAAAATATAATAAGGCCTCCCAATTAAGGTATTTTTGAACACTGTGTGTGTGTGGCTGTTGTTATTGTTTTCTACTTTTCTCTTGCCTGAGTTTCAAGTGAATTGGTAATAAGGAAGGATGGGGAAAAACATCTAACATTAAAAAGAATGGGAAAGGGGCCTTGAAAAAAAATGAGAGATTTGAAGGTGCTGAGAGAAGAATCACTTCGGCGGAAGTTCTAGCTCAGAACAAGGGCTAGAGGGGCCTTCACCAGGGAGGCACCCATCTGTGTGGGAACCCCAGAGTAGAATTTGGAAGGACTCAAGGCAAGAACAAGAGTGGCCTTGAAAATTAGGGAATAAATGGAAAAACTTTCCACATTGAATCTAGGCCAGTGGTGCATACCACTATCCCTCCCTTTACCCTTCCTTCTAGGGTGACTAAAGTTAGCAAAAATGTATTATATATGTCCAAGCAGCTAGAAGAGAGGACTTGGAATGTTCCACACACAGAGAAGTGATAACTACTCGAGGTGATGGACACCCCACATACCCTGACCTGATCCTTACACAGTCTATGAATGTAACAAATACATCTACACAAGGACGCAATGTAATATTAATGTCCACTGAGAACAAAACAATTTCAAACTAATAACACAATCGTTTATTATCTCAATATGTTGCACAAACTATCTAGGGACACTGGATAGAACATCACTCCACCCTAACAGGAGAAAAGCCAGTTAGACTACAAAGGTATAACTCTCTTTGAGCCTAGAGAGCCCTCCATATCCATCTCCTTCCTTAAATATCAAATAAGAGCTCTTTCATAATTGCTTTTCCCTCCAGCCTTTCTAGTGCCAAAAGCCAGTTCCTCTGTCCTTGCCCATGTGTCTACAGCTGGGGCCCATCTTTTCTCGCCTAGCTGTCTGGAGCTTGCTGAGAATGTTTCTTATTTTCTCTAGGACACTAAGTTCTCCCAGGGAGAAAGTATAACTAATGTGTCTGTATACCGCCTTTAGAGGGATAGAACTAATAGGATATATGTATATGTGAAAGGGAGGTTTATTAAGTAGAACTGACTCATACAGTCACAAAGTAAAGTCCCACAATAGGCTGTCTGCAAGTTGAGGAGGAAGAAAGCCAGTGGTGGATCAGTCTGAGTCGCAAAACTTGAAAATTAGAGAAGCCGACAGTACAGCCTTCAGTCTGTGGCCAAAAGCCAAGAGCCCTTGGCAAACCACTGGTGTAAGTTCAAGAGTCCAAAAGCTGAAAAACTTGGAGTCTGATGTTCGAGGGCAGGAAGCATCCAGCATGGGAAAAAGATGAAGGCTGGAAGACTCAGCAAGTCAAGTCTTTCTACATTCTTCTGCCTGCTTTACTCTAGCTGTGCTGGCAGCTGATTAGATGGTGCCCACCCAGATTGAGGGTGGATCTGCCTCTCCCAGTCCACTGACTCATATGTTAATCTCCTTTGGTAATACCTTCACTGACACACCCAGGAACAATACTTTGTATCCTTCAATGCTTCATCAAGCATTGAAGCATTAATCAAGTTGACACTCAATATTAACCATCACAAGTGCACCCCTTGTCAACTTGAACCAACATACATCTCCTAAAATCATATGCAATCTTCAAATAAAGACAATAATAAGGTCATAATTAGTCATAATTATACCTAACATAATACAGCTATCGTTCATACAACCCAGTGTGCACTAATCCTTAACCTAGATGCTATTACATAGAGTTAAACACATTTAAATGCTGATATGAAGTCAATAAATCTTATGTCACACAGTAAAGGGAAAAAGGAAATAAAATGAAAATATTCTCTTAGTACAAGTGTCTACGTGCACAAATACGTTCTTAACAAAATAAGGAGGAAATACTCATAGCAGTTACAGTCACTCCTCATTCCTGTAACCTGGTCAAATGGTTGTTACTGGTATTGATGATTACCTTCTACTACCCATTTTTTATTCCCTTTGCCTTCAGCAAGCACCTCAGAAGGTCATGGGTTTTTTTTTATTATTATTATTTTGTATGTGTGTGGTTTTTGTTATGTTTTTGTTTTTGTTTTGTTTTGTTTTGTTTTCCTAGTGGAGTGACTCAAACCTTCATTTCTGAAGGGTCTGGATCATTTGTAGTCCAGCCTGGATTGGGTAGTTGTTGTTTCCCCTTGACCTTAATCACAGGGTAATACTAAGAGTAGTCGTAAGAGATTTCCTGTATTCCAAACATAGTCTTCCTTATCTCCATTGTGAAGTAGGAGACTAATTTCATCCTAATAGTCTGAGTCAATCATCCCAGCCAACACTGTAACTCCCTTTTTAGCCCATTGACTTAGAGGTAGGAGGAACCCAAAGTGTCCAGGTGGCAATCTTCACTTCCCGCTTAATGGAATTATTGTTGTGTCTCCTGGTGGCAGCATCCCTCCCTCTGGAACTAAGACCTCTAGGCCAGCAGTACGTAATGTCACAGGAACAAGAAGCAAAAATTTTGCTAGTGGGTCACTAGGGGTGATGGTGAGTGGTGCCATGTCCACTTCTGCCCCTTGATTCCTGGACCCATGAATCCTGGCTATGGGAGGAAGAGTACCATATGCTGGATGCTGATTCAGAGCATACACAGCCTTCTGAAGAACTTTGCTCCAGCCCTGCAAAGTATTGTCACCTAGACTTGTCATTGTAATTGTGACTTCAAAAGGTCATTCCACAGTTCTATCAATCCAGATGCTTCAGGATGATAGGGAACATGGTAAGACCAGTAAATTCAATGAGCTTGAGCCCACTGCCCCATGTCTCTAGCCAAAAAGTGAATGCCTTTGTCAGAGACAATTCAATGTGAAATACCATGATGGTGATGATGGTGGATAAGGCATTTGGTGAGTCCACGGATAGCAGTCTTGGCAGAAGCACTGCATGCAGGATAGGCAAACTCATATCTGGAGTAAGTGTTTATTCCAGTGAGGACAAACTGCTGCCCTTTTCATGATGGAAGGCGTCCAGTATAATCAATCTGCCACCAAGTAGCTGGATGATCACCTTGAGGAATGGTGCCATATTGAGGGCTCAGTTTTGGTCTCTGCTGCTGGCAAATTGGGCACTCAGCATTGGCCACACCCAGGTCAGCCTTGGTGAGTGGAAGTCCATGTTGCTGACCCCATGCGTGACTTCCATCCGTGGCACCATGACCACTTTGTTCACTGGGCAATGACGGGGTGGCTGGGGAAAGAGGCTAAGTGGTGTTCATGGAATGAGTCATCCTACCCACTCGATTATTAAACTCCTCTCTGCTGAGGTCGCCCTTTGGTGAGCACTTACATGAGATATAAATATCTTCACAGTTTTTGACTACTCAGAGAGGTCCATCCACACCTCTTCTCCAAATTTCTTTGTCACCAATTTTGCAATCATGCTTTTTCCAAGTCCCTAACCATCCAGTCAAACCATTGGCTGTAACCCATGAATCAGTGTAAAATCGCATAGCTGGCTATTTCTCTTTCCAAGCAAAGTGCACAACGAGGTGGACTGCTCGAAGTTTTGCCTACTGGGAAGATTTTCTTTCACCACTGTCCTTCAAAGATGTCCTACAAAGGGGCTAAAGATGCAAAAACATATCAACATATCATCCAATATATGCTATATCAGGGCTCCCTTACATGGAGCACTTTTCCTCTCATTATTAGTTAATCCATTGCTATATGCCCGACACTATTCCCATTGTTTGAGTTATAGATATGCAGAATATGAACCATGTTCCTGAAGGAAAACATAATAATCCTCCCCAAAATATTGAAGATGATTAAATTAAATACACTAAAAGCGTGGGCTCTGTTTGCCTCATGGCAGGGCATAAATCTTTCCTCACTAAGGACAGCACTCGCTCCTCAGCCTACAGACCATACCAGCAGGCACCAGAGGAATCTGAGAAGCGATTTTACTATGTTCCCACATTTTCCCACCTTTTCAAAAAATGGAACTGTTCTATTCTTTGTCTTGTCTCTATTTTGGACTTATGGCTCTTTGTTAAAATATTATTTAAGCAAGGCACGTAAGCCACTGCCTTGAGAGAGAACTACTTTTAAGCTAAGGCTTCTCCTGCATGATAGGTACAGCACGTGTTCATACACTTCTGCTTTGTTGTTGTTGTTGTTAATTTGACTTTTGTTTTCAGGAGAGTGTCTCAACTAAGAACTAAGAAGAGAAAGAAAAGAAATTATGTTTTCTTCCCTCCATCCCTAGCTTGTGAAATTGACAGTGTACCAGGGAAATAGTCATATAACAGGTAAATAGCATTTGCTGAAATGCCACAGCAATATGAAGCACAATCCTGAACCCATCCTTTCTGTCTCTACATTTTCTCTAAATCTAAAGGCCCACATTTTAAACACTCCACGAGTCACTTGTATTTGGATGTTTTGCTATCATTTTAAGCAGTGTGCCTCATCTGAACTTGGTAACTTCTCCTGGTATATTCCCCCTCTTTCACGTTTTTCAATTCTCTTAATAACAATATCTTTGCCTAATGACAAATTTTTAAAAGATCCTTTATATTCTAACCCTAACCAAGGGCAGCAAAATCCTTATCAGAAACATTTTTACATTTTCCTTTTGTTTTAATTTCCACTGCTGACTCTCTGGTCAAAGTTCTAGTCGCTTTGGCTCCAACTCTGTTTTCTCTCCTTCCAGTTGATCTGCACAGCTTACTACCTCCTGCCTCAAAACTATTGGCTTTAAACATTTTATTTGATGCTTAATTGACCACAATAATTGTACAGTTTTATGGGACACCCAGTGATATTTTGATGCATAAAATATATAGTACTCAGATCAGGATAATTAGCATACTCGTCATCTCAAACATTTATCATTTATTTGTATTGGGAACATTCAGTATCTTCCTTCTAGCTATTTGAAACAACAGATTGTTGTTAACTATAGTCATCCTGCAGTGATATAGAGCACCAGAACTTAATTCTCCTAACTGGCTGTAATTTTGTATCCTTTAGCAAATCTCTCCCTATTCCTCCCCCTCACCCCTTCCCAGCCCCTAGTTTGTTAAATGCTTTTAACACTTAAAATGTCAATACTGCTTCCTATAATCAGTTGTTCCTTTGTCAGATAAAGCTACTAGAGAAAGCCACATATCAATAGAATCTCAAAGGCTAATAGGAACATGGAACTAGTACTAGACAGATACTACATGGTTGCTGGCAGCTGAGGGGATGGTGTGTTCAATGTGGGAGGTAGGGTTTCCACTTAGTAAAAGTGCATAGATGAATACCTAGAGGCAAATGATATTGAGAGTTAAGAGTGCAATTA
The DNA here is from genome assembly GCF_000001405.40 of Homo sapiens. Classification (NCBI taxonomy): domain Eukaryota; kingdom Metazoa; phylum Chordata; class Mammalia; order Primates; family Hominidae; genus Homo; species Homo sapiens. The sequence goes on along the minus strand of NC_000002.12, from coordinate 125,656,688 downwards.
GGGGTATAGAAGTAGTTAACATTATGCAGAGACAGAGTCAGAGAAGGTTGAGCAGAATATCTCTTGCGGAGTCTAGCTTTAATTTTTCAGGCACTGGGAAGTCAAAGATGTGGTTTTAGCAATATAATTATATGATTGGATTGGGAACCTTTAAAGAAAAATCAGTCTGGCATCTTTCTCTGCATACTGCAGTTCAAATTGTTTATTCTTTTTCCATTAGGTTAAGTTCTGCTCAAGGGTGAAGACCAAGTCTTAATCCTGAATCTCCAGTGAGAACCAAAGTGGGTGCTTATAGCAGACACACGCCCCCTGTTGACTGATAATGGATGATAATGGATGGTAACAGAAAGTCTCTTCCAGACATTTTCCACTTAATTATGTTTTAAAGTCATCCTAGAACAATTTAACAGTGTGTATTTTCTCTCTCCAGTTAGACACATTGTTATTTATTTATTTTTTAGACAGAGTCTTGCTCTGTCCCCAGGCTGGAGTGCAGTGGCGTGATCTCGGCTCACTGGAACCTCTGCCTCCCGGGTTCAAGTGATTCTCCTGCCTCAGCCTCCGGAGTAGCTGGGATTACAGTCGCACACACCAGGCCCAGCTAATTTCTTGTATTTTTAGTAGAGAAGGGTTTTCACTGTGTTGGCCAAGACGATCTCGATTTTTTTTTTTTTGAGACGGAGTCTCGCTCTGTTGCCCAGGCTGGAGTGTAGTGGCACGATCTCGGCTCACTGCAAGCTCCACCTCCCGAATTCACGCCATTCTCCTGCCTCAGCCTCCCAAGTAGCTGAGACTACAGGGCCCACCACCACGCCTGGCTAAATTTTGTATTTTTTAGTAGAGACGGGGTTTCACTGTGTTAGCCAGGATGGTCTCGATCTCCTGACCTTGTGATCCACCCGCCTCAGCCTCCCAAAGTGCTGGGATTACAGGCATGAGACACCGCACCCGGCCATTGCTATATTTTTTTAAGGGTAACTATTATATTATATTTTATTATTAAATTAAATATATATATATAGAGAGAGAGAAAGAGTCCCCTCCTCTCAATGCAGAAGACACAGGGCATCACTTATAAGGCAGTCATCGATTGGAGCTATTGATCTATTGATAGATTCCATCTTTTTTTTTTTTTGAGACAGAGTCTCACCCTGTCACCGAGGCTGCAGTACAGTGGCGCCATCTCCACTCCACTCACTGCAACCTCTGTCTCCTGGGTTCAAGCAATTCTCCTTTCTCAGCCTCCCAAGTAGCTGGGACTACAGGTGCATGCCACCATGCCCAGTTAATTTTTTGTAGTTTTAGTAGAGACAGGGTTTCACCATATTGGTCAGGGTGGTATAGAACTCCTGACTTCAGTTGATCCATCTGCCTTGGCCTCCCAAAGTGCTGGGATTACAGGCATGAGCCACCGCGCCCGGCCTCTTTTCTTTACTATAATAGGTTAGCTGTTCTCGTACAACATAATGACATTTTCTAAATGAAAATTTTCAGTGTCGTTAAAGTCCTGTCCAATTTTGCAAACATGTTTGTCCTTTTAAAGGCCAAGAATGCCTCTTTTTCACATCTTGGACACAACCTTTATATTAGTTTGTCACTGGATGTACTAATTTTGATATATTTTGAAATAACTTGATGGATCTTGAAAAGTACCAGTCTGACTTGTTTTCAGAATTAAATTCATGACATCTGTTTCTTCTGCAAATGTTGTGATAATCTAAAACCCAAGCAAGAAAGGAGAAATAGACCAACTTCTGTGCAGAACTATTTTCCTTAAGAGTATGAACTAATAATTTATTTATTATATCAGGGTAAAGCTTGTTGCAATAAATTATTAACACATAACTGTATTTTTGTTGATATTGAAAACCTGTATCCAGCATTTATAAAATGTCACAGCTCTATTGTAAGTTATAGTGAAAGGCCACGTGGGAGTACAGCTCCTAGAGTAATAGATATTTGCCTCACCATCATTGTGAATCTTTTATTAAGCAGTTACTTCTATATGACAATGTACAAGAAAAACACATAAGCTTAATGTCTGTGCTCTCAAGTGTTGTCATCTAAAATAGTCCCTGGGATTTATTGTTACTTAGTAAATACTTTCTGAACAGGATGACAGATACTGTGCTGGAACTTCAACACACAGATCTGTCTGGGTTGCCCTCAACCCACTGGAGGGGTATGAAGAATGTTTAGTGAACAAGAGAGTTGTGCAATTCTGTTGGCCTCCCTGCTTTCTTAGCCTAACTCATTGAGATAGTATCATTCCTTCCTGGAAACAAGAAAAGCCTGGAGGGATCATCAGTGCATGCTGTGATACATTCCACAGGGCAGGTGATGCCATAGGGCTTCTCTTCCTCCTCTTAGCTGTCGTTTTTCCATAAGGAATAAATAACCACTGGGTACAACAATTCAGGCAATAGATCATTCAGCTTATTTCTACCAACCCACCAAGTCATATGCAGGCACAGCAAGATGCTTCCAAGTATGCTAGGCCAGCAAGATCTATTGTATTAACTCTACAAAACTAATTAAAAAAAAAATTATAGTCGGAGTCTTGCCCTGTCACCCAGGCTGAAGTGCAGAGGTGCAATCTTAGCTCATTGCAGCCTTAAACTCCTGGGGTCAAACTGTCCTTCCACTTCAGCCTCTGGAGTAGCTGGAATTACAGGTGCACCACTATGCCCAGCTAAAACTCAACTCTTGATGTTCTCCCAAAAGGGAACAAACTTTGGCTGGAACTCCTTCATTCCACTCTCTGCTTATTATATTTGCATGCAGTTTTATGGACTACTGCCTCTTGTTTTTCAGTTTTGCTCATAAGAGAAGCATATAAATAGTTTGTACTAAAAGATGGTATAATTCAACCCTTTAAGAAGAGAAGCTTAAGATGACCATGTTTCTATCAGATGGTGTCTGAAAAGAGGTTTAGGTAGAGCTCTGACAGACAGAGAGGGGCTTGGGGTAGAGAGGAGTAGTCTCCGTGGTGAGAATAGCATGAGGGAAGACAAAGGACTTTCCTACAGGTTGCATGACAGGTAGTCTTTGGCTTGTTTGACTGGGGCATATGGCAAGTATAGGGGTGTAGCACAAAGCAAGAATTGAATGTTAGAGGCCATCGAAAGGATCTAAATACATATTTACTAAGTAACAATAAATCCAAGGGACTATTTTAGCCATCGAAAGGCTCTAAGTACATATACGCAAACACCACATACACACACATTTATATATACACATTTTATATGTGTGTGTGTTTGCACATGTGCGTATATAAATACATACACACATTATATATATTTTGTGTTCATTTCAAATGCATATATGTATATATGTATTTGTATATACATATATAGTATGTGTGTGTGTGTGTGTGTGTGTATGTATATGTATGCATGTGTGTATTTGAAATGCACTTCACCATTTAGGGAAACAGTGTAAAGATTTGACTTGTGCAAACAGACATTGTGAACAAGCCTGAAATGAGCAGATGTGAGAAGAAAGAAGAGTCAGAACAAGAGGTGAAAAGGAGCACCTAGAAAGGAGAGAAGAAAGGAAAAGAGTGTTTGGTGCAGCATCATGTGCAGGGGTTGGGGCCTGGATTGTCCCCTGCTGTGTTGAAGGATTGAGAGAAGACAGAAAACAATACAGAAAAAAGTTTTAGATTTGAGAGGAAGAACTCATTGCTAATGTTGGCTTCTCAATTCCCCAAATCTGAACAAAAGGAGCTAGATTTACACCCTGCAGAGAGAATGCCACTTGGGATTAAACAGTTAGGAAATAAGTGGGCTGAACTTTCATGTGTTGAAGGGACGCTGAGCTTGAGAACTCAAGAATGTGTAAACTCTTCTGACAATTTTATTTCACATTTCCATCTGTTAATTATGGGAGCTCTCTAATTTTTCTTTTTCCTTTTTAAGTGATGCAAAGATGGCTTCCAATTTATTGGTTGTGGAAACAGTTTCATTCCTAGTCGGGGACTAGTCTGCCTTCCCTGTGATGGAGAAAAGCCACAGGAAGCAAAGCACTAAGGCTACTGCCTCATCAATATCAGCCTCAGGGCTCCTCAAAGCCCCAGCCTTTACACATTTATCTCTTCCTGTTCTGTGTCAATTTCAACAGTGGGGAATGCCCTGGGGCTGAAATAGACACAAGATCCAAATGAATCAATGTCCTATAAGCCAAGTGCTATGCCTTCAAGCAAGGCAGAGCAATTATTACCCAACACGGGTGCTCCTGCTGGTTCTCAAGGACAAGCAAGGGAAGTGAATCTATCACAGCCCTGCCACTTAAGATGCATTTTAAACTGCAGTGGCCCTCCCGCACAGCCATCGTTCACTTATGCTCAGTGTCATTCTTTTGCATTCTTTCAACACTGGCAATTTGCACAAAGGAAACCAAGAAGACAAGGCACTAGGCTGGTGGGTTTAAAGTGCAATCTTAGGGATAAAACTGCTCTTAAGAGGGGAAGAAAAGCTCTGGTGTAGGAACATCTCTTGAGCATTTTCAGTTCGCTGCAAATTCTTCACCCCAGCACGTGTATTCCCAAAATACATAGAAAGACGTTTTAGTTTGGTGTCCCGTCAGGCACTTAATTAGCCTCTGTTAAAGGATACTGAAGGGAGAAATGTAGCTATCCTTTTGAGAAGATCCCATCCCGATGAGAGAGACAGAGAACTAAACAATTATAATATTGGGTAATCACATTAGCAGCGGATACAATAAGGAGTGCCAGGAGCAGAAAGGAAAGCCATTTTCCATATCTGGCGGGAGTTCCCGGGAGCACTTCCTGTCTACCAGGTATACCTGAACTGACTGTTGAAGAACAAAGGAAGAAAGAAGAGTCAGGGAAGAACACTGTGGGCGGAGAGGGAGAATATTGCATCTGGTGGAGTGTAATGGCTCATTGTGTGTTAACCATAGGGTTTCAAGAGGGCAAGAGATGAGAGATAAAGATAGAGAGGGAGACAGAGCAAGATACTGGTAAACCATCTGCAGAGCCATGGCCAGGGACAGGACCCCATTCAGATCCCAGGAGATCCATAGGGGAGTTGTCAGCAGCAGTGACAGGACAACATGTAACTATTCCACATAAGTGAAGGCTCTGTTCTTTTAAGTACTGAAAAGTATTTTATAGAATGATTTGTGAAATGCGTTATGCACTTCATTTCTCCTGAAAGTATTTTTTTTTGGCCCCAAAATATTGCTCTTTCATCTGCACTCTAACCACTCTCAGTTGGTACTTGTTTTATGTTGTCTACTTAATGTCATAAGTTGTAATATTTTTACCTAACTGGCTTCTGCCTGTCTCTCTTACTAAAAGATAAGCTCCAGGAAGTGGCTGCTCTTTGAAGTTTCTACTCTTGTTGGTTTTGACTTTCCTCATCACAGGATACAGTTGGAATCTCACCTAGGATGTATTCCAGATGATATTTCCTGGAAATATTCCCTGATAACTGAGCTTCTTACTCTATTCCTGGCAAGTAGAGCTCCAGGACACAGTGTCACCAGGGAGCCTGGATCATCGCAGAGGAGGGGCATGCCAAGTTCCCACAATGTAGAGCAGGAAGGCAAGGAAGACCTGAAGAAAAGTGCCTAGGGGTGCATTTGGACTAGCTCTAAATTAACAAACCTTGTGATGCTTCCATTACGAAGAGCTGGTGTAAGAGAATTGGAAAGACATGTAGTATAGAAGAATGGAAATAACATATAGAGGTCGGAAATATGAGACTGGAGTCAGAGCCTGGAGGTGCTAGAATTTAAAAGGAGGGCTCTTACTGACTAATTCAGTCTGAATTGAAGGAGCAGTTAGGCACCAAAAATCTAGAGAGGTTAAGAAATTAAGTCATCAAAAATCTAGAGAGAAGTTTAGGTATACCTACTCATCACTCATATACATATGTGTGTGTGTGTGTGTGTGTGTGTATATATATATACACGTATATATATATACACGTATATATATATACACGTATATATATATACACGTATATATATACACACGTATATATATACACACGTATATATATATACTATATATGTACGTATATATGTGTATATATGTATATATAGTATGTGTATATATGTAGGCTTATATATATATAGGCCTATATATATATGTATGTATATATATAGGCTTCTGCCATTCTTCTGAAAAAAATATTTTTCACTAAATTTCCTTTGTACTTAGGGAGACATACATACCCAGTATTTGGCAAGTACTGTAATAGAGGTAAACCAGGTTCTATGCAAGCATATGATACTCTCCTAAATCTGTTTGGTTAAGAGGGTTAATGAACAAAGGGATCTGATCAAATCCTACTGGATTAGTAGGAATTATCCAGCTAAAAGGTAAGAGCATGCACACAGCGTTTTAGCTGAGAGAGTAACTTGTTCAGAGTTACAAAACTTATGGCATGTTAGAGAAACTGCAAGGGGCTTGATATGGCTGGATCCTAGTGTTTGAGGTGAATATCAAAAAATAAGGAATAAATTAGTAGAGAAATCAGCTTAATGTTATGCTAGATACCAATTTATTCAATCTTTTTGGAAATCTGTATGTGTTTAACCAAAATATTTAAAAAATATACATAACTGGAGGGGAATAGTTTCTGGTAAAAATGGGAGACTAGAAACCTCAAAAATTATTTGCTCCATAAAAGCAGCGAGCAAACTTACAAATGTTTGCAGAACAGATTTAACTTCTTATCAACCTGGATACCCCAATCACTAAATATGACCTCATGGGTCTTGTAACAATAAACAAGCCCATATGAAACCTGTGAAATTTTTCTTGGAGTTAAAAATGGTTTTTCATTTTTGACTTTCTCTTTTTATTGGTTTACGTAAATAAAATAATTTTTAAATAAAAAAAGAAAACTTAGAAATGTCAGACCAAGTTTTTTCAGAAGTCTAGAAATTAACCAACAGCTTGCAGCAATCCTGAAAGTTTTTATTCAAGAAAAATGGCTGAATTTCAGGACTAACAGAGCTTCTTGTACCTTTTTAACTTGCGCTGCTTCCATTCCACACCTCCAACTCTATGGTTTCCTTGAAAACCTACAGCCAACAAGCATGGTCAGTGGCGTGGCAGCCACCTGGAAGCAGGAGGTTTGGTACCCCTTCGAAGCCTAATTCCCCTAGACTCGTCATTATTTGTCCTGTCTGACAGTCCCATGAAAGACCACACTCTCAGAGCCCTCTTTATTTGTCCTGACTTGGAGCTCCCCTAGTGTGAACAGCCTTTTTCCTGGGGCATTTATAAAAAAAATAATAATAAGTGGCAATTGTTTAACATCACTGCTGCCTAAGGCAGTAAATAACAATTTGGACTAACAATAAGCTACTCCAAAAGTTTAAAAGAAAATTCTTGAGAATGAGATATCCATGGGAGGCTTTGAAAATCTCTGATGCATTCCTGGGATATAAAAGGTCACACACATGCATGTTGCTCTACACATGCCCAGGCTGGGCATATGGTCCAAAAAATACCTGAAAGTGCTCCAAGCTCCCACCTCTGCTAACCTTGAAGGCACTGAACAAACAGGAAGTAAAGGCTCTGGCTTGGTGTTTGAAGGGTGCCCCAGCTCACATTGCAGAGCCTGTCAACAAAGACTGGAAGATTTGTTTTTTCCAAGCATTAAAGGAAATGTGTGTCCAATCATTAGCTGACCATTAAGTTAACTATGAAGAGGTTTCATGACACAAACATGATGGAATCGTTCAGAAGAAGTTCCTAAGCAAACAACAATAATATTAAAACGAAAAGTAACACACCCTAAGGCAGGGAGATAATTTGATTTCCAAAGTTGCCACATTGTATTATTTTAAATGTCCTGTTTTCAACAACAACAACAACAACAACAAAATCCAAGGCTTGCAAAAATAAAAAAGGCTTGGCTCATACATAGGGACAAAAGGTTATCAAAAAACTATCCATTAGTAAGTCCATGTATAGGAATTATTAGACATAGATTTTAATCAGGCATTTTAAATATGTTCAAACAAATAAAACTATATCTAAGAATAAAAGTATAAGAACTGATATCTTACCAAATAGAGAATATCAATAAAGAGATAGAAATGATAAAAACAAATCAAATATAAACTCTGGAGTTGAAAGCTACAATAATTTAAATGAAAAATCCACTAGAGGAGATTAGCAGCAGATTTAAGCAGGCAGAAAAAGGTTAATTGAGGTCATCCTATCCGAGAAACAAACAAAAAAAAGAATGGTGAAAAATCAACAGACAGAAATTCAGAAATGTGTGGGATGATCAAATGCACCAATATGCATACAATGGGATTTCCTGATAGCAGAGAGACAGGCACAGAATAATATTTGAAGAAATCATGGCAGAACTCTTCCAAAATGTAATAAGAAGCATTAATGTGCACATCTCAGAATCTAAACATACTCAAAGTATATAAATTCAAAGAGATCCCTGCCAAGACATATGATAATGACACTGTTGAAACACATAGACAAAGAGATTCATGAGAGGAATGAGAGAGAAGTGATCCATCGCATACAAGAAATCCTTGTAAGATTATGAGTTGATCTCTCATCAGAAACAAATGGCGACCAGAAGGCAGTGGGACAACATATTCAAAGTGCTGAAAGGAAAAAAAAATGTTTAACAAAAATTTCTAGATTCCTCAAAATTCTGCTTTGTAAAGGATGGAGGAATTAAGGCATTTCTAGAAAATAAAAAAATGAGAAAATTTGGTACTAGCAAACCTATCCTAAAAAATACTAAAGGGAGTCCTTCATGAAGAAATGAACAGGCAGTTCATTCAGAACAACATGAAGACATCAAGAACACTAGAAAAGGTAAGTACATTGGTAAACATACAAGAGAGTATAAATATATTTTTGTTTAACTTTGTTAGTCCTATCTGATTTAAAAGAAAATTCTATTAAGCAATAATTATAAATCATGATGGTTACATTATGCCAACTAGACCAGGCCATGGTACCTACTTGTTTGGCCAAACACTAGTCTAGATGTTACTGTGATGGTATTTTGCAGACGTGATTAGCATGTATAGTCAGTTGAACTTAAGTAAAAAAGATTATCCTATATAACATGGATAGGCTTCATCCAATCAGTTAAAGGACTTAAGAGCAAAAGCGGACGTTTCCCATAGAAGAAAGTCTATAATAAATTCTGCCTTTGATTCCAGACTGCCAGTCTGTACTATACATTTCAGACTCAAGACTGCAACATCAACTCCTTTTGCCTAGCCTGCTTGCTTGCCCTGCAGATTTTATACTTGCCCATATCCACAATCATATGAGTCAATTCCTTAAAATAAACATATCCTAATGGTTTTGTTTTTTGGGAGAACCCTGACTGGCAGTGTGCAAACATGTAGAGTTGATTCTCATTATTCGTTACACATATGTTCTATAAAGTCTTTGTAAATATTGATTAGCGAATACTGAACCATTGCTCCTAGCGTAAGTTTTATCATATACATACTACATATATAACATAGACTGTAACTGCAGATTTTATAAACAACTCATTTTGATAGATTCTATTTTCTTAATTTTACAAAATAGAAAGTTAGGTTCAGAAATATGAAATCAGTTGTCTGAGGTCATCCCACTAACAGTTGTCAAAGCTGATATTCAAATGTCATTTAACTGGCCCTAAAGCTGGGGCTTCTTACACTGTACTACAATGCACCCTACTGTTTCTATCTTCTGGTCATGTCTGCATGAGAGCTGAAACAAGAAGACAGAGCTCTGCCTTGTCCAACCTCATGTGGGAATGTGCAAGTTAAGAAGTTAAGTATATATATATATATATATATATATATATATATACACACAAAATATATATATATTTTGACCAAATATATTTTATACAAAATATATATATAAAATGACCAAAACACACACTCTATATATATATATATATATATATATATATATATATATATATATATATATATGCGAGAGGAAGCTCTCACATAATGTTTGGCCGAACTCTGGATTAGTCTTTCCCCACACTTTCATTCAACTTTAGTTTAAACTCATAATATTTTGGGGCTCTCTCATAATTACGCAAATTGTGTATATACACAAAATATATATATAAATTTTGGCCTTATGTAACTGTTTGTCAATGACCGCTTAAGAGTCACTTGTATTGATTCGGGAGTTACAAATATATTTTAGCAAGTAAGGAAAAGTACAAATGCCATGATTAATGAGAATTGGGTATAATTTGTGACAATAAGCACAAAAGAAGTTGGGAAAATATAGCTACCAAGAGCACAGCATTTTTATACTATAGAAATTATGTCGATATTAATGCCAACTAGACTGTTACAAATTATGATGTTAATTGTAATCCCCAGGGCAACCACTAAAAAAAATAACTGAACAAACCAAGAAAAAGTAAAATATGAGAAGATAATTAAAATAATGCAGTAGGTAATGTCATTTAATACAAAAGAAGGTAGCTATGAAAGAGTAGAGGAATGGCCAAAACACGGAAAAGGAGGGGGCGGGGCGGGGCATAAAACATACAGAGAACAGAGAGCAACCTGGCAGCTGTAAATCCTACCTTATCAGTAGTTATATTAAATGTAAATACATTGATCACTCCAACTAAAGGACAGAGGATGACGAATAATTAAAACAAATTTAGAAAAAATTAAAAAAAGAAATTTTATCCAACTATTTGCTGGCTACAAATAACACACTCTAGATTCAAAAACACAAATCAATTAAAAGTAAAAGGAGGTTAAAAAAAAATCCATGCAAGTAGTAACCAAAAGTCAAGTGGAGTGACTCTACTGATATCAGAAAAAAATAGATACTAAGACAAAATTGTTGCTAGAGACAAAGAATGACATTTATGAAGATAAAGCTGTCAATCCTTCAAGAAGATATAACAATATAAACATGCACATAACTGTTAAGGAAACCCCAAAACTGACATGATGAGAGAAATAGACAATTCAACAGTAATAGTGGGAGACTTCCATACCTTACTTTTAATAGTGATACACTTAAAATAGCAGTCAGTTTACATAGGGGTGCATGAATGATAAACACTCATTCATCCTGTGAGACACTCCTTACCTTGCAGGTCTTGCTGCAGGAAGCTCTCGCATAATGTTTGGCCGAACTCTGGATTAGTCTTTCCCCACACTTTCATTCAACTTTAGTTTAAACTCATAATATTTTGGGGCTCTCTCATAATTAGGCATTTTTTATATGCCTCTCAGTCAACAAGGTGAACTTTGAATAAAGAAAGCCTGTCTCTTTGAGCAGATGCTCTGGTCCAAGGGCACATATTCAATGAATGTTTGAAGAATGACATGGATATTCATTAAGTATTATTCCATTTATAGCAAAAGATGAAATTGGCTGAGGTAGATAAAGATAAACCAAGTTTTAAGCAATTATAGCACTAAAAAGAATTTTAAGAACAGCTCAGGCAATGTTCACAAACTTCCAATACTTTCCTGTTAACTATGTTGCCTCTACAGCTACAGCAGCCTGATTAATAAAGCATAAATAAACTTTTCTTTAATTTTTCTATAATTGTTGGCATTATCTTTTATATTGCAATTTACCTCATCCAAGAGTTGGCATTTTGTTTTAATTGTTTCATGTGATTTTTCCATTGCTGTGAAGTCAGGAATTAATAACTCAAGAAGCAGGAACAAATTATTCGTCCCTTTTCTTTCCAGGTGAGCATTTAAAAAGTTTTGGGTTCAAAAATAGCAAGGGTTTCAATGTCAGATGGTGGTACAAGAAATACCACAGGAAAACAAATGGAAAGATTGATACAGAAAAGTTTCTGTTTTCTTCATTAAACTCTCTGGTGAGTGTGTGTGTGTGTGTGTGTATGTGTACTGCAGTGACACATAAACAATTTTATATCTAATGAGATATAAGTAATAAGGGCTGAGTTTTTGAAACAGCTGCAAAGAGATTATATGTATTATGTTTTCTCAGGTAATAAAACAGATCAAATACAGCTGAATAAAATTTCTTATCTTTTTTCCATTTTCTCCTTTCTGCTGATTATAAAAACAGCCATTCTCCTGGATTAGTTATAATAGACATTTTCAATAAAATCTTGTTACTAGAAGGGAATTAAGCAGCTTTTGTGCAGGAAAGAGCATCAGTTACCTTGTGATGGATTAAGAAGAGAGCAGTTGAGATGGTCACTGTTGTATTTACCTGCCAGTCATTTTCAATCACTGTGACAGGGTGGGTGTCATAGCAACTAGAGCTCTAAATCATTTTCCAATGAAGATTTCTAAGAGATCATTCCCATTGTCCAGGGACAGATGCAACTTTGTGTGTGTGTGTGTGTGTGTGTGTGTGTGTACATGTGCACACAAGACAGCATGTATTCCATTTCACGCCATGCTTTTGTTTGTTTACTTGTTTTAGAGTGTTGGGGGCTACTATGGGTAAGAGAATCAGGCTGAGTTTCTGAGTGCTTGAAACTGCAAGGTTTTAGTGAAGAGCAATGTAAACTTTATTTATTGGTTCATTCAGTGATAATTTATTTGGGCAATTATTTTTATGCCAAGTACTTGGTTCTTCGTTCTCTCTTAAAATACAAAGAAAATTTGGGTCTAAAAGCATCATAAAAAACAATATATTCCATTCAGAAAACACTGTTTTTGTTTTAATAAATGGCCAAATAATCTACTTCTCATATGCTTACTTCTCAGAGCTCCTGAACAGTGGTGACTAGCGGGTTATTTGGTGAGTTTCAGGAAGGTTTCTTGTCATAGCGTAACTGGATCAAGTCCAGCTGCTTGCTGCTCAGAGGCCAAAAACACGAGAAGCAGGGTGTGGTTAAAGGAAAGCAACTTTATTGATCAAATGCTAGCAGATGGGAGACGGCCAGTCTTCTTCCTCAAAGGAGCCATCTCTGCCTTCTGGGCTGAGGGCGGGGGTTTAAGAAGGAAAACGTGAGAAACATGCCGGAGTGGTACAGAAGGGGTCTGCGTGTCTCTTTCCAATGGTAACCTTGAGTAATTGCCCATCTGGAGGTCTGTTTTGCATTATCCTGACTTGGGTCTGGTAGTGGTGGGCTAACTGTTTGAAACACCCCTTAAGTGGGAGGATTCCCCAGCTGGGGCCCTCGGCCTGGTTTGTTTCAAAATTGGCCCCTGGAATTTCCAAGCAAGTACAAAATTAAATAAGTGAGTACTGTTCATGGAAGTCCCTACCGAGAAAGGGAGAAACAAAGAGTTTCAAAGTATGTTTCAGGCTGAAAACAAAAAAGAAAACAAACAAACAAAAAAGCTTGAAAATGCATTTTGAGGCTGTGATCTTCCGTTACAAGACTGTGGTCTGAAGACCAGTGGGGGTTCCTGACTTTTGTAAGAACTGCAATGAGGTAAGTGTGCACACTGAAGGCAAGGTTTTAGAGAATTTTACAGCAACTTGATATTGCTGCAAATCCAAGAACTGAATAACTTTTTAAAAAATCATTTTTACTATGGGTTACAAATAATCAATTAAAAATGAAAACAAAAACAAAATAAAACACATCTGTTGTTCAGGAGAGATAGTTTAGGAGCAGCCGGCCAGAGTACTTTGTCTAGTCTCTTTCTTCCTGTTCTAGAGAGATATTTGCCTTGCTTAGTAGCAGTTTTCCTAAGGCTTAACAGATTTCCTCAGATTGTTTCTTTTTTTCCTGGTTTAGCTATCCTGCGGCACTTTTCACCTTATATATCAAAGGGGAATGTTTATAGCTTGCTTGGCAATTAAGGAAAGGATCTTTCTCATCTGTGTGCTACTATAAATCTAATACAAGTTAGAGTTTCTGGTATTGGGAAAATGGTTTGTATAAATTGTGTTTTATATTGAGCAACCAAAAGTTGAGGCGGAGAATTGTCATCATCTAATTCTCCTCCCCCAAGACAGATAATTTTTTTCATCAGACTTCCAGGAGGAGAAATAAAGCACTTAATCTAAAGCCTGATTAGTTCATTTTAGCTATTTGTCTTATCTTTCTTCTTAGTAAAAAAATAACACAAGGAGTGTGAAAATCTGCACAAAGCTTTAATGCTAACAAACATGAGTTTTCACATTAGTAAAAGCTAGGCAATCACTTATTTCTATGCCTCTACTGAAAATATAACCTGATTTAAAAAAAAAGTACAGAAAAAGGCAAGGAGCACTTGTGACGTGAGAGAAATATTTTCATGTATTTTGACTGTTCCAATGCTGAGTTCAGTTTATGCTTGTAAGATGGGGGTTGTCACTAGAAAACAGCTAATTCACAAGTCAGACTACTTAGAGAAAAAGACTATTTATTTATTTCAATAACCTCAAACTAAGAAAAAATGAAGCAGTAAAGCAAAATATGAGGTCAGACTGTACTGTCTTATCCAGCGTACCATGTGACATAGAACACAATATACCAATATAAGTAGAAAAGAGAAACAGCCTATAAACATTTTATGGATATTCCTGCATAACTCTCCTGTGATGATGTGGGCATAGGTCTAACCTTTGGTGTTATATAGGAAAGATAAACACGCATGTTTCTCCAAAGCCTCTTACATGGTGGATCTTATCAGAACCCTAGATTGGGGGATCCAGAGAGCTGGCCTGTGGCATGGGGATGGGGCAAAAGTTGGGGCCCATCTACATCATACTTTTTACTGGGCTCAACGTTAACATTTCACCATCATCATTAGGTACAATTTAGCTCCATTTCAAGTCCCTGTACTTGGCACTATATAGAATGATCCTCATCCCTATTCTAGAATACTAGATTCCAGGAAGTACTGCTGTAAGGAAACCTTTGGATTTTGTTAATAACCTTTCCCAAATGTTTTGAAATAAAGACCTCCTTTTTTCATATGACATGCATTAGCATCACCGAACATAACTTTGGTAATGCTCCATTCAGCTGGAACTTGCAGCACAAGGCAGGTGTCCAGTGCCAACTGCAGGGGAGGGCAAGGCTGGTGGGTGCATCTTCTAAGGGCGGGGTCCAAGCAAGTCAAGTCTGAGACCACACTGGTTTGCAGCTGTGTTTACCAACAGCATGCAGATTCAGTATATGCTGGATAAGGAATGAGAATCATTATGAAGAGAAGCCATAAAAATGATGCTTAGATATGTATAAAATAATATTTAAATTCAAATGTGTAAAGTGAACATAGAAAAGAAAGGAGAAAATGCAGAGCAGGGGACTATTATTGAGGAAAGAGGGAAACTGGAAGTTTTTGGGGGAAGAATGGCTGAGAATAAAAGCTAATATCCTCAGAGAGAGGTACCTGTCTGGCTTGAGGTGTGGACTTGGCCAAGGTAAGGTAAGGAAGCCAAGAAGCCTGGTTCTGCTTCTTATCTAATGGCATGCTAGCACATGGACCTTTGTCATGTTTTCCTTATTTTTAAACACTGGTTCTAAACACCAAGCAACTAGTGTCTGTTGCTCCCCCCTTAGTATACTTCTTACTCTACCTCTAGGCCCACTCTGCATTGAGACCTGGAAGGCTCCAAGAGCTGGCCTCCCACAGCATCTGACTGAAAGCTTTAATGCCTGTAACTGACAGCTGTATAAACGGAATTGAGGACTTCGGTGCAGGGGAAGGGAGCAAAAATAAATTTACTGACAAAATAAAAATCGAGTTGTACTATGGTATGAAAAATTGCTGATGTTGTCACATGTGGCATCTCTTTATTCCCAATGAATAAAGTAGGCTCTTTAACACCAAAACAAGGGGAAAGGTCAGTTCTATTGAGAAGCAAGTTGTGCGTTGATCGTCTTTGGTGAGCCTGTTATGTACAGATCCTTCACCAGGCTTCTGACCCTTTCAGGTTAATCCATATCCCCTGGGGTCTGTGACAGTGCAGATGCCTTCTCAGTGTATCTAAGATGTAGCATGTGATGCTGCATTCCAGCACATTCGTATTGAGCGAGCCATGCTGCTGGTCTCTAGGCCTCCTGGAGAGGGGAGGGGCTCTCAGCAGAGTGCCTGCCTTACCCCCACACTGGAGAAGCCCCAGCAGAGGAAGCAATTCACAGTCTCCCTCTGAACTCTCTCTGTAAGATGCTTCTCACTCCTAGCTTCACGCTTTCTCTATCTACATCTATCTATATCTACATATATAGTTTTTGAGATGGACTTTTGCTCTTGTTGCCCAGGCTGGAGTTCAGTGGCACGATCTCGGCTCACCGCAACCTCCACCTCCCGGGTTCAATCAATTCTCCTGCCTCAGCCTCCCAAATAGCTGAGATTACAGGCATGTGCCACCATGCCCGGCTAATTTTGTATTTTCAGTAGAGGCAGGGTTTCTCCATGTCTGGCTGGTCTCGAACTCCTGATCTCAGGTGATCCACCCGCCTTGGCCTCCCAAAGTGCTGGGATTACAGGCGTGAGCCACCATGCCCAGCTTTCACTCTATATTTGATGGCACCTGGCTTTTACCTAACATAGCATGTTGTCCAGTTGTTTTCCAACTTATCAGTATGCTGGTGTTGAGCATTTCCAACCATAGGAACCATGATGATAGGTTCGTGAGCACTTGCAACATAGTGTGCCAAGTACTTCATATATTGATTCTCTCTCCTCTCCCCTTCCTTGATTTTATTTTCCTTTAGAGCACGTAATTCCTTGTGTGTCTTTGCTCCCTGGAAAATAAACTTCAGGAGAGCAGATTTTTATCTTGTTTGCTGCTGTATCCCAAAAGCCTGGAACATGTCCAGGCTCTTTAGTGAGCAATCGATAAATATCTTCCAAATAAAATGAAGAAATAAAAAAGTAATCAATATCAAATAGGTATTACTATTTTCATATTGTAGATGAAAAAAGTAACATTTAGTTACTGCCAGTCACACCTTTGAAATAATCCCAAATTTCTTACCACTATGCCATAATTCACCTAAACTCATTTCTTACCCAGAAACTTGGTCTATACTAAAATTGTCAATTTCACCAAGCCTAACCTGTTGTGAATAAAGTCAGGTAAGCACAAATCCTGGTTTGACTTAGTTGTGCTTCCGTTGGATAGCATAGCACTTGGCCTGCTGCCTGAGAGCCACCCTCAAGGCAGTGGCAATGGGAAGAATTGGTGGTTCCACTAGATATCAGGGAAGACGCCTTGCCACTTTCATGCTCTCAACACTACCTTGTCTCTACTTCCATTAGCTGCAGAAAAGAGTGACAGCTAGTGCAAAACCCAGAAACATAAGATAATAAAACAAGTGAGAAGGAAATAAAGAATTATGTGAAATTAGATTTACAAAGAATGTTTATTGGCAATAGAGCTGCCAGGTTTCAGATTATACAATCTGTAGTTTCCTCTCTTTTTATCAGGACTGAATCTTGGGTCCATCATTGCATTGCACAGGTACATCATCAATAGTCATTTCTTTGCCTCTTGGTGAGCTCCCAGAGGACAGGGCCTCTGATCTTGTCACTCTGTTTCTCTGATTTCCAGCTTAGTACCTACCACATAGTAAGTGCTCAGTGAATATTGCTAAGTGGTGAGATTTCCTAAGCTTAACCTCAAATATTTTTTTGAATATAATGCATATAGAATGAAGAAAGGAGCGCAGGGATAAAATAAAACATAAAAGGTGAGAAATATGAAGTGAAAGAAGAACAGGCTCAGGTAAATAAGGGCAGTCCTGCACAAAATATAAAAATGTCATCATCTAAGTTGGTAAAGGAGAAAGAGATGAGGGTAAAAAGAGGAGCTAGCGGACAGACATATGCTTAGAGATTTAGCAGAGAAGTGCGGCAGGGCACGAGGGAGCAGCATAGGCAGGAGCAGGAGTTTCCCCCAAAAGCAGAGTTGTGGGTTTTTTTTATAATTTACATATGTTTAAATTATTGATTTAAATTATTACAAAGTAATTTGTAAATTACTGTTTTATTTAGTAGAGATGGGGGTCTCACTATATTAACCAAGCTGGTTTCAAACTCCTGGCCTCAAGCGATCCTCCCATCTCAACCTCCCAAAGTGCTAGGATTACAGGCATGAGCCCAAAAGTAGTGTTTCAATATCATGTATAAACTATGTGAAGGGGACATTCACAGGTAGAAGTGTACAATGAGGACAGTTAGCTTCAGAAAGAGGGATTGTTGCTGAACACTTAAACATACAATGTCAAGCTTAAACTATGATTGGCTCCTGTCAAAACACAAGATGCTTGTATTCCATAAATAGGTACAGTTATTATGTGTCAGTTAAAAGTAATAAAACATAAGATGCTGCTGACAAAATTGTGCAAGCTTGGTTCAACACCTGAAAATCAATTGATGGAATATATATCAATAGAATAAAAAACAAAACAAATTACACAATCATTTCAATAGATGCAAAGAAAGTATTTGACAAAATCCAACACACTTTAATGATTAAAAAAAAAAAACACTCAGAAAACTGAATAGAAGGGAATTTAACCTGATACAAGGCATGTGTGAACAACCCACAGCTAACAATAGCTTAATGGTGAAAGACTGGAAGCATATACCCTAAGATCATAAACAATATAAGGATGTCTGTACTTCTGCTTAACATGATACTGGATGTTCTTGTTAAGGCAATTAGGTAACTTTAAAAAGTCATATGGATTGGAAAGGATGAAGTAAAACTATATTTATTGGCAAATGACATGATCTTGTATATAAAAAATCCTAAGGAACCAACTAAAAGAGTATTTGAACTTATAAGTTCAGCAGTGTTGCAGGATGCAAGACAGATATAAACAAATCAATTTTGTTTCTGTACACTTGCAATCAACATTGAAAATGAAATTAAGAAAAGAATTCCACTTTCAATAGAATAAAAACAAAATACTAATAAGTTCAACAAAAGAAATACACCATTTATAATCCAAAAATTACTTTTTTTGAAGGAAATTATACAGATCTAAATAAATGAAAAACTATCCTAAGTTCATGGCTTGAAAGATTTAACACTATTGAGATAGTAATGCCCCTTGAACTGATCTACAGACTTAACTTGATCCCCATCAGAAACCCAGTGAGCTACTTTGTAGAAATTGACAAACTGATTTTAAAATTCATATGGAATTGCAAGGACACAAAATCGTCAGAATAATTAGAAAAAGAACAATGTAGATAGACTCACATTTCTTGGATTCAAAACCTGTGATACTGGTACAAGAGTAAAATGTAGATAAATGGAATATAATTGAGAATCCATAAATAAAATTATGCATCTATGATTAAATGATTTTTGACCAGGGTGCCAAGACTATACAATGGGGAAAGAATCAACTTTCTTGAAAAGATAGCCACATCCAGAGGAATAAAGGTGTACTCTTATCTCACACTGTATTAAAAAAAAAAGTATCCAAAACCTAAATGTAAAAACTAAAACTTTTAGTTAAAAACATAGAAGTATATATTTACGGCCCTAGATTTTTCAAAAGATTATTCAATGTAATACTAAAACCACAAGTAACATAGGAAAAAATAAATAAATTGCACTTCAAAATTTAAAAACTTTATACTTAAGAGGACACTGCCAAAAAATAAATGGAAAGATAGCTCACCTAATGGGAGAAAATATTAAAGCCAGCTCAATTGTCCCATAGAACTGATGTGTACTGCTTTGAGGATAAATATAGAAATGAACTTTCAGTCTTAAAACTAGAAACTAACATTTGTCTTATCTGAGTCCCTTCCTCAGGAAACTGACCCTCAAGCAAGAAATTGAAACTCACCAAATCACCACACCCCAGCAGTGAGATGCCAGATCCCTCATTTTCTTGATTGCTTCCTTACCTCTCCCTAATTCCTGTTTTCCCACATGTGGCTACATTCCTTCCCCACTATATAAGCCTGCAATTTTAGTCATTTGGGAGAGATGGATTTGAGACTGATCTTCCTTGGTCTGTGGCTAATATCAACCAAATAAAAAGCCTCTTCCCTGGCAATACTTGCTGTTTTAGTGATTGGCTTTCTGTGCTGTGAGTGACAAGACCAAACTCCTGGCACTTTGGCAACAATATTTGCAAATCATATATCTGATGAGAGATTAATATCCAGAATATACAAATAACTATTAGAACCCAATAATAAAAACATTTAAAAGAGCAAAGGATCTGAATAGATATTTTTCCAAGACATATGAATGTTCAATAAGCGCAAGAAAAGATGCTTTCCATGATTAGTTATCATTAAAAACGCAAAGCAAAACCACAGTGAGATGCCATTTTATACCCACTGGCATAGCTAGAATTAAAAGTCTATAATAGCAAGTGTTGGTGGAGAGGTGGGGAAATTCTAACCCTCATACAGTGTTGGTGGAATGTTAAGTGCTGCAGCTGCATTGGAAAGCAGCCTAGCAGTTCAATTAAATCTAGAGTTACAATATAACACAGCAATTCCACTCCTGAGTATACTGCCAAGATAAATGAAACCATAAGTTTATACAAATATTTAAAATGGATGTTCAGAGTAGCCCAAATATCCATCAGCTGATGAATGAATGAAGCAAAATGTGCTTTGTCCATGCAATGGCGATTATTCCCTCACAATAAGAATTGAGAAGTTATCCATGCTACGGTCTGAATACATATTGATAACATTTTGCTAAGTCAAAGAAGCTGGTCACAAAAGGCTACATATTACATGATTCCATTCATATAAAATGTTTAGAGCAAGTAAATCTACAGAGAAGAAAGCAGATGAGTGGTGCTTGGGACTGGAAGAATATATGGAGAAAGACAGCAACAGCGAAAGGATACAGAGTTGCTTTTTGAGGCAATGAAAATATTCTGAACTCTGTGGAGATAGTTGCACGTATCTGTATATATACTAGCAAACACTGGCTTTTACTTTAAATGGGATAACTTGTATGACATGTAACTGTATCTCAATAAGGATAATTTTTTTAAAGATGCCTCTGATGAAATTCTGGTTTTATTGTTTCATTTATTTATTCAAAAGATTTTAAGATCCCACTCTCTTCCATGCAGTTTCTGGATACTCGAATTACCAGAATCAACAGAACTGACAGAGCTTCTTCCCTGGTGCAGGCTGGACCCTGTCCTGTTTCTCCCGGTAGAAACTGACCAAGTCAATTCAGCAGGTTCCCATCAAGCTCCACCGTACACCTGGTACTGAGATGACAGAAATCAAGGCCCTGGTCTATGTTCTCAAAGCAGCTTGAGGGAAAGGCAAATAAACAGTAAGGAGATGATAAAGGGCAGAAATATAATTTAGCTAGAAAGTGCCAGGAGAACGTGGTTTCCAGTCTGCTGAGAGGGGCCATGCCCAAGCTACCTGTGGAAAAGTGGCTATTGATGGCTACTAGATGAGGATCAGAGAGCCAGCAACTCGATGGGGCTGTTTAGGCAAAGGTGGGGACAGGAGAGAAGCTTAGAAGTCCAAGTCTCCCATCTTAATGAAATGCAAGCTGATAGAGGATTCGTGGAGAAGCTGCTTTTTTGCTTCCCTGTTCCTTTTGCCTCCTCAACTTCTTATTACCTAGAAATTCCTGTAGCAGAAGTGAGCCCTGCTTGAGATTCAAGGGAAGGGTATTTTCCAAATGATGAAAAAATGCAGAAACAGGGATAGCCAGGCAGGGCAGAGGAAGAACCAGGAGGAGAAGAATTCCTCAGTGTATCACTAAGTATCCAGTACTAAGAAATTGGGCAGGACTAAGGATTTAGGAGATTGAGTGGGCCATAAAAAGCTTAGCCATCTGTTTAAGAATAATACCTTGGATTTATAGAGCACATTGACTTCCAAAGCACCTTCCCATCTATTTTCCCCTGCTTCCTGTCTGGCTGTGGGTGAGGGGCACAGGACCTGCTAAAGGGAGAATCTCAAAGGCCTCTCTGAGCTTCTGCCAGGGACAGAGCCTGCAGTGACCCCTCCCCACTCTTTGCAGCCCAAGAGGCCCCCTGTTACCATGGCAATAAAGCAAAGCTATTTTCTGGACCATAGCTGCAGGCTAGACACTATGCTGTAGACTTAAGAGGCATCTCATTTTCACAATAACCTTCTAAAATATGACTTTTAGCCCCCTGTTTCTACCAGGGAAGTTGAGGGCCTGCAGCATTAAGTACCATGCCCAAGGCAACACAGCCAATTACTGTGTTGTGTGGACTAAATCTTGTACTCAGATAATTTTGTGTACTTTCCCATAGCATGCTGCTTCAAAAAGCAAGGCCTAGGTTTCTACAGACAAAAACTGCATTTGTGAAATTGCTAACATGGAAATGAGGAATCAAATAATTTTGGGTGGGAGGCTGTTCTTCCTTAAACTATGTAAACTTTTCTAACATCAGGTAGTCTTTGGTGACATTACTAGATAATAAGAATATGTATTAATAGATAATGTGTACATGCTATATGTGTATATAACATGAAATTAATGCATATAATTTATATAAACACACAATATGCATGTAATATCTAAATTATTACAGATATACATGTTTACATGTGTGTATGTACACATATATATGCGTATGCACACACGTACGACACATACAGTCATTGTGAATGGGAACACTTACCAATCCACTGGCTGATCATTGAAGTCAGCAGACAAAAAGGGCGAAGTCAGCTTGCAGGGTCAGAGTAGCAATAGCTAACAGAAAATGGTCACTTTTGTAGGACCTTAACTGGAGGCCTCTAGGTGTCAGGTAGTATCAGAAATGGGTGGGTAGTGGCAGGGTAGTATGGTGTTGGTTAAGAAGGAATAGAATAAGTTTAGTTTCCAAAGACCTCCAGTAACACAGATGATAATCTTTAGGGTTGATTTGCTAGGAAGTTTGCATGTTTGAATGAATTAAATTAGAAAGGTGACTACAGTAATGAAGCCACACAATTTAATATTACCTACGAATTGCTCTGAGAGTTAAATCAGCACTTTCTTACCTCCTGCATATATTTTAAAGGAGCTTAAGCCCTTTTGGAGAGACTCAGTAAAATTAAGCAATAAAGCAAAGATACCCTTCTTGAAGGACATAATCTGTAAAGACAACTATAAATCAGCGCATATTGATTTAAATAAATAGGGTTGTTGCCCTTTGGTAAATGTGGTTCAGAGGATGGGCAGGGCAGTCTTCCTTGCTTAGAAACCCATTGGCTTTGCATTTCTAAGAAACCCAAAAAGGGATTCCCTCTAAAATTTAACTTACTTGCATTATCTCACAGTTTCAGATTTTATCCAAATGCTAAGGGCATCAAAAGCAAAGTTAAACAGAGGCATCAGGCTGTGGGTGACCTCAGCATTGCTGGGACCCATCTATGTGTGTTATAGATCAAAATGTGGCATTAACAAAATATCTTCATGAAGAGGCATTAAGGCAGCTTCCCCAGGAATTCAAGTGGATGGCACTACTGTGATTCTCTTTCGCTTGTGCCCCAGTGGATCACTTCAGTTCCCAACATATTCAAAGATCTCGTGATAGGACTTTACATATATTAATATTAGTTTAATTCTTATAACAATCACTGATGGCTGGACGCGGTGGCTCATGCCTCTAATCCCAGCACTTTGGGAGGCCCAGGCCGGTGGATTACAAGCTCATGAGATTTGAGACCATCGTGGCTAACATGGTGAAACCCCGTCTCTACTAAAAATACAAACAAAAAAAATAGCCGGGTGTGGCGGCAGGCGACTATAGTCCCAGCTACTGGGGAGGCTGAGGCAGGATAATGGCATGAACCCAGGAGGCGGAACTTGCAATGAGCCGAGATCGCGCCACTGCACTCCAGCCTGGGTGACAGCACGAGACTCTGTCTCAAAAAAAAAAAAAAAAAAAAAAGAAAGAAAAAAAATTACTGATGAGGTAGCTATGATCTTCCTTTTACACCATAGTTTTGGCAGGCACAGTCAAAACATGTGTGACGACATATGGCTACCTCATTCACAACCAAAATAAAAGTCACACAGTTCATAAAGGAGCTGCTGTGTGTGAGTCTGGGTTCTGCAAATCTCATATTAATTCTCACTCTTAATAGCTCTGTGATCTATTAGTTATTAGTTAACTGTGATCACTAGTTATACGCTCTTCCACAAGCCCATTTTTACTTCTAAACCACAGATCCTTTAGCTTAAATGAAAGGATATAATTTTCTGGCTCAAAAGTTCCTAGTATACCATTTTTCTTTGAGTTGTGAAAAAAGACAAGGCCCAGGATAAGGGGAACTTTTGGGTTTGGAAACCAGAGACAGAGATTCAGATCTGAATTCCTTTCTCCCCAGCTCTGAGAAATTAAGTCACTCTCTAGGCTTCTGCCTAACAAAATGGGAGCACTATAACCTGGTGTCAGGCCAGGAGAACAGCACGCATAACCACAGCATCTAAATGCTAAATGGGGGCTGGCAACATGGAGTGAGATCTTTGAAGGGCAAGTTCAAGTGAAAGATCTCAGGCCTGGCCAAAGGCACATATATTGAGCAATAAGAAACTTCCCGTCATGGAGGCCACACTCGCCCTCTCCCATAAGGAATATTGAGAGTCTGACCAAAAAAAAAAAGTTATTCTGTCAACCCCTACTTGGGGAGTAAATGGCCAGTTATGCAGAACCTCCTATAACTAACATTCAGTAACCCCATTTTGAAATGTTTCCACCTGCTTCCTTGCTCTCTTTCAGCCAACCAACGACTGCCAAACCTACCTGAAAACCAATTAGAAACTCTCCCTGCTTCCCAAAATGCCACCTTTAGTGGGTCCGGAATTGGTTCTTTCCAGTGGGTTCATGGTCTTGGCTGACTTCAATAATGAAGCCACTGACCCCCGCAGTGAGTACAGTTTTTAAAAATTGTGTGCCCAGAGTTTGTTCCTTCAGATGTTCAGATGTGTCCCAGTGGGTTCGTGGTCTCGCTGACTTCAGGAGTGAAGCCACAGACCTTTGCAGTGAGTGTTACAGCTCATAAAGGTGGCCCTTCCAGAGTTGTTTGTTCCTCCTGGTGGGTTTGTGGTCTGGCTGACTTCAAGAAACAAGCTGCAAACCCTCGTGGTGAGTGTTACAGATCATAAACATTGCGTGGACGCAAAGAGTGAGCAGCAGCAAGATTTATTGTGAAGAGCTACAAAACAAACATACCACAGCCTGGAAAGCGACCCCAGTGGGTTACCACTGCTGCCTAGGGGTAGCCAGCTTTTATTCCCCTATATGGCCCCACCCACGTCCTACTGATTGGTCCATTTTACAGAGCGCTGATTGGTCCATTTTACAGATTGCTGATTGGTCCATTGTTACAGAGTGCTGATTGGTCCATTTTTACATAGTGCTGATTGGTGTGTTTACAATCCTTTAGCTAGACAGAAAAGTTCTCCAAGTCCCCACCTGACCCAGAAGCCCAGCCGGCTTCACCTCTCAATAGCATGTGTGCCCAACACTGTTTCCTCTTTCTACTCTAGAAAACTTACTCTCTTTTCAAACACCCTTGAGCCCCTGCTGAAACAAAAGTGAGGGTAGATGAGTTTTTTTTTTCAGCTTATGCATACACAGATTTCGTTAATGTGGGCTCCGACACCGTTTTGTCTCTGCCAGTAAGAAAGGGTTTAAGCAGACTAAGAGAGTACAGCATGAAAATGCTGCCTTTATGCAGGAATCTGTGTAAATAAGTCTATAGATTGATTAAAAAATTTGAGTATCATCAATTCAGCCTTTTGGCATAATACAACTTGCTGTTATTGTGGGAGTGGGTTTGCTATTGTGAGAGTGGGGTCCTTATGAAGATGAGTTTGTCCCCCTCCCTTGCTCTCTCTCACCTACATGATGCCTTCAGCCCTTGGGATGATGCAGCAAGAAACCCCTCACCAGATGGGGTGCCTCAGCCATGGACTTCCCAGCCTCCAGACTATCAGCCAAATAAATGTCTGTTCATTATAAATTAGTCTGTGGTATTCTGTTATAGCAACACAAAACAGACTAAGGCACAATTGATTAGTGTATTACTTCAAGACGGACTTCAGAACATTGTTCTTCAGCTTGGCAGACTTTTCCAAAGGACGAGGACATCGTGGCTGGTATGTAGTTGGTTGAGTAGCAGTTCTGGATGACACTGATGGACACTGACAGAGCTTCAAGGCTCTACCAGGAACTGAACTGAGTGCTTCAACTCTCTGCTTCATGATTCAGTCAGCGAGGTAATACTATTTCCTTTCACAGAATGAGAAAGCTGAGACTCACAGGCTAAGGTCCTTGCCTACAGTGACATAACTCATAAATAGTGAAGCCAGGATTTCAAAGGTGATTTCACAGCTCGGATTTTCGAGGGCATCAGTCTTTATCTAGCTTAGACCTTAGGACTTTTTGTCAGACACAGAAATTAACTTGTCAGTCTCCAATGTTTCCACATTTTCTGAAGATGTCTTCGTGTCTTTGTTTAGCAGAAAACTCACCTTTAATGCAAATTCCATTCTATAATGAATTCCACCCAGCCATTCATTTTTATAGACTTTTTTATACAAACATACTGCAAAGGTGTTTCAGATTGTGCCATATAAATCATAATGGCAAGTTGATGGTTTTCTTTCTATACACTTTATCTTTTCTCATACCTTTTCTATTGTTATTAAATCAAGAAAATGTTTACATGTTCTGATGGAAGTAACACAAAAAAAGACAAGATATCCTCGTGTATGCTAAGGGACTGCCTAAATGAATCATTAAGTTCCAGCCTTGTAGACACATTCACACTGCAGATAGATACTAGGGGAAGATAAAGTTCAGAATATACATATGCAGATTATGCAAATAAACCTGCACCATTGAAATAACACTCTTGAAACCATAAAAGGTTAAATACTGTTTGTTTAATCTTATTTTTGAATTAGTGATTTCACTGGCTTTGTGGAAAAACCTTCTTGCCTATTGTACAATTTTGGAACTTTACAGCCTGCATTCACCAGAGGGATAAATACTGGGAGGATAATGCACAGTCTGTAAATGGAACTAGCCATTTTGAGAATGGTGGGTCAATTAAGTTTCCTCTTTATACCTCCCAACTAATTTTCCTTGTTTCTTTTGTTTTCCCAGCAGAGTAGGGTGACCAAGAAATCTTTTAGCTGATAATATGAGAATCAAGATTTTACAGACCAGATGGATGCAGGCATTTAATGATCTGAAAGAAGAATACCATTGCAGTCACAGTACAGAAAAAAGTAGTGAGGAGCTATTAAACTTTTCAGGTTAAAGAAACAGAAAGTAGCGTGTAGATGATGAGGAGGCGAGTGTGGTAGGAAAAGGTGGAAAAGATAGGCAGAGGCAGGCATCTAGAGTCTTCAGGAGCAACGTCAAGGTTTATATTTTATTCCAAATGCTATGGGAGGCCACAGTGGTTGTATCTGTCATATTTTGAGTGGGCATATCCAGAGAGCCCTTAAGAGTGCTCAACTCAAAAGAATGCAATGATCAGTTAGATGTGTGAAAAGTGTGAGCCAGGAAGCAACAAGGGATGCTGGGGATTCCAGGGATTACCAGTAATTGGGAACTTTTACTGCTCCTTGGCCTAAAGGTGAAAATGTAGTAATCAGTATTGCCATAGTACATTATATCCAGAGACTGAGAAGAAAGGCTGCCAGAACTATACCTGAGGAAACACAGCCAGTGCTAGGACAAGCAAACGAACAGGAATCACGTAAATACATCTCTTTATCCTGTTTCTTTCCTTCTCCTTTTAGGTTGGATTGTGCCTTTGGACAGATTAGCATCATAGAGTATGAAACACTGTAGGAAGGGTGAATGATTGATGGGGGTAGGAAAAAAACATGGATTAATCACAGAAGGGGACTCGTATGAGATTTATATAGAACTCATAAACTAAGGTGACTTAAAGGAATGCTTACCCTAAAATCAACAGTGGTTTTTCAAAAAATAAAATCATTTTTGGTTTTGTTTGGAACACATAAACTGAGGAAGCATCAGAACAACTATGTGAAGCCAATGAAAAAACTTCTGAAATTGGGACATTTTAAATCAGAAAGAGAAGCATCATGTTAAGATAAAAATGTATCAGACAGATAAAGGTAATATTTAATGGCCTAGATGCACCAAACCTCCTCATGTACACTGACTGAATAGTGTAGTAGTTCATTTTCATTCTGCTGATGAAGACACAACTGAGACTGGGCAATTTACGAAAGAAAGAGGTTTAATGGACTTACAGTGCCACGTGGATGGGGAATCCTCACAATTATGGCAGAAGGCAAGGAGGAGCAAGTAACATCTTATGTGGATGGTGGCAGGCAAAAAGAAAACTTGTGCAGGGAAACTCCACCTTATAAAGCCATCAGATCTCATGAGACTTATTCACTATCACAAGAACAGCACAGGTAACATGAGCCCCCAGGACTCAATTACTTCCCACCAGATCCCTCTCATAACATATGGGAATTCAATATGAGATTTGGGTGGGAACATGGGAAACCATATCATTGCATCCCTGGCCCCTCCTAAATCTCATGTCCTTACATATTTTAAAAGCAATCATGCCTTCCCAGCAGTTCTCCAAAGTCTTAATTCATTACAGCATTAACTTAAAAGTCCACAGTCCAAAGTCTCATCCAAGACAAGGCAAGTTCTTTCCACCTATGAGCCTATAAAATAAAAAGCAAGTTAGTTATTTCCCAGATTTAATGGGGGTACAGGCATTGGGTAAATGTAGCCATTCCAAATGGGACAAATTGGCTTAAACAAAGGGACTACAAGCCTCATGCAAGTTTGAAATCCAGTGGGGCAGTCAAATCTTAAAGGTCCAAAATGGTCTCCTTTGACCATGTCTCACATCCAGGTCATGCTGATGCAAGAAGTGGGCTCCCATGGTGTTGGGCAGCTCTACCCCTGTGGCTTTTCAGGATACAGCCTTCCTCCTGACTGCTTTCATGGTCTGGCAATCAGTGTCTGTGGCTTTTCCCTGTGCATGGGGAAAGCTGTTGGTGGATCTACCATCCTGGGGTCTGGAGGATGGTGGCCCTCTTCTCACAGCTCCAATATGTGGTTCCCCAGTAGGGACTCTGTGTGGGGTCTCTAACTCCACATTTCTCTTCTTTACTGCCCTAGCAGAGGTTCTCTATGAGGGCACCACCCCTGCTGCAAACTTCTGCTTGGGCATCCAGGCATTTCCATACAACTACTGAAATCTAGGTGGAGGTCCCCAAAATCTTTTACTTATTTATGTATTTATCATTTATTATACTTCAAGTTCTGGGATACCAGTGCAGAATGTGCAGGTTTGTTACATAGGTATACATATGCCATGGTGGTTTGCTGCACCCATCAACCCGCCATCTATATTAGGTATTTCTCCTAATGTTATCCCTACCCTTGCCCCCTCCCCTGCAACAGACCCTGGTGTCTGATGTTCCCCTCCCTGTGTTAATGTGTTCTCATTGTTCAACTCCCATTTATGAGTGAGAATATGTGGTGTTTGGTTTTCTGTTCCTGTGTTAGTTTTCTGAGAATGATGATTTCCAGCTTCATCCATGTCCCTGCAAAGGACATGAACTCATCCATTTTCATGGCTGCATAGTATTTCATGATGTATATGTGCCACATTTTCTTTATCCAGTCAGTCATTGATGGGCATTTGGGTTGGTTTCAAGTCTTTGCTATTGTGTTGGTTTCAAGTCTTTGCTATTGTGAATAGTGCTGAAATAAACATACGTATGCATGCGTCTTTATAGTATAATTATTTATAATCCTTTGGGTGTAAACCCAGTAATGGGATTGCTGGGTCAAATGGTATTTCTGGTTCTAGATCCTTGAGGGATCACCACACTGTATTCCACAATGGTTGAAATAATTTACACTCCCACCAACAATGTAAAAGCATTTCTGTTTCTCTACATCCTCCCAGTATCTGTTGTTTCCTGACCTTTTAATGATCACAATTCTAACTTGCGAGAGATGGTATCTCATTGTGGTTTTGATTTGCATTTCTCTAATGACCAGTGATGAGCTTTTTTTCAAATGTTTGTTGGCCTGTAAAAATGTCTTCTTTTGATAAGTGTCTGTTCATATTCTTTGCCCACCTTTTGATGGGGTTGTTTGTTTTCTTCTTGTAAATTTGTTTAAGTTCCTTGTAGATTCTTGATATTAGCCCTTTGTCAGAAGGATAGATTGCAAAAATGTTCTCCCATTCTGTAGGTTGCCTATTCACTCTGATGATAGTATATTTTGCTGTGAAGAAGCTCTTTAGTTTAGTTCAATCCCATTTGTCAATTTTGACTTTTTTTGCAATTGCTTTTGGTGTTTTAGTCATGAAGTTTTTGCCCATGCCTATGTCCTGAATGGTATTGCCTAGCTTTTCTTCTAGGGTTGTTATGATTTTACATCATGAGTTTAAGTCCTTAATCCATCTTGAGTTAATTTTTGTATAAGGTGTAAGGAAGGGGTTCAGTTTCAGTTTGCTGCATATGGCTGGCCAGTTTTCCCAACACCATTTATTCAATAGGGAATCCTTTCCTCATTGCTTGTTTTTGTCATGTTTGTCAAAGACCAGATAGTTGTAGAAGTGTGGCATGATTTCTGAGGCATCTGTTCTGTTCCATTGGTCTATATATCTGTTTTGGTACCAGTACCATTCTGTTTTAGTTACTGTAGCCTTGTAGTATAGTCTGAAGTCAGGTAGCATGATGCCTCCACCTTTGTTCTTTTTGCTTCAGATTTTCTAGGCTATACAGGCTCTTTTTTGGTTCTGTATGAAATTTAAAGTAGTTTTTTTAAATTCTGTGAAGAAAGTCAGTGGTGGCTTGATGGGGATAGCATTGAATCTATAAATTGCTGTGAGCAGTATGGCCATTTTCCCAATATTGATTCTTCCTATCCATGAGCATCAAAGGTTTTTCCATCTGTTTGTGTCCTCTCTTATTTCCTTGAGCAGTGGTTTGTAGATCTCTTTGAAGAGGTCCTTCACATCCCTTGTAAGTTGTATTCCAAGGTATCTTATTCTCTTTGTAGCAATTGTGAATGAGCATTCACTCATGATTTGGCTCTCTGTTTGTCTATTATTGTTATATAGTAATGCTTGTGATTTTTGCGCATTGATATTGTACCTGAGACTTTGCTGAAGTTGCTTATTAGTTTAAGGAGTTTTGGGGCTAAGATGATGGGGTTTTCTAAATATATAGTCACGTCATTTGCAAACAGAGACAATTTGACTTTATCTCTTCCTATTTGAATATCCTTTATTTCTTTATCTTGCCTGATTGCCCTGGCCAGAACTTTCAATACTTTGTTGAATAGGAGTGGTGAGAGAGGGCATCATTATCTTGTGCCATTTTTCAAGGGAATGCTTCCAGATTTTGCCCATTCAGTATGATATCGGCTGTGGGTTTATCTTAAATAGCTCTTATTATTTTGAGATACGTTCCATCAATACCTAGTTTATTGAGTGTTTTTAACATAAATGGGGTGTTGAATTTTTTTGAAGGCCTTTTCTGCATCTATTAAGATAATCATGTATTTTTTGTCATTGGTTCTGTTTATGCAATGGATTACATTTATTGATTTGCATATGTTGAACCATCCTTGCATCCCAGGGACGAAGCCAACTTAATTGTGATGGGTAAGCTTTTTGATGTTCTGCTGCATTCAGTTTGCCAGTATTTTATTGAGGATTTTCACATTGATGTTCATCAGGGATATTGGCCTGAAATTTTCTTTTTTTGTTGTGTCTTTGCCAGGTTTTGGTGTCGGGATGATGCTGGCCTCATAAAATGAGTTAGGGAAGAGTCCCTCTTTTTCTATTGTTTGGAATAGTTTCAGAAGGAATGGTACCAGCTCCTCTTTGTACCTCTGGTAGAATTTGGCTGTGAATCTCTCTGCTTCTGGGCTTTTTTTGGTTGGTAGGCTATTCATTACTCCTTCAATTTCAGAACTTGTTATTAGTCTATTCAGGGATTTGACTTCTTCCCGGTTTAGTCTTGAGAGGGTTTATGTGTCCAGGAATTTATTCATTTCTTCTAGATTTTCTAGTTTATTTGCATAGAGGTGTTTATAGTATTCTCTGATGTTAGTTTGTATTTTTGTGGGATCAATAGTGATATCCCCTTCATCATTTTTTATTTTGTCTATTTGATTATTGTCTCTTTTCTTCTTTATTAGTCTGGCTAGCCGTCTATCTATTTTGTTAATCCTTTCAATAAGCCAGCTCCTGGATTCATTGATTTTTTTGAAGTGATTTTCGTGTCTCTATCTCCTTCAGTTCTGCTCTGATCTTAGTTATTTCCTGTCTTCTTCTAGCTTTTGAATTTGTTTGCTCTTGCTTCTCTAGTTCTTTTAATTGTGAAGTTAGGATGCTGATTTTAGATCTTTCCTGCTTTCTCATGTGGGCATTTAGTGCTATAAATTTCTCTCTAAACACAGCTTTAGCTATGTCCCAGAGATTCTGGTACATCATGTATTTTTTCTCATTGGTTTCAAAGAACTCATTCATTTCTGTCTTAATTTCATTATTTGTCCAGTAGTCATTCAGGAGCAGGTTGTTCAGTTTCCATATAGTTGTGTGGTTTTGAGTGAGTTTCTTAATCCTGAGTTCTAATTTGATTGCACTGTGGTCTGAGAGACTGTTTGTTATGATTTCCATTCTTTTGCATTTGGTAAGGAGTGTTTTACTTCCAATTCTGTGGTCAATTTTAGAATAAGTGCTGTGTGGTGTTGAGAAGAATGTTGATTTGGAGTGGAGAGTTCTGTAGATGTCTATTAGGTCCACTTGGTCCAGAGCTGACTTCAAGTCCTGAATATCCTTGTTAATATTCTGTCTCATTGATCTGTCTAATATTGACAGTGAGGTGTTAAAGTCTCTCACTATTATTGTGTGGGAGTCTAAGTCTCTTTGAATCAGGGTGCTCCAGTATTGGGTGCATACATATTTAGGATAGTTAGCTCTTCTTGTTGTATTGATTTCTTTACCATTATGTAATGGCCTTCTTTGTCTTTTTTTCTGTTTTATCAGAGACTAGGATTGCAAACCCCAGTTTTTTTTCTTTCCATTTGATTGATAAATATTCCTACATCCCTTTATTTTGAGCCTATGTGTGTCTTTGCACTGAGATGGGTATCCCGAATACAGCACACTGATGGGTCTTGACTCTATCCAATTTGCCAGTCTCCATCTTTTAATTGGGACATTTAGCCCATTTACATTTAAGGGTAATATTGTTATGTGTGAATTTGATCCTATCATTATGATGCTAGCTGGTTATTTTGCACATTAGTTGATGCAGTTTCTTCATAGTGTTTATGGTCTTTACATTTTGTTATGTTTCACAGTGGCTGGTACAGGTTTTTCCTTTCCATATTTAGTGCTTCCTTTGGGAGCTCTTGTAAGGTAAGCCTAGTGGTGACAAAATCCCTCAGCATTTGCTTGTCTATAAAGGATTTTATTTCTCTTTCACTTATGAAGCTCAGTTTGGCTGGATATGAAATTCTGGGTTGAAAATTCTTTTCTTTAAGATTGTTGATTATTGGCCCCCACTCTCTTCTGGCTTGTAGAGTTTTGTAGAAAGATCTGCTGTTAGTCTGATGGGCTTCCCTTTGTGGGTAACTTGACCTTTCTTTCTGGATGCCACTACCATTTTTTTCCTTCATTTCAACATTGGTGAATCTGACAATTATGTGTCTTGGGGTTTCTCTTCTCAAGGAGTACCTTTGTGGTGTTCTCTGTATTTCCTGAATTTGAATGTTGGCCTATCTTGCTATGAAGTTCTCCTGGATAATATCCTGAAGTGCATTTTCTAACTTGGTTCCATGCTCCCTGTCACTTTCAGATACACCAATCAAACGTAGGCCCAAACCCCAATTCTTGATTTCTGTGCACTCGCAGGCTCAACACCATGTGGAAGCTACCAAGGCTTGAGGCTTGCACCCTCTGAAGCCATGGCTTGAGCTCTATGTTGGCCCCTCACATCCACACCTGGAGCGACTGGGAGCCAGACCACCAAGTCCCTCAGTCGCACTCAGCATGGGGATCCTGGGCCTGGCCCATGAAACCATTTCTTTTTTTTTTGATAGGCCTCTGGGCTTGTGATGGGATGGGCTGCCATGAAGACCTCTGATATGCCATGGAGACATTTTCCCTATTGTCTTGGGGATTAACATTCAGATCTTTGTTACTTATGCAAATTTCTACAGCGAGCTTGAAGTTCTCCTCAGAAAATGGGATTTTCTTTTCTATTGCATTGTCAGGCTGCAAATTAACCTAACTTTTATGCTCTGTTTTTCTTTAAAATTGAATGCCTTTAACAGCACACAAGTCACCTCTTAAATAGTCTTCCACCAGATACCCGAAATCATCTCTCACAAGTTCAAAGTTACACAAATCTCTAGGGCAGGGAAAAATGCCAGCAGGCTTTTTGCTAAAGCATAACAAGAGTCACCTTTTCTCCAGTTCCCAACAAGTTCCTCATCTTCCTCTGGGACTACCTCAGCCTGGACCTTATTGTTCATATCACTATGAGCATTTTTGTCAAAGCCATTCAACAAGTCTCTAGGAAGTTCCAAACTTTCCCACATTTTTCTGTCTTCTTCGGAGCCATCCAAACTGTTCCAACCTCTGCCTGTTATCCAGTTCCAAAGTTGCTTCACATTTTCAGGTATCCTTTCAGCAATGTCCCACTCTACTGATTCAAATTTGCTGTATTAATATGTTTTCATAAAGCTGATAAGAACATACATGAGACTGGGCATTTACAAAAGAAAGAGATTTAATGGATAACTCACAGTTCCATGTGGCTGTGGAAGCCTCACAATCATGGCAGAAGGAAAGGAGAAGCAAGGCAAAAAGAAAGCTTGTACAGGGAAACTCCACCCTATAAAGCCATCAGATCTCAAGAGACTTATTTACTATCACAAGAAAAGGACAGGAGAGAACCGCCCTCATGATTCAGTCACCTCCCACTGGTTCCCTCCCATAACATGTGGGAATAGAAGATGACATTTGGGTGGGGATACAGCCAAACCATATCAAATCGAGTACAGTCATTTCTACCTGATGGCATTAAATTATTTGGTCAGTTTTTAAAAACACAGGTTCCTTTAGTCCCCGCAGACACACTGAATCTTTTTGTCACTTCTACATATGGTTCTGATACAGAATCATGTTTGAGACTTACTAATGTATATTGCTCAGTAAGAGAAAATTAGTCAAAACAGTAAAAACATAGATTATTTTAACAATATGATTAATAATAAACAATGCATTTGTTAGCATGCATGGAACATGTAGTAAAATTAATTTTTCGCTAGAATACTAAGCCATATATTTAAAATGCATTCAATCATGCAAAGTATGTTTTCTGACTACAGTTGAAGTAAATTGGAAATAACTTACAAAATCATAACTAGGACTCCCCATAACCCCATGTTTGGAAATTATTTTATGGATTTCTAAATATCTTATTGGACAACAAAGGAATCACAATGGAAATTAAATTATATTTGCAATGAGTAATAGTGGAAAGATAAAATATCAGAATGTGTGAGCAGCAGCTAAGGGCATTCTTTTTTTTTTTTCTTTGAAACGGAATCTCACACTATTGCCCGGGCTCTAGTGCAATGATGCGATTTTGGCTCACTGCCACCAGAATCAAGCGATTCTCCCGCCTCAGCCTCCTGAATAGCTGGGATTACAGGCGCCTGCCACCATGCTTGGCTAATTTTTTGTATTTTTAGTAGAGACAGTGTTTCACTATGTTGACCAGGCTGGTCTTGAACGCCTGACCTCGTGATCCACCTGCCTCAGCCTCCCAAAGTGCTGGGATTACAGGCGTGAGCCACCGCGCCTGGTGGGGCATTCTTTGAGGAAAATTTATAGCCCTAAATTTGAGGTGATGATGATCTCGATTACCCATATTTGGTAATTATACATTGCATAATTTTAACAGAATGTCACATGTACCCCACAAATATGTACTATTATATATCTATCAAAAATTAAAAAATAAAAATAAAAAAACTTAATCTAAAAAAAGAATACCCAAAACCAACTAACTAAATTACCATTCTGATGATTTAGTTAAATTAAACTTCAAAAAAAGTAGAATGATGCAAAGTTAAGGACAACAGCAGAATGAATTAAATAGGACGTATGCACATATATACAATATTGTACAGAATATCAACAAACTGAAAATCAGTTCTTTGGAAGGAGTAATACAACAGCTAAGCCCTTCTAAATGTGATCAAGTATTAAAGAAGAAAATAAATTACTAATATCAGAAAAGAAAAATAGAGTATCATTATAGATCCTGTAAACAATAAAAGGATAGTGTGAGAACTTTATGCTTATTAAAAACAAAGCAAAAAGCTCCAGGTATAAATAGCATCTAAATATTTAATATTTTCAATATCTTCCAAATATATGAGAGAAACTTAATTTTACATGAAATATTTCAGAGACCAGAATAAAAAGAGGAAATTCTCAACTCATTTTATGAAGGCTGAATAATAACGATTACAAACCTAACAAAACAATTACAGAAAAATAAAATTATAAGCCATTCTTTCTCATAAGCAGCCCTAAGTATAATAGTAGAAACCCTAATTCAGTGATAATTTAAATAATAACACACAACGCTGAAATTGAGTTTATCCCAGAAGTAAAATATTGACTTAATATTTGAAAATAGATCATTTGAAAATAGATCAACATAATTCATTATATTAATGAAATAATGGAAACAAACCATATAGCATCTCAACTTATACAGAAAAAGTGATTTCATAAAACATAATACCAATGTATCTTAAAAATAAATTTTTAGCAAAATAGTAATACAAATTAATTTTATTTAATAACTAGTTTCCTGAAAGGAAAAAATGTGTAGCAAACTTCAAATTAATTTAAACTACTGTTAATAAACAAAATTACATGGATTTATACTACCACTACTCTTATTTAACGGTTTACAGAAAGTCCTAGGTGTGAAAGAGGACAAGAAAATAATTTAAGCATATAAATATTGCAAAAGAAAAGCAAAATCGGCCAGGCGTGGTGGCTTATGCCTGTAATCCCAGCATTTTGGGAGGCAGAGGTGGGTGGATCACCTGACGTCAGGAGTTCAAGACCAGCCTGGGCAACATGGTGAAACCCTGTCTCTACTAAAAATACAAAATTAGCTAGGTATGGTGGCAGGTGCCTGTAATTCCAGCTACTTGGGAGGCTGAGGCAGAAGAATCACTTGAACCCTGAAGACAGAGATTGCAGTGAGCCGAGATCACGCCATTGTACTCAAAAAAGAAAAAAAAGCAAAATCTAGATTGAAACTGTTGTAAATCTGGAGTATAAAAATACAAAAACAAAAGAGAACACCAGCATACCAAAATATTAGATCATTTGAAATATTAAAGTCACCTGGATCTCTTTTAATGAAGAAACCATAAGTTAAAATAAGAGTCCTTCCATCTTTTAAGAGTTGTCAAAGAATTCATTGCTTCAAAGAGAGAGTCTCATATGAGCAAAGCAAAAACAATGTTCTCAAGAACAATTAAAGGTGACAGTGCTTTGCTTCTTTCAGACAACAAATTCATGCCAAGACTGTGTCCTTATCAATTTATGTATGTAGACTATTTTGGTGTGTAGACATAACATAGTCAAGAATTATAACAACGATGCTGAATATTACCAATCTGACAGAATGTGTGTTTTCACTGCAATTTCATCTTTTGCATATTTGTGTATTCTTTCATTTATTCTTGTTTTGGTTTGTATCTCAGTTGAAAATCCTGCATGATTTCAAAGAAGAGGTGATTAAAAGCACAGCGTTTACTTTCTTTGAATCAACTAAAGTCATTGAGTAATAAGAGCATATGTTAGAAATAAGTGAGGCTAGACACAGTAGGTCAAACCTGTAATCCCAACACTTCGAGAGGCCAGGAGTGTGAGACCAACCTGGGCAGCAGAGCAAGATCCTGTCTCTATAAAAAATAAAATAATTATTTGAGTGTGATGGCTCATGCCTGTAGTCCCAGGTACTCAGCAGTTTGAGCCAGGAGGATTGCTTGAGCACAGGAGTTTGTGGCTTCACTGAGCTATGATTGCACCACTACATTCCAGCCTGGGCAACAGAGTGGGACTCTGTCTTTAAAATGATTAATTAATTAATTAGAAAAATAAATAACTGAGTGTTTTATATTAAGTATGTATTCAAATATGTAGAAGAAATATTTTTTATTAACTTTTCCCAAAAGATCATCGTATTTTCTAAATTTTTAGTCATAGTTGCTTGTTATAAAGTATCCGACACTCTGTAATTATCTAAACTTTTATCTGCTCATGTATTTATTCCTGGCATGAACTAATTAAATCTGGAATAATTAGTGAGACTATATAGTTCATTTTACCGTAAATAATGCATCATCAACAATTATTAATTCACCTTTTTAAGACTTAGAGTTAATGTAGTCTAAACTTTATTTTCTTTTTTTTGTTAACTTGCACCAAGCCCTGTCTTGTTTCAGCATTTAGTATTGTTTATTTGTGGGTGCATGAATTAATTTAAAAAAATCCACATCTTTAAAACATGCATCAAATTTAAAAGTTTACTTTTTATGTTTAATAATTATTTATCCAAATTTATAGTATGATGTTGTTTAATCAGTATGTATTATTAGCAATTATGAAGACAACTTTAATTAAAAAGAAAAAAAATTCTTAAGGCCTTATGGTCACAAGAAATACAAACGTCTAAATTTAAATATATAGGTATATTTTTACTGCAGAGATGCATAAGAAGGTGATAAAATACTTTTGGTAATAAATTACATTAGGATTAAATTCTGATAAAATAAAGAGAATATAAGGTTAAGAAAAAATAAAGCCATATAAAATTTTTGACTTTTAAAGACTTTTTCATACTTAAATTAATAGTTACTGGTACCCTATTAGTATGGTACTGATATTCCACTGTATACATTTAAAAGACATATAACAGCTTTATTTTAAAACATTGATATTTCAAGACAGCAACATATATACCATTGGCAATGATAGTATTTATGGATAAGAGAAATACAAGGATATTCATGTTTTCACATATTCTTTAGAGGTTATTAAAATAAAACCTGTAAAGACCACAGGGCCATATCATTTATGGAGTATCTTGAAAATTGAGACTTTCAGCTTTGCAAAAAAACTTATTCTAGATCAATTTCAAGATCAAGTCTATAAACCGTGGGAGAAAAGAATGAGGGAGCAATTAGTGGAAGCCCAAAAAGCAAACACTGAGGCACGAGGAAAATCTGGCCCAAAACTCCTCTGTAAATCCTCCAAA
Organism: Homo sapiens; assembly: GCF_000001405.40. Classification (NCBI taxonomy): domain Eukaryota; kingdom Metazoa; phylum Chordata; class Mammalia; order Primates; family Hominidae; genus Homo; species Homo sapiens. The sequence goes on along the minus strand of NC_000002.12, from coordinate 125,617,459 downwards.
ATAGAAGATATCTAATCTTGAGCAAGAGAACCAGTGGCAGTAGATTTGATTATTTATTTTCTTTTCCAACATTATTTATTTATTCATTTGAATTAACAAATGAAACTTGTATATATTTATGGTTTAAAACATGGTGTTTTGAAATTTGTACACATTATAACTATCAATTGAATTAACATATGCATTACATATTTTTCATTTTGGTTTTATAGTGAGAGCACTTAAAAAAATCTAATTTCTAAGCAATTTTCAAATACATGATCTATTGCTATTAACTATAATCACTATGTCATACAACAGATCTCTTGAACTTATCCCTCCTGTCTAACTGAAATGTTGTGCCCTTTTGCCAACACCTCCTCAGTGGTTCACCCCTCTCCCAGTCCCTGGTAACCACTATTCTACTCCCTGCTTGTGTGAGTTGACTTTCTTAGCTCCCACATATGAGTGAGATCATGTAATAAAACTGTCTTTCTGAGCTTGGCTTACACTTAACATAATGTCCTCCTGGTCCACCCATGTTGTCACAAATGCCCTTTGTTTTTAACCTGAATAGTATTCCATTGTGTATACGTAAAACATACTCTTTATCCATTCATCTGTCAACAGACACTTTTGTTGCTTCCATATCTTTGCTGTTGTGAATATAATTCTGAGAAAACATGGGCAGTAGGCTTTTTATATTGCCTCTACCAGATGATGGTTAATCCCAGAGAAGAGTGTGCTGGGAATTGAAGCTGGGGCTACATTTGAAGTGGGCTTAGTCTGTTAGGATCCACCCATGCTTTGCAACTGCAAAGTCTCCATATGACACTTTTCATTCTCAACAATGTCATCCAGTGTTCTAGCCTCATGTTTCCTTCCCCTGGGTATTAATACTCTCGCCCTGCTCTGCTTACCGCTAGTAACATCATTACCCTCTCAAGCCCTTAGATTTATCCAGCTCTGAGTGAACATGGAGAGCAATGTGGTCACTTTACCTCCCCTCTTCCTAGCGCTCCTAAGCCTGGCCTTAACAAGGTCTCACCAAAATGAAACAGCCACGCATAGCTCTTTTGTTGACCCACACATCTTCAGGAGTACAACATAACTCTGCAGATGTAACACATATCTGTCCATGGATGCAGTACAACCTGCCTGTGTTCTGAGGGATCTCCCTGTCTTAAGAGAAGTATTTTTTACTCAGAATTTTATTTATTTATTTATTTATTTATTTATTTATATTATTTTATTTAAGTTTTCATTTCCATAGGTTTTGGGGGAACATGTGGTGTTTGGTTATATGAGTATGTTCTTTAGTGATGATTTGTGAGATATTGGTGCACCCAACACCTAAACAGTTTACACTGTACCAAATTTGTAGTCTTTCATCCCTCACCACCCCCACCATTTTCCCCAAGTCCCCAAAGTCTATTGTATCATTCTTATGCCTTTGAATACTCATAGCTTAGCTCCCACTTATGAGTGAGAATATATGATGTTTCATCTTCCATTCCTGAGTTACTTCACTTAGAATAATGGTGTCCAATTCCATCCAGGTTGCTGTGAATGCCATTATTTTGGTCTTTTTTATGGCTGAATAGTATCCCATGGTATGTATGTGTGTGTGTGTGTGTGTGTGTGTACACATACCACAATTTCTTTATCCACTTATTGATTGATGGGCACTTGGACTGATTCTGTATTTTTGCAGTTGCGAATTGTGCTGCTAAAAACATGCATGTGCAAGAATCTTTGTTGTATAATGACTTCTTTTCCTCTGGATGGAAACCCAGTAGTGGGATTACTGGATCTAATGGTAGTTCTACTTTCAGTTCTTTAAGGAATCTCCACACTGTTCTCCATAGTGGTTGTACTAGTTTACATTCCCACCAGCGTATAAGAGTGTTCCCTTTTCACCACATCGCCACCAACATCTATTATATTTTTTATTATGGCCATTATTGCAAGAATAAATGAAACTGAATCCTTATCTCTCATCTTATAGAAAAATAAACTCCAGATGGGTCAAGAACTTAAATCTAAGACCTGAGGCCATAAAAATTCTAGAAGATAACATCAGAAAAACCCTTCTGGACATTGGCTTAGGCAAAGACTTCATGACCAAGAAACCAAAAGCAAATGTAACAAAAACAATAATAAATAGGTGGGATTTAATTAAACTACAAAGTTTCGGCACAGCAAAAGAAACAATCAGCAGAGTAAACAGACAATCCAGAGAGTGGGAGTAAATCTTCACGATCTATACATCTGACAAAGGACTAATATCCAGAATCTACAAGGAACTCAAACCAATTAGCAAGAAAAAAACAAACAATCCCATCAAAAAACAGGCTAAGGGCATGAACTGACAATTATTTTAAAAAGATGTACAAATTGCCAGCAAACATATGAAAAAATGCTCAACATCACTAATTACCAGGGAAATGCAAATCAAAACCACAATCATTCAGAATTTTTTAAGATTAGATGAATCCTATTTTATAAGATGCTGAAGACAGAACGACATCATCATGGTATTTTCTTGTAGAATATGTAAATGACCAGAAGAGGTTTGTGTTGTAAGGGCATTCTTGTCATTTCAGCTTTTTTTCCAGTTTACAGTGCCAAAATTATTTGATATTTCTCTGCATCTGAAAATTGGCAAAAATGCCTCTTACCCTCCAAACCTAGAATTTACTCAGCTTTCATCCTGGGAAGCTAATGTTAATGCTACCCTTACTAGCATTCCCATACACAATCATTAAGTGTAATGATTACATTGTAATGGTTCTATCATATTTCACAAGTCTGTGTTCTTGTCTGTCTCCTTTACCCTTATCCTTTATCTTCATCTATAGT